>NC_000007.14:133131779-133756779 GCF_000001405.40 Homo sapiens
CCTCTGTCCACCAGACTGAGGTGGTGGAGTGTGATATATACTAGATTTCACAGGTAACATATGCGGTGTCTCATACTATTAGTACAGCTGCTTTGTCCTGGGCTGTCTATGGTCCTAGAGGGTGGGCCAGGAGCAGTGATGGGGGTGGGGTGTTGTACCAACCAGGCTGAGTGGGTAATCAAGTGAGCAGGTCATAGCTACAGGGGGATTCTGGCTCGGGCCTGAGTGGTATTAATGGGAAGGTTGCAGTCTCTTGTTCGAAGCAAGATGAAATTTAGTCGCAGCTCAACTAAGTCCAGTTCCTGATGGCTCCTAAGGAAGGATGTCTGAAGCCTGAACAAATGCACATGGCTGGCTCTGGCCCCAGCTCCTAAGTAGGGAATTCTGGTATCCTGAGAGTTTCAAGCTAAACTGTCAGCTGATCTCCCTTCATATGCAAGAGGAGGTTGCATTTGAACACCTCTGTGGCAATGGCTGGGTCCTCCCTGGCCCACCTCGATGTGGTTTTTCTTTTCTTGTTTTTTTTTTTTTGAGACAGAGTCTCACTCTTTCGCCCAGGCTGGAGTGCAGTGGTGCAATCTCAGCTCACTACACCCTCTGCCTCCCAGGTTGAAGTGATTCTCCTGCCTCAGCCTCCCAAGTAGCTGGGACTACAGATACACGCCACCACGGCAGGCCAATTTTTGTATTTTTAGTAGAGACAGGGTTTCACCATGTTGGCCAGGCTGGGCTCGAACTCCTGACCTCAAGTGATCCACCCACCTCAGCCTCCCAAAATGCTGGGATTACAGTCTTGAGTCACCACAACTGGCCTCGATGTGGTTTTTCTATGGGTAGTTCAACATCACTGAGGGGACTGGGTTTTACTTGAGGAGTTAAAGCCCCCTTCTTGGTTCACCCTTGGCAGCTCATCTAGGGTCTTCAGATTTCACCAGTGAGAATTCTTCTGGAGGGCGTGGTCCTTTCTGGAGACTGGGGTCAGAGGCGCGTCTGGTAGCATCTTTGAGTGTCCACTGAAGGGAGAGTCCCGTGGACTGTGAGAGGATCAGAAAAGACCTCCCAGAGGAAGCATGTGAGGGATTAGATAGCCGATCACATTGTGGTCTGTGTAAATACAGCCCTGGAGCTGTGCAGTGCACAAACTGTTTAACTGTATACGGCATCCCTGTAAATAAGCAAAGAAGAAGGGGATTAAGTAGTCCAGGAAGTGAAGACAACATGAGCAAAGGCCCAAAAGCTCTCATTTTATCCACATTCATTTATTACCACTGTAATCCAAGGAACATTCTATAACTCACAGGCATTTTCACCTCATTATTACTTCATTAACTCCCTCTATATCTCGAGAATTGCTTTGTGAAAAGCAGTATTACCCTCACAGCATCCCGAGTAGAATGCATTAAAAGTAGCCACTCGGATTCTGAGAGTGAATTATTGGCTAGAGTTGGGGAGTGAGAATTTCCCACCCCTGGGCTCTAGCTCCTCTCTGGTCCTGCTCAAATTCTGTCACTTACATGTTTAAAAATCAACCTAACTTTTTTGAGGATGATGGGGAAAAAAGCAAGCTGGCCATGAGTATACTCCACTAAACAAGGGCCAAAGCTGGAAGAAAAAAAATTAAAAAGTCACTTATCCTTGCACAGTGACAAACTGAAGTTGCTATAAATGCCAAGAGAAAACAACAGAGAGAAAATGAATGGGGTTACTGAACATGTTCATAAATTTATGCAGTAAATGCACTGTGCATTCTCCAATTGGCAAATGCCTGATATAAGACAATATTAAGATACTGCAAAATCTAAGTTAGTATAACATTTCCCCACGATCCTACTGAGATTTATTGCCTGCATTTTTATGGGTTTTAAACAGCTTTTTCTTGACATTAAATATTTAGCAGTTAACAGTTAATTTGTCATTTTAATCTCAAACTATTTCATACTGCATAATATGACAGGACTTGGGGGGAAAGAAAGAAGTGCGATATGGTTATGCCTTATCACATTTGGATTTGTGGGCAATCTTGGAGATGGGAATGCCAGATTGGAAAATTTCAATGTTTTGATTAATCTCTTGGACTGAAAATGATGAAATGGTGTGTTTTGAGGCTCTCACAGAAGGTATTTTGGGGCTAAAGAGCAAGGTCTTCACTAGCATCACCATCCACTGTTAGCAAGAATAGATGTTGGTGATTAATTTCTACATGTGGGAGAAATTAGGCACCAACAGCAAGTTTCACGTGGTTAGCAAAATATTGATAACTGTTGGATATGTGTAATGGGTACATAGGAGGTTGATTAGAGCATCCCCTCCGTGTTTTCTTTTTTCTTTCTTTCTTTCTTTTTATTTTTTGTGCGTTTGAAAGTATCCATAGCAAAAAGGAGAAAGAGAGAGAGAGAGACTCTAGAAAGGAATACTTAAAAGGAAAAGCATATTTTACCCCGTGACAAGATATGACTGAGCCCGGGTGGCTGTCCCATTTCATCTGCACGGTTTCCCTTGCAGGAGTTCCTCCAGGCCTAAGTCATGGCTTAGAACCATAACTGCAAATATAGCATTGGGTCCCTTTTAAGATTTCAGCTGGGGCCAGGCACAGTGGCTCACAACTGTCATCCCAGCACGTTGGGAGTCAGAGCAGGGAGGACTGCTTGAGCCCAGGGGTTCAAGACCAGCCTGGGCAAAATGGCAAAACCCCGTCTCTTAAAAAAAAAAAAAAAATTATCTGGGTGTGGTGGCCCGTACTTGTAGTCCCAGCTACTCAGGAGGCTGAGATGGGAAAATTGCTTGAGCCTGGGAGGCAGAGGTTGCAGTGAACTCTGATCCAGCTTGGGCAACAGAGGGAGATCCTGTCTCAAAAAAACAAAACAAAAAAAAAAGGTATTTCAGTTGGAAGAAGCCATACAAATAATAAAAACATCACAGTTAAAAATAAGCCAGGCACAGCAGGTCACGCCTGTAATCCTAGCACTTTGGGAGGCCAAGGCAGGTGGATTGCTTGGATCCCCCACTGTGTGGGGCCAGCAGGAGGATTTCACAAGTGCCAAATAGGATGAGACCCCAGTCAAAAAGTCTGAGGTTCAGGGCAAGCCTCTTGGCCCAGCAGAAACTCTGGGAGTTCATATCAAGTAGTCAAGGTCATTTGGGCTTGAGACTGGTCCCTGATTATCCTTTTTACTCTAACCTAATCTTGCCCCACCCCACACTGTGGTTGACATAATGATTCCAGGAAATACCACTGTAAAGCTCACTGTGATTTCCTCAAGGGAAAGAGCCATACATTAACCTTCCATAGGCTGCACTTCCTAATGCAATGCCTAGTTCCAAGGAGGTCCACAAAAATGTCTGTTGACTGTTGAAAAAATGAATGGGAAGACTCTATACAGAGATATGATATAGAAACTTACCTTCTAAAATCAAGATGATCCAAATAGATAAGGCCTGCCATTTGGCTCATAACTCCCTGGTTTTTCATGACTCAAAAGGTCATCCCGGAAAATAGCAGGTCAGTCCTCCACACCTGACTTCATTTGGACCTTCTTCAACCATGATCATCTCACTTGGAGCTCCCTGAGACCAGAGCTTCATTCCAGGCCCCAGGTCTCCTTATGCAGGCCAAGCTTAAAATGCTGGAGTGAAGAGCTGGAAAAGGATAGCCAAACCTAGGAATGATCAGACTTTCTCTCTGTGGATCTGTTTCTCATTCTAGGGTTAGTCCCATTTCATGAGCATCTATTGCCTTGTTGATACTGGAATTCAGGCTCCAGTTGCTGCAAGTAGAAGGCTTTCAGAGAAGCTAACTCAAGAATCTGAGTCATCCTTATTTTGATAAGAGTCACTGAGAGAGCAATGCCCAGCATGGCTCAGCCCTTATAACATGACTGAAATCTTGGTGAACTTGCCTTTGCTGCTTACCACATTCCAAGGTAGTTGAGTTAAACCAATCTGAGCTTTGAAAGCACAGGTTCCTTAGAGACAATGAAGACAACAGCTTACTCTGAATCACGTCCTTCCTTTGTAGAATCAATTTTTGGAGCTGTTTCTGGCTTCCCTGTTGCTAGTGGACATTGCCTTTGTATCAGAGTCGGGCCATGCAGCCACCAGCAAAAAGAAGATTTAAGCTTACCTCTCAGCTTTTGTCTTGCATCTTCCAGAGCCTGATGGATTTGTATAGCAAGCTTCCTGCCAATGGACCATCTGGAAGGGCTGGAGGCACTAGGGAATCTGGGTCTGCTGGGCTCCCCTTTCTCATCTGATTTCTACTCTTTTGCTGGAATTATCAGTGTCTGTCTTAGTGTCCTTGCGACGGATGCTGTGATGTATCACTTAGATCCTCCTTTAAGAAAGGAGGAATTGTTGCCCCAGCTGCTAAGAGCTGTAGGCAGCTGTCAGCCCCTTTTATAAATTGCTGGAGAGCCACCTTGCTCAGTGTCATGCTTCCTTCCCACAGCAATCAGCATCCAGTGATTGATCCACAGGGAGCTTAAAAGCCAAGTTCTCTTGCACCAACAGGGGAAGTTCTGAAGCTCCCCATAGTGTTAGCCAAAACCATTGTTGAGCCTGCCTCACAGCTCTACTTCTCCTTTGGCCCAATCTTGCTACTGGAAGTCTCTTCTCTTTCATTTGTATCAATCCCCAGAGCCCTCCCAGTAAATCCCCTAATTCCTGGAGTGCCCATCCTGTGACAACTCTCACATTCCAGGTGTTGAACTTGCAGGTGTGGGATTGGAGGGTAGAAAAGTTAAGGCTTACCTACATGGACCAGTTGCAAATGAGTCACTGTCAGGGTGTGCTCCAAAGAGTCAAGGAGTGGTAGAAGAGATCGCCAGACATACTTAGGACCTCGGGACCTTCTCACTTCAATTGTTTATTCTCTGCTTTCCTTGGATTGGCTAAATTGGTCTGTACCTTAATTTCAGAGTCATCCAAGAGTCCTCTTGAAGAGGCCTTAAAATCTGAGCAGGGAAAAGTTGAGGCAATGCTTTTCCCTGCCAAGTATGTTTCAGTGGGGTTCGATGTTCCCTTTTTGTTTTCTTTGTCTTTTATATTGCTTGCACTTAATATGGGTTTTTAACTGACATTTGAAAATTAAGTTCTATTTTCTTCTGTTTTGTTTCTCAGTAAAGTCAATTTGGCAATTAGCACTCCACACTCAGATTGTAGCCCGTGTAGCAAAGATCATAGCCTCAAGGAAAGAAGAAAGGCAGAGGATGACTTCATGTATATTTACAACCTTGTTAAGGCTCTCGTATCTTTTACTTTCCTGGTATGTTTGAAATTTCTCAACCAGGATGGGGCTGAGCTATACTCTGCATTCATTGCCTCTGAAAAAAAAAGTAGTGCAAGTTAGAGAGAGGAAAGGCAAGGGTACCTCTGAAAGGTGGGATTGAGGGTATTTAAAATATATATATTTTTAAGTCATGTATACCCGGGACTAGACTATGTATGTTAGTAGGCCTAAATAGAAGAGGGAACTCCAAAGTTATGTCTCCAAATACTCCTATAATGACTTTGATAAAAGAATAAGAAAAGTCATTTGCCCTTTCTCTGTTTTAGGGCCTTTATTAAGGAGAAATAAGGATATTAAACTGACTTCTGTGATTGGGCAGAAACATATCTGTTAGATGGTCAAATTCTCATGAATACAGAGCATGAAAGAAATATGAAGCAATTGACATAAGACGTGTTGCTTACTGCAAATTCCAAATACAGCAATGGTGGGAAAAATCTTTCAAACAGCAGATCTGCAACTGTGGGTTTAACCATTGCCTTTGATCTGTGCTTTTCTTTAAGAACAGTGAATATCCCTGCCCATCAGTGTTTAAAACAAGAGGGAAACTTAGAGGATTAACTCCAGAATGTGAGGGCCTCACTTTTTTTATAAAAGTTCTTTTTCTAAATGGCAAAACCTGAGCACTACTGCTCATAATTTCCTTGAGGAAGAAAATGCTGTTGAAGTGGAGGGATGAACTGGCAAAGGAGGGGCAGAAAGGGACTTCAGGAAACCAAACTGTTTCAAGGCAAAGTTGGCTCAGAGAGCGGACATCCCTGAATTCTCACTCCAGCACCACTATCATAGGACACTAGGTACTCACTTCCCTTATCTCTAAAATGGAATTGGTTACACATAGTGCCTCTCGGCTGTTGTAAAAGTAGATTTAAGCAAAATAGATCTTTCCACAACATTTTCACCTAGACTGAACCAAGAAGTGATGAGCGTTGAATTCCAGATGTTGACGATCCTCTATTGCTATCATTTCTCTCTGCTCCTGCCTCTTTTTTGACAGCCCAGGGTATGGATGATATCCTGAGATGGCTCACTGCTCTCTCTGTCTGTTTCTCCTCCCTTCCTCTCTCTCCCTTCCTTCCCTTCCCTTCCCCCTCTCCCTGTTTATTTCTCCCTTTGATGAACACTGCCATCTATCAGAGTAAAAAACTTTGCATATATTTAAAGGAAAAAATATTCTTTTCTCCCCAGATATTGCACAAGTAGCAAACACAATCAAAAATCAACTGCTTGGAAATATGAAAAGTGTCTTTTCAATGGTCCCAGGGAAGTGAGATACCTGTAACGTGAAGAGGTTTACCATCTGCCACCCAAACATACTCTTTTTTTCAGAAAACAATGAGGTGCTGGGCTCAGGGAGGTCCCATTCCTTCCTCATTTTTTTTTTAAATTTTAAGGAAAAATCCTGGCTAATGGTTTAACTGCTTTTCTTGAAGACAGCAACCTTCCTACAGTTTTTCATGATGCTTGCAGTTCCTTGATGCCTGGAAGCTGAACTGATTGACAAAGAGGTGGGGAAATGCTGATGTATCCAGTGGGTCATCAGACACATCCAGGAGCCAAGCAAACTCATCTAATCCACAGAAGCAAACTTCAACTACTGAGAAGCACTAAATGCACACAGATCGGGGCTCTAGACAAGTTGCTGATGGGTGATTAAGACTCTCTGAAAAGTCTTCTGCATTACAGAGAAGAAATGTGAGGGGGCATCTGATAGAAATAAAAAAATATTAATAGACTAGGCACGGTGGCTCATGCCTGTAATCTCAAAACTTTGGGAAGCCAAGGCAGGTGGATCACCTGAGGCCAGTATTTTGAGACCAGTCTGGACAACATGGTGAAACCCCGTCTCTACTAAAAACACAAAAAATTAGCTGGGTGTGGCGGTGCGCACCTGTAATCCCAGCAACTTGGAAGGCTGAGTCAGGAGAATCACTTGAACCCGGGAGATGGAGGTTGTAGTGAGCTGAGATTGCACCACTGCACTCCAGCCTGGGGAACAGAGTAATAATAATAACAACAACAACAACAATAATAATGTATTTATATGGTACTCTGTTCTTTTATAAAGCTTGAAACATGTTTAGTCCTCATCACAAATGTATGAGTTAAGAAGGACAGTTCTTTTCTAGTTGGCAAAGATAAATGGCTTACCAATATTAGTCAGGGACCAAGACACAGTTAGCCCAGATGAAATGATGGCCTCTGACTCCAGAACTGTGTTCTTTCCAGGACATGAGGCATGTGTTCCCCCAGGAGCTGCAAGTCCAGCCAGGGGATCTGAGTAGCAGCAGCAGAAGGGATCAGTCCAACAGCATGCATCACAGCCTGAGGCCAAAGTTCAATCCTACTCCTACTCAGCTGCGTGGACATCTCTGCAGCAGATGGTCATGATGCAACGTGCCACATCTCCTTGATCCACTTGATTTCAGCACAGTGGTGGTGGACAGTTCCATGCATTTTGCAGCATTCCATCTCCAACATAAGGTCTCTGCCTTGCTCACACAAGCCTTCCTCTGAAGTTCAAAAGGCACTCAGCAGCCACCTGTAGGTGCAACCTGGAAGTGCAGAAAAGGTAATGAGGGCTTAACCAATGGTAAAAGATCCGTGGGCAAACACTCCAGCTCCCCTATCCTAGTTCTGCGCTGTTCCTCTGAGGGTTCCCAGGACTGAGCCCCAGTTGCCCAAAGCAGTAACCAATCATTAACAGACCCTTTATTAGCTTTTCTCCCTTCCTGTTTTACTCTTTCCACTTCCTCACTCCTGGCTCCTGAGCTTACTTCCCAAATAACCTTCCTATACTCAAGCTCTTATCTCAGGCTTTGACTTCAAAGAAACCCAAACCAAGGTCAGTCTCCTCCTTAATCCACTTCCCCTGCAGCTCTCACTGTTTTGATGTCTTCTTGCGCATTGTACATTAATCATGACCAGCCAGCCCCACCTTCTCTTTCTTTGAAACACCCTCCCCTCCCACTTCATTGCTCAGTCAGTCTTCTTTGTAACAGCATTAGCAGTTGCTAATGGCCGGTTCACCATCTTTGCTGTCCTGGAGTCTTGAGGGCAGGAAGTAGCTGGCAGTATTAACCACTCTCTTGGCATGCATCATGTTATGAGGTAGCTTCCTCTTACACGTGCGTCCCCCAAGACCATGGCTGGCAAAATTTTTCTTTAAGGGGCCAGATAGAAAATATTTTAGGTTTTCCTGGTCATTAAGTCTCTGTTGCAACTACTCAACTCTGCTATTACTGTGAGAAAGCAATCATAGACAATATATAAACACATAAGCAGGGCTGCATAGAACTTTACTTACAGACACTGATCTGTGTTTCATATAATTTTCAGATTATGAAACATTCTTCTATTTTTTCAGCCATTAAAAAAATGCAATGACCTTTCTTAGTTCTTGGGCTGTACAGAAACACGCCATGGCAGGACTGGCCATCTCTGCCTGCCCTTGCCCTTGGTCTTGAGCTGCTTGAGAGAGGAAATGACTTGTTCAGGCAGCCTCTCCTCTGTTTAGCACAGAGCGTGGGACCCAGAATGTGCTCAACACTCACTGGATGGCTAAATTAACGTGGCAAATGCCAGCGCCTAGACTGCTTCCTAAACAACATTCACCTGCTCAACCTCATATTCCATCTGCTCAGGAAGTCTCTCAAAAGGCAGCTGCTTCCCCAACTTGATGTTCCTCAGTCAGCTGGGATGTTTTCCTCAGCATCAATGGCTCTCTGAAAAGCACTTACATTATATGAATTTGTGTTCATTGCCAGCAGCATAAAACCTCTTTCCGAGTCTTGTTTCCAAAAATTTCCAGGAAACAGTTTAACACCCAAATCATCTGAATTTGGGTGTTGAAAACAGGAACATAGGTAACAGGTGTTTCTGCTGCTCTGGCCAGGAAAAGAGGAAAATTTCAACCATGTTGAAACCTTTGTTATTGAAATGACACACACACCACGAGAAAATAATGATTACAATCTGACCATGCAATATTACCAGACTGGTATTATATAAGCCCCGAGTACATTCCCTTAGATGACATCCCCATTGATTTCATCCGCACCGTTAGGATAACCATCTGCAGACTCAGCCTCAAGGATTTATCGCCTCCTGGTTCTGCTGCTAGAACAAGTGCCCACTGTTGATAAGATCAGGAGGCTGATTTAACAAATTGAACTTTAATATGATTTTCCTAAGAAAATTTATCATCCCCAATTCCCCTCTGGCTTGTTGAAACAGTCCCCACAGGAGATGAAGAGATAAGGAAGTTCTGAAACAGCATGGCCTTTAGGCTCAGCCCTACCCTGATTCTTGGATCAAGCTTTGTGGCTGTATGGGCACAGCCCACATCCAAGAGCTCCCAAAGAAACATAAGTGAGGTTGGGAAAAGACTGACTCAGAGACATCAAAGCTCCTGCGGTGTGGCGCAGGGACCCTGAGCTGACCCCAGGCAAAGGTAGGATGGGCACATCCATCCAGGCTGCTGACAGCCTCATCTGAGTCCCCCTGGAACTGATGTGCTCCAAACACCCCGATTCCCTGAAGCCAGACCTTGTGTCTTTGCTGCCCTCTCCTCTATCAAAACTTGTTTTCAGACAGAATATCTGATGAACTTATTCAAACTGAAATGCTGACTTCCCTAGAATAATTATAACGAATTGTTCATTGCCTAGCTCCTTCCATTGGAATATAAGCTCCAGAAGGCTAGTGCTGCTTATGCCTTTACTTAACAGATTATCAATACATCTTTTTTGTTTTATTTTTATTTTTATATATTTATTTTGAGATGGAGTCTCCCTCTGTCCTCCAGGCTAGAGTGCAGTGGCATGATCTTGGCTCACTGCAACCTCCGCCTTCTGGGTTCCAGTGATTCTCCCAACTCGGTCTCCTGAGTAGCTGGGACTACAGGTGCATGCCACCACACCTGGCTAACTTTTGTATTTTTAGTAGAGATAGGGTTGGCCAGGCTGGTCTCGAACTCCTGACCTCAAGTGATCCACCCGCCACGGCCTCCCAAAGTTCTGTGATTACAGGTGTGAGCCACTGCACCAGGCTCCAGTATGTCTGTTTTGAAAGAATTAATGAATAAAGGGCATATGCTTGGGCATGCAAATGCTGTCTCACTGACCCCCAGAAAAGAAGAGGGGTAGGAAAGAGAGAAGAAAATATCTGCCTATTGCTTTAAAAAAAAAAAAAAGAAAAGAAAAAAGGCCGGGGACTCCTAGGCCTAAATATACCCAAACGATTATACTTGTAAATTTGTATGGTTCAAAGAAATTTAATATTTGTAAAGTGCTTAGAACAGTGCCCAGCTCATAGAAAACAATATATGAGTTTCTTAAGCAAGCAAGCAAACATACCTAAATAAAATAAATAAAAACGTGGTCAACCTTCTATTGCTGAGAGAAATTTTAAAGGACAGCCCCGCCCAGGCATAGTGGCTCATGCTTGTAATCCCAGCACCTTGGGAGGACAAGGCAGACAGATCACCTGAGGTCAGGAGTTCGAGACTAGCCTGACCAACATGGTGAAACCTCGTCTCTACTAAAAATAAAAAATAAAATAAAATAAAAATTAGCCAGGCATGGTGGCACACGCCTGTAATCCCAGCTACTCGAAAGGCTGAGGCAGGAGAATCGCTTGAACCCAGGAGGCGGAGGTTGAAGTGAGCCAAGATCGCATGACTGCACTCCAGCCTGGGTGATAGAGTGAGACTCTGTCTCAAAAAATAAAAGAAATAAAAATAAAAAGGCAGCACCTTCTAACACCCCTCCTCTATCATCTCTTCGTCTCACATTCTAACTCCATTTCTCTCCTCCTTCCCTCTTAATCCAACCAAATTGCACTTTGTGTTTTTCCAATTTAAGGCTATTGCTGCTGTTTATTCTTACCTGCTTGTGTTTGGTCTGGGAATGTTAGAGGTTGGGAAGGGCCCCCTGCCCCTATACCCTGAGGGAGCAGTCCTTCTAAAAGCCCAGCAACGAATAAGCTCCTGTGATACCCCAGCTGCATTTTAATAGTCTGGAACTCAAGAAATACCTCTGTGAAGGTGTAACTTTGGGGATACTGAAAGGGTCCAACTTGGCCCCTTAGGTCTCACTGAATATGTAACTAGCCCATTTGTAAGATCAGACCTGGTGGGTCAGTTCAGCATTGCTTTCCTTCTTTGAGGTCATGATTGTTTTTGATAATGAAGATACGAAGATGATGATGATGAAGATGAAGACAATGGCTTCAATTCAGTGTGTTTGACACATTCTAATTCACTGTACTAAGAAGCTCTTTTTTTGGCCAGGTGCAGTGGCTCATGCCTGTAATCCCAAAACTTTGGGAGGCCAAGCCGGGCAGATCACTTGAGGTCAGGAGTTTGAGACCAACCTGGCCAACATGATGAAACCCATCTCTACTAAAAATACAAAAATTAGCTGGGCATGGTGGTGGGCACCTGTAATCCCAGTTACTCAGGAGGCTGAGACAGGAGAATTGCTTGAACCCGGGAGTTGGAGGTTGCAGTGAGCCGAGCTCATGCCACTACACTCCAGCCTGGGCGACAAAATGAGATTCATTCTCAAAAAAACAAGTAAATCAATAATAAATAAATAAAAGCTCTTTTTAAAAATTAATTACCCTATATAATCCTAGAAATAGCTATCATTTTTATCTCCCTGTTTTACAGACTTACAAAGGTTATCTAACTTTCCCAGGGTCCAAATAGCTTATAACTAGCAAGGCAGAGATTCAAACTCAGGTCTGTCGTTATTCATATGTACTGTGCTAAAGGCCATGCTTATATTATCTCTAATTCTTGCCACAATACTGCAAGGGAGGTATTAGTGGCCCTTTTTTATAGCTGTGACAGATGAAGTTCAGAGGAGCTAGTGACTTGTTCAAGGTTACAGCTGAAAAGTGACGGAGCTGGTATCTGAACTGAGAATTTTTAAGTGTTTTAACATGCAGTTTTGTTGTTCTAGAATTGTGAGTCGTTATTATTGTCTCCTTTAAATTAAAAAAATTCAGATTTTCAATAATAAGCATATATAATTTTTATTTGCATTTTTATAGTCTTTTTATTATGAAAGTAATATATGAATGCATGCTTATTGTAAAAAAAACTTACCACTTTAGAAGTTATATTACTTTTATACTGAGGAGAAAAGATTATAAAACTATTATTGCATGTTTCTGTAGGTTTACTGATGACTTCATTCTTGTTATCACTAGCAATTTTTAAAGAGAGAAATGGGGCAATACCCCCATTTTTCAAATAAAGGCCCTGGTAAGTAGTGAGAGTGCTTTTTTTTTTGCAATGGAGTGCAGTGGCACAATCTCGGCTCACTGCAACCTCTGCCTCCTGGATTCAACTGATTCTCCTGCCTCAGCCTCCCAAGTAGAGTGCTCTTCACCATTGGTTTATGTTGAGAGATTCAGCACATCTCTCATCCTCCTGCTTCTACTTGGTCTCCCAATACTAGGGCAGTCAGGGTAGGCTTCCGTGGTGCCAAAGGGAGACAAGCTTCTCTTGTGTCTCCTGGAGAGGCAGTGTGGGTTACAGTCTGGTGGGGTGCAGGGTGCTGGGGATAGATCAAGCACATAAGGAAGTATTGGTGGTGATGAAGATCTTGAAACCCTGAGGATCACTAGGATCAGAGCAGGACAAAGCTGGTCCAGTAAAGTGGAGAAATTGGCACTTGTTTAATGAAAGAGCTACTTACAAGGGTGTGGGCAAGGCTAAAAGAAACCAATAAGTGGGCCGGGCTTGGTGGCTCATGCCTGTAATCTCAGCACTTTGGGAGGCCGAGGTGGGTGGGTCACCTGAGGTCAGGAGTTTGAGACCAGCCTGGTCAACATGGTGAAACTCCATCTCTACTAAAAAAATACAGAAAATAGCCAGGTATGGTGATGTGCATCTGTAATCCCAGCTACTTGGGAGGCTGAGGCAGGAGAATCGCTCCAGGATGGGAGGCAGAGGTTGCGGTGAGCTGAGATCGTGTCATTGCACTCCAGCCTGGGCAACAAGAACGAAACTCTGTCTCAAAAAAAAAAAAGAAAAGAAAATAAACCAATAAGTGATGATAAAATATCCAGAGGAGCAATGGCAACAGTTACCAGCCTAGGTCTGAAGGAGCAAGAGGAATGGGGAGTTAGGGAAACCTTGAGGGACAGCTCCAGAGAAGGACCCCCAGCCAGAGCTCTGGCCTTAGATAATACAACATAATCATTGCAAGTCCACAGCTCAGCAGCAGGGCTGTTAGAGGAATAGCTAGCCCAACCTTTCTTCCACTTTCATCTACTGCCAGTACCTACCATTTGTAGAACCCAACCAGAAGTCAGGGAAGGGAGATAAGGGAGACCAGTTGGTACAATTCATAGTGGTCAGCTTCTACAGGCACAGAGAAGGGTGATGCAAGTATAGCCAGTATCGCCCTGCAGTCCTAGCCAAAGGGAAAAGAGGGCAAAAAGAAGAGCTGTCAGCCTCCCAGGAAGTGGGGCATGAGAGAAAGGGACCAGGATGGTAGCTCTAATGACCCCCGAGCCTGTCCCCTCTTTTTATTTTATTTTATTTATTTTATTTTATTTTATTTTATTTTGACAGAGTTTCACTCTGTCGCCCAGGCTGGAATGCAGTGGTGCAATCTCAGCTCACTGCAACCTCCACCTCCCGAGTTCAAGCAATTCCCCTGCCTCAGCCTGCTGAGTAGCTGGGATTAAGACATGCACCATCATGCCTGGCTAATTTTTGTATTTTTTGTAAAGACAAGGTTTCACCATGTTGGCTAGGCTGGTCTCAAACTCCTGACCTCAAGTGATCCTACTGCCTCAGCCTCTCAAAGTGATGGGATTATAGGCATGAGCCACCATGCCTGCCCCACTTTTTTTAAATAGACCATTTTTTAGAACAGTATTAGAGTTATAGAAAATGTTTAAAGGCAGTGCAGAAACTTCTCATATACCCTTCACCAAGTTTCCCCTATTATTAACATCTTACATCAGTATTGAACATTTGCTACAATCAATGAGCCAAGATTGACATATGACTATTAATTAGAGTCCATTGTTTTTTCAGATGTCCTTACTTTTTCTGCAACACTCTTTTTTTATTCCAGAATACCACATAACATTCCACTGTCGTGTCTCCTTAGCCTCATTTTAACTGGGCTGGTTTCTTAGACTTTCCTTGTTTTTGAGGTCTTTGACAGTTTTGATCAGTACTAGTCAGGTATTTTATAGGATGCCCCCTCTATTGGAATTTGTCTGATGTTCTTCTCATGACAATACTGGGGTGTTGGGTTATTGGGAGGAAAGCCACAGAGGTAAAGTGCCATTACATCACTTCATATCAAGGGTACACACTATCAGCTTGATTTGTGACTGTTGATGTTGATCTTGATCACCTGGCTGGGGCAATGTTCGTCAGGTTTCTGTATGTAAAGTTACTCTTTTTCCCTCTTCTCAGTATTGTACTTTTTGGAAGGAAATCACTATGCATGGTCCATTCCTAGAGACTAAGGAATTATGTCCCCCTCCTGGAGGGTGGAATATCTACATACATTATTTGGGATTCTTCTGCACAGGAGATTTCTCTCCTGTTTCCTATTTATTGATTTATTCAATACTTTATTTATATCAGTGTGGACTCATAAATATTTTATACTTTGGGTTATAATCCAATACTACTTTATCGTGTTGCTCAAATTGTTCCAGATTGACCACTGGGAGCTTCTTCGGTTGCCTCCTGTGTTCCCTTGACACACCTCTATCAATGCATTTCCGTGTGTGTGTGTGTGTGTGTGTGCATGCACGCACACACGCGCAGTTTCTCATCTTCTGGCACTACAAGATGCTCCAAGCTTATCTTGTATATTTCTTGCCCTAGTCCTAGAATCTGTCATTTCTCCAAGGATCCCTGGTTCCTGTTATCGGAAAATGATATTTGAAAGGAAGATCTGGATGTTAGGTATCCTTGTTGCCATCAAGGTATTGTTTTTTGTCAGCCCTCTGAGCTGACAGCAAAAAAATATTTGCTTATGTATGCTAACTGATATCTATATCTATACACACTTCTATTTTTTTTTTTTTTTGAGATGGAGTCTCACTTGTCACCCAGGCTGGAGTGCAATGGTGCGATCTCGGCTCACTGCAACCTCTGCCTCTCAGGTTTAAGTGATTCTCCTGCCTCAGCCTCCCGAGTAGCTGGGACTACAGGTGCCCGCCATGATGCCCAGCTAATTTTTGTATTTTTAGTAGAGATGGGGTTTCACCATATTGGCCAGGCTGGTCTCGACCTCTTGACCTCAGGTGATCCTCCCGCCTCAGCCTCCCAAAGTGCTGGGATTACAGGCATAAGCCATTGCACCCAGCCGTCAATACACACTTCTATATGTTACCATGCATAGCTATATTAAGCTAAACATGAGTTCATAAGATGTGTCCAACTGTAATCTTTTACTACATGAATCCACCTAGGTCCCGATCCTTGCTGATCTGTAAATTTCTGCTCCGATAGTGATAAACCCGGCTCCCACATCTGCTATTCATTCACTTAATTGTTCACTTCCAATATACATGTATAGCAGTATCAGAACTGTTGACCCATACCCCTGTGGTTCACAACCTATCAACTTGTATAAACTCAGTGCTTTATCAACTAGAGCACAGTGCTTAGGTGCTGTTTCTTTTCTTTTGTCTTCAGTCTTAGAGATTTCATTAATTACCAGTTACTTGGGTCAGCATCATTCCTCTTGTCCCCGTCAGTGAGGTTGTTTCATATATTTGTAACAGAGTTAGATTCTCTTGTCATAGTCTGCACTCCTTCCTGGGACTCGTCAACTTCCTCAATGATTTTTTAAAATGTACATACATTAAGCTTCACTCTTTGTGCCACAAAAATTCTATGGGTTTTGACAAATAGATAATAATATATATGCATAATGTCATGCACCAATACAGTATAATACAGAATAATTTTACTGCTTAAACACCTCTGTACTTCACATATTCATTCCTCCCCTCATCCCTTTGGATACCTGGAAACCACTGATCATTTTATTGGCTGTATAGATTTTCCTTTTCCAGAATGTCATGTCACTGGAATCATACAATATATAACTTTTTAAGACTTTCTTAGAAACTTTATTTCCATCACATATTTTTGTGGCTTGATAGAGAGCTCATTTCTTTTTATCACTGAATAATATTCCAGAGTATGAGTTAGCATAGTTTGTTGATCCATTTACCTCTTGAAGGACATCTTGGCTGCTTCCAGTTTTTGACAATTATGAATAAAGTTCTAAATACATGGATGTGCAGGTTTCTGTGTGAACAAAAGTTTTTATATCCACTGGGTAAGTACCCAAGAGTGTGATTCTGAGATCATGTTAAAAGTCTATGTTTAGCTTTGCAAGAAACTGCCAAACTGTCTTCCAAAGTGACTGTACCATTTTGCATTCCCATCAGCAATGAATGAGGGCTCCTGTTGCTCTCAGCCTTCCCTTTTAATTCAAATCACAAACTCACTACATGAAGAAAAGCTCCTAGCCAATCTCCTTGCCACAGAAGGCAGAGTTTCCATAAGAAAAGATTATGCCTGGGGCACAAGTCCTCAGTATCCACCATGTCCATAACTCGAGGAGCCATGAGTTCATGGCAAATACCTGGGACTCCCATATTTTTGCAGTATGAGGGGAAGTGATGATTCTCTGAATGAAATAAGAGAATAAGATGTAGAGGATACCCAAGATAGCTGAACTTCTCATTACACAGTCAGACAGTAGTTTTGTGATATCAAAAAGGAACTTCATTAATCAACACTCAAGATGAACATATGTAACCTAGGTCCCAAATTTCCCCACATACATGATAGTCAGGACAAATTAACCAGTGGGAGCCTTTAAAGTTTGAAAATGTGACATAGCAGAGCAACTAAGAACGTGCTAGCTTTTTCATTCATCAATGCTCAACCTCAAAGATCCACTGAGCCTGTGCTATGTGCCAGTCACGTGCAAGATGCTAGCATCCCGGAACTCAAAGTACAACGGAGGAGCCCAGCATGTCCCCAGATCATCACTATCCGATGTGGTACATGTAATATCAAAGAAACACACATTGACTTTGGAGCTGATGATACAAATCTGGTTAGGAAAAGAGAACAAGTTCAGTGGCCATTTCAAGAACAGCCTTTGCATCCAAGGAACCTGGCCAATCAACCTGAGGGGCCATAATTACTTTTTCAGGCTTATGCTAAATTACTGCAATAAGATTTGTGTAGATGGATTTGAAGGAGGGGATGAATTCCCTCGTGTTTTTGAGGCTATTATGGAGGAAAGGGTGGCAGGGGGCAGAGGAAGAAATCCAGTGGTGGAGCAGCCCTGGGCAGAGAGAAGCAGAGACGTTTATTATGGGAGCAGCTGTACCCCACACTCACCAGTTTCCGAAGCTTCCCTCTCATTTGGAGAGAAGACAGCACACATTTTAAGGACACAGTAGATTGCAAGCAATTGATGGGTCAACACGGCTGGCTGGGCTGGTGATTTTGTAATTACGAAGCAGATTTTTTAGACAGAATGGTTACCCCAACTGTGTAATTAAGAGGATCGTTAAGGAATGTTGCTGGGCTGTGCATCACCCTGGGGCTAGAGCTACCACATGGTTACAACAGAAAAAAGCAGTCAGGCTTCATCACAGGGCCATTGCTAATTAATTGAAACAAATATTTGCAATAACAATTCCTATAGATGATATATTTGCAACAGTTGAATGCTGAGAGAATCTTGACAGAGAGGTCTGATCGGGGTGAAAACAATAGAAAAACAGGTGGTAGTCCCCAGGTTAGAGAAAACAAATGGGCTGGTTGAAATTGGATGGCCTTGGTGCAGTTTTAGTTGAATCCAACTCTGTAGCACTGGTTTGGACCTTACTTTGTCTAGCATATTTACTGTAGAATGGGCCTGGCTAAACTGGAGAAATTCCAGAAACTAACAAGAGTGATTTGAGTTGGAAAACAGCACCTAGGAGGAAGGTGAGGAAAAAGAGACAATTTAGTCTGGACTATGTCTGCATAACATGTTAATAAAGACTTTCAAAATTATGAGAAGTTTTCCTCTCCAAGAATAGAAATTAGCCATGTCCATCTCCTCTTAGCACAAAGAAGGCATAAACATCAACTGCAGAATGAGGAATTTGAACTAAGCAAAAATTTTGATGTTTTAGATTCTAAAATAAGAGACTACACAGATATTTGATCTAATTCCCGTGAACACTTTTTAGAACTGCAGAGAGGCTATAAATCCCAACACAGGTCCCTCCGTGTTCTGCACAAACTTTCATTTTGCTTCGTGTTATTCTAGACATCTTCTTGGTTGGAAATCATTAAACTGCCTTTGTTAGATGAAAGTAGTACTTTGGTAAAAAATATAGGCCAAATCATTAACAAAGGACCCGATCTCATGCATCAGAAGTGGGGTCAGTTTGTAGCTTATAACTGAATCCACTTAAGGCTTAGCCATGGGTTATATATTCTTCAGAGGTGGCTTCCAACCTTAGGATTCTAGAAATGACCACTTTCTTTCTATCTCCAGTGACTGCTACTGTGCTCAACCCGTAGTAGGTGCTCAGTGAACATTGCTACTAGAGATCATGCGTAATATAAATCCTCAGTGTTCTTGTTCAAAATGCAGATGAAATCAGAATCTCAGGAAATTTACATTTTAAATAACGTCTCCCAGTGATTTTGAAAACTCCTGGCTTAGGGCAACCAAACTTCAGCACTGGGCTTGAAGTAATCTTCCTGGGAACAGCATCCTGGGAGAAAACGCTAGGATTTCAGTGATCAGAGGGAGAAGCTCTTATCTGGTTAACAAATTCAAGCTGTAGCTACTCAGCCAGCCAGGTTGTCATGCATAGATAAAAAACAGAAAGACCTGCTGAAATGACCCTAGATGTGTCCTGTGCTGCACAATGCCTCACTGGGCGTGCAGAGGTTCTGTGAGAAGTTGACAAATGCATTGCTCTCAGGGCCTAATTATGAATCAGTTTGTTCCAGCAGCCCCCTTCACTTCTGCAGGGGTTTGGCCAGGCAAGTAGGCACATCACTGGTAACAGACAGAGGTGCACAAGACCCTCAGTGCTCCAAAAGCCATGTTCCTTCAGCCATGATGTGAGAAACCACAGGAGACATCTAGCACCTTCCTAGTTTGTCAATTTTATTCAGTGTTCAGTAACTAAAAAAAATTTTTTTTTTACATTAAAACCAAGGTGGTGGGCCAGGCTCGGTGGCTCACACCTATAATCCCAGCACTTTGGGAGGCCAAAGCAGGTGGATCACCTGAGGTCAGAAGTTAGAGACCAGCCTGGCCAACATGGTGAAACGCCGTCTCTACTAAAAATACAAAAATTAGCCCCGGTGTGGTGGCGCATGCTCATAATCCCAGCCACTCAGGAGGCTGAGGCAGGAGAATCACTTGAACCCAGGAGGTGGAGGTTGTAGTGAGCTGAGATGATCACACCACTGCACTCCAGCCTGGGTGACAGAGTGAGTGAGACCCTGTCTCAAAAATAAAAAATAAAAAAACCCCAAGGCATACATATTATCTTATAGAATGAAAAATTCACATCTTTTTTTCTTTTTTTTTGGCCAGGCACGGTGGCTCAAGCCTGTAATCCCAGCACTTTGGGAGGCCGAGGAGGGCAGATCACAAGGTCAGGAGATCGAGACCATCCTGGCTAACACAGTGAAACCCCGTCTCTACTAAAAATACAAAAAAATTAGCCGGGCGTGGTGGCGGGCACCTGTAGTCCCAGCTACTCGGGAGGCTGAGGCAGGAGAATGGCGTGAACCCAGGAAGCAGAGCTTGCAGTGAGCCGAGATCGCGCCACTGCACTCCAGCTTGGGCCACAGAGCGAGACTCTGTCTCAAAAAAAAAAAAAAAAGAAAAAAGAAAAATCACATCTTTAAACAAAAAGAGAGAGATACTTCAAAGAAATTTCTCCCCTAATAACGTTCTGTTAGAGGCTCCAGAACCCCAGGGCTATGCACTTACTCTCCTCTAAGGATTGTTCAGAGCAGCGCTGTTCCTAGAACTTTCTTCGACCAAAGAAATGTTCTGTATAGACACATATGCTATTGAGCCCTTGAAATGTGGCTGGTGAGACTGAGGAACTGAATTTTTAACTGCATTCCATTTTATTTAATTTGAATTTGAATAGCCACATGCAGCTATCAGCTACTGCATGGGGCAAGTTTAAAGGAAAAGTTTACATTTTAGTCCCAACGTCTCCTGAGAAGTCTTTGGGATTTAAGGAAGAATTTAGGAAATGGAGCCAAGCAAGAGGCATCGGCAGCATTTTCCCTCTGTCTGTCATCCTTCACTTCTGTTCCCAACCGTTTCCTCACCCGAGAGCCCCTTTTCCAGTCTGCAGAAAGAAAGAGCATGTAGTAGAAAGGAAGACCTGCTTCTCTGGAAAGCCAAGAATGAGGAAGAGGGAGCGCGAGAAAGAACCCATCCTTGGCCAGGGGCGGTGGCTCACGCCTGTAATCCCAACACTTTGGGAAGCCAAGGCAGGTGGATTGCTTGAGGTCAGGAGTTCGAGACCAGCCTGGCCAACATGGCGAAACCCCATCTCTACTAAAAGTACAAACATTAGCCGGGCGTGGTGGTGCACACCTGTAATCCCAGCCACTTGGGAGGCTGAGGCATGAGACTTGCTTGAACCCAGGCGGTGGAGACTGCAGTGAGCTGAGATTGTACCATTGCACTCCAGCCTGGGTGACAGAGACTCTGTCTAAAAAAAAAAAAAAAAAAAAAAAAAACACCATCCTGGATGTCTTCTATCCCCTCAACAAGATCTTAGGAATCCTGGAGGCAGTCATCTTCAAGTTCATCTTATAGGAGTGGAAACTGAGGCTTGGGGGTGGAAATATGTATTGTCCCAGTGACTTGGTGAATGAAATGGTGCTAGCACTCTCAGCCTCCAGCCACCGTGAGCTCCTTCCTGTACTGCACCTGTGTCCTTCTCAGGGAAAGATGATGGATTGTTTTTCTCTGGCCTGTGAGGTTGCAAAATTTCAAAACAAGACAATGTCCTTGTAATTTGACCATATGTACCACATGATTTACAAATGCCCCTCTGACCTAGTGATTCTTGTACTAGTAATTTATCCAAAGTAAATCATGGGGAAATGTGAACAATGTTGGAAATTAAGTAGAAAAAAAATAAGAAAATTGTGCGTGCGTGTGTGTGTGTGTGTGTGTGTGTGTGTGTATTTTTTTTCTTTTTTTTTTTTTTTTTTGAGATAGGGCCTCACTTTGTCAACCAGGTTGGAGTGCAGTGGCACCATGATGGCTCACTGCAGCCTCAACATCCCAGGCTCAGGTGATCTTCCCACCTCAGCCTCCCGAGTAGCTGGGACAATAGACATACGCCACTACACCTGGCTAGTTTTTATATTTTTAGTAAAGACGGGGTTTCACCATGTTACCCAGTCTGGTCTCAAACTGGACTCAAGTGACCCGCCTGCCCAGCCTCCCAAAGTGTTGGGATTAGAGGCGTGAGCCACCACGCCTGACCACATATTTAAACACATATATATAATCTCAATAATTTTGTGGGTTTTTTTAGATGTTTGTTTGTTTGTTTGTCTGAGACAGTTTTGCCCTGTCGCCCAGACTGGAGTGCAGTGGCATGATCTTGGCTCACTGCAACCTCTACCTTCCAGGTTCAAGCGATTCTCCTGCCTCAGACTCCTGAGTAGCTGGGATTACAGGCACACGCCACCATGCCCAGCTAATTTTTTGTATTTTTAGTAGAGACAGGGTTTCACCATGTTGGCCAGGCTGGTCTCAAACACATGACTTCAAGTGATCCACCCACGTTGGCCTCCCAAAGTCCTGGGATGACAGGCATGAGTCACCATGCCTGGCCTATTCTTAAGAGTTTTTTAATGCATATGTATATTTATTGCAAAAATTAGAAAATATATAGTGATTATCTCTAAGTAGTAAGGTTATAGGTGATTTTAGTTTTCTGCTTTGTGCTTTCTGTACTATAATTGGAAAGGCCAATTATTTATTTATTTATTTATTTATTTATTTATTTATTTATTTATTTATTTTTGAGACGGAGTCTTACTCTGTTGCCCAGGCTGGAACGCAGTGGCGCGATCTCAGCTCACTGCAAGCTCTGCCTCCCAGGTTCACGCCATTCTCCTGCCTCAGCCTCCCGAGCTAGGGCTACAGGCACCCACCACCACGCCCAGCTAATTTTTTGTATTTTTAGTAGAGATGGGGTTTCTCCATGTTAGCCAGGATGGTCTCGATCTCCTGACCTCATGATCTGCCCGCCTCGGCCTCCCAAAGTGCTGGGATTACAGGCGTGAGCCACCGCGCCCGGCCTGGAAAGGCCAATTATTGATAAACACTGGCACTTCATTTATTAATAGTGTTTCAGTATGTCATATTCAGTGAAAGTCTGTAACATCATCTTCACTGTTGCGGACACACATAGTGTGCTTTGGTCCTGCCTCCAGGGAGTGGATGTTCTAGGTCAGTATGGAATTTTCCAGATCCCCTTCACTTCCCATGTAAGTTTTCTCTGCAGAGGGCCCTGTGTGAAGGAGGCATGTTCAGGAGGGGCAGTGCCCATGGGCAAGAAACAGGTAGCCTATGGTCAAAATGTGCAGCCTCATAGGCACCTGGTAGGAAAAGCAGTGCCTTAATTTACAAAAAGTCAACTTCTAGGCTAACAGTAGCCCTGTGTGGGCATGCTCTTTAGTATCAGCAACTTGATCATATTCACAGTGAAATGCAAACCTGGCAAAAACATGCAGGGGCTACATGGGAAGTCGCCCTCACGAGAGCCTTCAAAACTCGAGCAAATGCCAATATTTCAAGCATACCTAATTTCTAACCACACACATGCAATTCCAGGCTCATCTCTTCCCTGAGGTGGTGATAGGTTGAAACTGAGGGGCTTCACTTTTGAAAGCATTTGCTGATAGAATGTGGGGTTTTTGAAAGCAATTGCTGACAGAACACAGCTAAGAACTAAGCAGTGGTCTCTAAGGTGTTGAGAGAGCTCATTGCAGAAGCGAGCCAGTTCCTCCCAGACCACTGACAGATGCAGGATCAGTTGAGAGCTGGGCTTTCCATTGTGATGTGCTGCTCCTACTGAGAACATGCTGCTGTGTAGGCAGGACACGTAACGTTGCATTATACATCTCCCAGCTTGCCACGTCTCCCAGCTTGCCACATCTCCCAGCTTGCCACATCCTGTTATGTTGCATCCCATCAGCCTAAGTCATGATGGAGGCAAACACAACCTGGGGTGACATGTAGCACTTTGTAATGCATCGTAGCATTTAAGTCTACATTGGCCAAGTTGCACACATCAGCTTGGACACAAGATGCTCATTATTCAGAGAGTGTGATCTAATGTGCAGGGACTGCTGGCTGAGGGTATAAACTGCACCAAGGGAGAGCATGTATGTCACACTCCGTCTGAGAGCCAAAGTTCATCCACTACATTGAATTCCCATTTCTCCACTGGAAAACTCCACAACCACCAAGTCCTTGTGAGAGGGGATCTGATAAACAAAACATTCCAAATGCCTCCAGTGCGCTGTGGGAAGAATCATGCCCTGTGCAGAGACTTTCAAGTATTGATGCTGATGAGTAGTAAGATGGTTTCTGAAGCATGTGACTGGATGACAGCTGGCACCTCCACTCAGATTAATACTAACTGACTTACTTGGAGTTTAAACTTAGAATCTTTGGAATACTATGCAGCCATCAAAAAGAATGAGATCATGTCCTTTGCAGCAAAATAGATGTAGCTAGAGGCCATTATTCTAAGAGAATTAATGCAGGAACCAAAAACCATATACCACATGTTCTCACTCACAAGTGGGAGCTAAACACTGGGAACACATGGACACAAAGAGGGGAATAATAGACACTGGGACCTACTTGAAGGTGGAGGGTGGGAGGAGGGTAAGGGTCAAAAAACTACCTATCAAGTACTATACTCACTACCTGGGTGATGAAATCATTTGTACACCAAACCCCAGCAACACTCAATTTACCCATGTAACAAATTGGCACACATACCCACTGAACCTAAAATAAAAGCTGGAAAAAAATACTTATGATCTTTTGATTATCCTTCTTCTAACCAGGAGATTTATATACATGGGACTTTTCAAGAGAGCTGTGATGATGAGTGATGAATGAATGAATGTCTTAAGGCTTGAAAGCCAACCCTTCACTACAAATAAAGGTTTGACACCAGAATTCTACAATCTTCTTCTCCAGTCACTCCTTGAAGGCCCGGGCTCTGATACTCAAGGGAAGGCTTATGCTCTCCAAACCCAACTCAAGGAGCAATAATGGGGCAGCCAGCCCTGAAAGACTAAGAAGCATTGGCATATGGCTCAAGCCGTTAGTTTCTCAACTGGCTGGGAATCCTCACAGTTTCCTTGTATGAAAGAGGGATTTGCTGCAATTTCAGGAGGGCTTCAAGAGCTCATCAGCTCCCTTTGGATTAATAGGAGCTTTCTATTGTATCCTTTTTGAAAATTTCATGTTCTGAGATACTCTTGGCCCAGTCAGAGGGCAAGGAAAGCATCAGGAAGGACAGTCAGGCTCCATTTCTCAGGAGAGTGTTTTTATAAAGTAGAATTGGAATCTTCCAATGGACAAGAGGCCTGCCCAGTGACTGGGGGTAAGTAGAAGGCCCAGCGCCATGGTGATGTCAGGTAACCTCTTAGCCCACAAACCCCCACCAGCCTCTCCTGATGTGACTAAATTCTTACCTTTACCCTTAGTTGAGACTATTTGATTGGCAGTAACAGAAATCCACTTAACGTAACTCAATCGAAAAAGTGCAGCTAGGCCAGGCACAGTGGCCTACGACTGTAATCCCAGCACTTTGGGAGGCCGAGGCAGGAGGATTACTGGAGGCCAGGAGTTGGAGACCAGTGTGGGCAATAGAGCAAGACCCCTGTCTCTACCAAAAAAAAAAAAAATTACTTGGGGTTGGTCCCAGCTACTTGAGAGACTGAGGCAGGAAGATTGCTTGAGCCCAGGAGTTGGAAGCTGCCGTGAGCTAGGATCATGACACTGCACTCCATCCTGGGTAACAGAGTGAGACCTGGTCTCTTAAAAAAAATAAATAAATAAATAAATAAATAAATAAATAAAGTGCAGCTAGACCTCACCAGACCTGGCAAGCCATTTAGTCAAAGCAGCTTCTCTTCCACTGCACCTGGTCTCTTTCTCTCTCTGCAGCCACATGTCCTCTCACCTTCACTTTCCCTGTGATATCTTTCTCCCTCTGTCCCTCTCTCTTCACCTCTGTCTTTTTCAGTCTGTCCATCTCTCTTAACCAGCTCTCTCTGCCTCTCCTTGTGCACATAAATAAATGTGGTTAGTCCATTTTAATTCTCTCAGTTCAGGTGACTGGCTGAAAAAAGTACTCATATTCTATAGTTCCAATACACAGTCCCAGAAGCTTTGGTTCACGTTGGGTCTACCCCCGTGCAATCAGTATTGTCCTCTGATCGTCCACCGAAGTCACCCAGTCTGGCCTGGATGGCACGGTCATGCAGTGTACACACAGCTGTCCTCATCCACTCCTGTCCCTGTGGAAAGTTCTCTGGAAATGGGACTGTGGGCTGGACATGCACCTCCAAGGCATCCTTGTCATGTCTATTTTCTCTCCAGTCTGATCACATCCGACATCCTCTCTTCCAACCTAGATGTCACACAAAGCAGGGGATAGTGGAAGAGAATAGGCTTGGGAGACAGACTTGGTTTCTAATACTGGCTTTGTAAATAGTAGGTTTATGGCCTTGATAAAGGAGCGTAAACCTCAATTTCTCCATAAGAATAGGGGAAATAGCATCTATCTCGAAAGCTTATTTTGAGGATAATGACCCATTTTGGAAAAAATCATCTAAATACAGAATTTCTATTTCTTCACTTTTCATTTATTCTATACTCACTTATTTGTGGCTTCTGCTTCTACCAGTCCCTTGAAATTGTTTTCATTAAGGTCAGCTATGACTTTTTCTGTTGCTATCATCTGTCCTAATCATATTCATTCTCTTTTTAGAATCGTCACTGTTGACCATTCTCTCCTTCTTGAAAATGCTCTTTCTATGGCTTCTATAACAATATATGTCGTGGTTTTTCAAATCGATGTTGGTTTCTTTAAGATTATTTTAATATATAAATGAGTGCTGGGTGCAGTGGCACACACCTGTAGTTCCAGCTACACAGGAGGCTGAGGCAGGAGGATTGCTTGAGGCCAAGAATTTGAGGCTACAGAGTACCATGATCAGGCCTGTGAAGAACCACTGCACTCCAGCCTGGGCAACGTAGTGAGACCTCATTTGTAAATTTTTAAAAATTATTTTAATATATAAATAAGCAAAAAGAAATCAGCAATTATTTGTATCATTGCCAAAAATTAACTAGCGCTAACATGTTTGATTCTCTTTTTTATTCTTTTCTTTTTAAAAATTCAATTAATATGGAAAGGTTAGAAAATGTTTTAAATTTTAAAGTAGCCCAAATCCCTCTATCCTGGAATTCTATTCTTTATTAAGGATAGCACAGTAAAAACTCTTTGTTATCCAAGGCATCTTTTTAAAATGCAAGTATGGAACTAAAGAAATAGAAACGTATTTTTAAAAAATGAGTTCAGGCTGGGCACGGTGGCTTCAACCTGTAATCCTAGCACTTTGGGATGCTGAGGTGGGCAGATCACTTGAGTTCAGGAGTGTGAAACCAGCCTGGCCAACATGGTGAAACCCTGTCTCTACTAAAAATACAAAAAAAATTAGCTGGGCATGGTGGCAGGCACCTGTAATCCCAGCTACTTGGGAGGCTGAGGCAGAAGAATTGCTTGAACCTGGGAGACAGAAGTTGCAGTAAGCCGAGATCGCACCACTGCACTCCAGCCTGGGCGACAGAGTGAGTGTCAAAAAAAAAAAAAAAAAAAAATCCTAAAAGCGTGTGAGGGTAGGTGGGGGAGATGAAGAGAGGTTGATGAGTGAGTACAAACCTACAGTTAGATAAGAAACAGAAGAAATAAGTTCTAATGCTAGATAGCAGGCAGGGTAGGGGAACTATAGTTAGCATCAATATATTGTATATTTCCAAGTAGCTAGAAGAGAGGACTTGAAGTGGAACCAACACATAGAAATGATCAATATTCATGGTGATAGCCACCCTTAATGCCCTGAATTGCTCATTACACGTTCTATGCATGTAAAAAATACTCATAGGTACCCCCATAAATATGGAAAATACTATACATCAATAACCTATATATCAATAACAGAAAAAAAAGAAACTAAAAAAAATAGGAGGGTACAGTTACTATGTTTCTATTTAAGACACTGGTACTCCTACAATTTCTACAATCTTCCCTCCCCCACTTCTTGATTTGTGTTGCATTATTGGTATTTTCTTTGTTTGTTGTTTGCTTGTTTGTTTGTTTTGAGATGGAGTCTCACTCTGTCATCTAGGCTGGAGTGCATTGGCACCATCTCGGCTCACTGCAACCCCTGCCTGCCAGGTTCAAGTGATTCTCCCGTCTCAGCCTCCCGAGTAGCTGAAATTACAGGTGCCTATCACCATGCCAGGCTAATTTTTGTATATTTAGTAGATGCGGGGTTTCACCATGTTGGCCAAACTGGTCTCGAACTCCTGGCCTCAAGTGATCCACCCACCTCAGCCTCCCAAGGTGCTGGGATTACTGGTGTGAGCCATCACACCCAGCCTGTTTTTATATGTTTAACATTGCAGTTTAATTTCTGTTAACATAGTTCCCATGGTTGCCTGGAATCTGGTTTTGGCTCTATATTCAAGTGTATTTTATGCTTATATGAGGTGTTTCCTTGGTCATGGAATATCCATTCCAGAGTTCTTTGTTTTGATTTATCTCCATGAGGAATTTTGTTATCAGTAGTTTTTTCAGAAGTGCTTATGTGTCTGTATTCTTTGATTTATTTCATGTGTTTGAGTTATTTTCATGTCTGTAGCTTTTTGCTTGAAGGCATCTTAGAGAATGTCATGCTCACGGTCACACCTACTTTCCCTTAGAACTTTGATGATGTTCCGCCTTTGCCTTTTTCTGGCATTGAATGATCTTGTGGAAAAGTCTGGGGCAGCCTTATTTACTGCTATTGACTATATGCTGGGGGAAAAAAATCTCTCTTTATCTATGTTCATATAAGTGGATTAGCTTAGCTAGACTGGATCTTGATGTTCAGTGATCTGGGCGATTGAGATTATGTATATAAAAAATTGATGTTCATAAAATGCTCAGCACAGAACCCAGTATGGGGTCAACAAATTATGGCCTACAGGCCAAATCCAGCTCACAAACTACAAATAAAGTTTTACTAGCACACAAACATATTAGTTTATGTATTATCTGTGGCTGCTTTCCTGCCTCAATGGCAGGGCTGAATAGCTGTGACAGAGACCATATGGTCTGCAAGTCCTAAAATATTTACTATCTGTCCTTTTACAGAAAATGTTTATCAGCCCTATTCCCCAACACACATGCTCACTCTGTCCTAGAGAATCAGGAAAAACTGGCTATTGAAAGTGACTTTACATCTCACTTTCTAGTCTAACGTGTTATTTTCTGCAAAAGCAGTTTCCATAAAATCTAGATATGGGCTCCACCAACCTTAACCACTTCCAAAGAGAAGTTCACCTGCATTATGTAATGTCCATATGATATGGTATTATCTTTTGAAGACAAGCTCACATCTATGTCCAGAGACCCATCCACAATTGAGGCATAATGATGTTTCAATTTAAAGCCATATTCAGAAACTTTCGCTATTACCGCCACATGGTCAGATGGCCCATGCCCAGTTGCAAATAACCAATCAATATCAACAACATGGTTGTGGCACTTCAAAAGTGGGAGAAGAGAAGGAAAAAAACAAGTGTTTTTTTTTTTTTTTTTTTTTTAGTAAAACCCAAGAAAATGCAATGATAAGTCTATAAAAGGTGATTTTGAAATGGTCCGTATTTTAAGAGTTTTGCTGCTGCTGCAATGACTTTAAAATGCCCTTGAACTGGACTCATCGGGTCCTTCCTTTTGGGGAATGGGCAGCTTTCTGCATAAGGAATACCTGTAGAGATTATTTCTGGCTCTGTGAATTGCCATTCTGTATTCACTATCTCTCATGTACCAATTTGGGAAGAGTGATGAGGGTGTTGAGATAGGAGAAAGGATCAATAGTGTGCTTTCTAGTCACTGGGAATGTTGAGAATAGATATTTAGCAGACAGTGAGATAAGGAATCTCCACACTTTATGTGTGTGTACATGGAAGATATTATCAATATATCAGCCTTTCAGATAGCCATTTGCCTTAGGTCAGTAAAAATTAGAGGCCGACATTTTATTTAACTCTGCGTTATCTCCTCTTTGCAACTTGAAGTAGACATAGGCTAGTTAACACAAAATATTATCTTGGGGTGGGTACATACTTGTAATTTATATAAAAGGCTGAAATGTACCTCATTCTCTTTCCTTGCCCAAAGATGGAGTAAGCATTTATAAACTTCCCGCGAAATATTACCGCCTTAGAGTCAGCAGACCTAGAATATGTGAACTTGGCCAAGTTTCTTAACCTGCTCAACCTGCTCTGTCTAGTTTTCTGATCTTTAACAAGAGCTAACCTTTGTCAAGCACTGACTGTGTGCCAGGAATGGCTGTAAGTGTTTTCTGTGCATTTTCTCATTCAATTCCCCCAACTGCTTACGGTCCATATTTCATATATATATATATATATATATATATATTTTTTTTTTTTTTTTTTTTTTTTTTTTTTTTTTGAGACAGAGTCTTGCTTTGTCACCCAGGCTGGAGTGCAGTGGTGCAATCTCGGCTCACTGCAACCTCCTTCTCCCAGGTTCAATCCATTCTTCTGCCTCAGCCTCCCAAGTAGCTGGGATTACAGGCAACCACCATCACACCCAGCTAATTTTTGTATTTTTAGTAGAGATGGGGTTTCACCATGTTGGCCAGGATGGTCTTGAACTCCTGACCTCAAGTGATCTGCCCACCTCAGCCTCCCAAAGTGCTGGGATTACAGGCATGAGCCACTGCGCCTGGCCAGGTCCATACTATATTATGATGCCCCCTTGCATGAGAAAACTGAGGGATAAAGTGGTTCAAGCCATTTTAAGAGGTAAAGCTAGATTTGAACTTGGCAGTCTGGCTCCAAAGTTTGTTCTGCCTCTTACCAGTAATAAGATTGTAAAAAATATAAAAAGAAAAATTGAAGAATATATTTTTTATTATGTTTTTTATATGTAGTAAGCGTGCAATGAATGGTAATAATCTATGTGATAGTGATGATGACTGTGATGAAAAGAATAAAAAAAAACAGGGTGACTATGCTAGGTGCAGTGCCTCACACCTGTAACCCCAGCACTTTGGGAGCCGGAGGTGGTGGGTCACTTGAAGACAGGAGTTCGAGAACAGCCTGGCCAACGTGGCAAAACCCTGTCTCTACTAAAAATACAAAAACTAGCAGGGCATGATGGCATGCACCTGTAGTCCCAGCTACTCGGGAGGCTGAGGCACAAGAATCATTTGAACCCAGGAGGCAGAGGTTGCATTGAGCCGAGATCACGCCACTGCACTCCAGCCTGAGTGACAAAGCAAGACTCCGTCTCAAATATATATATATATATAAAATTAAAAATTTAAAAAAGGGCGATTTAGAAAATACATTATTATAATCCTTGAAAGGGCTTCTGGCCCCAAGCAAACCACTCTCCTACTAGATAGAGGGATTTCTTAATTTGTGCATAGATCTGACTTGGGACAAAGACTATGTGCTCATACCACAGTGTTGATGAAGTTCAAAGTAGCTGAGGCTACTATCACATCATAGTTCTGGTTTTTGTTCTTTGACTACTGGGCTTGTGTTCAGCCTTTGTCTTTTGCCAATCGCAAAATCAGGGATGCTTCTCATGTATTCAGGTGGACTTCTGTCTTGGCCCTAGTAGGCAAATGGTGAAAAAGAGCCCTGGGAGAGAAGCCAGAATCTGTGAGTTGAAGAGGGGGAGGCAGAGAGAGCCAGTAAAGAGAAGAGGTGAGATCCAGGCAGTGACAAAGAAAGGCTTTGGCAGGAACTGTGAGTCAGAGGAGATGAAAGTTGGGATAGGGTCACATAGCAAAGGAGATCGCCATCCTTCTGAAGAGCAGGAAAAGACCAGAAGAATCAAAAACCAGGACTTGAACAGATATTTATACACTCATGTTCACAGCAGGATTACTCACAAAAGCCAAGAGGTGAACACAACCCAAATGCCCATTCACAAAAGATTGAGGTCAATGCTTTTCTCACTCCCAGAGACACTGGACTCCAGGAAAGGTGTTGATTGATGTGGCTGCAGTATTGCCACATCAGCAGATGAATGGATCAGCCGATGAGTGGATCAACAAGATGTCGTAGATACATAATGGAATATTATCCAGCCTTAAAAAGGAGGAAATTCTGACACATGCTACAAAATGAATGAGTCTTGAGGACATTATGCTAAGTGAAACCAGCCAGACACAAAAGGGCAAATACTATGATTCCACTCATATGAGATATCCGGAGTAGTCAAAATCACAGAGACAGAAAGCAGGATGGTGGTTGCCGGGGGCTGGGGGAAGGGGATATGGGGAGTTATTGTTTAATGTCATGATCCCCAACCTTCCTGGCACTGGGGATTGGTTTCATAGAAGATGGCAGGGGTGAGGGGATTGGGGGAGTGGCTTTGGGATGAAACTCTTCCACCTCAGATCATCAGGCATTAGTTAGAGTCTCATAAGGAGCTCACAACATAGATTCCTCACATGCGCAGTTCACAATAGGGTTCACGCTCCTATGAGAATCCGATGCTGCCACTGATCTGATGGGAGGCAGAGCTCAGGTGGTCACGCTCACTGGCCCAGTTCCTAACAGGCCATGGACGAGTCTGTGGCCCGGGGTTTGGGGACCCCTGTTTAATGGGTTACAGAGTTTCAGTTTGTGAAGATGAAAAACTACTGGACACGGATGGTGGAGGTGATGGTTGCCCAATAATGTGAATGTACTTAATGTCACTAAACTATATATTTTAAAAAATGGTTAAAATGATAAATTTTATACTATGTATATTTTAAGACATTAAAAATAATAAAGAAAATCTCACAATAAAAAGAGAGGGTGAATATGAATGACATGACTTAACTATAGCAGTCACCAATGAATGCACATCTCCTACATAGATTTATGTTTATATATTCAGTTGTGGTGGCTGGGGTGAAGAGGAAACTGGCTAAATGTATAGAATTTCCATTTTTGCCAACTGAACCGACCCATTGGTCAGAAATGGGGCCTATCATTTATTCCAGGGAACTACCACAAAATAACTCCGGCCGGAGTTATTTTAATTGACTGTTGAGTAATGGTGCTCATAAAACTCAATTGGTGGGCAGCCCTGCCTTCCCACCAGTCACACTCCAGAAGGGATCATGGTGGCCAGGGGACACCTGCTGGAGGGTCATCACCAGGATTCTTGATGACTGGAGCTGGTGCGATTAGATCAGCAGGGAAGTAGGTCAGTGGAGAAGCCACTTACTGGCTTGCAGAGACTTCGGCTGGGGTGCAGAAGAGCAGGTGGTGCTGCCGGCCGTGTATCAGGACACAAGTGCCTTCTTATGCACCAGTAAAAGTTGTGAGTATCACAAAAGTTGCCTAGAAACCAAATCACAAGACTTCCAGTGACTCTGGCAGGCTCCCTAGTGTTGACAAATCAGGGCATCACAGGACTCTAGTTTCCCTACAATTAAGCAGATAATTAAGAAATAAGAACACATTTTTCTGATATAAATTGATAGGTTCTAGTTGGTTATGTTAGCATCAGAAATAAATTGAGCAGTAATCTGCAAAGGATGTTATTGCATTATAAAAATAAAGATCTGTCTCCACAACCAATCAATTCAGCAGATATATACCAACAATCAAATTGTTAAAAATGACTTCTATAAATTACCCAGGGTTCTGTCTAATGGTGCCAGAAGCAGCTGTGATACAATTTAGGGCTGATATAACCATATATCGAGAGTGCTTTTTCATTCTGATACTTTCCGTTCCCTTCAAAGCAGTTGTAGTAGAGCCCACAGCTTTGTTTAGTGCACTCATGTGAAAACAAAGTGTATTTCACTCCATGGGTTAGCAAAGTCATTTTGGCAGGAATATATGCATTTAATATGGGAAGAATAATTCAATTTTCTTTCTATTATTTCAGCTACAAGGTTGCAATGTACTTAATTCTTCATTAAGCCCTCTGGCTTGCAAGGAAGTTGCTGTTCTTTATGAGCTGCTGTACTTCTTTCAAATGAAGGTGGAAAAGACCCACCAAGGGAGAGTTATAATCATGTATTTTTCAGTCTTGTCTAACAGCCATTTCAATGAAATCAGAACAATTTAGTACCTTTTCTTAATACCTTCAGCATTTGAAAATTCAGTCTGTCCAAACTTGATTGTCTGTTAATGCCTAATCACCAAGCTGCACCAGGATCTGTCGGTGGCCTTTTTTTTCCTTTGCATATTCATGTCGGCTGAAAAAGCAGTTAAATGCTGGCTGAACTGAAAGCAATTTTCCCACTTGGGAGCCCTGACACAACAGGAATCCATCTTTCATATAACAGTTCCAAACGTAGTTCTTCCACAGAGGTTTTGTCTAGTAAGCTTAGATGGTGCCCTAGCTGAGACATGGTTTACTCACCAGACGCAATTAACAATGACAGCAAAAACATATGCAGTAGCCACTGGACTCTCACTGGGTATTAAGTTCTTTCCTCGGAATATGAGACACCAGGATACACATCAAGACAAATAAACATGGTCCCTGCCCTCAAATAACTTACAATATAGTAAGTTATTGGCTAAAAATTTGAATGGTTTGAGAATAACTAAGTGGATACAAATTAGAGTCAGTCTCGGGAATGGATCTGTTTTTGGAGAAAAGGTTCCTATTTCTCTGCTAGATAGAGGTGGACAGGCTTGGCACAGGACATTGTGGAAGGTACAGAAGGATCTAACAACCTGGTTGAAGAAAAAATTTCAAATAATGGCTGATAGCATAAGGTGAGAGAAAGAAAGAAACTTAGGGGCAGGGGAAGGAGAGCATAGTTTGAGGGGTGCTGGAGTCAGGGACAGGTTTAGAGAGGCATGAGTGGGACATACTAAATTTAACATAGAAATGGTGCTCAACAGTCAATTAAAATCTGAGTCTGGAACTCAGGAGAAAAGTCAAGAATAAAGGTAAAGATGTAGGCCAGGCATGGTGGCTCACGCCTGTAATCCCAGCACTTTGGGAGGTTGAGGTGGGTGGATCACCTGAGTTCAGGGGTTTGAGACCAGCCTGGCCAGTATGGTGAAACCCAGTCTCTACTGAAAATACAAAAAATTAGCCGGGCAAGATGGTGGGCGCCTGTAATCCCAGCTACTCAGGAGGCTGAGGCAGGAGAATCGCTTGAACCCAGGAGGCGGAGGTTGCAGTGAGACGAGATTGCTCCACTGCACTCCAGCCTGAGTGACAGAGCGAGACTCCATCTCAAAAAAAAAAAAAAAAAAAAAAGATAGAGATGTAGAGGTTTTGCTTTTTTTGGAGGACTGGTCAGATATGTTGTAGAATGTCCTGCTTTTTAATACCTGTTTTAATACCTGGAGCACTTGAAAATTCAGTCTGTCCAAACTGTGATTGTCCATTAATGCCTATTCACCAAGCCACGCTAGGATCTGTCAGTGGCCTTTTTTTTCCTTTGCATATTCATGTCAGCTGAAAAGGCAGTTAAATGCTGGCTGAACTGGAAGCAATTTTCCCACTTGGGAGCCCTGGCACAACAGGAATCCATCTTCAATATAACATTTCCAAACTTAGTTCCTCTACAACAGATCTGTTGTAGAAGAATCCTGTTTTTTTTTTTTAATTGATGTTTAATAGTTGTACATATTTATGGGGTACATGTGTTTTTTTGGTACATGTATACAATGTATACATTACAACAGGATAATTGGGATATCTATCACTAGAAGTCCTATTTTTGACTCTCAAAAATAGTTAATTTCTTTCCTGATGATACTCATTCTGAAATTCTCAATGGACACTCCCCATCCTTCAGTCTAATGTTTCGATAGAAACATTTTGATAACTCCTAATTGGTCCTTGTACTAGAGATTTTCTGGTTGCACCTCCAGATCCTCTCTCCATTCTTCTCCTTCCTGTTTTTGCCCTGGGAGGCTGAGCTCTGTGAATGGCATCACCTTGCCCACTGGCTGCTAAATCGTTTGGCCAACGGAAGACACAAATGAGAGATAACAGCCCGGAGGGGAGTGAGGTCAAGGTGCACATTTATCGTGAATCCCTCTTCGCCTGGTCATGATGAATTGGCTGCTTCTCTGTACAGCCACTTGCTTTAGGTTGCAGTCAACACTCTCCCTACTTTCCAGTCTGGCCTAGAGGTAGTGACAGCTCCTGCTGTTGTTAGCCTGTGGGAACTGACAGTATCCCTTGTGAGTTTCCCTAAAGGCTGCCTATTCTTTTTAAACAGTGCTTTTGGTAAGCTTCATTAGCTTAACTTAACGAAACTCTTCTCAATTACCTAGTTTGAATCCAGTATGTCTTTTCTGACATGACTCTGAAAGAGTCTTCTGCAAATACTGATTGATTGATTGATTGACGATATTATCTGATCTTTGTTCTAATATATCTTCCTTTAAAAAGTTCTACAACATAGTAATCACACTTGGGCTGATCTGTTTTCATGAAAGAAAGTACTTAAGATAGTTTTCTCTAATTTAAATATTAATAGGAAAATGATTAAATAAATTATGATCCATCTCTCTATATGATACTGAAATTTTTTTTTTGAAAATTTGTCATTTTCTTTATCATTGGAGGGGAGGGAAAGAAAGCAAGCAGAGGTGGGGATATGGTTACACTATTTAAGAGCTGAATACAAAGACAATGAGTCTTTCATAGTCTCAACAACTCCACAATGAATAACTGTGGATTATCTCATTTATAATTCACATCGGATAAAAAAAATTGGTTCCCTTCTGTGTATATCAATTTAATTCAAACCTTATCTTCAGAATACAAAGATGAATACTACAAGATAAACTAACTGCAATAGGTATTTTCTAAGTAGAAGAGCAAACACCAAAGGGAATCCCTCTTTCCAATGTCTTCTGATATGGCAAGATTTTGCCAGAATGGAAGTCTAACACTTAAATAAGCATTCTCTTGGCCAAGTAAGAAACTACAGTTGTTGTGGGTATTACCCTACAATTACCATATGTATTACATATTAAATTAAACTCAGCATTAAATATGCTTGTATAATTATGTTGTTAATGATGATAGCAGTGATGATGCTGGTGGAAAAAGCCTGTCTTTCACCCGTGAAAAGTAAGGGAGAAAAATGTAACAAGCAGAAAGCAAACACAGAGTTGGGCAATTTTTGACTAGGAAAGAGAATTTTAAGCATAGAAATATAAAAAGAAAAGTACTCCCTTATTTCCCTTACGTGGAAATAATATGAAACACTTATTAGATATACTGGACAACAAGAGAACTAAGTACTCCAACTCTACTGCAGCATTACAAAAAACATCATCCCTTCACCACAGTGTAAGATTTAAGGGCAACCTGCCCAAGGATGCATGTTATATCAAACACAGCAAGATTGCTGCTGCCCTGCCAAGTACTTCCAATCCCTACCCAGGTCCTACTGAAATATGGGTGGTCCCAGTTAGTTTTATTGAAATAAATCTTTAAAGAAAAAGATAAAGCATTTAAAAAGACAAGTCAAAATGCATCAGAAACTACATATCCAACACAAACTTTATCCTCAAATGAGTTATGTTTACCTCGCACTAATAACTTTTATTTCACTCAAATTAGAGCAGTAATCTTCCATACCTAAGTACATTCCCTGCCCAATAATTCAAAGAAAAAAAATCCAAAATGATTAGTAAGGAAAAATATAAGAATTAACAGACCCTTTAAATTTGTTTTAAATATTTTGAAGATTTAAAAAGTGTTTAAAGTTTGTAATTCCTAGTAGGAAAACATTATCTGAATGAATACCGTAATGGCAAACCACTATAAAATGCTTCAGCTGCATTTGGGTTAGAGGGGTAGGGATTATCTTCAAAGCACCCCAGCTCTCTTGATGAGAAGGTCGGAGGTACACTGGTTTGTATTATTGCGACATCCATAAGGTGATCTAGGTTGCTTTTCCTTCAGCAAGGGCTTTATTTATCAGAAGGGCATTACGTTGACCTCCAAATTTGGCTGACAATTTACTGATGAGATTCATAACCTTTGGGTTGCTCTAGTATTTTGACATATTTGCTGGGTTCGAGCCACATCCTGGAAGGCCACCATAACTTCTGGATCCTGCATGGCTGCAAGAACCTCTGGATCACTAAGAATTTCATTGAGTCCAGGCATTCCGGCCATTCCAGTCATGCCCCCTCCCATTCCAGGCATTCCTCTGGGAAAATTACCAGGCACTCCCCCAGGAAAGCCACCTGGAAAAGAGCCATACTGAGCTCCTGACTGTCGTCTGGCTTCTTCCTCCCTCTGGGCTCTCTCATGCTCTTCTCGAGCCTTCTTAACTCGTTCTATTCTTTCTTTGATCTCTCACTCTTCACATTTTCGCTCATACTTTCTCCGATGTTCTGCAATTTTCTGTGCCCTATGTTGAACTTCTTTCAGCATTGCACTAGCATCTTCATCATAATCCAATTTACAGGCAAGGGCAAGATCATGGGCTGCTTCTTCCCAGTGGCCTAGAAGTCTGTATGCTTTCCCCTGCCACTTGTGAGGCTGAGCTGAATCAGGATTTATTTCAATGGCTCTGTCACAGTCTCGGATGGCAGCATTTGGCTTCTGTAATTTGACGAAGACACTGGCCCTCTTGGCATACAAAATGGCCAAGCGAGGATTCAGCTTGATGGCATCTGTGAATAAGTCAACGGCTTTCTGGAGTTCACCATCATTTGGGTCTCCAATAGCAGCCACTTTTTATCATTTGCCTGATCCATCATCTCCTCCGTTATCTCCGCATTTTCATCTCCCGTTTCTTGAGGAGCATCAGTGTCTGGTTCAATCACACCTTCTTTATCAATTTCTAGATCACTTTCCTCACTTGATGTTTCATATGCCTTTAAGTCTTCCTCCACCTTCTTACTATCAGGTTTTTCTTCTTTGGTATTTTCTTCTGATTTAGCTTTCTGAGTAGCAGGTGGTACTTTACCTCCCATGCTCTCCACCCACTCCCTCAGAAGCGCATTTCCTCGGTGTGCAGAACGCTCGGATCCTGCTTACACATCTTCACAAAGGCCTGAAGCTCGTTCACTTTGCGGGGGTCCATGGTAGGGAGGTGGTGGGCGAAGCTGGGGGGCTGCAGCCCGGTTCCAGGCCCAGGCGCTGGCTCGGCGTGACTGCGCAGAAGGGGCTGAAATTTTTTTTTAAATGAGACAATTGGCCAGGCACGGTGGCTCATGCCTATAATCCCAGCACTTTGGGAGGCCGAGGTGGGTGGATCACCTGAGGTCAGGAGTTCGAGACCAGCCTGGCCAACATGGTGAAACCCCATCTCTACTAAAAATACAAAAAAGTAGCCGGATGTGGTGGCAGGTCCCTGTAATCTCAGCTACTCAGAAGGCTGAGGCAGGAGAATCTCTTGAACCCGGGAGGTGGAGGTTGCAGTGAGCTGAGATCACGCCACTGCACTCCAGCCTGGGCGACAAGAGCTAAACTCTCTCTCCAAAAAAAAAAAAAAAGAGAGACAATCTTACAGGTATGGACATAGAAATATCTTTAAGACATATTAAGTGAAAAAAAAAGTGACAGAAGAATAGGCTCAGTATAACCCCATTTATGAAAACAACATTAAACAAAATAAAACTATACATTTTATATAAACTCTTATGAACACATGGGCCTTCAGACTCTAGTCCTACACTTTTCCCTTGCCTTACCCCCTCCAATATTCCCACCTCGACGTTGCACTTCAGGTCAGCAACTACATTATGCACTTGCTGAATTAGAGTAGGCGCTCAATGCTTGTGGGATAAATGAATGAATTACAATTTTCAAACATGTCCTTTACTTTCAAGACTCCCTCTTAGTGTTTGTCCCTACTGTTCCATCAGCTTAAAATGCTGTTAACCCTTCCCTCAGCAATTGTGATTTAGTTAGTAGTCCTCTAGCATCCACTAAATTCTACTTTATTTGGAAAGCCTTCCCAAACCCCTTAAACTAGAATTTTCTGGCCCTCCTCTGCTTTTCTAGAGCAATTTATAACTTCACCTGAGCACTCAGAACACCTTGCTTTGCAATCAAATCCAGTTTCCCCTATAAGATTCTAAGATCCTGGGGGAGCTTTGGCAATTTTGTATTCCCAATACTCACCATAATATCTCACACATAGTAGTCACTCGGTGTGTTACCTTTAATTAAATCTAACTGACTGTTAGGGTCCCAGGGGCCAGGTACACCAGACCAGGTAGAGTAGAATAGGTACAATGCCTATTGTAGGTTATTAATTGAATGTCTCCAAACAAAATAAATTGATTAATTTAATCATGAAATTGAGTGCCATCCTACTTTAAATAATTTACTCTAAAACTTCAGGCAATTTAAGTCTAAGACGGAAAGCAGGTGGAGAGTGTAAGAGCCTATATAAGACAAATTTTTCTTTGTTGAATATCAAAGGGCCTCAAGGAATGATCTGGCCTGCCAATGCAGGAATGGGCAACAGAGAAGTACATAGTTGAACAACCTTCTCTCTCTTCTCTCCCGAGGGACAAGCATATTTTCCCGTCAACTTTAGTAGCAGTTGCCCCCTGTGGATTTCCCAATGAATCAGAAGCTGCCTCTGCATAGACTCCTAATCCACAACTTGTATTTCTCAAATCTAATTTATTAAAAACTCATTTATTTTCAACAACACCAGATTTCTGATTAACTCCCAGCACCATGGGTTGTTTAATGCAGTGGGTTTCATTGTCATTTCTGATTTCCCTAAGTGCTTGATTGATAGAAACTATCATGGGCTTAGTCTGTCAGTGTATTGTTCCTTTGTCAAGTGACAACAAAAAACTTTATTAATGAAATTGCTGGTGTCTCCTAAATAAGCTAGAAACCCAGTATGGCATTGGAGACCCACAGGTGTTAGCTTTCACTAGGGCAACTAAAAATAATGCCTGGAAGCTTCACTGAGATACAAGGCAGATATCCCTACCTATGCTCCACCTGGAAAAGTCTGGCAGAGTCCACAGTTGTGTTTTCTCATTTGGTGTCAAGGAAGAAAGAGGTGTATTTTCATTTTGCCTTTTGATAAGGGTGATGAAATGCACTGAAGTAGGTTCAGAATGATAAATCAACTTTAAATGCGAACAGCCTTATCTTTTGTTTGTTTTTATAATTTTTCAGACCCATTTAAATCTTTGAGGAGAGTAACCCTTAGAATACAAGATAGAGTTGTTAAGCCTGTAAAATAAAATATGATGGGGAGCGGTGGCTCATGCCTGCAATCCCAGCACTTTGGGAGGCTGAGATGGGAGGATCTCTTGAGCCCAAGAGTTCGGGACCAACCTGGGCAATATAATGAGACTTCATCTCTAAAACAATAATAATAAAATAAAATAAAATAAAACAAAAGCAAGAGCTGTTGCCATGCTGTTTGTGTAGCTAATCCCTTAACCTGTCTTCTGGACTGAGATTCCTTCCTCAACCCAACCATAGCCTTGAGCTACCCACAGATGTGAATTAGGTGGAAAAGCTGCCGCAAAAATGTCAGTAAAAGGGAAAGAAGCAGGAGCAGGTCTCCCATATATTAGCAAAATGTCTTCACAATTTAGTGTTCTCAGTTTGCTGAAATATAGCAGATTTCCCTTATAAACCTTCCACTGGTGTCTTTGGTGCTTTATCTTCCTAGCTAGACAAGGACCCTGGATGGAGGAGAATTGGTCATTCAGTGGAAAGTCCAATCGCCTCTCATTTCTCAAACATGAGAACAGATAACTTCCTAATCAGTTCTTCCCTTCTGAATATCTCCTTCCACAACCCTCTGTGACTGTCGCCCAGAGATTTGGATTAATTTTTCCCTTTAGCGTTGCGTCTGACAGCTGAGATGTTGTGATGTTTATGAACTGTTAAGTCAAAGAGATTATATAGCACCTTGAACAGCTTAGAGGACACATACTGTGTAAATCTAAGCACTAAGAAGTCAGGAACCTGAGAAGAAAGCATAATTCAGGATAAGTCTCCCAATACCTTCCCATCACCTCTACTTGTCTCCCTGGGTGAAAACTCTAAGAGGGCAAACTAGAGAATAAGGCACAGAATCCAGAGTTCTTGAGATTTCACTTCCCTGGGCCCTTTCGTTGAATATGAACAAGCCCACTCATGGGCAATCTCTTACATATAAATACTACTATTCTGACACTGTAAGAAAGGTGAGCCCTTTGAGATATTTCCCAAGAGGTATCTATAGTAATTTATCTACTAACATTTGTATGCAAAGATGTGTATCTACTGAACGACTACATTTAGGATTAATGGGATCTTACCACCGTTTACAAAAGCTGTACTTAAAATTATGCTACCCCCATTTTTCCCTAAGATTGATGAAATTTAAAAGCTAATAATTAAGATGGTTAAGACATGGGGAGTGCATGCTTTTTTACATTGTTATACATAAGTTGGTGCAAACTCTATGGAGGGCAGTATGAGAACATTTGTCAAAATTAAGATGTGCAAGCTGGGCACAGTGGCTCACGCCTGTAATCCTAGCACTTTGGGAAGCCAAGCTGGGGGGATTACCTGAGGTCAGGAATTCAAGACCAGCCTGGCTAACATAGTGAAATCCTGTCTCTACTAAAAATATAAAAATCAGCCAGGTTTTGTGGTGGGTGCCTGTAATCCTTGCTGCTTAGAAGGCTGAGGTAGGATAATCACTTGAATCTGGGAGGCAGAGGCTGCAGTAAGCAAAGATCGTGCTGCTGCACTCCAGCCTGGGTGACAGAGTGAGACTCCATCTCTAAAATAAAATAAAATAAAATAAAATAAAATAAAATAATAAAATAAAATAAAATAAAATATAAAATAAAATATAAAATAAAATGTGCAATCAGAGATTTTTCCATTTTAAGATGGTAGTGAAAAGATTTTTTTCTGCCCCTGCTCCTTTTAGGAAATTACCCCAAACCAACAAGGATGATGAGAGAAAACCTGCAAATTTCATAATCCATGAAATTAGGAAATATTTATATGAAAATAAATAAAAGAGTTTAAAAAATGATGTAGCAGAGTGGAGGTAGCCTGTATTGTTAATTAGTGACAGAATTTTTCTTTTTCTTTTTTTTTGAGACAGAGTCTCATTCTGTCACCCAGGCTGGATTGCAGTGGCACAATCACAGCTCACTGCAGCCTTGACCTCCCAGGCTCAGGTGATCCTCCCACTTCTGTCTCCCAGGAGGCTGGGACTACAGGCACATGCCACCATGCCTGGCTAATTTTTGTATTTTTTTGTAGAGACAGGGTTACACCGAGTTGCCCAGGCTGGGCTTAAGATTCCTGGGCTCAAGTGATCCACCTGCATCAGCCTCCCAAAGTACTGGAATTATAAGCATGAGCTACTGCATCCAACCAATGACAGGATTTGGGGTTTTTTTTTTTGAGACGGAATCTTGCTCTTTTCCCCAGGCTGGAGTGCAGTAGCACAATTTCGGCTCACTGCCACCTCTACCTCCCAGATTCAAGCAATTCTTCTACCTCAGCCTCCCAAGTAGCTGGGATTACAGGTGCACGCCACCATGCCCGGCTGATTTTTGTATTTTTAGAAGAGACAGGGTTTTACCATGTTGCCCAGGCTAGTCTCGAACTCCTGAACTCAGGTGATCCGCCTGGCTCAGCCTCCCAAAGTGCTGGGATTACAGGCATAAGCCACTGTGCCCGGCCAATGACAGGATTTTTAAGACACTAAATGCCACAGGAAGTGAGGGTTAAGAAAAGGGCTAAAAGTTGAGAGATTTATTAGAAGTCTATATGAGGAGCAGAGAATACCCCACCCTCTCCTGAGCGGCCAGGTGACTACCCCTCACATAATCTATACCAAGAAGAATTAAACCAGTGGAGCTCCAGACTCGGGAACCCCAGCCCAGTGAAAGGCAGGTAATAGGCACAAGGCTAAAAAAGATCAAGTGTAAAGTGAATAGTGAGACCCTCCCTGCATGCTCAGCTTCCAGAACACAGGGAACCAGCCTTATCGCCATGGCCGCCTCCTTTTCCCACCACCCTCTACCCAAAGAGAGCAAATTGTAGAATTCTTCTCCAGAATAACTGAATATCCAAGAGAAATACCTAGAGATACAGATAGTTGTGAACTCTACCAATAAAAATCAAGCAGCCTGCTACTCCACTCATCTACAATGAAACCAACAAGCTCAACCGTACAAATGGAATTTTCAATCAGCTCTTTGATGGCTCCTTTTTAAATATGAACTGACAACCAGGGATCACTTGACATTTAAGAAAAAATTTTCCAATATAAAAGACTCTAAAACACACACAAATGTGTGCATATGTATGCACACACAGAAAAAAAGGAACTACGAAGAAACAAAGACAAGGTAGGTAGCAAAAAAATATTTTCAAAAATTAAATCTAATTGATATTCTTAGAAATAATGAAAATATTAGCTCAATAGGAAAAGATCGGGAACTATATAAAGAATAATAAGAGAAATGGAGCTCTTAAAAATTACAGATGTGGGTGCGGTGGCTCACAACTGTAATCCCAACACTTTGGGAGGTTGAGGCAGGAGGATTGCTGGAGCCCAGGAGTTCAAGACCAGCCTGGGCAACATAGGGAGACCTTATCTCTACAAAAATTTTTTAAAAGTTAGCTGGGTATGGTGGTGCATGTCTCTGGGTCCAGGTTCTTGGGAGGCTGAGGCAGGAGGATTGCTTGAGCCCAGGAGGTCAAGACTGCAGTGATCTGTGATTGTACCACTGCACTCCAGCCTGGGCAGCAGAACGAGACCCTGTCTCAAAAAAATTTTTTAAATATTAAAACAAAAACTTTTAAATGTTTTTTCAATGAAGGGGTAGAAGAAAGAGTTTAAGAAATCTCCCACACTGGCTGGGTCCAAGATCCTGTAATACATGGCTCATGCCTATAATCCCAGCTCTTTAGGAGGCCAAGACAGGGGGATCCCTAGAGCTCAGGAGTTCAAGACTAGCCTGGGCAACAGGGTGAGACCCCATCTCTACTTAAAAAAAAAAAAAAGCCTGGCATGGTGGTGTGCACCTGTGGTCCCAGCTACTCTGGAGACTGAGGTGGGAGTATCACTTGATCCCAGGAAGCAGAGGTTGCAGTGAGATGAGATCACGCCACTGCACTCCAGCCTAGGTGACTGACAGAGCAAGACCCTGTCTCCAAAAAAAAAAAAAAAAAAAAGAAAGAAAGAAAAGAAAAGAAATCTCCCACAGAGTATAACAAAGAAACAAGGAGATAAACCTTAGGAGAAACTTAGAGGTTCAAACCAAGAGATTCAACATCTGATTAATGAATATTCCAGAGAGAACAAGGAAAGTAAGTCATGGAGGGGAAATTATCAAAGAAATAATTCAAGAAAAGTATAGAACATGAGTCTCCAGATTAAAAGAGCCCTAAAATGTTGGTACAAAGAATAAAAAGCACCCCCACCAACGGACATCATTGTAACATTTCAATACATCAGAAAGAAAGACCTTGTGCAGCTCTCCCTCTCCCTCTCCCTCTCCCCCTCCCCCTCCCCCTTCCCACGTTCTCCCTCTCCCTCTCTTTCCACGGTCTCCCTCTCCCTCTCTTTTCACGGTCTCCCTCTGATGCCGAGCCAAAGCTGGACTGTGGTGCTGCCATCTTTGCTCACTGCAACCTCCCTGCCTGATTCTCCTGCCTCAGCCTGCCGAGTGCCTGCAATTGCAGGCGCGCGCCGCCACACCTGACTGGTTTTCGTATTTTTTTGGTGGAGACGGGGTTTCGCTGTGTTGGCCGGGCTGGTCTCCAGCTCCTAACCGCGAGTGATCCGCCAGCCTCGGCCTCCCGAGGTGCCGGGATGGCAGACGGAGTCTCGTTCACTCAGTGCTCAATGGTGCCCAGGCTGGAGTGCAGTGGCGTGATCTCGGCTCACTACAACCTCCACCTCCCAGCCGCCTGCCTTGGCCCCCCAAAGTGCCGAGATTGCAGCCTCTGCCCAGCCGCCACTCCATCTGGGAAGTGAGGAGCGTCTCTGCCTGGCCGCCCATCGTCTGGGATGTGAGGAGCCCCTCTGCCTGGCTGCCCAGTCTGGAAAGTGAGGAGCGTCTCTGCCCGGCCGCCATCCCATCTAGGAAGTGAGGAGCGTCTCTGCCCGGCAGCCCATCATCTGAGATGTGGGGAGCGCCTCTGCCCCGCCGCCCCGTCTGAGAAGTGAGGAGCCCCTCCGCCCAGCAGCCGCCCCGTCCGAGAAGTGAGGAGCCCCTCCGCCCGGCAGCCACCCCATCTGGGAAGTGAGGAGCATCTCCGCCCGGCAGCCGCCCCGTCCTGGAGGGAGGTGGGGGGGTCAGCCCCCCACCCGGCCAGCCGCCCCATCCGGGAGGTGAGGGGCACCTCTGCCCGGCCACCACCCCGTCTGGGAGGTGTACCCAATAGCTCATTGAGAATGGGCCATGATGACAATGGCAGTTTTGTGGGATAGAAAAGGGGGAAAGGTGGGGAAAAGATTGAGAAATCAGATGGTTGCTGTGTCTGTGTAGAAAGAAGTAGACATGGGAGACCTTTCATTTTGTTCTGTACTAAGAAAAATTCTTCTGCCTTGGGATCCTGTTGATCTATGACCTTACCCCCAACCCTGTGCTCTCTGAAACATGTGCTGTGTCCACTCAGGGTTAAATGGATTAAGGGCGGTGCAAGATGTGCTTTGTTAAACAGATGCTTGAAGGCAGCATGCTCGTTAAGAGTCATCACCACTCCCTAATCTCAAGTACCCAGGGACACAAACACTGCGGAAGGCCGCAGGGTCCTCTGCCTAGGAAAACCAGAGACCTTTGTTCACTTGTTTATCTGCTGACCTTCCCTCCACTATTGTCCTATGACCCTGCCAAATCCCCCTCTGCGAGAAACACCCAAGAATGATCAATTAAAAAAATAAAATAAAATAAAAAATAAAAAATAAAAAATAAATAAATAATAAAAAGAAAGACCTTGTGCAGATCAGAATGGCATCAGTGGTCAGAATGGAACTGGACTTCTTAAAAGCATTATTGGAAATTAAAAGATAGGTGGGAAAATGTCTTTACAATTCTAAGGAAAACCATAATCTACCTATATCGAGCCAAACTACCAACGATGAGAGTAAAATAAAGACATTTGCCTGTAGAAAAGAACCTACACATATTACTCCTCATTACCATTTTCAGGAAGCTACTATAAAATGTACTCCACAGAAAGGATTAAAACAAGAACAAAAAAAAGATAGGGAGCAGGAAATTGGGGGTCAAACAGGGGAGAGAGAGAGATAAAGAGAATTATTAGAATGATGGCAAAGGCCAGGTAGCCCAGAGAGCAGCAAGTCCAGAGAGCAACTGTCAAGTTGGAGCAAGAGAATGGGAGGTTCAAGGGGAAAGAATAAACTGATTGATTATCTGATGAGTGTTATGGCATGAAAAACAGCATAGAAAACTGGATTGAAAGGTTGTTGGAAGAAAAATTAGATATTTAGCACCCCCCCACCAAAAAAAATAAAAACAGAAAATGAAAAATATAAGGCAATCATTAACACCAGGGGAATAAAATGTCCAAGAAAGGAAACAACCATAGTATACTACTTGGCAGATGAATGAACAAACTTTGCACAGTCATAATAATGTAATGTAAATACGAATGTACATTCAACCTTAAACTGTGGTTCAACCATACTGGGAGTCTGGAGGGAGGGGGAAGGGGTATGTAAGAAACCTAGATATTTTCACATAATATGAAATCAATAGAAAATATCAGAATGGATAAACTGAACATTAACGGTAGGAGCACATGATGTAGAAATGTGGAAACCAGAAGAAAGAAATAAAAGGGTTGAAAGTGAAGGAGCTGGCATGTGGGAAATCAAGAAATAGTGGGACAGGGGACTGTGTTTTTTAGTTATAAGGTTTATAGCCCTGTTTGATTTTTAAAAATTGTCTACCTGTGATAATTTGATGAAAGCACTCATTTAAAAATAATAACGGGATTATATGATATGATCTTTAAATGTTTTTCTTAGCTATAAAAGACACTATTGGCTGGGTGCAGTGTCTCACACCTACAATCCTAGCACTTTGGGAGGCTGAGGCAAGAGGATGACTTGAGTTCAGGAGCTTGAGAACAACCTGGGCAACATGGCAAGACCCCATTTCTACTAAAAATACGAAGAAAAATTAGCTGAACATGGTGGTGCACACCTGTGGTCCCAGCTACTCAGGAGGCTGAAGTGGGAGGATTGCTTGAGCCCAGGAGGTGGAGGTTGCAGTGAGCCAAGATTATACTACTGCACTGCAGCCTGAGTGACACAGCAAGACCCTGTCTCCTATAAAAAATAAAAACTTTGTTCTAAAAAAAAAGGGCACTATTGAAAATTTCAAAGGAAAGAAACCTCTTGAAATAGGGAAGTATGAAAAGTAACTAACAGGTTAAAGAAATAAATGCTTTTTTCTGCATATGCTTCTTTTTTTTCTGCTCTTATGCTAATTCCATAAACTTTGGACTAGAGAAGGAAATGTGTGTACAGTAGCTGTAGACTGGAAAAGAAAATGTTTGTGTGATTAGAACCTACATCTGAACTTGGCCTAGGTTAACTTCCTGAAGAGTAATTTGAAAGAACACAAACAGAAGAACTACTCAGCAATAAAAGGGAACACATTTCTGATACCTGCCACAACATGGATGAATCTTCAATGAATTAGGCTAAGGGAAAGAAGCCAGCTCCATAAGCCTGTATAATGCGTGATTCTATTTATATGACATTCTAGAAAAGGCAGAACTATAGGGATAGGAAACAGATCAGTGGTTGCCAGGGACTGGAGGTAGGGTATGGGGTTGACTCTGAAGGGGCTCTGGAAAAAGTTTTTGAGGTGATGGAATAAGTCTATTTCTCAGTTGTGCTGGGGGTGGAACAACTGTACTTTTGTCAACCTATGGAACTGTATGCTAAAAGGGATGAATTTTATTTTACGTACATTATCTCTCAGAGAGAGAGAGAGAAAGGAAGGATATGGTTTCCAAAGTAGTTTTAGCTTTACAGATTGTCAAATGAAACTAAAAAATATCCCACATCCTTGGGCCTCTTCTCACTGTACTGGGTGTATCATGAAGACCCATAAGACCTTCTTTCCCAGATGTACCAGTAGGGATAGGAAGCCCCAAAGTGCTGTGCACTAGTCTATATTAGCTTCATGATCAACACAGTTTTTCTCAGAATTTTCTAAAAGCCAAATGTTAAACAATAAAAAATCTCTATGGTAGATTTTGAAAACAGCTGTAATTATTCCTCTCCTTGAACCCACATTACTTTGCAGTATGCTTTTGCAACTCCTTCCCTCAAGAGGAAGAGTCTAGCTCTCCACCCTTTGACTTCGGACTGACTTTGTGAATTGTATCACCAGCCAAATACGGTGGAGGTAACTTTGTGCCAGTTCTGAGCATAGGCCTCGAGAGACCTTGTGGGCTTTCATGAGTTCACTTAGAGCCCAGACTAGCTACCATGTGAAAGATCCCAAGCTGGTCTCTATGAGAGAAGTCTGGCCCAGTCACCCTTGTCACCACAGCTAATAGCTTGCCAACTTCCAGACATGTGAGTGAGGCCATCCTACACCAGGAACCTCCAGCAAATCCACTGGCTGACCCCAGACACATTAGCACCCAGTCAAGTTCAGCCAAGCTCGAGCCAGATGAGCTGAGTTATCCAGCCGATCCATAGAAACAGAAACAATAATAAATGGTTGTTGTTTTAAGTCACTAAGCTTTGAAGTACTTTGTCATGCAGCAGAACCTAAGTGATACAACATAAAAAAGAACACACTTTTGTAAAAACGTAAAAGGGGGGGCAGGAAACAGCTCACCTAGGTGTCTTTCTACTACTAGATATTTTTGACCAGGGATAAGTCATAAAATAATGACTTCTTAAAGTTGCATAAAATAGCATATTGCATTGTGAAAAAATATCAATTTTGCTTGCAGGAATTTACTCTGTAGGTATACTCACATCGGTGTGCGTATTATTAACTAAGTGAGTCCTGATCAGCCTAAATAAAGTTTTATTGGAACACAGCCTCAGCTATTCATCTACATATTCTCTACAACTGCTTTCACACTACCATGGTAGACTTTAATAATCTTGACAGAGTGTGTGTGGTGCGCAACGTCTAAAAGAGTTACTATCTGGTCCTTTACAGAAAAAGTTTGCTGAGCCCCTGGTCTAAGCCAGTGGATCTGGAACTTTAGCGTGCATCAGAACTACTTGAAGGACCTGTTAAGACACAGATTGCTGCCATCTACCTTCAGCGTTTCTGATTCAGTCAGTCTGGCTAGGGCTGAAAATTTTGCTTTTCTACTTCGGTCTCATGACCCTCAAATTGCCCTGTGGAGGCAACTGCCTGTTCTATGACCTCTGTAAGCTAGTTACACAGGCTCCTCAATCCACACCTAGGTGCAATTTAGAGAAGAGTTCAAAACAGCATTGCTGTGCCTTCCATGCCCTGAGCATTCTGCTGAGCTGTAGGGTTGAGCTCACAGCTCCCACTTTGTCTTTTAAGTGAGACATTTCATCTTTCCTCCCAGGCATTTGGAGGGAGAGCCACAGAACCTGGAAAAGAATGTTAAGAACTGGATTCAAGTTTCTACTGCACTGTGTGCTTGTGTAAGTCAGTTTACCCCTGATACTATGGAGATAATAAAATACCCTTCCAGGCCAGGCACGGTGGCTCACGCCTGTAATCCCAGCACTTTGGGAGGCCCGAGCCGGGCGGATCACCTGAAGTCGGGCATTCGAGACCAGCCTGACCAACATGGTGAAACCTCGTCTCTACTAAAAATACAAAATTAGCCGGGCGTGGTGGCACATGCCTGTAATCCCAGCTACTCAGGAGGCTGAGGCAGGAGAATCACTTGAACAGGGGAGGCAGAGGTTGTGGTGAGCTGAGATCGCGCCACTGCACTCCAGCCTGGGCAACAAGAACGAAACTCTGTTTCAAAAAAAAAAAAAAAAAAAAAACAAAAAAACCTCTTCCCTACTTTACATGACTATTGTGAGAATTAAATAGGAAATTTTATGCAAACTACTTCATCAGTGTTAACATTTCATAAAGTTAAATTATGTATTATCATTAGTAGTCTATTGTATTGTTGTAACATTGTTATTATCGGTAACCCCAGTAGTTCCAAGTGGAAGTTGCTATCAGCAGAGAAAAAGGCTTTGCCCAGAAAGAATAAACATTAATGAAATCCATCCCTGATTAAAAGGAAGGCCTTTCACGCATTATGTAGCTTCAGACATTATTCTGCATTCAAAGGTAAATATTTATCTTCATCCTTGGCAGAAGAGAAGAGCGTTCAGGACATGTGAGTGGTGTTGATGGATCCGAGTTGTCCGTCCTGGGAGCTCAAAGCAAACCCTTCCTGTATCCCCGTCCAGAGCATCTCCTCAATCTTTGGGTTCCATTTTCAGCCTCCAAGGCCATGCCAGCCTCTGAGCACCTCCAGGTGCTCCAGTGATGTCTGCTGAATTGCCCCAAGAGGACTCAAGGCACCAACACCTGCCCACACAGTAATGCTCAGGAAATGCCTGCCAGCCAGCTCCAGGCTACAAAAAGTCATTAGCTGCTCGTGACCCCTGGCATGGCTGCCACAGGCTGGATTGAAAGTTGATGCAGATTGTAGCAACCCGGCATTACGGTCCCCACTAGCCGCCCAGCTCCCCAGACATGCCTGAGCTGACGTTTGCTGGCTGGCTGATCTCCTGAATGTCTTTGCTGCAACCTCAGCTCCGTGCTTCTCGGGGAGGTTAGCCAGAGGTGGAGGCCTGCCTATTTGCTTCATGTTTGCTCTTTAGCTGTTATTTCAAGGTCATCTTAACTCACTGGCAGCCAGGTCCCAGATTACCCATCAGCCTGGCGTATGCGTCTGGTGTCCTGATTTGAAGCATGGTGCCTATAACTGCTTTCCCTTGCCACACTCCCCGATTTACTAATTCCAGTGTTTGTGGCCTCCCAGCAATTCCTTATGCCCAGCTCACTCAGAACTCAGGTGAACCTCCATGAGAGCTCTGGGCTGGTGCCAAGAAATTCAAATCCCAACAACACATGGCAAGAAGGCTCAGAGCCCGCCAGCTCTGTTAGGTAGCCTTAGGGGAAGAGCTGTTGTCTAGTCCACAGGGAGGTGGAGTCTCCTGATCCAGCCTTCTTAGGAAGTTCTGTGCCTCCAGAAGTTAGACTGCATATGGCTTCACCCTGAGAGGCACTAACAAGTTTGTACTGATGATGCCAGAGCACTCAGTCAGCTTCTGATTGATAGTGTGTGATCTTCCCTTGGAATGAGGGAGTCAGAGGGCTGGATCTGGTCTTTCTTCTGCCACCAGTTTACTCTGGGGTCTCCCATAAGTCACATCACCTCTCTAGATCTTGGTTGCTTTCTCTAAAAAAAAAAATGAAGGAGGAATTTGCATTAAGATTTCTAAGACTTCTTTGAGTACCAAGGTTTTATGATTCCTTTGAACTCTAGGGATGCCATTTCTACCCCCTCCCCCAAATATATACACACTCATAAAGAATGCAAACAATTTTTAATATGAATACAAGCAAAATGTAATAAAGAAGGCAAATTTGCTGCCCCAAATTTGCATAATGTATTCTCAAGCCAAGCAGAAATGGCATTTGAGTTGTGTGCTGTTTTGAATTATCTGCACCACTGCACCCCTGCATTTGTGCAGATAATTGGAAGGTGGCTATATATGGGGCAGATATACAGTTGTCCCATATGGGTCACACCACAATAGCATTTCTCAGAGTTGGGGTTAATGTGATTAACTCAGTTGGTGGAGTCCAAGGAAGACCATGAGTCAGATCTCTGCGGTTTGATATACAGAAAATTCTCTTTTCAGATGTCCATAAATATACCCCTGATTATAAAAGGAATAAAGAGGGTAAGAAAACGCATGTGTTAACTAAATTCTGAATCAGTAGACTCTTGCATCCGTAAATTTTGGTTTGTGATCAAAGTGACTACAAAGGCAGGTAACATAATTTGTCACTTTATTGAGGCATGAGCTTGAATCACCTGTGGTAGGTGACAGGTGACAAGAAAAAGAGTTACAGAGGGTGATGACACCAACCCAGTTTCAAGATAGTCATGCAGCAACTCAGCCTTGTCCTCATAGACAGCAACACATGCAAACACTGTAAAGAAGTGTTGCACTTGGACACTTTAATAAAGCTTAAAAGGCTATAAGCTTGTCTATGAAGATATGCAAAGGAAATACGTGATTTGGAATGCAACTCTGAAGAAAGCTTGGACTCTGTCCAAATGCTCCCATCCACTTGAATTCAGAAATGTGAACAGGTTCTCGTGGTGAAGGTCTCAGGGACTACAGAGGTAGACACAAGAAGCTGTCTTAGGAGCTTGAAAGGGGTGGTTTTAGGACAAATACAACAAATTACTACTCGACAAAGCAGGTAGTAAAGAAATGAAACATGTTGCCCCTGCAGGCAATACAGGCTGAAAATAGAAATAGGTTCAAAAATTGCTTTGGATAAATTCAAGACCTATAAATCTACAACAGAGGTTTCCTTTGTAATAGGAAAGCTAGGTCTACTTGACACTTGACAGAATAGCTGTGCTTGATACAAATCGTCGTTTTTGCCACTCTCAGAACCATGGCTGCTACTACTGCCCTTTGCTTTTTGAGTGCAAGGGACTTCCTAAGAACTGTACGTGCATTCTCTTGTTTAATCCTCACAGGTACACTGTATCAGGTATGATGGTTCCCATTTCAGAAAAGAAGAAATTGAGTATTGCACAAAGCTCCTGGGTTGACTGCTCAGCTCTCACAGTCTCTCCCCCATGCGACCACATCTGGATCTTGTGATCCTGCTCTCCTCCCCCCATTGCCAACTGATACATGGACAAACCCCTGACCCAACCCAAGGTGAGTCAGTCACATTCTGTCTCCAAGAAATGTGAAGTGAGAGTGCACAGATGTGGGGCTGTGCCCACTGATGGCAGAAATCCAGATGAAGAACATGTCCCTGGAGAAACTGTAACCCTCGTACCTTGATGGTGGGAATGGGAAATGGTGCAGCCACTGTGGCAAACAATTTGCTGGTTCTTGAAAAAGCTAAACACAGAACTACCACATGACCCAGCCATTCCACTACTATGTATGCACCCAAAATAATGGAAAAGAAGGACTTAGATACTTACACACTAACGTTCATGACAGCATTATTTACAATAGCCCAAAGCTGGAAACAAGCCAAGTATCCACCAACAGAAGAATACATGAATAAATGTGGCCTATCTAGACAATGGAATATTATTTGGCTATGAAAAGGAATGAAATTCTGACACATGCTACAACATGGATGAACCTTTGAAACATTATACTAAGTGAAATCAGCTAGACACAAAAAGATAGGTAATGTATGATTCCATTTATGTGAAATATCTAGAATAGGCAAATTCATAGAGACAGAAAGTAGGTTAGAAATTACCAGGGAGTGGGAGAAAAGAAGGAATATGGGAAATTATTGCTTAATGGTGACAGAGTTTCTGTTTAGGATGATTTTTAAAGTTTTAGGGAAAGATGGTGGTGATGGTTATACAACATTGTAAATGTAATTCATGCCACTGAATTGTACACTTACAAGTGGTTACACTGGCAACATTTTATATTATGTTTACCCCATTAAAAAAGTAAACAAAGACCAAGTGTTCTACTGCTAGCTCCCCAGTGCAGCCCTGCCTGCCTAGGCTCTTCACTTGGCTGTTTAATTGAAATGACTCAGTATTATGAGAATAAGTTTCCTTCTGTTATTTAACTAGCCAGACTCAGTGATGTTACTGGTGACCACTAAACTGAAATCATATATGAAGGTTTCAGGTTTCAGAAGGAACTTGCCTAAAGTCTCACAGCTTCAGAGTATCAGAACTGGGATATAAGCCCACAAGCCCGTAAATGTCTGGCCTCAGACAGATCTCAGAGCCATGACTTTAACCACAGTGTCACTGCACAGTGTCAGAAAACTGATGTTGGACTGTGTAGGGTCTGCAAGCATTCACTCATGCCATCTTCATCTTCCAGAATGCAAATATCCCAAGAGCATGAAAAATGAATTCATTCATTCATCCATCAAGCCAGTTTCCCAGACAACCAGTCAATGGCTAAGTATTTGTTGGGTATATAACAGTGCACAGAATATTCAAAGAGAGAGAGAGAAGGAGGAGGAGGAGAGGAAGAGTGAGAAGAAGGAGGAGGAGGAAAAAGGAAGGAAGGAAAAGAAAGGGAACCCCACACTCTATAACCTTGTGATCCATTTGGGGGCCAAGTGCCATATGGGTTAAATACCTAAACAATTAGGCCGTGTGATCAAGCCTTGCACTTCAAAGCCTCTGAGGGGAAGGAGATTGAATAAAAAGAAAAGAAAAATCTGTATGTTGTGAATTGGCTTCAGCAATAAAAGAAGTTCTTCCTGGTGGACAGTCTGGGCCTGGCGGAGATAATGATTTCCAATTGGTTTAGCAGCTCAACAACCTTAATTACAGTCCCCAAATCCACTACCAAGATTTAACCCCTAGGCTGGGCACAGTGACTCACGACTATAATCCCAGCACTTTGGGAGGACGAGGTGGGCGGATCACTTAAGGCCAGGAGTTTGAGATCAGCCTGGCCAATGTGGCAAAACCCAATCTCTACTTTAAAAATACAAAAATTAGCCAGGCATGGTGGTGCACCTCTGTAGTCCCAGCTACTCAGGAGGCTGAGACACAAGAATCTCTTGAACCCAGGAGGCGGAGGTTGCGGTGAGCTGGGATCACGCCATTGCACTCCAGCCTGGGCAACAGAGCAGACTCTGTCTCAAATAAAAAAGATATCACCATTTAACCCTTTATGTTATTCCTCAAAAGCCACCAGACACCCCTCTGTTTCATCGTTTTTGATGTTACTCCTCATGTCACTGGTTCACTAGATTTTATTGTGAAATGTTTGCCCAGTTAGGATTTGGGGGAGGGGTGTTCAGTGTTCAAATCAAGAATAGGCCTGCCTTTACTTAGGCACAAACTTCTTTTATAGTCAGAAATCTGACTAGTCACAGATGGTTTTAAGAAGAGTAGTCCTGCATTTCATTGTTTATTTAATCAAAGGAAAATCTCACAAAATTCCTATCACTGTGAACCACCTTCAAACCCAGTCTCCTCTCTGACTTAACACTTTGGCTGAGCCTGATTTATCAGGTCAGGCAGTGTAGCAATTAGCCATGTTAATCACAAAAGCGTGTCTTAAATTTAATCTGATATGTTCTACCCATGAATACACACAAGGAAACACCCTTGTATATGGATCTAGGAAGAAGTAACAACCATTACACCTGACTTGCTAATGTATCTCCTTTGGCCTGTGTGGCAGACACTATTGATAGATTATGCAGACACCTTTCTCAGACATCTCTTCCTTGACCCCTCCCACTATACAGGGCCCTCTTGCAACTAAGAGGGGCCTCATGATCCAGTTTGGGTCTTTGAGATGTAAATGAAAGACTGTTGGGTTAGGGTGAGGGGAAATTCTAAAAAAGAGCTTGCTTTCCTGATAAAAAGGGACACGGCCCCTTCCTCATGCCATGAAGGTGAACATGACTGGGAGTATGGTCATAGCCACATGCAGTGAAAGGCTTAAGGATGAAAGCCAATAACCGAAGGTTGTAGAACGCAGATATTTAAAGAACTGGGACCTGAGTCAATACCAGATCCATTGCTTTTGGACTTCTTCCTCTTCCTTTTAAATATTTTTACTGAACTATAATATGCATGCAGAAAAGACGCCTACCATAAATGCACAGCTCAGTGAAATCTCACAAACTGCACACACCAAGGTAAGCAGAACTCAGATCAAGAAAGAGAATACGGCCAACACCCCAGTGTCCCCCTAATGTGGTCTCTTGCAGTCTTTACTTCCACAAGGACAGCCCCTTCCTGCTTCTAAAATCATTGATGAGTTTGGCCTGATTTTTGTCCTTTATATAAGTGGAAGTGTAGGGTGTGTATTTTTGTGTGTCTGGCTTTATTTGCTCAATACAATGCTAGTGAGATTCTTCCATACTGGTGTGGATAGTTGTGGTTTATTCATTGTCTTTACTTTATCCCATATGTAACCCATGTGTGTATATATCACAATTTGCTTATCCATTCTACCTGTGATGAGCATTTGTGTGTTATCCAGTTTTTGGTTATCAATAGACATTCTTTTTTTTTTTTTTTTTTTTTGAGATGGAGTCTTGCTCTGTCACCCAGGCTGGAGTGCAGTGGCGTGATCTCTGCTCACTGCAAGCTCCGCCTCCCAGGTTTATGCCATTCTCCTGCCTCACCCTCCCGAGTAGCTGAGACTACAGGCGCCCGCCACCATGCCCAGCTTTTTTTTGTATTTTCAGTAGAGACAGTGTTTCACCATGTTAGCCAGGATGGTCTTGATCTCCTGACCTCGTGATCTGCCCACCTCGGCCTCCCAAAGTGCTGGTATTACAAGCATGAGCCACTGTGCCCGGCCCAATAGACATTCTTAAACAGTCTGATGATAAACACATGTGCACTTTTCTGTTGGGTATATACCTAGGAGTGGGATTACTGGGTCATAGGATATGCACTGCCAAGCAGTTTTCCAAAGTGGTTATGTCAGAAATCTCTTTATGCAAAAAATATAAATATATATATATATATATATTTGTTTAAGCCACTGTAAGGTAGGTTTTCAATAACTTGAAGCTGAATGCATTCCTAACCAATATACCCTTCTTGGTGATTTAATTTTTTTTTTCAATTAGCTCAAACACATACAATCAGGACACTTAACATGAAAAAGTGCATTTCTAGCTTATCCTGAAATATTAGAAGAGCTTACAAGATAGCACACATTCCTGGATGAAAACAATTGTCTGAATTTAGAAATAATAATTGCCAGCATTTATACCATTCCTACCATGTGCCAGAAACCATTCTGGATGCTTTATATATATTGACCCATTTAGTACTCACAATAACCTTAGAAGGCAGGTGCTAGTGATGAGCCCATTTTACAGATGGGAGACTGAGGTGCAGAGAGATCACATATTTAGACCATGATCACACAGTGAGAAATAGCAGAAGCAGGATTTGAACTCAGTCTGTCTGGTTCCAGGATCTGTGCTGTTAGCCACTGCACACCACCAGTAGCAGGGCCATGCATGCTCCAGTTCACCACAGTCTCCATCAATCTCCATCGTCTGCCACCTGGTGCTGTCCTCATTTATGTCAACCCGCTAGGTTTCTGTAGTCATCCAAATTTGCAACCTCAGCATTACATATTTAATGAGGAAAAGAAAGCCCAGCATATAAATTTAGGATTTTTGCCATAATCTCCCAGGATACTTTTCATGCCACCAAATTGCTGACCCCTGGAACTCAAAGCAAATTCCATACATTTATCCACGTGCAAGAATTTTGTAATTCTTACTATCACCCATCACAGTAAATTTCCCACCTCCCAACTTCCTGTGGATTTTAAAAAAAAAACTGTGTATTTGACGGCAGTAGTTTCACAAGTAATTTGTGTTTTCATATGTTGAAGTCAGCAATGTTTTGCAGGTTAGAGGCCCTGTAGGCCTGTTAGCTCAAAGATGCTTGTAGAATAGTGCAAAGGGAAGCATTAAGAGACATGGGAGGCCAGGTGGGGTTGCTCACACCTGTAATCCCAGCACTTTGGGAGGCCAAGGTGGAAGGATCACTTGAGCCCAGGAGTCCAAGATTAGCCTGGGCAATATAGTGAGACCCTGTCTCTACATAATAATAAATTTAAAAATTATCTGGGTGTGGTTATGTACACCTGAGGTCCTAGCTACTTGAAGGAATACTGAGGTGCGAGGATTCTTCAGCCCTGGAGGTCCAAGGCTACAGTGAGCCATGTTCATGCCGCTGTACTTCAGCCTGGGCAACAGTGCAAGATCCTATCTCAAAAGAAGAGAGAGAGATACAGGAATGGGCAGCAGAATGGTGCAGAATGCTGTGATGTAAGTGAAGGAAAGTAGAAGTAACCAGAATCTGAGAAAATGGACTGAGCAGACCCCAGAAGCATCTTGAAAGCAGGAAACCAATGTTGAAGGGAATATTTTCACTTAGGTCAAAAGCTCTGAGCAGAGAAAGGAGGGCAGGGAATGAGGAGCACACCATTTAGATTGACAAGCAACTGAGAAACTCATTTTCCAATGGAAACTGTAGGTAAGAGAAGTTGTTCCTGAAAAGCAGAGACAAGGGCCTTAAGTTTCTAGGGATGCAGAGAAAGGAAAAAAAAAAAAAGAGGAGAAAGGCTATGTGGTGGACATTGATTGCTTTTGCTTACCCAGGACTTATTTCCCCTTCTTGGTTATAACACTACACCCAGTCAGTGTCATTCTGAGAGAACTGACCCCACCCATGGCTCCAGAAATTGGTATGTGGCCCAAGCATGGCCAGTCAGAAGATTCCATTCTGCTGGCTACACTGATTGGTTGGGAGTGCGATCTAAGCCAGGTGATATAATTCAGTCCTGTGATTTGCACTGGAATTACTAGGACAGGTAAACTCTTGCAGATATTTCTAGCTATTAATAAAAGAATGGTAGATGCTTGAAGCTGCTGGGAGCTCCTATAAGGAGAACAACTTGAAAATGATGCTAATACAGATGAGAGAGAAGAAAATGGAATTCTATTGATTTGACATGGTTCAAGCCTCTGGACCCAGCCATACCCAAAACTCTGGACTTTTCCGTCGTGAGAACCAATGGGTTTCTTTTTGTGCTAAACTCAGTTTGAGTTAGAGTTCTGTTGCTTGCAACAACAAAAAATATCTTTATTTGTTCATTTATACTTAGATTGTAATCTAAAACTGTAAGGCTAAGCCATGATAAAATATAAGCTCTTAAAAATTAAGAGACAAAGAAAAAGAGAGACATAGCTAGTACAGAAAAAAAGGAGAGAGGGCGTGTCTAAGTATGTGTACCCCAGAACTGTCCAGAGAAAAGTGGAATTGGGAAAGAAAACTAGAAGAGCTGCTGGTACCTTGTTGGTATGTGAAAGCAGGTTGGGCTAGATGAGCCATGGTGTTTGCACCCTGCTCATGTCCCCACACACTGGAGGGCCGAGTCTGTGTGATTTGGAAAATGTGTCTGAGAAAGAGCACCAGGGAGAGTGAATGCAAATGGCTCTGGACGTAAGATCTCATGCTTTAGACACAAGAGCTTTGCGACTCTGGAAGATAGTGAACACATTTCTGTTGGTTTCAGGCCAGCAATCTTCTGGGTTTGGGGAGGGTGGCGGATGGGGGTTGGGCCTTCCGTGGCTGCCAGAAGTCACAGGTGGACTCCAAGTTGAGCTGATTTACCAGTTGCTGCTAGTAGAAGTCCAGTCAGTGGGAGAATGCTGGGGCTGGGGCTCAGTTATGCAGTCAATTAGCTGGCGTAACAGAAACTTTATTCCCATTGAACAACTCCCCATTTCCACGTTCTCCCAGCCCCTGGCAATCATAATTCTACTCTCCGTTTCCATGTGTTTGATTATTTTAGATATGTTATGTAAGTGGAATCACATGGTAAATGCCCTTCTGTGACTGGCTTATTTCACTTAGTATAACATCCTCCAGATGTATCCATGTTGTCACATATGGCAGGATTTCCTTCTTTTTTATGCTCGGGCCCATTTAGCCAATGACTTTTCTTCAGATTTCTTTTACTTTTCTATCATTTTTCTCTTCTCACCTTCTCCTTCCTTTGAGCTGAATTTCTTCCTACTCCGTTTTTCTTTTTACATTTTTTCAATCTTCTCTTCCTTGAGAGTTCAAAATAACTTCAGATTGTCATTAATCATTTGTTATTTAATTGGGTTTTCACTAATATCTGTGGATTAAGCCCACATCCTTCTCTTGGAATTTCTGGTAGAGTAGTGAAGGTGTATGTAATTCTACTGTTTCCATGTGTTTGATTATTTTAGACATGTTGTCATAGGATCCTTGGGGAATCACTTGGCCAGCTGGAAACCTCTGTTGCTGGTGGCACCTTTGCCCAAGTTTTGCTTGGGCAATTCTAACCTGAGCCCCAAACTAAAATTCTGTGGACTAGGACAGATTACCTGTCAACATTTTGTTAATGTCCAGCTCCTAAATCAAGATAAGTTTCTCAAGTGTTACAGATAGTGTTAATTTCATCACCAGGGCTATCCTTAAGTGGGCACTGATTTCCACGACTGAATCATTTTTTTTTAATTGTGATAAAAACACTAAACATGAGATTTACTATCTTAAATTTTTAAGACAGTATAGCACCGGTTTTAAACTATAGGCAAAATGTTATACAGCAGATCTCTTAGAACTTAATCAGTTTGCATAACTGAAACTTTATTCCCATTGAACGACTCCCCATCTTCCCATCGCCCCAGCGTCTGGCAACCACAATTCTACTGTTTCCATGTGTTTGATTATTTTAGACATGTTGTCACAGGATCCTTGGGGAATCACTTGGCCAGCTGGAAACCTCTGTGGCTGGTCGCCCCTTTGCCCAAGTTTTGCTTGGGCCCACTGGGCTTGTTCTGCCCAGTAGGCCTAGCAGGCAGCTCTCAGCTTGCACTACCAGCCTGGATCTCATACCTGCCAAGAGTGAGCCAGGGGCAGAGTGGCGAGGAGTGTGTGAGCAAGCAAGCACAGGGTCCAGACACTGTGCACAGCCAGGCACACCTGCTGCCACTGGGTGGACAGCTCCAGGTGCCAGCATGGGTGATGGCTCCCTGCGAGGCTGCTGCTGGACCAGGTATACTGCAAGCAGCTTCCACTGTGGGCATTCCAGAAGCTTGGAGATGCCAGGAACTACAGAGCCCCAAAGAGGGTGTCACAGCTCTGGCTCATGGAGCTCCTACATCTGGACTCCCTGAAGAGCCACAGCTCTTCTTGCTTTCTGTCTTCTCTCTTCTCTCTTTCTCATCACTCACAACATGGTGAGTCAGGGGGCATGTTTCAGTCATGTTTATGTTACAGCCCTTTCAGTCCTGCCATTTGGTAGTTCTCAAGTTCTTGTCCTGTGTCCAGGAAGAATGAAGTAAGAATGGGTCTTCCTGGACAACTGGAGGGAGAGCAAGCTGAAGAGGTGCTTTACTGAGAGACAGTACAGCTCTCAGGAGACCCGAAGTGCATAGCTCCTTTCCACAGGCAGGTTGTCCCAGTGAGTGCAGCTCTCAGGGGAGAGAAGACCAGGAATTGGTAACTTCTATCCACAGGCAGGTCATCCTGTCATCTGAACCCTCAGAAGAGAGGTGACCCAGAGTGGGTAGCTCTTATCTGCAGGCAAGTTGTCCCATTGTCTGCCCAAGTCTGGCTGAGTCTGGGGGTTTTATGGGTTTCGGAGTGGAGGAAGTGCCTGCTGACTGTTCTGTGGGCAGCCAAGGGCGGGCCAAGAAAAAGCACTATAAGTTCTCACTGCAGTCTGTGGAACTAGCAGCCCAGCCCCCATGCTTCAGTCCATCCTGGCTTGAAGATGGAGCTTCACCAGGGACTGCCCCTTTCCACCCAGGAGCCTGTCTGCCTCCTGCCACCAACAACCTGCCATCCATGGTGCCCACAGTGCCCAGGCTGTTTGTGCCAAGGGATGCCTGCAGGCTTGTGCCAACCTGCCCTCAGCACCCCCTCGGGGTCCCTCCCATGCTTGTCAGCACCCAAACTCCAGAGGGGGCCAAGGTGGCAGGGAGCTGGCATGTTAGCACCGCCCTGAGTGGGTGCATAGCCGGCCGTGTTGCAGCAGCATCCAGGCTCTGCCACAAATTTGCTCCAAAGTTGGGGTGGGTGCTGGAAGTGGGGAGAGGCCAGGCAGTAGGAGCAGCCACTTCTGAGCCTGTTGGGGGAGAGAAAGTTCCCAGGTTCCCAAAAACCCAGGAATGCCTGGGCCACAGCCACAGCTGAGTGGCTACAGCTGCGCCTGGGAGGGTGGGGCAGGAGCCCTGCCAACTCAAAAGAGGGAAGGGCTCCCACCTGTTCCTGGCTCCTGCAGGCTCTATGGAGCCACAGCCCTGGCTGGGCCTCCCCCGCTGCAGCCAGTATTTTCACAGTGGCTGCTCCAGATGGGTCACTGCTGCCATCAATGTCATGTAAGTGGAATCACATGGTCATTACCTTTCTGTGACCAGCTTATTTCACTCAGCATAACGTCCTCAGGTTTATCCATGTTGTTGCATATGGCAGGATTTTCTTCTTTTTTTATGGCTGAATAATATTCCATTGTGTGTATGTGATGGTTAATATTAAGTGTTAACTTGACTGGATTGAGGGATGCCTAGGTGGCTGGTAAAGTATTGTTTCTGGGCATGAGGGTATTGCCAGAGGAGATTGAGATTTGAATCAGTGAACTGGAAGAGGAAGACCCATCCTCAATGTGTGTGCACCATCCAATTGGCTGCCAGTGCAGCTGAAACGAAGCCAGTAATGGAAAGGGGACTAGGCTTGCTCACTGAGTCTTCTAGCTCTCTCTTTTTTCCCATGCCAGATGCTTGCTTCTTCTCCTCCTGCCCTTAGACACCAGACTCCAGGTATTTTGGCCTTTGAACTCTGGGACTTAAACCAGCAGCTTCTCAAGGGCTCTTAGGCCTTCAGCAGCAGACTGACAGCTGCATTGTAGCTTTCATCTGCTGCATCGTAGCTTCCCTGGTTTAAGTTTTGGAACTTGGACTACTGGCTTCTCTCTCTCTCCAGCTTGCAGATGGCCTATCTGTGCGAGCCAATTCTCCGTAATAAACTCTCTTTCATATATACATATATGCTACTGGTTCTGTCCCTCTGGAGAACCCTGACTAATACATATAATGTATACCACATTTTCTTTATCGGTTCATCTGTCAATGGACATTTAGGTTGTTTCCACATCTAGCTGTTGTGACTAGTGCTGCAATGGACATGGAGGTGCAAATATCCTTTGAGATCCTTTGAGATATGTGTGTATATATGTGTGTGTGTGTGTGTGTGTGTGTATATATATATATATATATACACATATACACATACATATAAAAAGAGGTTGAGAATATGGGGTGCCATTTTTTTCTCATTTTAATCCAAAAGTTTCAGGAGAACACTTTTCCTTGTATGCTTTTTCTTTATCTGACTCAGGTAAACCTTATTAATTCCATTTTCGATTGGTGCTCATTATCACAACTGAAGGCGATATTAGGAGACTCCTTCTACTCTAGTAAAATATTTAAGGATCCTCTTGATAGTTATATGTCAGTGTAAGTATTGACACACCAAAAGTGTTTGGAAGCAATTAAAAGATCTTTCCAACATATACACATTAAGTTATCTATTCTCCATTTTCACTGGCTTCCTCAAAAATCATAGCTAAATTTGAGTCAGCTATTTCTTTTGCGGTCTCTTTTCCTCCTCCCTCCCTCCCTCATTCTCTTAGCCTCTCTCTTTCTTTTTCTTTCAACATTTATTGAAGGTGCATTGTGTGTCAGTATTGTCGATTCTGAAATGACACTAAAATGTCCCTTACAGTTAAGTTACAGCCACTCTTGTTCCCTTTTAATCTAATACACTGAGAGAATAGTTTTTAATTTCATTGCTGGAAATTTCCTTAGCTTCTGATTTCCCCAGGGGATTGGTGTTAAGCAAGAAAAAAAAATTACTCCTTTTTTCCTTCATCTTAGTGAGTTTGAGGGCTGATATACCTCATTGAAGTTTGCTATTAACATTAAGTTAGTTAATTATGGCAAGCACATACTCGACACGCTGTGATGATGGAAGAGAAACAGAATAGTCCATCAGTCAGAGGAGCCTCTAAACGATTTTGCCATAATCTAGGGATATTGAAATTGATAGGTCTCAGCCCATCAACCAACCAAATATAGAACCCAGCTCTTATTGAGGGACAGGATCTGGAGTTTTAGGCATGTTAAAATCCACAGGCTCCATCAACCAACAAAACGTAGAACACAGCTCTTACTGAGGGACAGGATCTGGAGTTTTAGGCATGTTAAAATCCACAGGCTCTATCAACCAACGAAATATAGAACCCAGCTCTTACCGAGGGACAGGGTCTGGAGTTTTAGGCATGTTAAAATCCACAGGCTCTGGGGTTGGTTGCCACATGTCACACTTGAACACAGAATTATTTCCGTATCCCTCTCTTGTACCTCCCATGCATGTCATGGAACAAACTTCCCCATATTCACTATCCCCAACCTTTTTGGCACCAGGGACCAGTTTCCTGGACGATAACTTTTCCACAGACTTGGGAAGGATGGTTTCGGGATGATTCAAGCACATTACATTTATTGCGCACTTTATTTCTATTATTATTATATTGTCATATATAATGAAATAATTATACAACTCACCATAATGTAGAATCAGTGGGAACCCTGAGCTTGTTTTCCTGCAACTAGACAGCCCCTTCTGGGGTAATGGGAAACAGTGACAGGTCATCAAGCGTCATCAAGTGACAGGTCATTCTCATAAGAAGCGTGCAACCTAGATCCTCGCATACGCAGTTCACAATAGGGTTCACACTCCTATGAGAATCTAATGCCACTGCTGATCTGACAGGGGGCAGAGCTCAGGCCGTAATGAGCCTTGGGGAGCGGCTGTAAAAACACCGCCTGCTGTGCAGCCTCGTTTCTTATAGAGCACGAACAGGTTGGGGACCCCTGCACTACGTGGCCTATTCTTGTGTCTTCTGTCTTTTCTGACTATTCCCTTGTTAAGAGACACCTCTGGCTTTGTCCCTGAAACTTGCGACTTTGCTACCTGAGTTATGAGTGGTCCTGATTGGGTATGTGCCAGTGTTCCAGTCTTTGGCTCCACCCACAAGCCACAAGATGAACCCACCCATTATAAATCTTGAGACAACAGAAAATGTAAGAGTAGGGACTCCTGCTGTCCCTGCTGCGAGCCACATCACTCTCCTATGGGTAGAACACACCCACTTTGCCTGGTAACTGGGAACCGGGGCAGAACTTGACAATTGAGATCCGGAGCTGCTTTGAATTGTTAATCATGGCTATCAGCAAACAGTTGGAAGACATTTTAGAAGCTGATGAAAAACCCACTCCTATAGGCCTTCTAAATCACCAGTTCCCTTCTTCTCCCCTCTTTCTCCTGTTACTTCTTTCTCCTTGATTCATGCAAATGAGTATGTATGGAACTTCCTTAATTGCACGGGGAGTCCTGGACTAAACTCAATGCTGCTGGGAAGAGAGATTTATAACCCCATCATGTCTGCAGGTCAGCACGATGGAAGCCTCATAATGGTCATTTTCCAATCAGAAAAGGTTTTTAGAGTCTCTATACCAACCTTCTCTAAGCATTCCCCTCTATCTCAAAGCACGTCTCTGTCTTCATCTGCATACACTTTTTCTCCTTAATAAGAACTTCAGCAGCCTTGAGCAGTTCATTTTTCCAGCCTGACCTCTTCCAGCAATAGCTGTCTCTTAAAATTACTATGTATCATTTTCTCTGATGAAGCTGAATATTAAAGAAGAACACAGAGAGAGGCTTTAGACCACACAGGATGACAGTATTTCATCCTCAGAGACAGAGGGTGTTAAAATGTTCTACAGTTGTGCACTGAGGAAATCTCTTTACCCTCACACCTCCGTGAAGCCCAGAGCTGTGTCTAACAGACTTTCAGGGCCACGTTTAGCACATATTTAAATTCTCACAGCTCCTAGAAGGGCATCTAATCTCGTTTCTAAGCAAAGTCAGCTGGATTGGACCACCTTATCAGTCTGAACCTATTAAATCTTATTTATTTCCCAGCTGCTAGAGATTCAGGTAATGGTTATTTATGTAGGAATTTGGCAAATGTCAGACAAACCCAGTGATGCTTGTCTAGAGTCCTGTTTGCAAAGGATGGCAGCCAATGGGTTATGTGAGTATTTCATAACCTTTTCTCCTAAGACTACTCCCCATTTGAGGTTTTAGACAACAAGGCCATTCAAAGTCTAATCAGGAATGAGATGGTGAGAGTGACTGTCTTATTGAATGCTGAATGCTTCCAGCAGTAGAACATGATTTATATCAATAGTATAAACTGTTTATTCCACAAACTCATGGTGCAAATATGTTCACCGTTCTTTTGCTTCTCTCATTATTGTTTGCCCTACAGCAAAACTTTCCCAAGCACCTATTGGCAGAAAGCCCAGGATTTCTCTGCTGAGGTCCCCCCCAATACCTTGAATTGTTACTAGATGCTAAAGGCTTAATTTCTAGGAAGGGTGTATTGGGGATGGTGGTGATGGTTCTTCCAGAGAGCCAGTTTACCAGCCCACCATTACCCAGGAGTGAGGTCTGATGGTGTTTCCAGTCTTTCATTGTGTTAGAGACAGTCCTTCTTCCACAATCCTTTCGTTCCTCCTCTACCCTTCCCTAGGTGTTTCCCTTTTAGGGCAGTCTTGTGTCTCTGTCAGTTGGTCCGCCCTTTCCTCAGAGACCAGCATTTATTTATTTATTTGTTTATTTATGAGACAGAGTCTCACTCTGTCACCCAGGCTGGAGTGCAGTGGTGCGATCTCAGCTCACTGCAACCCCCACCTCCCAGGTTCAAGTGATTCTCCTGCCTCAGCTTTCTGAGTAGCTGGAATTACAGGCGTGCACCACTATGGCCAACTAATTTTTGTGTTTTTAGTAGAGACAGGGTTTTGCCATGTTGGCCAGGCTGGTCTCGAACTCCTGACCTCAGGTGATCCACCTGCTTGGGCCTCCCAATGTGCTGGGATTACAGGTGTGAGCCACTGCACTCAGCTGAGACCAGCATTTATACTAAAATGTACCGACAGTGAGTGGCCTTGCCACACTGCCTCACAGCTACAGGTGGCCCCTCTCTTACATTTGCAGGTGGTCAGCTCAAGTGACTCTTCCTTGATAAGACAAGGATAGTCTCCCAGGGAAAGGTGTCATTTGAAACACCACTGTCAATGGACACTGTCTAATCTCTATCTTGCTAGGCACACTGTTCCCAGAACATCCCTTACACGTGGCCATCTTTGTTTTGTTTTTTAATATTTTCAAGACAGGGCCTTGCTCTGTCACCCAGGCTAGAGTGCAGTGGCACCGTTATGGCTCACTGAAGCCTCAGCCTCCTGGGCTCAAGTGATCTTCCTGCTTTGGCCTCCTGGGTAGCTGGGGCTACAGGTGCACACCACCATGCCCTGCTAATTTGTGTGTGTGTGGAGATGGGGTCTCGCTGTATTTCCCAGATTGGTCTCAAACTCCTGGCCTCAAGAGATTCTTCTGCCTCGGCCTCTTAAAGCGCTGGGATTATATGTATGAGCCAACTCGCCTCGCCACGTGGTCATTTCTTTGTTCTTGAAGCAAATGGAGGACTGAAAAGCTCCCTAAAGTAATCTAGATATCCATAGCCTGCAAGCTTATGGCAAAAACCAAGGCGCTCACATTACCCCAGATTACCATCCCCTTGACCCCCACTCACCAGACCTCCTCAAGTTCTCCCTGGTTCCTCCTGGGAGTCCCCTTCACTGCTTGCCAGTTGCCCACAGCAGGAGAGAGACAACTCATATGTCCTTGAGGCCAGCCAGCCACCCTGCAGCAATGAGATCTGCTGGGCCTCCTGCTGGCCTGGAGTCCCCACCCCAAGCCTCTGCCATCAGTCCAAATGGAGTGTCAGGCAGTGGAAGCCAGCCACACAACTGCCTGGTCTCAGAGGGGTACAGCTCTTTGAGTTGACAGCCATTTTTACCATGGAGGTCTCACAGCGCTGGCAAGGCTGAGTGAGAAGTTTTAATCCATGGGCTGTGTCCCAAACCAGCAGTTGTTTTCTGACAGCCAAGCTGCTCAGGCTAAGTCCAGGCCACCAGCCCAGATTTTGTCCTCTTTTGTGGTGGTCTCTTCTCCGGGACCTGTATGTTCTGTTCTGCAATCTGGCCTTAGGCTGGAGTGCTGGTCTATCATAATACTTGTATGTCTTTCATACTCAGAGGAAAAGGGATAGGGTCTAATATATGTTCCCTAGGTGGCCCTTCTGCCTCTTATTTCCGAGTGCAAATTGATGAAGACTGAAGTGGGAAATTACCTTTCTACCTGGAAATAGCCAAGACCCACACCTACTCCTCCCACCCCCACAACAGCTCAGCCTTAATTCTTGCCAAGCCAAGCCTAAAATGGTCTTTTTTATTTTTGTTTTTATTTTTTTGAGACAGAGTTTCGCTCTTGTCACCCAGGCTAGAGCGCAATGGCACGATCTCAGCTCACTGCAACCTCCGCCTCCCGGGTTCAAGCAATTATCCTGCCTCAGCCTCCCGAGTAGCTGGGATATCAGGCATGTGCCACCACACCCAGCTAATTTTTTGTATCTTCAGTAGAGACCAGGTTTCACCATGTTGGCCAGGCTGGTCTCAAACTCCTGACCTCAGGTGATCCATCCACCTCGGCCTCCCCAAGGGCCAAGATTACATGTGTGAGCCACTGCTCCCAGCCCTAAAATGGTCTTTTATAGCCACATATGATGATAGTGATAGATCTCATTTACATGGCCCTTTGTATTAGTTTCACATTGCTGTTGTAATAAATTACCACCACCAAGAACTTAGAACTTAGAACAAGAACTTAGGATTTATTATCTTATAGTTCTGTAGGTCAGAAGTCCAAAGTCTCACTGGGCTAAAGCCAACGTGTCTACAGAGCTGGTTGCTTCTGGAGACTGTGAGGGGTGAAGTTTCCTTATCTTTTTCAGCTTCTAGAGGCTTCCTGTACCCTTTGTCTCATGATGTCCTCTTCACATCACTCTAACCTCTTGTCCCCATCACCACATCTCCAACTAATCACTGCAATCTCATGCCTCCAGAGCTCTTAAAAAGACATTTGTAGCGAGGCATGGTGGCTCATGCCTGTAATCCCAGCACTTTGGGAGGCCGAGGCAGGCGCATCATGAGGTCAGGAGTTCGAGACCAGTCTGGCCAACATAGTGAAACCCGGTCTCTACTAAAAATACAAAAATTAGCCAGGCATGATGGTGTGCACCTGTAATCCCAGCTACTCAGGAGGCTGAGGCAGAAGAATTGTGTGAACCTGGGAGGCAGGGGTTGCAGTGAGCAGAGATCGTGCCATTGCACTCCAGCCCAGGTGACTGTGCAAAACTCCATCTCACAAAAAAAAAAAAAAAAAAAAAAGACACTTGTGATTACATCAGGCCCACTCAGATAATCCAAAATAATCTCCCTATCTCAAGATCCTGAGCTTCATCACATCTTCAAAGGCCCCTTTACCATTTAAGGTAACATATTTGCAGGTTGCAGGAATTTGGATGCAGACATCTGAGTGGTGAGAGTCATCTATTGTTCAGCCTACCTCACCCATTATGCTTTTCAACAATGTTTTTAGATAAAGTATCCCATGTAATATTTCAGACAACCTTGGGAGGCAGGTTATGGCAATTTCTATTTTACTGCATAGGAAATTACATAGGCTAAAGCTATGCCGTCCAATATAGTAGCCACTAGCCACACATGGCTTTTAGCACTTGAAGTGTGGCTAGTTCAGGTTGAATTATGCAGTAAGTTTAAAATTCACAATGGATTTTAATGATTTCTTACAAAAGGAATGTAAAATATCTCATTAATAATTTTTAAAATATAGATTACATGTTGAGACAATATTTTGCATATATCAGAGTAAATAATTTTAACTGTTTCTCTAAAAATGTGACTACTAGAAAATTTTAAATTACACATGCAGCCCACATTCTATTTTTATTGTGCAATGCTGAGCTAAGATCGTACATTTAGTAATGGCCAGCCTGTCTTCTAACCCCGCTGTTAGTGTCCTGTGTCCTACAGCCCACAGAATAGTAGGAAAATGATGGGCTTTGGATTCTAAGAGACCTGGATTCGAATTCTGACCCTCTCACTTATGATAAATGTTTATTAGTATTTCTGAGCTTCAATTTTAGAACCTGAAAAAGAGGCTAATAAGACCCACATTATAGGATTGTTTTAAATATTCAGTGGATGACCTACATAGAAGATCTAGCATAGAAACTGGAATTGGTGAGAAATTATAGTTACTCTCCCCATCCTGTCTCTTCTCTATAAAACAGCCACCATATGCAAACAGACAGATAATAATTTTAAAGGTCATCAATTACAGGAAAATATCACAAGTATAAAAAACTTTTTCTCATCTACATTAAACCAGAGAAATCTAGTTTTTATAACAAATTTTTTATAATTTTAACTCTGGGTACCTATTGTATGGTAGCTGTCTACAATGCCCGCATCTCCACCAGCAGAGTAGTTTCTTCCATAGATGCAGAAGGAACAGGGCCTGTAGACATCAAGAAAGAAGCCAGACCCTTCTGGGACCAATTGTACCAATAAGAAAACAAAATTAACTGGTGTGCACTTATCTTAATTCATCAGAAGTTTGCCTTGAGTGAAGTATGGCAAACTCATGAAGATAAAGTCCTTTGCCCATGGATTCTCCATTCGTAACATAAGCATAAAGCTGTTACGTAGTACTCTGCATAGAAACATGGCCAGCATTTCATTTACTGCTCTGTTTACCAAAGTGAGTTTAGTAGGAAATTAATAAATGTCACATGAAAAGAATACCCTGGTGAAACAAGTTCAGAAAACTAGGTTGAACAAAATATGCTGTTCTGCCTATGCTAATGTACATCGTGACTCACCAGGAATCAGGAGGCAGTATGTAGATTCCCAAACTTATTTGACTAAGGAAACCCCTTTTTCTTTTTGCTAAATATGGAACTGCTAGGGAACTAGTATGGAGTTCATATTCTGGGGAAATAATTCAGGGAATGTTGATCTATTTAAATGGAATTTTTGTTTTCTCTGTCTGTCTCTCTCTCTCTCTCTCTCTCTGTGTATGTGTTTGTGTGTGTGTGTGTGTATGTGTCTCAAAATCAGTTCTCAAGTTATGACCTAGACATGTTGTTGTTGCTGTTGTTTATTTGAACCTCAGGTCCAAGTAATTTTATTATCATACTTCTCTGTTCATGGCACACTGTCAACATCAGTTAGATTTGTTTTCCAAATCTTAAAACTCAAGACTGGGTGCAGTGGCTCAGGCCTGTAATCCTAGCACTTCGGGAGGCCAAGAGTTTGAGACCAGCCTGTGAAATATAGTGAGATCTCACCTCTACAAAAAGAAATTTTTTTTTTAATTAGCTGGGGAAGGTAGCTCTAGTCTTAGCTACTTGAGAGGCTGAGGTGGGAGGATCATTTGAGCCCAGGAGTTGGAGGCTTCAGTGAGCTATGATTGCACCACTGCACTACAGCCTGGCCAACACAGCAAGACTCTTTCTCTATAACGAAAAAGAAAAAAACCTCAAAAAAGTGCTTTCATTACTTTATTCTTCTTAGGACATCCTTTTATTTATCGATTTACAAGACAGTCAAATTACCAGAGGAGAAATAACTCCCAAAGGAGTTCTTTTAAAGACTAACTCTTTAAGGATAAGGTACTTGAGTGGACTTTGAATGTAAAGGAAATCATTTTACTTTAATAATATGGAAAACTGTAATGCAAATTTCCTCTTGCTTTAACAACTATGCTGACATTATCAATCTTTTGCTTCTCGTAGCTTGTACCATGTCCCCTTTTGTCCTCACTGAAATGAATAATGTGAATCTGATCCTACTCTAACTTCATCAGCCCACTTAAATGAAAGTACTGAGGAGCAGAAATCAGAGATCCTGTGTGCTCTTTGTAGCAACTTTGTAACTTCCTCACCATTGCCTGGAACTCATACCAAATATATTGGTAAAACTTTTAGATAAGCTGGATGCATTCTGTCTTTCCAGGACAAACAAATAGATAAGCATTCTTTTCTTTAATGATGGCATAGTCTTACCTTTTTTTTTTTTTTTTTTTTTTTTGAGACAGTCTCTCTCCATTGCCCAGGCTGGAGTGCAGCAGCCCACGATCTTGGCTCACTGCAAACTCCGCCTCCTGGGTTCAAACGATTCTCCTGCCTCAGCCTCCCGAGTAGCTGGGATTACAGTTGCGTGCCACCATGCCCAGCTAATTTTTGTATTTTTAGTAGAGATGGGGTTTTACCATGTTGGCCAGGCTGGTCTTGAATTCCTGACCTCAAGTGATCCACCTGCCTCGGCCTCCCAAAGTGCTAGGACTACAGGCAGGGGCCACTGCACCTGACCATAGTCTGACTTTCATTAGCAATCATTCTAAAAAGCAAATAATCTCATTGACAAACTCCCACCAAAAAGGAAAGCCTGGCTGGGCGTGGTCACTCATGCCTATAATCTCAGCATTTTGGGAGGCCAAGGCGCCTCCCAAACCTCCAGGGCTCAAGAGATCCTCCCACCTCAGCCTCCTGAGTAGCTGGGACTACAGGCCTGTGCCACCACACCCAGCTAACTTTTGTATTTTTTGTAGAGATGGGGTTTCACCATGTTGCCCAGGCTGGTATGAAACTTCTGGGCTCAAGCCATCCGCCCCTCTTGGCTTCCCAAAGTGCTGGGATTACAGGTGTGAGCGACGGCGCCTGGCTAGCACATGAATTTCCTATCAACAATGTGGAAGATCTATGTAGGTCTCAAATTACCTGCTATTTATTTTCTGTTAATTACTCACCTGAGACCACTGATTGAGAAGAATTTTTTAAAAAGCATGGCCAAAATTCTCCTCTAGCCAAAGTTCTATCCTCATGCCAAGTCATAAAAACTAGCAAATAACACACCTGTGATAGACTTCTTCAAGCTACCTATGAGAAAACCTCAACAAATCATGGCTTAACCATCTTCCTTTGGCACTTTTCAAGGCTATATTTGAGAAATTTTCATATAAAAGTGTTCCAATATCTCGAAATTAAATATAATAAATCTACTATATTAGTTGAATATCTATGATGGATAAATTCAGTTTAGAATTTAATAATAGGAAAGGCATTTTTAAAGTTGGTATATTTAATTTCACAGATAATAAAGCCTAGCTCAGTTATTATATTTTCTCTTTTTTATCCTGGCTTCCAGGGTACTCAGGACTATGTTTTGGGATCAATTGCAGTAGTTTTGCTAAACCTAAGTTTTATGACACAGCTATAATCCACCTATTGGTTGGCTCATATTCTTTTGCTATCTTTTAGTGGTTATCCAGCATTTTAGTCTTTATTGTAAGTCATTTCAAATCCCCTTAAGCTGTAGATAAAATCAAAATAAGGCTGGGCACGGTGGCTCATGCCTGTAATCCCAGCACTTTGGGAGGCCAAGGTGGGTGGATCACCTGAGGTCAGGAATTCGAGACCAGCCTGGCCAACATGGTGAAACCCCGTCTCTACTAAAATTACAAAAATTAGCTGGGTGTGGTGGCAGGTGGCTACAATCCCAGCTACTTGGGAGGCTGAGACAGGAAAATCACCTGAACCTGGGAGGTAGAGGTTGCAGTGAGCTGAGATTGTGCCACTGCACCCCAGCCTGGGTGACAGTGTGAAACTCTCTCTCAAAAAAAAAAAAAAAGGAAATAAATCACATGTACTTTTTATACCATTATTCTAGGAATTTGGTAGAGTATAGTTAGTGGTGGTGAGAAAATGAACTGCCACAGAAAAGGGGAAAGCACAGATAGAGAGTAAAGGAAACTTCTGTTTTAGAGGAAAAGTGGGAAGAAATAATCTGACTTATGCAGCCCACTTATTTCCTGAAATGGATTCGGGTTTGTACCCTCTCTGGATACTGAGCAGATCTACTGCCCCTTTGGACAAACTGTTAGTAACCTTTCAACAGAAAGAGAGGGAGATAAGATGTGATTCATTTTAATTTAAGAAGAATAAAAAATTAAGGCTACCTCTGTACATGAAACTTTTTTTTTTTTTTTTTTTTGAGACAGGGTTTTATTCTGTCACCCAAGCTGGAATGCAGTGGCATGATCATGGCTCACTGCAGCCTCAACCTCCCTGGGCTCAGGTGATCCTCCCGCCTCAGCCTCCCAAGTAGCTGGGACTGCAGGCACGCACCACCATGCCCGGCTAATTTTTGTAGACATGGGCCTTTGCCAGTTGCCCAGGCTGGTCTCAAATTCCTGGGCTCAAGTGATTCACATCCCCCGGCCTCCCAAAGTGCTGGGATTACAGGCATGAGCCACCATGCCTGGCCTGTACACGAAATTTTAATGGTGTATGTTTGTTGCTTGCCTGCTTCTTTGGGGGAAATGTTTTTCTTTTCTCTTTCCTCCTTTCATTCCATGGTTTGTTCCTAGGCTTGTCATTTCCAAGTACTGTAGAGATCACGAGCTCAGATGTGTTCAGCAGAGACCCCCCTCATCAACCCATCAGTCCCCTGCACTGCCTTCTGTGCTAAAACTCCTCTCTCTGTCTTATGATTCCCAGGTCAGAGTGAATTGGCTGGGTGGCAAGTGTCTCTGATGTCCCTTCAACAACTTCAGCTGCGGGGCTGGGCTCTTGCCAGTCAACAAACAGGGTGTCAGGGTCAGCTGTTTAAGCTGCAGAGATTGATCCTGTTTAAATAAAATCTGATGGGGTGACTACCACAAGACTTTCAGGTGCTCTGACAGGGAAGGGTCACACCAGGAGAGAAAAATCAGATCACAGTCTGAAGCGAAAGTTATATGCTGGCAGCTTTAGACCTCACTGACTACAGAAAGGGATCTCAAACACAAGTTTAGGGGCCGGGCACGGTGGCTCACACCTATAATCCCAGCACTTTGGGAGGCCGAGGTGGGCAGATCACCTGAGGTCAGGAGTTTGAGATCAGCCTGGCCGATATGGTGAAACCCCATCTCTACTAAAAGTACAAAAAATTAACCGAGCATGGTTGCGCATGCCTGTAGTTCCAGCTACTCCAGAGGCTGAGGCATGAGAATTGGTTGAACCTAGGAGATAGAGGTTGCAGTGAGCCAAGATCGTGCCGTTGCACTCCAGCCTCAGCGACAGAGCAAGAATGTATCTCAAAAACAAAACAAAAACAAAAAAAAACACACACATAGAAGTTTAAGGGAAATATTACAACAAAATTTTTAAAATTTTGGCTAACAAACCAACTTTGTAGTATGATCATAATATCATATAAACGTAAAGATACCCACAGTAATCAAATTCAGGTTATATTAAGTGACAGTTAATGAAACTTTTAAAAACTGAATGCAACATTGCATGGGTATGTGCAAATGTTCATCCTCCTGGAAAATGGAGTTATATTTTCATCATCACATTTTCAGAGGTCAACAATCGAAAAATGGTCCAGAACCTCTCACTGATTTGATCCAATGCCCTAATTTCCTAGAGACCATCCAATCAAAACTAACTCAAGCAGAGCTGCCAGGTGAGGGATTAGGAAAGATCAATTGCAGGAAAGAAACTTTTCTAATGAGGTTTTTTTTTTTTGTTTGTTTTTTGTTTTAAGTTCTATAGCTTGCAAGGCTAAAAGCATTGTATAAGGACAGAGAAGGCCTCAAGTCTCCACTCTTCAACCTCACCACTGCCCCCTACATTTCAACAGATGACATTATCTCTTACTCTAAAAGAAAATAAAGGTCATCAGACTGAACATTTAGCAACTTCCTGCATCTGCACTGAGTTTTCCTCCTTCCATTCTCGTTCAGTTGGTTGAAAGCAAAGCTTGGAGTCACAAAGAAAACGAGCACTCAAACAAAAGATTTCTTAGCAAGGCAAATTTACTTCTGTGGAAGGGTGCTTCTCGCAGGACTGGTTCCCAAGAAAGCACGCCAAACAAAAGAGGGAAAGGGTTTTTTTTTATTCCTAATGCATCTTGTCCCTACGACTGTGTCCTGTCTCTGTTGGCTGTAGTTGGACTGCATAATCTAAACTGAACCCGACTGGCTAACTTGAAAGACAGCTTTGGCAGGAAGAGCTGTCACAGTGGGAGGGGTAAATTACAGAGTGAGTAGCAGATGTGGGCTCTATAGAAAAGGACCAGTGGGAGAGTTGTTTACTGGAACTAGGAGCAGGGAGGCACAAAGGATAAGGAAGTTGGACCTTGAAAGTAGAGAGCAAAGAAACTTAACAAACTAAACCTTTGAAGAGGAACTTCTCTTGGATCTGACAAGTTGAAAAGAGGCTTCTCCTTTGTGCGAGGCTACTTTCTCCTTCTTTCTTCTGGGTCTCATTCCCTCCAGCATCCTCGGGGAACCTCACTCCAATTACTATTCTTTCTCTTCCAGCAGCGTCAATCTCTCCTGCTCTACTTACTCCTTAACACAATTCTCTAATCTTTAAGAAAATTCTCTACTTCAGACTTGGCAGTAATCATCTTAACCAAGTGGTCAAGCTTGGCATCCCCCAAAGTGGGATGGCCTGATATGATGTGCCTCCTAAGGTAATATAATTGGAGAAACATAGGCTCACTTTTGTGGAGTTCTTACAAGACATATGTGACCCAAAATTTATGGCAAGGAAACAGATAAACACAGATTGTGGGATATTCCATTGAACAACTAGCCTAGACTCTTCAAAGGATTCAATGAGATGAAAAATAGAGGGGAGCATTGGTGGAAACTAAAGAGGCATAACTGCCAAATGCAAGGTGTGAATCTTGATTGGATTCTGGATAAAAAATAAATACTAGGCCAGGTGCATGTCTCAATAGTTAACTCCTTTATGTTGCTGAGTAGTGTGCCATTGTATAGATACACTACAATGTGTCTAATTACTCATCTGTTGATGAACATTTGGGTTGTTTCCAGCTTGAGACTGTGACAAATAAGTCTGCTATCTACATGTATCTACAAATATTTGGATCGACATACATTTCCATTTTTTAAAAATAAATAATTAGCAACCAGTGGCTGGGTCACATGATAGATGAATTTAACTTTTGTAAAAACTGCCAAACTGTCTTCCAAGGGAGTTGTACCATTTTACATTCCCACCAGTAGTGTATGTAATATATGAAAGTGCCAGTTACTTCACATGCTCTCCAACATGTGGGATGATTAGTCTCTTAATTTTAGCCATTATAATGGGAGTGCAGTGGCATCTCACCGTTGTTTTAACTTGCATTTCCCTAATGACTGATATTAAGCATTTTTATGTAATTATTTGCCTTGTAAATATTTTCTTTGGTGAAGAGACTTCTCAAATCTCTTTTTCCTGTTTTTAAATACAATTGTTAATTTTCTTATTGACTTTTGAGAATTCTTTATATATTGTATATTTAAATTCTTTACCAGATAAGTGATTTTAAAATATTTTTTCCCAGTCTGTGGTTTGTCTTTTAAGTTTCTTAACAACGTCTAAGTTCTTAATTTTGATGAAATCCAATGTATTCATTTTATCTAGTTATGCTTTGTGTTTTGGGTATTTTTCATAGGAAATCTTTATGTAAAGTCACAGATGTTTTCTTCTATGCTTACTTCCAGAAGTTTTACAGTTAGGTCTAAAATCCATTTTGAGTTAGTTTTTCATATGGTATAAGATATGGATCAAAGTTTATTTTTTGCATATTGTCCAATTGTTTCAATACTTTGTTGAAAAGACTATCTCTATTCCATTGAATTGCTTTTTACCTTGGTGGAAAATCAATTGGCCACATATGTGTGCATATATTTCTGGACTCTCTAATCTGTTTCATTGATCTATTTTTCTATTTTTATTGCCAATATCACACTGTCTTGATTACTGTATCTTTATAGTAAGTCTTGAAATTAGGTGTGGTATAAGTTCAAAAGTGAACATATTATCTTTTTAGTCTTATTCCTGTCTTTATCTCAATGAATGGTGGTGCCATTCGTTCATGCCAGAAACCCAGCATCATCTTGGACTTCTTCACCTCCTACATTTCATCAATAACCAGTACTTACTTTTCTCCATCCTTATTGTAACTACTCTGAGCTACTTTTTTATTACACATTCAATCTCTCTCTCTTTCTCTTTCTCTCTCTCTCCCTCACCAAGCTTTCATGGGGCTCAATAAATGTTGGTTGAGTGAACTACTTAATTAGTTAACTTATCACCTGGATTTCTGCCACATATACAAATAAATCTTTTAACTGGTTTTCTCCAGTCTTGGATCATCCAATACATTCTCCACGATACAGCTGGAATAATTTTTCTAAGCAAATCTGACCAAATGCATTTCCTTTTAAAACCTCTTCAATGGGGTTGCAATTCTGGTCTCTGATAAAACAGACTTTAAACCAACAAAGAGACAAAGAAGGCCATTACATATTGGTAAAGGGATCAATTCAACAAGAAGAGCTAACTATCCTAAACATATATGCACCCAATACAGGAGCACCCAGATTCATAAAGCGAGTTCTTAGAGATCTACAAAGAGACTTAGACTCCCACACAATAACAATGGGAGACTTTAACACCCCACTGTCAATATTAGACAGATCAACGAGACAGAAAATTAACAAGGATATCCAGGACTTGAACTCCGCTCTGAACCAAGCAGACCTAATAGATATCCACAGAACTCTCCACCACAAATCAGCAGAATATACATTCTTCTTAGCACCACATCGCACTTACTCTGAAATCGACCAACGTAATTGGAAGTAAAACACTCCTCAGCAAATGTAAAAGAACAGAAATCACAGCAAACTGTCTCTCGGACAACAGTGCAATCGAATTAGAACTCAGAATTAAGAATCTCACTCAAAACTGCCCAACTACATGGAAACTGAACAAACGGCTCCTGAATGACAACTGCGTAAATGACGAAATGAAGGCAGAAATAAAGATGTTCTTTGAAACCAATGAGAACAAAGATACGACGTACCAGAATCTCTGGGACACATTTAAAGCAGTGTGTAGAGGGAAATTTATAGCACTAAATGCCAAAAGAGAAAGCAGGAAAGATCTAAAATTGACACCCTAACATCACAATTAAAAGAACTAGAGAAGCAAGAGCAAACACATTCAAAAGCTAGCAGAAGGCAAGAAATAACTAAGATCAGAGCAGAACTGAAGGAGATAGAGACACAAAAAATCCTTCAAAAAATCAGTGAATCCAGGAGCTTGTTTTTGGGAAAGATCAACAGAATAGATAGACCACTAGCCATACTAATAAAAAAGAAAAGGAGAAGAATCAAATAGACACAATAAAAAATGATAAAGGGGATATCACCACCGATCCCACAGAAATACAAACTACCATCAGAGAATACTATAAACACCTCTATGCAAATAAACTAGAAAATCTAGAAGAAATGGATAAATTCCTGGACAAATACACCCTCCCAAGACTAAACCAGGAAGAAGCTGAATCTCTGAATAGACCTATAAAATGTTCTAAAATTAAGGCAATAAATAATAGCCTACCAACCAAAAAAAGTCCAGGACCAGACGGATTCACAGCCAAATTCTACCAGAGGTACAAAGAGGAGCTGGTACCATTCCTTCTGAAACTATTCCAATCAATAGAAAAAGAGGGAATCCTCCCTAACTCATTTTATGAGGCCAGCAACATCCTGATGCCAAAGCCTGGCAGAGACACAACACAAAAAAGAGAATTTTAGGCCAATATCCCTGATGAACATCGATGCGAAAATCCTCAATAAAATACTGGCAAACCAAATCCAGCAGCACATCAAAAAGCTTATCCACCACCATCAAGTCAGTTTCATCCCTGGGATGCAAGGCTTGTTCAACATACGCAAATCAATAAATGTAATCCATCACACAAACAGAACCAAGGACAAAAACCACATGATTATCTCAATAGATGCAGAAAAGGCCATAAACAAAATTCAACAACATTTCATGCTAAAAACTCTCAATAAACTAGGTATCAGTGGAATGTATCTCTACATAATAAGAGCTATTTATGACAAATCCACAGCCAATATCATACTGAATGGGCAAAAACTGGAAGCATTCCCTTTGAAAACCAGCACAAGAAAACGATGCCCTCTCTCACCACTCCTATTCAACATACTATTGGAAGTTCTGGCCAGGGCACTTAGGCAAGATAAAGCAATAAAGGGTATTCAAATAGGAAGAGAGGAAGTCAAATTGTCTCTGTTTGCAGATGACATGAATGTATATTTAGAAAACCCCATCGTCTCAGCCCCAAATCACCCTTAAGCTGATAAGCAACTTCAGCAAAGTCTCAGGATACAAAATCAATGTGCAAAAATCACAGGCATTCCTATACACCAATAACAGACAGAGAGCCAAATCATGAGTGAACTCCCATTCACAATTGCTACAAAGAGAATAAAATACTTAGGAATACAACTTACAAAGGATGTGAAGGACCTCTTCAAGGAGAACTACTAACCACTCCTCAAGGAAAGAAGAGAGGACACAAACAAACAGAAAAACATTCCATGCTCATGGATAGGAAGAATCAATATTGTGAAAATGGCCATACTGCCCAAAGTAATTTACAGATTCAATGCTATCCTCATCAAGCTACCATTGACTTTCTTCACAGAATTGGAAAAAAACTACTTTAAATTTCATATGGAACCAAAAAAGAGCCTGCATAGCCAAGACAATCATAAGCAAAAAGAACAAAGCTGGAGGCATCACACTACCTGACTTCAAACTATACTGCAAGGCTACAGTAAACAAAACAACATGGTACTGGTAACAAAACAGATATACAGAAGAATGGAACAGAACAGAAGCCTCAAATATCACACCACACATCTACAACCATCTGATCTTTCAGAAATCTGACAAAAACAAGAAATGGGGAAAGGATTCCTTATTTAATAAATGGTGTTGGGAATACTGGCTAGCCATATGCAGAAAACTGAAACTGGACCCCTTCCTTACACCTTATACAAAAATCAACTCAAGATGGATCAAAGACTTAAATGTAAGACCTAGGACCATAAAAATCCTAAAAGAAAACCTGGGCAATACCATTCAGGACATAGGTATGGGCAAAGACTTCATGACTAAAACACCAAAAGCAATGGCAACAAAAGCCAAAATTGACAAATGGGATCTAATGAAACTAAAGAGCTTCTGCACAGCAAAATAAACTAGCAGCAGAGTGAACAGGCAGCCTACAGAATGGGAGAAAATTTTTACAATCTATCCATCTGACAAAGGGCTAATATCCAAAATCTACAAATAACTTATACAAATTTACAAGAAAAAAGCAAACAACCCCATCAAAAAATGAGGTAAGGACATGAGCAGATACTTCTCAAAAGAAGACATTTATGCAGCCAACAGACAAATGAAAAAATGCTCATCATCACTGGTCATTAGAGAAATGCAAATCAAAACCACAATGAGATACCATCTCATGCCAGTTAGAATGGCAATCATTAAAAAGTCATGCAAAAAAGGATGCTGGAGAGGTTGTGGAAAAATAGGAACACTTTTACATTGTTGGTAGGAATGTAAATTTGTTCAACCATTGTGGAATACAGTGTGGTGATTCCTCAAGGATCTAGCACTAGAAATACCATTTGACCCAGCAATCCCATTAATGGGCATATACCCAAAGGATTAGAAATCATTCTATGATAAAGACACATGCACACGTATGTTTATTGTGGCACTATTCACAATAGCAAAGACTTGGAACCAACCCAAATGTCCATCAATGATAGACTGGATTAAGAAAATGTGGCATATATACACCATGGAATACTATGCAGCCATAAAAAAGGATGAGTTCATGTCCTTTGCAGGGACATGGATGAAGCTGGAAATCATCATTCTCAGCAAACTATCACAAGATCAGAAAACCAAACACCGCATGTTCTCACTCATAAGTGGGAGTTGAACAATGAGAACACATGGACACATGGAGGGGATCATCACACACCGGGGCCTGTGGGGGGTCGGGGGCTAGGGGAGGGATAACATTAGGAGAAGTAGGCCAGGTACGGTGGCTCACACCTGTAATCCTAGCACTTTGGGAGGCCAAGGCGGGCAGATCACGAGGTCAGGAGATCGAGACCATCCTGGCTAACATGGTGAAACCCTGTCTCTACTAAACATACAAAAAATTAGCCGGGCATGGTAGCAGGCACCTGTAGTCCCAGCCACTCGGGAGGCTGAGGCAGGAGAATGGCATGAACCTGGGAGGTGGAGCTTGCAGTGAGCCGAGATTGCACCACTGCACTCCAGCCTGGGCGACAGAGCGAGACTCCGTCTCAAAAAAAAAAAACATTAGGAGAAATACGTAATGTAGGTGATGGGTTGATGGGTGCAGCAAACCACCATGGCACGTGTATACCTATGTAACAAACCTGCACGTTCTGCACATGTAACCCAGAACTTAAAGTATAATTAAAAAAAAAAAGAAAACCTTAAAATTTAAAAATAAATAAATAGATAGATATAATAAAACTCCTTCTATGGCTCCTCATGACCCTGAAGATAGTATCCAAATTTCTTAGATTGATTTTCACTGCTCTTTTGACCTGGCCCATACTTAGTTCCTTAGCCCCAATTTTCATCACATCCATCTTTAACCTGACGTTCCATATCCTCTTTCACCTTTTGATCTTCGCTCATAGTGTTTGCTTACTTGTACCAATGTTTTACTCTACCTATCTCCTCTTCCTTTCCATCAAGTTAATGCCTACTCATCCTTATGTTTCAGCTGAGATGTCTTCTCTGAATTCACCACACCTGCGTTAAATGTTTTTCACAGTCGTGCTCAGAGAGCCAGGTATTTCCACCTATCACAACATATTATAGGTATCCATATCCACAGAGGGCTCTGTAGCAGCGGGGAATGCTACTATCTTGATCCTTGTATCTACAGCAGTTCCTGGCACCTAGTGGGGTGGGTGCCAGATATTCAAATATCTGTTGAATAAATGTTGCATACTCTGACCCTCATGATTCTAACTATGTATATATTTGAAGGATTCACATTATTTCAAATGTATTTTTCTGTATTAACAGATTTATAACTCTTGAACTGTCCAACTTAAGGCCTTTGAAAATGGTTTTTGTTGTTGTTGTTTTGGGTTTTTTTTTTTGAGACAGAGTTTCGATCTTGTTGCCCAGGCTGGAGTGCAATGGTGTGGTCTCAGCTCAATGAAACCTCTGCCTCCGGGGTTCAAGCGATTCCCCTGCCTCAGCCTCCCAAGTAGCTGGGATTACAAGTACCCACCACCACGCCTAGCTAATTTTTGTATTTTATTTAGTAGAGATGGGGTTTCACCATTTGGCCAGGCTGGTCTCCAACTCCCGACCTCAGGTAATCCACCCGCCTCAGCCTTCCAAAGTGCTAGGATTACAGGCATGGGCCACCACACCTGGCCAAAAATGTTTAATTTTGATATACATGAAGTACTTTTAAGGAAATCAAAATCTAAGCCAGTACTTCTTACATTTTGGTGTGCACAGAATCACATGGAGAACTTCTGAGAATTCCAGATTCCTGGATGCTGTTCCTGGAGTTTCTGCTTCAGCCTATCTGGGAATGGGGCAAGAAGCCTACACTTTTAGTAAGCACTGTATTAATCAAGTTGTCCTGGTTGCCATAACAACACTGGTCCCCCTAACCTCAGATGGTGAACACAATAAAAGGTTCATTTCTTGCTTATATCCCAATCCAAACGGATTGGCAGCCTTCCATGCAGAAGTTCAGGGACCTAGGCTTCTCACATTTTAAGGTTATGGCATTTTCTCGGGACTTGAAGTACTACATGGAAAAACTCTGTCTTCAACCAAAAAATGAAGGAAGATTGAGAATGTGATGTATATGCTATGTAAGAGGCTTGAGAGTTCTTTTGTTTTGTTTTGCTTTTTTGGTTTTGTTTTGTTTTGTTTTGTTTTTTGTTGAGACACAGTCTCACTCTGTCACCCAGGCGGCTGGAGTGCAGTGGCATGAACTCGGCTCACTGCAAACTCCGCCTCCCAGGTTCAAGCGATTCTCCTGCCTCAGTCTCCCGAGTAGCTGGGACTACAGGCACGTGCCACCATGACTGGCTAATTTTTTGTATTTTTAGTAGAGACAGGGTTTCACTGAGAGGTTTTATAGGCTATCATGGTAGTGGCCATATTATGTCCAGAGCTGAACTCCATCAGGAGATCACATCTAGGTATAAATTGAGAAGGGGAATATAATCCCATGATATGTTCAGGTAGAACAGAAAAGGCTTGGACATTGGTGAGCACTAGCATTCCATGTCTCTTGTGTCCTTTATTTCAGATGTGCTAATCCATTGTCAATAGTTGGAAAACATCCTGGTATGTGGTAAACCACAGTTCACTTCTTACAAATTCTGAACATTATCATTCATAGCTTGATATATCTTCCCAAGACGTGATTCGAAAATGTCTTTGTAATTTCTCTTTAATTCTTATTTTAAAGTCAGATAACATGTCAGATGGGCTCTGTAGTCTGCCTTAGGGTGAAAAGTTGTTTTCGTAGCTTCCATCAACTATTGGCTATTGCTTTAACTTAAAGAATCGTTTCAGTGACTCCCTTTCTTCACAGCTTCTGCTGAAGTAGTTTCTCTTAAGTTTCAGGTCTGATCATCGATTCTTCCCACACAGCAGGAAAGGAGGCGATTATGACCAGGTAAGGCATTTCAGCCCTTCAGCAGAAACCTCTTGGTAATTAATTCTATTTCTAGGTCTCTCTTCACTTGAGTGCTTTTACATCTTTGCGTTTTATTTTTCTTTTATGTTAGAGCTCACTCCAAGTTATAACCATTTGATCAATATTTTATTTTGCACATAAGTGATTTTCCTCAGTAACTTCTCAGCAACTTACAACTTTTATAAACTGCCTTCTTAAGTAAACTGCTTTCTGAGAAAGATTACATAAGAAAATAGTTTGTAAAGATTATAAGTTGTAAAAGAGTGCTAATAAAAATTATTATGAGCAAATTGTGTTTTTGCTTGCAGAATTCATATTTGGAATAGCATTTTAGCACCAAAACAAACCTGTTTAAGGGAGATTTTAAATGTTTTTCAGGATTCAATGGCTGCAGTAATTATATGAATTATTTGGATGATTGGAAGTGGGGGTGTAGGGGAGAGAAAGTGTTTCTTCAGCTTTAAACATGCAGAGTCCATCTTCACCTCCATTTTCTGCATTGGGGAAAGAGAGTTATAGGTGAAACCTAGGAGATCATTATTCTGAGATGCTGAAGAATCACTGAGGGGAAGAAGGGGAAGAAAATTTGAAAGCCTCTGGCTGAGTTTCTAATCAATTCATTATGCCATCATGAGTTTTCAAATTGCTCTTCTTACAATCTTGAATATCTTTGATTCCGTCACTCCCCTACTTCCTGCCTCAGTTTTGCCACTTTATGGGCCAAAATGTCCTGCACTAATCTACGAATTTAGAGAATCACAGATCAGAGAAATTATGCCAGATCTGAACGTCTCCTTGAATTCTGTTTTTTAAAATAGTAAAATGAAAGATTGATAAAAATATTGTTGGCGAGATGAGGCTCTGTCTCCATTTATTAAAGGCATCGTTCTCACTCCCAGACCTTTCTCAAATGGCCAGGGAGAAGGGTCGAGAAGAGACTCAGCCTCCTTCCAAATAAGTAAATGTTAGCTCTTCTAATGCAATCTAAAGTTCAAAGGATAAGCAAGGAGAACACATCTGGGACACAGTGGCAAGGGCTCTGTACACATTTCCAAGAATGAAATTCCCTTAAGCCTTGAGAGAGGCAGAGCCTGATAAGCAGTGGCCTTTCCCTCTCACTGCCCGGCTTCTCTCTCACTGCCATTCTAAACACTGGCAGATGCAAGTTTTGATAGTGTTTCAGTTTAATATTTCCCAAGCTCTGACTCTGTGGACCTCACTGGGACTGGGTGACAGGGTCTCAGTATTTTGATCCTGGCTATGTGGAGTGAATTCTGGAAGGAGCTTAGTTAGGATGGTGGAAATAGCCCTAATCTAAAAAGTTCTACATCATCCTGCATCACTGATCCTAAGGTCTAGGAGCTTAACTTCCTTCTGCCTCTACTTCCACGTTGAAAAACTTAGGGCTGGGCACGGTGGCTCACGCCTGTAATCCCAGCACTTTGGGAGGCCGAGGTGAGTGGATCACGAGGTCAAGAGATCAAAACCATCCTGGCCAACATGGTGAAATCCCATCTCTACTAAAAATACAAAAAATTAGCCAAGCGTGGTGGTGCGCGCCTGTAGTCCCAGCTACTCAGGAGGCTGAGGCAGTAGAATCGCTTGAACATGGCAGGCGAAGTTTACAGTGAGCCGAGATCGCGCCACTGCACTCCAGCCTGGTGACAGGGCGAGACTCCATCTCAAAAAACAAAAAAAAAGAAAAAAGAAAAACTTAGATGGTGCTGTCTGCACTAAGGTTGTGTCAAAAGATGACAAGAGGACAAGAAGCTTTGAATATCTTATAGGAAGAATTTACTATGGCTTATATGCCATGCCAGACATATCACTAAGTTTAGATTACTTTTTTAAAAAGATAATTTCAACTTTTATTTTAGATTTGGGGGTATATGAGCAGGTTTGTTACATGGGAATAGTGCATGATGCTGAGGTTTGAAGTACGATTCATGCCATCACCCAGGTAGTGAGCATAGTACCCAGTAGTTAGATTTTTCAACCTTTGCCCCACTTCCTCCCTCCTCCCTCTAGTAGTTCCTAGCGTCTATTGTTCCCATTTTTATGTCTCTGAGTAGCCAATGTTTAGCTCTCACTTATAAGTGAGAACATGCGGTATTTAGTTTTCTGTTCCTACATTAATTCACTTAGGATAATGGCCTCCAGCTGCATCCATGTTGCTGCAAATTACATAATTTTATTCTTTTTTATGGCTGCACTTAGATTACAGATCTAATACAGATCTGTATTAGATCAAATACAGAAAGTAGCTAATATTAATGCTATATCTCATGTAAACTTCAGGGGTTAATTAACTGTGGCAAATACTGTATCGTTCATTAGAATTAGCATAATTACAGTCCCTCTTAAAATTTGTTTAATTGAATTTTTTAAAAATACCCTTTTCAATAATTTTTCTTTTCTTTTTTTCTTTCTTTTTTTTGCCTTCAGACAATACCAATTTATTATCTTTCAGTTCTGGGGGTTGGAAGTCCAAAGTGGGTCTTACTGGGCTAAAGTCCTGCGCTCCTTCTGGAGGCTCTAGGGGAGAATCTGTTGCCTTGTCTTATCCAGCTTCTAGAGGCCACCATATTTGTTGGCTCAGGCCCCTTTCCTTCATCTCCAAAGTCAGCAATGTCAAGCCAAATCCTTCTGACACTGCCATCTCTCTTGTTCTCTCTTCTGCCTCCCTCTTCCACTTACAAAGACCTTTCAAGGTTTGAATGTTTGCCTCCTCCAAAACTCATGTTGGAACTTGATCTTCTATGTACAGTATTATAACGTGGGGCCTCTGGGAAGCAATTGGATCATGAGGGCTCTTTCTTCATGAATGGATTAGTCCATTCATGAATTAATGGATTCATTGGTTATCATAGGTGTGGATTAGTTAGTTATCATGAGAGTGAGTCTATTATGAAAAATAGCTTGGTTCTCAGTGCACACCCTCACTTTGTGATGCCTTCTGCCATGTTATGACAGAGCACAAGGCTCTTACTAAAAGGTGATGAGATTCAACTGCCCAGTCTTGGACTTTCCAGCCTCCAGAACTGTCAGACATGAACCTCTTTTCTTTATAAATTACCCAGTCTCAGGTATTCTAATGCAGCAACAGAAAATGGACTAAGGCAGGACCCTTGCAATTATATTGGGCCCACCCAGATAATCCACCTATCTTTTTTTAATTAAAAACTTAAAAAATTGTGGTAAAATACACATAACATAAAATTCAGCATCTTTCTTAAGCTAGGGGTGGTGGCATGTGCCTGCAGTCCCAGTTACTTGAGAGTCTGAGGTGGGAGGATTGCTTCAGCACAGGAATTTGAGACCAGCCTGGGCAACACAGCCAGAACCTGTCTCTAAAACAAAACAAAAATCTTAACCATGTTTAAGTGTACAGTTTAGTAGTGTTAAGTACATTGTTATGCCTTTTAGATAATTATTGCGTTAAAAAGGAAATTCAAGTCCATTTAAAATATCACTTGAATATTCAAAACACCTTTCTAATATTTCTTGGTTTAAAAAATCAATAATGAAATTACGTGTTATTGAAAAATGAAGGACCATAATAGCCCTATATATTAAAACTTGTTGGATGTGTCCAAGGAAAATTTAAAGCCTTAAATATATTTATTAGAAAATAAGAAAAATTAAAAATAAATGAACTAGTCATTCATCACATGAATCTTTGAAAAGAACAAAAAAGTACAGAGGAAGTATTGTAAAAATAAAAGCAGAAATTGATGAAACAAAAAACAAATATAGTAGACTTGATCAATATAAACATAAATGAATTATCTTAAAAGAATAGTAAGTAAATTTTTGCCAATTTTTATAAAGAGAAAAAGGAAAAATAGTAATCCTTAGAGAAAATGAAAGTGAACAAATGAAAATTATAGCAGTGCTTCTCCTTCCAAGAGAGTATGTAAGTTTTATACCATTATATTTGAAAAGGTAGATAGAATGGATGGTTTTCTAGAAAAATATAAATTTTTCATATTGACTTAGGGAGAAATAAGTAGTAGAATACTGAATAATTCAATAACCATAAAAGTAATTTAATAGGTAATCAAATAACTATCCTTTAAAAGACTCAGTCCCAGACAATTTATAGGCAAGTTCTAACAAACTTTCAAGAAACAGATAGTTCTTGTTTTATATAAATTATTCCAGTAATAGGAAAAGATGTAAAGCACTTCAACTTGTTATACAGACATAGATGGGACGAAAAATTACTTGGCAATAAATGCATATAAATATCCTAAATAATATATTAAAATAAAGATATATATATATATACCTCTCTCTCTCACATAATCACACCCTACCCAAGTGTTATTTAATCCCATGAATATAAGGATATTACAATGTCAGCAAATCTTATAATTTTCTATATTAACAAATGAGGGAGTTGACCTTGCTATATGTTTTAAAAATCTCAAATTCGTCCAGGCACGGTAGCTCACACCTGTAATCCCAGCACTTTGGGAGGCCAAGGTGGGCAGATCTCCTGAGGTCAGGAGTTTCAGACCAGTCTGACCAACATGGAGAAATTCTGTCTCTACTAATAATACAAAATTAGCCCAGCGTGGTGGCTCATGCCTGTAATCCCAGCTACTCGGGAGGCTAAGGCAGGATAATCAGCTGAACCCAGGAGGTGGAGGTTGCAGTGAGCCTAGATCGCACCATTGCACTTCAGCCTGGGCAACAAGAGCAAAACTCTATCTCAAAAAAAACAAAAAACAAAAAAAAAGCTGCTCAAATTCAACTCTATTCAATTATTTCTGATTAACATTAAAAAAATTCTCCTACTAAAATAGTAAAGGGAGAAAACCATCTTAACTTGATACAGACTGTCTGCCATAACTCCAGCATAAGAAATGAAACTTCAAAGGGAACATTAGAAACATTTTCACTGACATCAGGACAAGGGAAGGGTATCTGTATCATCTTAGCTATTCAACATTGTCCTGGATCTTCAAGCCAATACAGGTTTTATTATTTTAATTGCTGGGTCATAGGGTATGTGCATTTTTGATAGGTATTCCATTTTCTTCCCAACATAGTAATATGATAAATCTGTTTTCAGTATTATGAATATATAAATATTGTTCACTGCTGAGCCAACCAATGTGCCATAATTATATTTATTTTCTTGCACAAATTTTTGTTTTGCCTAGAGTTAAAAATATGCTTATATTTTCATTTACTTAATAGTCTTTGAACCTACAGTTAAGCTATCCCATACAATTACAGAGACGTAAAAATGCTACTGCAAAGAATTTTCTACATAGTCAAACTTGTCAGGAAATTGATTCATTCTAATATTCATTTCCTGGAAATATTCCTCTTAGAGCCTCCACCTTCCTGTTCCAATCTGGACCCTCTCTGGTTCAGTTTCTCCAGAAAATAAATCTCTCATCTCCTGCATGAATGGGTGTGAGTAACTTTTCCATCTTCACATAGTGTTGCTTGGGGTTATACACAACCAGGTAGAGTTTGTATTTTTGTTCATTTGTTGTCATTATTGTTCTGGGATGATTCTCAAGAGGAGAAAGGGGTGTATTTTTCATGGTCCCAAGAGGAAACACATGACATGCTAAATTTAGAATAATTTGAGAAACCTTCAGTTAATGGAATGTTTATAAATGTATGAGCTGGATACAGGGGAACTACAGGGATACTGTAGTGCCAGGGCCTGTAGCAGAACTCTTACCTCTAGCCCAACAGGGAGAAAAGGGATAAGTGGGACCCAGAAGAGAGAATTAATCAGAGGAAGCCATTTTGAAAGAGTCGAGTAACCTTTGACTCCAAAGGGAGGAAGACCTCGTCATGCTTCCTCCATTTCATCTCCTGTGAGTGAAGTGGGGGGGCAGGGGTAGGATGGTGCCCAGACTGCAACTCAATCTGGAGCCAGAGGGCAAAGGGGCCCATTGACAGCTCTGCACATACACATCAATCTCCTTGAAGAAGAAAACAGAGTAGAAGGAGGAAGAAAATAGGTCTGGAGGGTTACACAGAAGATATCTGGCACAGGGGTAGAAATCTCTTCGCAACTATTTTAAAACTGGAAGTCTGATATCCTGGCTTAAATGTTATCTCTTATTTGACACCTAAATTGATGTTATTAAGGTCTCAATTTACATCTCAAACCAGACTTCTCTTTTAAAATCTAGATTTATAGCTCCAGCTGCCTCTTGAATGTATAACTGACATCTTGAACAGAACATGTTCAAAACAGAATTCTTGATTTTTACCCCCAGATCTGTGCCTCCCCAGCCTTTCCAGAATTAGCAATAGCACTGCCACTTTTCCAATTGTTCCAGTCAAAAACCTAAGAATCACCATTGATTTTTCACTGATTCTACCCTCAAAATACATCTTGAATCATGCCACTTCTTTCAATCTGTGCAGCCACGACCCAGTCCTGATCTCCCCTCATCTCTTGCCCCAATTAGGAAATTAAATATCTTCTAATTAGTTTCTCTGTTTGATGGCCAAATTCTAAAAGCTACAGCTATGATTCACAGTTTCTTTAAGCCCACCTAATTTTTTGATTCAAGAACTGATTGGTCTTTGTTACTGGACCAGTTGCATTCAGTTGGTTCCCAAATTCTGCAACTAAATTGATCAACCCATTTGTATAGTCCATTTTCATACTGCTATGAAGAAATACCCGAGACTAGGTAATTTATAAAGAAAAAGAGCTTTAATGGACTCAAAGTTCCACATGACTAAGGAGGCCTCACAATCATGACAGAAGGCGAAGTAGGAGCAAAGGCACCTCTTACATGGTGGCAGGCAAGAAAGCATATGCAGGGGAACTGCCCTTTGTAAAACCATCAGATCTCATGAGACTTATTCACTATCACGAGAACAGCACTGGAAAAACCTGTCCCCATGATTCAATTACCTCCCACCAGGTCCCACATGGGGATTATGGGAGCTACAGTTCAAGATGAGATTTGGGTGGGGACACAGCCAAACCATATCATCATTCTTTCACTGATCTTTACATTTTCAGTTTTATCAGCAGTTGTACCATGTAGGTCAAAGCCTTGTTTCTATTTGAGTTTAAAATATTTTAATCCATCTTGGACTCACTAACACTAGTTAATGGTTTGATGACTTCATATTTAATGCCTAATGTCCTGGCTCTGAAGGAATTAACAAATAGAAAAAGAAAGCAATCCAAAATATGAAGTTTCAACATCTCTTCAGCAGGAGGTATTACTTAATGGGTGCAGAGGTTCTGTTTGGGATGAGAAAAAGTTCTGAAAATGGATAGTGGTGATGGTTATACAACATTGTGAATATCTTAATGCCACTGAATTGTACACTTAAAAATGGTGGAGATGGTAAGTTTTATGTTATATATAGTTTATCACAATAAAAAAATGTTAAGTTTCAACATCTTTGTTATCAGAAAAAAAAACTAGGAAGTTTCCTAAAATGTTGTAAACTAGGCCTGAAAGTCTGTAATATCATCTAGAGTAGAGACTGTTTAATATAGCTCTCTTACCCTACACCCCACCCCTACTCCAGCCTGCATTCCCAGGAGCCCAGCCCAGTTTGTGGAAGATGGTGGGCCCTGAATAAGCACTTATTAATTGAATTTTGAGTGTCATATTGATGATTGAACAAGTCTACATTCATCAGTTAGTACTAAAAACAGATTGAAATGGATATTACCTCATAAAAGGATCCCAATTCTTATCTTTACAGTCACTATCCTGCTTACTTTTCTGTGCATGAGCCTTTTGTTACCTAGAAATCCATTTCTATCACCTCTTATTCCTCTACAATACTTATCTTCTTGTTTCTTTAACCATTGCTTCAAAGTTTTGTTTTCCCAATCTTTTTTGTTTGTTTGTTTGTTTGAGACAGAGTCTTGCTCTGTCGCCCAGGCTGGAGTGCAGTGGCGCGACCTTGGCTCACTGCAACTTTCGCCTCCCGGGTTCAAGTGATTCTCCTGCCTCAGCCTCCCAAGTAACTGGGACTATGGCCAAGCCACCACACCCAGCTAATTTTTGTATTTTTAGTAGACATGGGGTTTCACCATATTGGCCAGGCTGGTCTTGAACTCCTGACCTTGTGATCTGCCCCCCTCGGCCTCCCAAAGTGTTGGGATTACAGGCATGAGCCACCGTGCCCGGCCACTTTCCCAATCTTAAATCACTCCTGTCAGTCTCAGATTAGTGCACTAGTATGAGCTCAAGGTCAAAATTCAGATACAATTTGTTAGCTCCCTATAGGGTGGGTGCACACCATGTCCTACGTGGTTAAGTGTCTGTCCAGTCTGGCCTCATCCTAGACTTTCATGATGAGCATGGGGCAATCTGCAGTCTTCCCTGCCCTCTTTCAGAAGCACTGGGGAACCAGTCCCACACTTAATCACACCCTTACCACCTCAATTTTGGTTTGCTGCTTCTGTGTTGGACCTTTAACTCCCCCATCCAAACTAACTCTCAGCTCATTCTGTCTACCACACAGTCACCTATGGGTATCCCCATCCCTCACCTTACCAAATGCAGCATGGTGGTGCACTCTAATCAGTGAGGTGCTGCTAAGTGTTTCAAAAGCAGCTCCCCAGGCAAAAAACAAGCACATGAATAATGCACAAAGAAACGACAAAAACCACTTGATTTGTAGCATTTTCTGATTTTTGTGGTGTAAATACTTGTACCATGGCCAAGTTCAGGCAATCAATGTGATGTCACTGAATATGGAGTTGGAAAGATACATATAGTAGCACATCATTTTATTGTATGTTTCCCTATGTTAGTTAACCTCTAAGATGTGAGCCCTGGTATTCAGTATTTATTTCCCTCTCATGTTGTTCCAGGGTTGTTTCGTATAACCAGTAGGAAATAGTGGAAGTGGTTGTATGTTACTTCCGAGGTTAGGCTATAAAAGGCACTGCAGCTTCTATCTTGGTCTCTCTCTCTCAGATCACTCACTTTGAGGGAGGTTAGCTGCCATGCTCTGAGAAACCTGATGGAGAAGCTCATGTAGTAAGGAACTGTGGCCTCCAGCCACAGTCATATGAGTTAATATTCGTGGAAGTCATATCTTTAGCTCCAGTCAAGCCTTGAGATGGCTGCATCCCCCACTGACAACTTGACTGTAGTTTCATGAGAAATCCTGAGCTAAAACCACTTAGTGAAGCTACTCTCAGATTCCTGACTTAGAAACTGTGTAAGTTAATTAATGTTTGCGATTTTGAACTGCTAAGTTTTGGGATGATTTGTTATACAGCAATAGATAACTAATACACCATCATAAAGATAAGATAGATATAAATACCCTAAAGAGCATAGAATTAGTAAAATAAGAAGAGTAATTAGGAAATGCCAAGTTTTGAATATTTACTGCCTTTGTTTTTGTTTTGTTTTGTTTTTTTCTTGAGATGGAGTCTTGCTCTGTCACCCAGGCTGGAGTGCAGTGGCGTGATCTATGCTCACTGCAAGCTCCGCTTCCCGGGTTCACGCCATTCTCCTGCCTCAGCCTCCCAAGTAGCTGGGACTACCGGCGCCCGCCACTACGCCTGGCTATTTTTTTTTTTTTTTTGTATTTTTAGTAGAGACGGGGTTTCCCCATGTTGGCCAGGCTGGTCTCGATCTCCTGACCTCGTGATCCACCCGCCTCAGCCTCCCAAAGTGCTGGGATTACAGGCATGAGCCACCACGCCCTGCCCTGCCTTTGTTTTTTTAACATAATATATGTAATTATAAGTTTATGTAATTAAAAATTTAATAATAGTTGTTGTATTAGCCTGTTCTCATGCTGGTAATAAAGTCATACCTTAGACTGGGTAATTTATAAAGGAAAAGAAGTTTAATGGACTCACAGTTCCACGTGGCTGGGGAGGCCTCACAATCATGCTGGAGGGTGAAGGAGGAGCAAAGTCAAGTCTTACATGGAGGCAGGCAAGGGATGTGTACAGGGGAACTGCCCTTTATAAAACTATCAGATCTTGTGAGACTTATTCTCTATCACAAGATCATCACAGGAAAGACCCGCCCCCATGATTCAATTACCTCCCACTGGGTCCCTTCCACCACACGTGGGAATTATGGGAGCTACAATTCAAGATGAGATTTGAGTGGGGACACAGCCAAACCATATCAGTTGTGTTTAATAGGTAGATTTTAAAAATTCCTGAAAATTTAATAGTCAGTGCTCATAAGCCTGTAGGGGCACGTTCTAGCACAGCACTGACTCTCATCTAGTAGTTGTCTAATTTTTTATTTGCATACACCTATCAGTAACAATTGCTTGAGCATATAATTGCAAAAGATTTGTAGTTAGCTTTATATTATATACACACACTACTCTAGTAATATGGTTATAATATTTTTGAGGGGAAAATAAACATATATATATATATATATATATATATATATATATATTTTTTTTTTTTTATAGATGGAGTCTCGCTCTGTCGCCCAGGCTGGAGTGCAGCAGTGTGATCTTGGCTCACTGCAAGCTCCGCCTCCCAGGTTCACATCATTCTCCTGCCTCAGCCTCCCGAGTAGCTGGGACTACAGGAGCCTGCCACCACGCCCAGCTAATTTTTGTATTTTTAGTAGAGACAGGGTTTCATCATGTTAGCCAGGATGGTCTCGATCTCCTGACGTCGTGATCCACCCGCCTCGGCCTGCCAAAGTGCTGGAATTACTGGTGTCAGCCACTGCACCTGGCACAATAAACAATATTTTAAAATACATTTTATTTCATTTATTTGTGATATGAACCTTTTTATTTTTAATGGGAACAAACTTTTCATAAGCAAGAGAAATGTGTCAGCTCTATTACTTCACCACTGTTTTAACCTGTAATGTGCCTGAATGAGAGCTCATGCCAGAAAGAGAAAAAGTTATCAGCTCTGCCAATTTCTTGTTGTTTCCTTTTGCTTGTGTTATTAAAACTCAATTCAATTCATGCTCTCTCTGCAGGAATATTTTAAAACTAAATAACCTAATCTGTAAAACCATGTAACTTTTTACATGCAAATAGCAATATTTCACAATTCTAGGAAATAGAATGAATGAGAATGGGGGAGTCTGTGTTGCCACAAAGGAGTATCTGAGGCTGGCTAATTTATAAAGAAAAGAGGTTTGCTTGGCTCACAGTTCTGCAGGCTGTACGAGAAACACGGCCCCAGCATCTGCTTGGCTTCTGGTGAGGTCCTCATGCTGCTTCCACAAACAGGGAAAGTCAAGGGGAACCCGTGTGTGCAGAGATCAGATGGTGAGAGCAAATCAAGAGAGCCAGATGGGGGAGGTACCAGGCTCTTTTTAATAACCAGTTCTCGGCTGGGCGTGGTGGCTCACACCTGTAATCCCAGCACTTTGGGAGGCCGAGGTGGGCGAATCATGAGGTCAAGAGATTGAGACCACCCTAGCCAACATGGTGAAACCCCATCTCTACTAAAAATGCAAAAATTAGCTGGGTGTGGTGATGCATGCCTGTAGTCCCAGCTACTCAGGAGGCTGAGGTGGGAGAATAGCTTGAACCCGGGAGGCGGAGGTTGCCATGAGCCGAGATTGTGCCACTGCACTCCAGCCTGGAGACAGAGCAAAACTCCATCTGAAAAAATAAAAATAAAATAAAAAATAAAATAACTAGTTCTCCTGGGAATGAAAAGTGAGAATTCACTTACTGCACCCACTCACCCTACAGGGAGGGCATTAATCTTTTCATGAGGGATCCACTCCCATGACCCAAACACTTCCCATTAAGCCCCAACTCCAACATTAGGATCAAATCACAACATGAGATTTGGAGGAGTCAAACATCCAAATTATAGCAGGGGTCATTGTCAATCCGAACTCACTATGGAATTCTCACTCTTCCTAGGACACTTGGCATGCCAGTGAGATTGTCTTTGTGTATCCATACAGTAAATATTAAAGTTGAACTCCTTTCACTTTTAAGAGAAAGAGATAACTGTTTTATTATTTTTTCCTCATACACCAGTAGATCATTTTACCCAAACCCTGGAACATCACATTCAGGAATGAGGAGGAATATCTCACCCTCACCTCCCCCTTTAGAGACCTGTGGTCTAATCCTTTGCTGGAAACTAATGCTGACAAATGGTGTTAAATGGCCACATAGGACCTCCCATAAGGGCTCCTGAAAGGTACATCCCCTTCGGTAAGTGGTAGGGAATCACTGTACCTTGGGTTTACAAAACTGGATTGAATGCAGGGGATATAAGTACACAAGGGAGATAAGTTTGGAAATGCTTAGCTATCTCTGGAGTTGGAAAGACGAGAACACAAGAAGAATGCGTAAAAAACAAAGAAACAAAAAATAGCAGCAGACACCTAACATGGGTGATGAATATAACAGTCAGAGCTACGGTGCTTCGTTGAAAGCAAAAGTCTAGAAAAGCAAGTAAGATAAACTCATCACAAGCATCTTTTGAGTCCCTAAAGTCTCCTTTCCTGGGAAGATTTAATAGAAGAATATGGCAGTCACCCATCCTCTGGCATAACATCTATAAATGTGTTATTCCTCCATCCCCTACCCAAAACTCTTTCAAGGTGATCATTCAAATGCATACTTTTCTGCATATTATAAAGTAATTTTTCGCTTCTTTTGTGTTTTGATAGATGTTTCCTGGTATTTAGCTTCAGAATGTTTCCTTTTATGCATCTGAAACATTGTCATTTCTTGGAGACTCTAATGTGGCTTTAAAAAAAGAGGATCACTCTGTCCCCAACTGTTACCTGCTCTCCAAGGGAGAGCTCAACCCCAGGAAATTGGAAGGTACTGATTATTTAGCCTACCTTAGTTCAGCTTCGTTATCACTGTTATAACACCTTTGACTAGTTGCTGGGGTTGGAGTGATGGCGAAGAATATATATTGACAATATTTCTTTTTAAGAGATCAAAGCCTGTATTAGTTATAGTATTCCAAAAGGAAAAAACACATAATAAATTAATTGTTATAACCATAGCCTTTAACATCTTACAAAGTACTTGTACATCCTTTTCTCATTGAAGCCTACCTGCAGTTCTAGGTTGAGATTATTTTTATTTACCATTGAAAAAAACTGTGGTCATGTGGCTTACACAATTTACACAAACCTTGTTTCTAAGGTAAATATCACAGACATAGCAGGTCTCCTGTTCTGTGACATATGACAAAAAGAGACAAATAAAACATGTTTTTCCTTCCTTTTACTTCATGTTTTCACTACCTCCCTAACTCCATCTGGTCCAGGTTGAAGTAAGCTGACAGTCTTCATTTACCTTCTGTTTGTTTTGAGAAGACTCTTGAACAAAATTAAACCTCAGGGGCAGGATAAGAAAATTGGGAGAAGGAGACAGGTTCATTGGAAGACATAAACCATGAAGATGATTGCCAATATGGGGACAGACAAGGTTAACTAGAAATCTGTTTGGCTATAAAGCAGGAAAGATAGAGCCAGTATAGGAAGATCAGAAAAAAGACAGGAATCAGGAAAACTCCCTAATTTTCAGACCACGATTTCACCTTTTCATAGCATATTAGGATGAAATGAACAGAAATCCTGTTTCAATATGTTAGACTGTGTAAACTAGATGAGCCACATGTATTCTCTGGGCCTGTTTCTCTCTCTCCTAAACACACACACAATTTAGGATGGCCAAATAAAATACCAGATACCCAGTTAAATATGGATATCATACTAAAAGATAAATGCTTTTTTAACCTAAGTATGCCTCAGTTTCATATGAAATATATGAAATCTACTAAAAAATTGGTTTCTTTATCTGAAATTCAAATTAATTTGATGCCCTGTATTTTTATTTACTAGATCTGGCAACCGAAACCTAATGAAACTTGAGATCAACTTGCTGCCACTGAATATAACCCTATGGAGCTGAGGAAATCACTACTGCCCCCTGTTGGACTCGGTTGGAACAGTCATTTTCTTGTTTTGAGATGTGCATATTAGTTGCAAATAATTCTTAGTTTCTGTCTGTAGTTACACAAAGTTTGTGCTTTAAGTACAGTTTCCACTCTGTTGATGCTGAAACAAGTTTTTCAAGTAGATCTGGTTTGGAATTTGTTCTCTCCTTCCCCAAGTTCCAGAGATGCTCAACCCCTTCCACTATCACCAAGATAACTTCCTTTGCCAAACTAGCAAACATGTCCAGTTAAATCATAAATTGAACTTAACGTCAACCTCCCATGGACGCATTACACATTACACATTACAGATGCCATTAATGTGCACATATTACACATTACTTCCTTTGCCAAACTAGCAAACACGTCCAGTTAATGATAAATTGAACTTAATGTTGACCTCCCACGGACACATTACAAAGACGTAATAATCAATGTCACAATTTTCCCTACAAATCCTACTCATTGGGTGTGAGATCTATCACAAAAAGTTTGTAGAACCTCCCTTCCTGGGAGTTGGTTAATTTGAGAGAGGTCATCTCAAATGGATCAAATTCAGGTGTATCAAATGGCAGGGAGGAAGAAATAGACGACTCCTCAGACTCCATCAATTACATTTTTATTTGTTATATCTCATTCTCTACTTTGCCAGGGAGAACATATGAAATTGGACTTGCAAAGATGGCGAACCATCTCTTCCAAAGAGTGTAGAGCGATACTCCCATCCCTGCATCTGACCATGAACCTGACCCTTTTTATAGCCCCCACAGTAAAAGCCAAAATAAAGTAAGATTGCTTTGTGTGCCCTTGAGGTGGTTTTGGTGCACAGAAAAAAACCATTCAGCAGTCTAAATATTCCTATTGAATGTATTAAATGTTAACTATGAAAATATAAATCTCATCTTAAGTCTTTTCTTGAAGTGAAATTCACTTAAGATTAGGCATTTTAAAGTGGACAATGTAGTGGCATTTAGTCCCAAACATTTCCATTGCTCCAAAGTAAAACTCCCTTCCCGTTAAGCAGTCATTCCTCATTCCCACCTTCCCCCTCACCTTGGCAATCACTAATCTGCTTGCTATCTCTATAAATTTGCCTATTCAGATATTTCACATAAATTGAATCATATACTATGTGGCCTCTTGTGGCCGGCTTCTTTCATGTAGCATAATATTTTGGAGGTTCATCCACGTTGTAGCATGTATCAGTACTTCATTTCTTTTATGGCTGAATGACATTTTCCTTAAGTTTTTTAGTTCAGCTTATAAAACTTATTATTCTATTTCATGGAATTAGCAAATTTTGAATGATAGCTTTTAAACTGACTGATTAATATGTAGTCCATTGACATAGTTAATTAAAACCCTTTAAAATTTCAAATAGTATATATACATTTAACATGTTCAATTTTCTTTAATAGACTTTTTAATTGAAGTATAACAGACACATAGAAAAGTACACAATTCCTCAGTGTGCAGTTGCATGCATTTTCACAAAGTGAACATGCCTGTGTAGCTGCCAACCAGACTAAGCGGAAGAACATGACCAGCATTGCAGAGAGTCCCCCTGCCCCTTTGCCTTTTCCTGTGAAAGAACCATCTTTAAGTCCTGAATCTGTATGCTTTTCTGTGGAAGAAATACTTAACAAATTATTTGCTAGCCGCTTGTCTACCTTAACAGAAATGGCTGCAGGCTGCCAAAGACACGATTCAGAAAGAAGCTCCCTGTTGGTCTTGTGGCTTTTGGCATCCCCTAACACCCCCTCAGAACCCTCTGCCTGCAGATCCGTCCCTTTGTGCTGAGTAGGTGGCACACATTGCCCTTTAGTGTGAAGGAATTGGAAATAGAAGAGAATGACACTATCTCAATTATAACTGGGTTTATGCTGAAGATCCACTGCTAGCTGCTGTATATACATTTCCTACAGTTATGGGCAATTATTCCTGTTTTTTTTTTTTTTTTTTTTGAGACGGAGTTTCACTCTTGTTGCCCAAGCTTGAGTGCAATGGCGCGATCTCAGCTCACCGCAACCTCCACCACCCCAGGTTCAAGCGATTCTCCTGCCTCAGCCTCCCAAGTAGCTGGGATTACAGGGATGTGCCACCACACCTTGCTAATTTGTATTTTTAGTAGAGGCAGGGTTTCTCCATGTTGATCAGGCTGGTCTCAAACTCCCAACCTCAGGTGATACACCTGCCTTGGCTTCTCAGAGAATCCTTTTTTATTTTTATTTAAAAAAAATTTTTTTTTGAGACGGAGTTTTGCCCTTGTTGCCCAGGCTGGAGTGCAATGGTGCGATCTTGGCTCACTGCAGCCTCCGCCTCCCAGGTTCAAGTGATCCTCCTGCCTCAGCTGCCCGAGTAGCTGGAATTACAGGCGCCTGCCACCAGACCCGGCTAATTTTTTGTATTTTTAGTAGAGATGGGTTTTTGCCATGTTGGCCAGCCTGTTCTTGAACTCCTGGCCTCAGGTGATCCGCCCTCCTTGATCTCCCAAAGTGCTGGGGTTACAGCCGTGAGCCACCTCGCTCCGCCTAATTAATCCTTTTGTTATGAAAACCCTTTAGGTATTTCCAGATGTAGACAGGGAAACTCAATGGACTTTAATGGCACATGCTCTCAAGGGTTCCCGTGGCCAGACCAGGTAAATAGCCCGCTCTTAGAAAAGATGCCTTGAGAAGAATTATTTCTAGCCAGAACAGACTTTAATAGCATCAGCTAGATGAACAGAAAGCCCAGAGCTAAGGTAAATGCAGAAAGTAGTTAAGAGTTCTGGTGAGGAAAATAGTATGGGGCCATACAGTACAGAGCTTCAAAAGCTAGGGCAGGAATGTGTTGTGAGGCAATCAGGAATCACTGGAGGTTTGTGAAGGGAAACCCATCAGGGTCGAATCACCCTCCTCTCCTATATCATTTTTATGTTCAGAGGGGCCTTCTGACATAAAGAGTAGGACTGATGAGTGAGTTTTCACACCTGTGACTTCTTGGGAGCGATCAATCTGTTCACAGAGACCTTTTATCCGCCTTTGTCCTCACCATGGAGTTGACCACCTACCTGGCCTTGTACTTCTTGAGTGATGATGAGCATGTTATCCATAGCAACCATAATAATAGGTAACAGTATTTATAATGTGTCTGTCACTGTTCTAAGTAGTTTTTAATCTTTTTTATCTTCACAGCAACCCTCAAAGTCAGTATTATCATTATCCCGATTTTACAAATGAAGAAACTGAAGCACAGAGAGGTCAAGTAGTTCACCCAACGTCACCACTAGCCAGTAAGTGGCAGAAAAAGGATTCACAGCTAAGTGGCCTGACTCTAGAGCCTATATTCTTACCTTAATCTACTCTAGACTATTCTCAACCTTAAGATATTTTATCTACATCAAAGCTGCATTTAATGCTCAATTGTTTTTACACATCTGTAGGCTGCTGTTGCAAATGTGGGATGAGGTTTTATTTTTTTTCTGTCCCTTCTCATCTGGGCCCTGGGCAATTGCTTAGAGGTAGAGCTGGTAGCGTTGTCTTCTGCTGCTCCTCACCTGTGCTCCAGAGGACAAAAATAGGGCAGCCTGCATCATTTCTTGCCCAGTTATTCAACACTTATTGATTGCCCGTCTCAGGCAAAGCACTGAAAGGATTGAAGCTACACATGACATAACCCTTGGCCTGGAGGCTCTTACACCTCATCTGGATCCAGGGGCATTTACAGGAGAAGAAGATGGACAGGCCAGGAGACCATTAAAAACAGGAATACTCGACCAGGCATGGTGGCTCACGTCTGTAATCTCAGCACTTTGGGAAGCCAAGGTGAGTGGATCACCTGAGGTCAGGATTTAGAGACCAGTCTGACCAACATGAAGAAACCCCATCTCTACTAAAAATACAAAAAATTAGCCAGGCGTGGTGGCACATGCCTGTAATCCCAGCTACTCTGGAAGCTGAGGCAGGAGTATCGCTTGAACCCGGGAGGCGGAGGTTGCGGTGAGCTGAGATCGCACCGTTGCACTCCAGCCTGAGCAACAAGAGCGAAACTCCATCTCAAAAACAAAACAACAACAACAAAAAAAAACAAAAACAAAAACAGGAATACTCACCTCCAGCCCTGTTTGGCTACATGCTTCATTTCTCTTACTCTATCCCTGAATCACTGGAGTGCTAGGAAAAGTGACCACCTTCGTGCATCTCCTTTTCTACCTAAAAAATGTAGCTTCCTTGATTTTTTTTTGGGTCGGGGGATTGTTTGTTAGCGTGAAAGTGGTTTAAGATCTAAGGCAAAATAACAAAGTGTTATTATCTGAGTACACAGCACACACTGCCCTTTCAAAACTGTTGCCTGTAGACTTACTGCACAGAGCAAAGCCCTCTGGGAACAAGCACTTACAATGAAAAATGGCTTATTATCATAATGGAGTATTCAATTACTTCCTCTGATGAGAGGTGGAGGGGTTTCTAAATTCATTGTATTAATTTAGAGTTTAGGGGAGGGAAATAATTAAAAATGTAGGCCACCTATGGGTGCTACATAATGTGGATGATATAGTGTTGTTATAATGGGAATATGATACATTTTATTTATACAGTCTCTAGCTACAAAGAGTGTATTAGGTATTTTGCAGTGGGGCTTGGAAGCCTAAAACAAACAAGATTAAAATCAGCAATAAAGCAGATCGGGAGAAGCCAGTGAAATTCAGCAATAAATTTGATGCAAAGCCAATGTGATATGCCAAAGGCCTTTTAGAATTTGCTGTGGGCTGATGATTATGTTTTCTTAGTTTAGTGATATGGGAGGATATAGAAGGTAGGGTTGATGACTGTGAAGGAGAGGTCAGCCAGGGAGCACTTCCTATTGCAGGAAGAACAATTCCAACTTTGTGGAGGAGAATAGAATATTCATGGCCTAAAGGTTTTTGTGAAAATGTGTGTGTGTGTGTGTGTGTGTGTGTGTAACTCTCCACAGTCACTCATTCCTGTGTGATTCATAAGTCTTATAGTCAGGAAATCCTTTCTCCATAACCCCATATCATTTTGTGGGGTTTCCCACTCATGTTTTCTTTTATTTCTTCCAGTCCCATGCTCAGCCTTCAATCTTTTAAAACCTCCAGACTCCTGTAACAATTACTCCTGGTATTCCTCATGTTAATATAGCAGAGCATACTAGACAGAAATAAGGCCCAGGAGAGGAGAATGCATACTTAATAGTCATATGGGGTTCACTGGGTCCAATCTCAGTGTAATAACACTTAGCAAAATTTCTCGGAATTCTATGAAAATGGCAGCAAAGATTTGCTGAGAAAGGCTGCATGTACTGTCTATTTTTCTCCATGCACTTACATTAAACATACCCTAAAGCATATCTTCTAAGGCCCTGGCAAAAACCCTTAACCCATGTGTTGACGAGAATGGTTCTGGTCTAGCTTGTGCCCTACTTTATGTGTCCCATGTTGTTCTTGCTGCAAATGTAGATGCATTTGTCTGTCAAAGCATCAGTTCAAAGGACTGAATATTATGTATTTTCTTTTTCTTTCCTTTTCTTTTTTTTTTTTAGAGGCAGAGTCTTGCTCTGTTGCCCAGGCTGGAGTGCAGTGGCACCATCTCAGCTCCTTGCAGCTTCCACCTCCCAGGTTCATGCAGTGAACCTCAGACTCCCGAGTAGCTGGGACTACAGGCACATGCTACCATGCCCAGCTAACTTTTGTACTTTTAGTAGAGATGGAGTTTCACCACGTTGGCCAGGCTGGCCTCGGACTCCTGACCTCAAGTGATCTGTCCGCCTTGGCTTCCCAAAGTGCTGGGATTATAGGCGTGAGACACCACGCCCAGCCATATTATGTATTTTCTGTGGGAGATTTGCGTATGTGCTATGGATTCTAAGAATTAGTTGCTAGTTGCCTGCTCTACTTGTTAACATGAATGGGTACATTGTGAGAAAGAAAGCTCCCCTCTCAGGGTCCTCAGAGCACACTGCATCCTTGGTCTCTTTAGCCTCTGTTCTTGCTCTGGCACAATTTGTGTTCTCTGTGTAGTGCAATCCCAGGGCTGGTTAATCCTCTTTAGTGGGAAGTATTGCTCCCTGCCTGGCAGCTACACTAAAAGGTTGTACGTTGAGCTACACCATTGCAATTTCTGGGTAATAGCATTAAGTATTCTCTTCCCCTCTATGCCAGTGACTCTAGGTGTTATTGTTTAAACGCTTCATTTCTAAAACTGCATAGTAACATCAGATTATAATCATGTACAATGCAGTTATTTGTTCCCATCTTGCTGGTGTGTTTCTACAGGGTGGACACTACTTTCACATTTTCTTAATTTTTCTCCATGTCTCCATATATATATATATGGCAATGAACCACATATATATTGTCATATATATGTATATGTGTGTATATATATACACATATATATATAGAGAGAGAGAGGGAGGGAGAGAGAGAGCAATGAGCCAGACATGGAGAAAAAAGTATATTTCTTGAATAGCTTATATAAATAACATATATATAAAAAGAATATTTATTGGGCATTTTCTATATATATATATATATATATATATATACACCATTTATATTTTTTCATTTTCTCATGTTTTCAGAAAGTTTTGAGACATAATTGTACATCTTTATGGGGTTACAGAGTGTTACTTCGCTACATGTATACAATGTGTAATGTTATTTCGATATATGTATACAGAGTGTTATTTTGATACATGTATACAATGATGTAATGATCAGATTAGGGTAACTAGCATATCTACCACATCGAGCAGTGATCATTTCTTTGTGTTTGGAACATTCAAAATTCCCTCCTTTAGCTATTTGAAAATATGCAATAGGCCAGGTTCAGTGGCTAACACTTGAAATCCCAGAACTTTGGGAGGTCGAGGTGGGAGGATCACTTGAAGCTGGAATTCAAGACCAACCTGGGCAACATAGCAAGACCCCATCTCTACAAAAATTAGAAAACATTAGCCAGGTGTGGTGGCATGTGGCTGTAGACCCAACTACTCAGGAGGCTGAGGTGGGAGGATTGCTTGAACCGTGGAGGTTAAGGCTGCAGTGAGCCATGATTGTGCCACTGTACTCCAGCCTGGGTGACAGCTGGGTGACAGAGCAAGACCCTGTCTCAAAAAAAAAAAAAAAAATTAGCCAGGCATGGTGGCACATGCCTGTAGTCCCAGCTACTCAGGAGGCTGAGGTGGAAGGATTGCTTGAGCCCAGGAGTTCCAAGCTTCAGAGAACTATGATCATATCACTGCACTCCAGCCTGTACAACAGAGTGAGACTCTATGTCTCTTAAAAAAATTAACAAAAACTAAACAATAAATTAATAACTATAATCACTCTGCAGTGCTATAGAACACTGTAAGTCATTCGTCCTATCTAGCTTTAATTATGTATCTGTTAACCAACCTTTCCCTATCCACCTCTCCCCACTCCCCTTCCCAGACTGTAGTAACCACAGTTCTACTCTCTACTTCTATGAGCTCAACTTTCTTAGCTTCCACATACGAGCGAGAACATGGGGTATTTATCTTTCTGTGCCTGACTTATTTCATTCACTTAACATAATGTCCTGCAGGTTAATCCATCAACATCTTATTATGAAAATGCTCAAAGCTACTTACAGAAAAGTTGGAAGAGTAGAACAGAGAAAAGTGGTATATGTTTACCTAGACGTAGCAGTTGTTAATATTTGGCCACATTTGCTTTGTCTGTTCATATATACCTTAGTTTTTTTCTAAAATATTTGAAAATAAGCTGCAGAAAACATGACATTTCATTTGTAAATATTTCAACACACATTTCCTAAAGATAAAACAAAAAATATATATAACCACAATATTGTAATGACACCTAAGAAAAAAATACAGTTCATATTTTAAATTCCATAATAACTAAGGAGGCTGGTAAGAGGATTGCTTCAGGGCTGGGCACGGTGGCTCACGCCTGTAATCCCAGCACTTTGGGAGGTCGAGGTGGGGGATCATGAGGTCAGGAGATTGAGACCATCCTGGCTAACACAGTGAAACCCCATCTCCACTAAAAATACAAAAAATTAGCCGGGCAAGGTTGTGAGCGCCTGTAGTCCCAGCTACTTGGGAGGCTGAGGCAGGAGAATGGCATGAACCCAGGAGGCACAGCTTGCAGTGAGCTGAGGTCACGCCACTGCACTCCAGCCTGGACGACAGAGCAAGACTCCGTTCCCCCCACCCCCCCCCAAAAAAAGAGGATTGCTTCAGGCAAGGAGTTTCAGACTAGCCTGGACAACGTAGTGAGACCTTGTCTCAAAATAAATAAATAAATAAATAAAAATTCCATAGTCATCTCAAACATTTTAAAGAAATAGTTGTTATTATCGCTTTTATAAAAATACAGGACTTTATAAATATTCATGAATTGCATGCTGGCAATTATTATTTCTAAATTCAGACAATTGTTTTCATCCAGGAATGTGTGCTATCTTGTAAGATCTTCTAATATTTCAGGATAAGCTAGAAGTGCAGTTTTTCATGTTAAGTAACTTTGAACAAATGTGGAAGAGTCATTCATTTACTGTTTCTGTCCCATAGTTCTTCTTGGTAGAATCTGTGATGATTATTGCTACCTACAAAGATGAGAGAGGGACTAGAGGTAACAAGAATAGAACATATAGAACAGGATGTAGTCAACATATCAGACACTTGTTACTGGGAATAGCTAGGATTAGAACAAGGCTGACATTCTGGTGATATGCACTCATATAATTGCATGATTGTTAATATCAAAATCCTATTTACTCTTGGCACACTATGGCATCAAAGCCTTAATTCCTGGCACCCCAGATGACCTCCAGGACCACGACTGAGATGTCTGTTCTAATTGGTCAGTATCTGTGTCATATTCTTAATTTTTTAATTTTAAAAATATCCCTCCTGGATGAAAAAAAATGAAAACCTTGAATAGACACATTCAAGAGTACTCTGCCTGTTTCAGTTCTCCTGTCTATTAACAGGGATTATGGTTTTTAAAAATGGTTTTAGAATTTATATTTTACCAAGTCACTCATAGATTTAGGATTAAACAGTTTTTATTATTTAAGGTGTTAGGTCTTTCTGCTACTCACAATTTTCTGCATTTTCCGCATTTTCCTTTTCATTATACTCACAAGAATCTATCATATATAAAAATTTCAGACATAGCTATGTATAAATATCACATTTCCCCAAGGTAGAGCACATTTTCTACACGTTTACTCCAGCCAAAGAACCCAGCATTCGGTGTTCAAATAAAAACCATATTTATTATTTTATAAATGTTGGCACTGAACAGATAACAGGTGGTAGTGACTGTTTCTTAAGAATTGTGTGCATATCTGAGCATTTATTTACTTAATATTTTTGAAATTAAGCATAAAAATTTCATAAACCTGTAAAGCTAAACAAATGTCATCTATTTTGCATTTACTGAGTACATACAAGTGTTTACAGAAGCAATGTTTCTGAACAGTTATTTACATAATCAAAGAATTTGATGAGATTTGGAGCAATAATTTCATTAAAGTTTAAAAAGTTTTAGAATGTGTAAAAGTGACTGAATGGTTAGGTATGAATTCTGGGAACCTGCATCAGAAATGCCAATGAAACATTGGAAGAGTTTTTTCTTTTTGTTTTTTTGAAACTGACATGGGACATAGAATGCTGAAGAAAGAGAATGACTGGAAACGAAAAGAGAGGTTAACAAGCTGTCATCACCTTAGAACACAAATGTGAGCCCTGTGCAATTCAGGATATTAAGTGCCAAAAGGAAAACACCTTCAGTAAAGCAAGAATATCGAAACTATTAGGTTCTGTCAGAACAATGCACGTTATACTACATAAATCTTGCTGTAATAATTTATTTATTATTTTTTGAGCAAATGCTAATTTATATGTTTCAAAATGTAAGAAAATGCACCCCTGGCCAGGCGGGGTGGCTCATGCCTGTAATCCCAGCACTTTGGGAGGCCAAGGCTGGAGGATCACCTGAGGTCGGGAGGTCGAGACCAGCCTGACCAACAGGGAGAAACCCCGTCTCTACTAAAAATGCAGAATTTTAGGGTGTGGTGGCACATGCCTGTAGTCCCAGCTACTTGGGAGGCTGAGGCAAGAGAATCCCTTGAACCCTGGAGGCGGAGGTTGCAGTGAGCCGAGATTGCGCCATTGCACTCAAGCCTGGGCAAGAAGAGTGAAACTCCATCTCAAAAAAAAAAAGAAAAGAAAATGCACCCCTATCCCTCAGCCATGTGTTTTTTCCCAAGAGGCGAAAAAGATTATCATCTTATCTATTTCTTGTATTCTTACAAGAATATATAATTCATATAATGTATATAACTGTAATACATCTAATACACAATACATTTGGTGTATATATTCACATTCAGAAAAGTGAACAATATATTTGGCAATATATTGTTGTCAACTACAGAAAAGTTAGCAAAATAAAATATGACCCCCACAAAGCACAAAATGTAAAACACAAAAATAAATAAAGGAAAGTTAATATCTATGTAACCAGCACCTAATCAAGAAAGAGAACATTACCAGCTCTCCCCAGTTTTTACCCTGTCTCTCCTACCTGGAAGGTAACCATTATGTTGATACATAACAATATATTTTGCCTGTTTTTTTAATTTTATATAGATGAAATTATACAGTACACATTCTTTTGTGTATTTGTTCATTCCATTTTATTTTATTTTGTTTTGTTTATTTTATTTTTGAGACACTGACTTGCTGTGTCACCCAGGCTGGAGTGCTATAGTGTGAACACATCTCACTGCAGCCTCAACCTTCTAGGATCAAGCTATCCTCCCTCCTCACCCTCCCAAGTAGCTGGGACCACAGGCATATGCCACCACACCTGGCTAATTTTTTAAAAAATGTTTTTGTAGAGACAAGGTCTTGCCATGTTGCCCAGGCTGGTCTCAAACTCCTGGGCTCAAGCAATCCTTGCACCTCAACCTCCCTAAGTGTTGGGATTATAGGTGTGAGCCACCATGCCCGACCTCATTTTATATTTTTGAGATTCATTCATGTTGTTTTCTGTAACAAAAGTTGGTTTCTTGTTCATTGCTCTAGTATTTTCTATTGTATGACTGTGGTACTGTTTATACATTCTACTGTTTTGGGGCATTTCTCTTGCAATACCCAGCAATACTGCAAATATCTTTTTTTTTTTTTTTTTGAGATGGAATCTCACTCTGTTGCCCAGGCTGGTGTGCAGTGGCACTGTCTCAGCTCACTGCAGCCTCCACCTCCTGGGTTCAAGTGATTCTTGTGCCTCAGCCTCCCAAGTAGCTGGGATTACAGTGATGGGTCACCATGCCTGGCTAAGGTTTGTATTTTTAGTAGAGACGGGTTTTTGCCATGTTACCCAGGCTGATCTCGAACTCCTGCCCTTAAGTGATCTGCCTACCTCAGCCTCCCAAAGTCCTGGGATTACAGGTGTGCACCATGATGCCCTACCACAAATGTCTTCTTTATGTTCCTTTGTGTATATGTACCCATATATCTGGAGAAGAAGCATGCACACACACACACATACATATGTGTGTAAAATGTAAACAAGTTTTAATGTGTTATCACTCCCTCCACACACAATGGCTTTTCTTCACAAGGGCTTTTATTTTGTGAAGGACTAATAGAGGCAAATTGGTTTTGGGGAGCTCATTAAATTTTGGGGTAGCTGTTTTTCAACTATATGGATAGCTGTTTTTCAACTATAAGCTAAACCAACTCACCTTCATAATCTCTGTTCAATGGATGTTCATTTTAGTACTCTTCACACGATTTTTAAAAAGCACAAAATACTAAAATGTCCAAAAGTAGGAGGCTGGTAAAATAATGACATACCTGTTCAAAGCTATATTATTCAGCTATTTAAAAAAACACAATTAGTAGTAGATTATGTAATGATACAGAAAGCTGTTTATTGCTTAAAATAAAGCAAGTAACAAGATAATATGTATTGGCATATACAGAAATGAAATCTTAGAATACAAAAAAATGTTAATAGTGGTTATGTCTGAGTAACAGGTAGAATTATATGAGGTTATTTCATTCATTTTGTGCTCCATGTTATATTTTTTCTATAATAAGCATTACTTTCATATTATTTTAAAGTTACTCAGAAAAATGGAGGCAGAGGCTCAATGATTTGTTGACTTGGACAGTGATGAATATCTGGGGAATTCGTGGTACTATACCTCTTGCTGCCATGAGTATTTTTAATTTTCCCTCTCTGTATGACTCTCTAATGACTTTCTGGAATCTCACTTGATTTTTCTTTAATATCCTCCCATGTTTTCTCTCTCTCTCTCTCTCTCTCTCTCTCTCTCTCTCTCTCTCTCTCTCTCTCTCTCTCCCCTTCGTTCCTTGTCTGCCCTGGGTACTAAGGGAGCTAGGTGACTTTGCTGAGCAGCCACTGCTACAGGAGATATCCTGCATATCACGAGTCCACCAATTGATCCACCAATCCATGCAGAGCAGTTGAAATCATCTGCTAACTGGATTTCCCCTGTGACACCTCCCTAACCTCTGGATATCTATGGGACATTTGTTATAATAAATAAACTGATCTCTGTGGATGGCTGAAAATCCTCTCAGAGGAGTTAAATAGAAATGGTGGTCATCCTGTTGAAGCTAGTACCCGTTGCAATGTGAACTGTGATTTTAGCATAACTGAACTTCTTGATGTCTGGTACAACCTTGTTGGGTTTTTTGTTTTGTTTCGTTTTGGTATCACTGATGAGTCAATTAAGGACGAAAATAGGCATCAAATAAGTATTAAGAGGCAGGCAGATCATGAGGTCAGGAGTTTGAGACCAGCTTGGCCAACATGGTGAAACCCCTGTCTCTACTAAAAATATAAAAATTAACCAGGCATGGTGGCATGTGCCTATAATCCCAGTTACTCAGGAGGCTGAAGCAGGAAAATTGCTTGAATCTGGGAAGCAGAGGTTGCAGTGAGCCTAAATCACGCCACTGCCCTCTAGCCTGGGTAGCAGAGCAAGACTCCGTCTCCAAAAATAAAAATAAATAAACAAAAATAAATAAATTTCAAAAGCTTTTGTATTTTGGATAGTGTTTCATTCCACACTAAGTGTCTATAAGTATTTTTACAGAATAAGTATATGGATTTTTGTATCATCTACAGTTTTATTCATATATGGGAAAAACGTAAACATAACAGATGATTTTACTCCAGAGAGTATGAGAAATTTTGGATATGAAATTATGTTGCTGATTCTGTTTTAATATTCCTCCCAGTTTTATGTATTAAAATAAGTTATGATCTATAAATCAGTCAAAAATGATTTCTATTTTTGTTATTGTTCCCAAAAGACAACTTAAGTTTGCATTCATTCATCTAAACAGTGAAGTTTTTTAAAAATGTATAAAGGAAATAGTGTGTTTAAGTCACTTACCATTAGTTTGACAACTGTGGTGACTTTTACCAGCCTCTGCGGTGTAATTTTCCTTAAAATGAAATGTTCCTTTTTTGTTTTTTGTTTTTTTTGAGACTGTCTCGCTCTGTCACCCAGGCTAGAGTGCAGTGGCGCAGAGTCAGCTCACTGCAACATCCATCTCCCGGGTTCAAGTGATTCTCCTGCCTCAGCCTCCTGAGTGGCTGGGACCATAGGCACCCACCACCACCCCTGGCTAATTTTTGTATTTTTAGTAGAAATGGGGTTTCACCCTATTGGCCAGTCTGGTCTTAAACTCCTAACCTTGTAATCTGCCCGCCTTGGCCTCCCAAGTGCTGGGATTACAGGCATGAGCCACCGCGCCTGCCTAAAAGGAAGTATTTTTGAAAGGTTCAGTCTTGGCCCCATTAGATATTAAAGTAGGATAGAGGATGTTACAATTCGACAAACACTGAGGGCCCTGCTCCATTGAAAGTATTGAGAGTATGAAAATGAATACAACAATGATTTTGTGTTCAAGTTTACAAATGAACTCGACTAAAGGGAACAAACACATCCTCTATAACAGTCATACTATCTTTTTTTTTTTTTTTTTTTTTTTTTTTTTAGTAGACTGAGTGTCTCTCTGTTGCACAAGCTGGAGTGCAGTGGCATGATCTTGGCTCACTGCAACCTCCACCTCCCGGGTTCAAGTGATTCTCATGCCTCAGGCACTCCATTAGCTGGGATTACAGGTGTGTGCCACCACCCCTGGCTAATTTTTGTATTTTTAGTAGCGCCTGAGTTTTGCTATGTTGACCAGGCTGGTCTCGAACTGGTGATCTCAGATGATCCACTTGCCCTGGCCTCCCAAAGTGCTGGGATTGCAGGCGTGAGCCACCGCATCAAGCCAACAGTCATATTATGTTGTCATACCAGTACTAATCAAGAATTAAAAGAGTTGTGGTGTGTAAATGTGTGTGACTGCTTAGGTGAGCTACTGAAATTTGGCCTTGAAGAATAAACAAAATTTTAACTGGATGAATTGAAAGAAACTTTTCTTAAAAATGAACCCAATGCTGAGTGTCCTATGTACATATCTTATTTTCTCCAAGTCTCTCAACAACGCTGAAGACAGGTAGCCACATTTTAACAGATGCATAATCAGGGGCTCAGAGACATTTTAGGTTGAGCAAAAGTATGTAGGAAGAAGGGAAATATAAGAATCCTGGCCCACTGGGCACATGTTTAGAGACTGGGGTATAATGGCAGAGTAATCAATAAAGAAGCTGAAAAGGTAGTTTGGAGCTGGTTCTCTAGTGAACAGTTTGTGAAACAATTATACGGGAAGTGGAGTCCTTGGAATTTTTTAAAGCTGGGCTAGAAGGATCAGATTCATGCTTCACTATATTCAGGAAGAAGTGTGGTGGGTAGATTGGAATGAGAACCAATCTCTTTTTTATATAAGAAAAAGGGGTAACAACTGAGAAACCATTGCAACAGTTGATGGTAGAGAAGATGAGGCCTAGTCAAGGCAATAGGAGTGGGAATGTGGAGAAGAAGATGAATTTAAGAACCACTGGCTAGGTGCGGTGGCTTATGCTTATAATCCCAGCACTTTGGGAGGCCGAGGCGGGTAGATCACCTGATGTCAGGAGTTCGAGACCAGCCTGGCCAACATGGTGAAACCCCATCTCTACTAAAAATACAAAATTAGTTGGGTGTGATGGTCAGCACCTGTAATCCCAGCTACTCAGGAGGCTGGGGCAGGAGAATTGCTTGAACCCAGGAGGCGGAGGTTGCAGTGAGCCGAGATCACACCACTGTACTCCAGCCTGGGCAACAAAAGCAAAACTCCGTCTCAAAAAAAAAAACACCACTGTGCAAGTCAAACTGATGGAACTTGGTGACCAATTGAAAGATGACTTAATGGCCAGGCACGGTGGCTCACGCCTGTAATCCCAGCACTTTGGGAGGCTGAGGCGGGCAGATCATGAGGTCAGAAGATTGAGACCATCCTGGCTAACATGGTGAAACCCCATCTCTACTAAAAATACAAAAAATTAGCCAGGCGTGGTGGCGGGCTCCTGTAGTCCCAGCTACTCAGGAGGCTGAGGCAGGAGAATGGCGTGAACCCGGGAGGTGGAGCTTGCAGTGAGCCGAGATCGCGCCACTGCACTCCAGCCTGGGCGACAGAGCGAGACTCCATCTCAAAAAAAAAAAAAAAAAAAAAGAAAGATGACTTAATGGATCCTATCTTGGGGACTCAAAAGATTTTTCTTTTTAGGCAGAGTTTATAACATGAAAGAAACCATTTGAAAATATACAATTTGGTGACATTTAATACATTCACAATGGTATGCAACCATCAACTCTATTTAGTTCCAGAACATTTTCATCTTGTGCACTCTATGCATTCAGTGTTTACTGAATGACGGAATTTGGGAGAGAAACTGGGGGGCCGTTGCAGCCTGAGCTCAACAGCAATCAGGCTTGCATCCCACAGAAATAAAAAACATTCCTCTTTCAATGAAGCTATCCTTTATTATGGAAAATAATATCCTTGACCAATTTCCTAAAACACTCAGAAACTCAAATGCAACATGAAAATTAAATCACAATTCCCCCATTAGACAACATAGGCTGAACCAGGTATTGGGAATATGGACAAGAAAATTAACAGCCTATTGTAATCTACTTATAACATTTTCCTCCAAATAGAATATACTATGGGTATATGTTTAACTAAGCTTATATTTATTTAATTCAATGTAATTGAAAAAGCTAACATAAAATTTAATTCCTGAATAAAATAAAACAGTTGCTTTTTCTATGATGACAGAGTCATTGACTTTTCCCTTCAGTTTATAATCTGTATCCTATACCTTGATTTACTCAGCCTTGGCTAAAGCACATTTTTAATATCTTAGCTGAGCTGACTTGTAAGCAGGCAATATTGATGGGGTCAGGGAAATAGTCCCTTTCCAGGGTTCTGGCCACATGGCTGATATTATGAGACACTTCATATTTTTTGTTTGTTTGTTTTCAAATCTCCTATGTCTGTGTTGGGTGTTCTATAGACACCCAAACCTGGGCAGTTTTTATGAATCTCAGGGAGCCACTCTGCTGCTGAGCTAGCCTCATTCACACATTTCATTTATCCACAATAATAAGAATATCAATACCTTGGATTTATATAGAGCCATTCATCCAAAGAGGTCAAAGCATTTTAATTTAATTGGATGTTCCCATGGCTTTAAGAGCCCCTAGGTATATTTACAAATGTAATATTAGGAAACGGTCTGCCCTGGTTTAGAAAACATAAAACAAGACCTGCATATATACTGGTTTTAGCCAGGCATGGTGGCATGTGCCTGTAATCGCAGCTACTCAGGAGGCTGAGGCAGGAGAATCACTTGAACTTGGGAGGTGAAGGTTGCAGTGAGTCGAGATCGCGTCACTCCAGCCTGGGCAACAAGAGCAGAACTCCGTCTGAAAAAAATAAAATAAAATAAATTAATTAATTTGGGTGTGCTAATTTATTTATCACTTAATTGTATTTCCATTTTGTGATGAAAGTAGGCCATTGTTTCTGACACTTATCCAATTCTCCTTTAAAGGAAGTACTTTTGTGTATTTCTGCTTATAAAAAGCAACACCTGGAAATTTTTTTTTTTTTTTTTTTTTTTTTTAGATGGAGTCTCCTTCTGTCACCCAGGCTGGAGTGCAGTGGCACAATCTTGGCTGACTGCAACATCCGCCTCCCTGGTTCAAGCAATTCTCCTGCCTCAGCCCCCAGAGCAGCTGGGATTACAGGAGCTTGCCAACACGCCCCACTAGTTTTTATGTTTTTAGTAGAGACGGGGTTTTGCCATGTTGGCCAGGCTGGTCTCGAACTCCTAACCTCAGGTGATCCACCTGCCTCGGCCTCCCAAAGTGCTGGGATTACAGGCATGAGCCACTGTGCCCATCCCGGAAACTTTGTAAAACACAGAAAAGTGTAAAAAAAAAAAAAAAAATTACCCATGTTATTGACGCTCAAAACAACTTTGCAATAACCCCAGAGATGTATTTTCAACAAAATTAGTACCATACTTTAGTAATAATAGCTGATATTTACCAAGTGCTGATAATGTATATCTCACATATTCTTACAATAACTCTCTATGTGAAGTACAATGACCACCTGCTTTACAGATAAAGAAACTGAGGCAGAGTAAAGTTAAGTAACTTGTCCTAGGTAATCTAGCCAGGAAGTGGAAAGCTGGGATTGAATCTAGGCCATCCTGCTACACAAACTGCATTTTTTTTTAAGGTGTGGTGAAAAACACATAACATAAAATTTATGACTTTTGACTACTTTAAAGTTTATAATTTACTGACCTTTAATACATTCACAAGCTATGCAACCATTGACTGTAGTTCCAGAACATTTCATCACTCCAAAATGAAACTCTGTATCCATTGAGCAGTCATTCCTCATTTCTTCCTGCCCTGCAGCCCTTGGCAACCACTGATCTGCTTTCTGTCTCTATGAATTTGTCTGTTCTGGATATTTCAGATAAATGGGGTTATACACAATATGGCCTTTTGTGTCTGGCTTTTTTCTGTTAGCATGATTTCAAGATTTATCAATATTGTAGCATATATCAGTACTTTTTTCATTTTTATGTGTGAATAATATTACATTGTATGGATATAGCACATTTTGTTTATACCACACTGATACAGTCATATTGTTGCAGTTCATTCATTGTTAAACATTTGGACTGCTTCCACCTTTAGGCTATTTTGAATGGTGCTTTTATGAATGTTTGTATACAAGTTATTTTCCGAACACTTGTTTTCAATTCTCTTGTGCATATACCTATGAGCGGAATTGCTGGGTCATATGGTAACTTTATGTTTAGTTTTTTAAGGAACCACCAAATTGTTTTCTGCAATGGCTGAACCATTTCACATTCCCAAAATAAATGTACAAGGGTTCCAGTTTCTCCACATACTTGCCAACATTTATTTTCCATTAAAAAAATTGTAACCAACCTAGTGGGTGTGAAGTGGTATCTCATTATGGTTTTGCATTTTCCTATAATGATTAATGATGTCGAGCATCTTTTTATGTGCTTTTTGGCCATTTGTGTATCTTCTTTGGAGAAATGTCTATTCACATCCATTGCCTAGGTTTTAATTTTTATTTCCTTTTGTGTTGAGTTGTAAGAGTTCTTCACATAGTCTAGATACAGAACTCTTACCAGATACTGTATGTGATTTGCTTTTATTCTCTCCCATCCTGTGCCTGTCTTTTCACTTTCTTGAAAAGTGTACTTTGATGTATGAGGGTTTTTAATTTTAATAAAGCCCAATATACCTATTTTTTCTTTTGTTGCTTATGCTTTTGATGTCATAGCTAAGAATCATGAAAATTTACCCTTGTATTTTGTTCTAAGAGTTTTATCTCATATTTAGGTCTTTGATCCACTTTTAGTTAATTTTTGCATATTGTATGAGGTAGGGTCCATCTTCACTTTTTTGCTTATGCTTATCCAGTTTTCAACACCATCTATTGAGGAGACTATTCTTTCCTTATTGAATGGTACTGTCAGCTTTGTTGAAAATCAATTGACTGTTTGGGTGCGGTGGGTCATGCCTGTAATCCCAGCACTTTGGGAGGCTGAGGTGGGCAGATCACCTGAGGTCAGGAGTTCAAGAACAGCCTGGCCAACATGGCAAAACCCCGTGTCTACTACTTGGAAGGCTGAGGCACAAGAATTGCTTGAACCTGGGAGTCAGAGGTTACAGTGAGCTGAGATTGAGCCACTGCACTCCAGCCTGGGTGACAGAAAGAGACTTCGTCTAAAAAAAAAAAAAAAGAAAATCAATTGATCATAGATGAATAGGCTTATTTCTGTATGGCTTATTCTACTATATTTATCTATGTGTTTATTTTTATGCAAGTACCATGCTATTTTGATTACTGCGGATTTTTAGTAAGTTTTGAAATCAGGAAGTGTGAGACCTCCACATTGATTTTTTTTTTTTTCCAAGATTGCTTTGGCTATTTGGGGCTCTTTTAATTTCCGTATGAATTTCAGGATCAGTTTTTCTGTTTCTGCACAAAAAGCCTAGTGAATTTTTATCGGAATTACATTGAATTTGTAGATAGCTTTGGGAGTTTGGCCATCTTAACAATATTGAGTTTTCCAACCCATGAACATGGATGTCTTTCCATTTATTTGAGTCTTCTTGTATTTCTTGCAGCAATGTTTTGTAGCTTTCAGTGTAGCAGTCTTTCACTTTCATGGCTAAGTTTATTCGTAGGCATTTTATTCTTTTTGCTGCTATTGGAAATGGAATTGTTGTGTAAATTTCCTTTTTGGATAGTTTATTGCCAGTTTACAGAAATACCACTGATTTTCTGTTGCTATTGATTTTGTATTCTGCAACTTTGCTGAATATTTTATTAGCTCTAATAGTTTTTTGTGTGTATTCTCTAGGATATTCTATATATAAGATCATATCATCCAAAAATAGATATTGTTTTATTTCTTCCTTTCCAATCTGGATGACTTATTCATGTTCTTGCCTCATTGCTCTGGCTATAACTTGCAGTACTTTGTTGAATAGAAGTGGCAAAAAAATGGTTATCCTTTTTTTGTGTCTAATATTAGTGGGAAGGCTTTCAGTTTTTCATCGACTATGATGATTGCTGTGGGTTGTTCATAAGTACCCTTTATAGCCTATAAGAAGTTCCCTTTTATCCCTAGTTTTCTGAGTGTTTTTATTGTAAGAGTGTTTTGGATTTTGACAAAGCTTTTTTCTGCAACAGTTGAGATGATCACACACTTTTTATCCTATGTCCTACATTCTTTTTTTTTTTTTTTTTTTTTTTTGAGACAGAGTCTTGCTCTGTCGCCCAGGCTGGAGTGCAGTGGCGCGATCTCGACTCACTGCAAGCTCCACCTCCCGGGTTCACGCCATTCTCCTGACTCAGGCTCCCGAGTAGCTGGGACTACAGGCGCCCGCCAACACGCCCGGCTAATTTTTTGTATTTTTTTTTAGTAGATACAGGGTTTCACCGTGTTAGCCAGGATGGTCTTGATCTCCTGACCTCGTGATCCGCCCGCCTCGGCCTCCCAAAGTGCTGGGATTACAGGCATGAGCCACCCGGCGCCCGGCCTGTCCTGCATTCTTAACCACTAGGCCCAACTGCCTCTCCCTTTCTCTATGAATTATTTAATTTTATAGCCCAGTTTTTGTACTTATACCATAAAAATCTTTTTTTTTTTTTTTTTTTTGAGACAGAGTTTCCCTCTGTTGCCCAGGCTGGCGTGCAGTGTGCAGTGGAACGATCTTGGCTCACTGCAGCCTCCGCCTTCTAGGTTCAAGCAATTCTCATGCCTCAGCCTCCCAAGCAGCTGGGATTACAGGCACACACCACCACGGTCCGGCTAACTTTTGCATTTTTAGTAGAGACGGAGTTTCACCATGTTGGCCAGGCTTGTCTTAAACTCCTGGCCTCAAGTGGTCTGCTCGGCTCTGCCTCTCAAAAAGTGTTGGGATTACAGGTGTGAGCCATCACACTTGGCCCAAAAATCTTATTTTCTTTAAAAGCCATTAAAATTATGATTTCCAGAAGCTATATGTTATTTCCTCATTTGAATGTTACATAATTTATTTAATTCTTCTGTGTTATTTAAAAAATGTCAATACTCTATATTTCTTTAGGAACAAAGTCCCTAGAACTGGAATTATTGGGCCAAAGGTTATGAATACTTTTAAGTTATCGTGTGTGTGTGTGTGTGTGTGTTATCTTCAACTAATTTTTAAAAATGTGAACTTCTACCAGCTCGATGTCTATTTAATAAAAGTAATTGATGTGTTCTGAGCTTGCTGCTCACAACTCCATGACCTCTGAGTTAGTTTGCTTTCTATTCCTTTAAGTTCTTCAATCTTTATTGCTACTGAGCAGGCCACCTCCTTCCTTACTTTTAAATTATTATTATTCTTGTTCCTCAGTCTAACCACTTTCCACGCACATTCTGGTCTTTTTTGTTTTGTTTTGTTCATTTGGTCTTATGAATTAATGACTAAGCCAACGGAACCAAATGCAGGAAATACTAAAAACTTACCGGTAAAAGTATTAACACAAATGTGCATTACTACTAAGTATTTCATTTAGCTTGAAAAAAAAAAAAAAGGAATCTGCAGTGTGGTCTGTTTGTTTTTAGCTTATACTGTCTTTTCTTCATCAATATTCATTTATTCCTGTACGTGTGGTTTTAGAACTATCTGGAAATATAGGAACATTGGGAAAAATTGAACTCCACATAAACCTAATGTAGAAACATTAGTTTTACAGAATACTAAAGAAAAGCATTTCTGCTTATATTCATTTTCGTATTTTATTGGATTTTTTAAAAAATCACTTGCACTTAAGGCAAAAACTTCGCACATAGACATCCGGCAGAGAACCCCTCTTTCATTTAAATACAAACCCTAACACATTTTGGCATCATCAGATAAATTTGATTTAAAGCCTGACAAAATTCTAAAAGCAAGGAAACTGAAAAAAGCTGGAAGTCAGAATAAAGATAAATGAAGACACTCATTACAAGACTTAGGAAGTTGCAGCTGGTTTAGCTTTCCTGCGCGCCCAGGAGACGGAGAAGGAAAACTACGACTCCCAGAGTGCTTAGAGAGAACACGCGCGTCGTGGCCTCAAAACTTGCTCCCTTAGTCCCGCCTCCTCACTTCAGTGATTGGATTTTCCACTTCCGCGCCTCTGGAATTCTCTTCACCCATTGGTGGAGACTCCTGCGGGGTCAAATACAGAATTTACGCACCCTTGGCTTCCTTGGAGCCTAGCGGCTCTCCCCGCGTCCAAGATGGCGGCAGAAGCAGCTGGTGGGAAATACAGAAGCACAGTCAGCAAAAGCAAAGACCCCTCGGGGCTGCTCATCTCTGTGATCAGGTGAGGGAGGCAGGAGGCAGGGTCTGGGGACTGGGGGCAGCGGCTCGACCTCCGCTTTGGAAGGGAGAAGGGTTAGCTGGGTCCCACCCTGCTCTCCCCTTTCCTCCTTGCCTCCCGCAGCCCCTCCCCAGGGCTCTAACCCCTCCCCAGGGCCCCAGCAATTCCCCCTCCACCTTTTTTTTCTGGGGTTAGCTATAGAGAGAGGAGCCCCGCCTCAGTCTTTTCTTTAGGGGCAGCACCTTCTATTACAGTCTCGGGACCCCAAAGCACGCTATTTGGGTTTGGTAGAGAAAACCAGGTGTAAAGGTGTGTTTATTGATTCCTAAAATGCTTGTTTATTGTTTGCCTGTAGCAGCACTCACTGAGAAAGGCGTCTTGTTTCCTGGACTTTGGGGTGTAAGGCCTTGGAGTCCGGAGATTCCTGTCACGAGTTGCAGATTTGTGTTTTCACACTCTGGATACTTTCAACCACCTGTGCGTGGCCACAGCCACAAATACAAGAATCTGCAGTGAGCTGGTAGGAGGACTGGGTTTGAAGGCACACATCGGTTTTCAATTTTTTGCCCTGCCTCCGCATTCTGGTCCATTCCTTAAAAAACAGAACCAAACCAATTTCAAATTATCCTCCATGCACTGCCCCTCTGCACCTCCCAGAAGATTAGGGTGGGGGTGGAGTGGGAGCGGTGGATCTTTTAGGAGCTTTTTTTTAAAAAAGCGAAATATATTGAGGATGGGGGAACCCTTTCAAGAATCTTGGATATGATGCAGGTACTGACTAAAACCAATCTAAATAAAATTTATTATGGCACGTTTTTTACGTTGTTGGCATTTGAATTTCAACTCGTTTATTTTTCATAAACAAACACTCTATTTTTCCCCACCTATACTAAACTTTTGTTTGAGTTCTTGCAAGTTTTCTGGAATGTATTGATCATCTTTTCAAAACCCAGGGCCCAACATTATCTGGTAGGTACTAAGCACTTCAATGAATGCATGTATCAAACCATTAGAACAGCTTACCACTCACTGACAAAGACACATCTTATGGGTCTTATTTAGGAGGCTTTAAGATTATGGCCTATTAAATCATTACTTTAATTTTCTTTTGGGCTTAAGAGAAAAACATCTCTGTGTGGAAATGCTTAATATACTTGGTAGGCCATACAGAGGAAGTGCTGTTGTATTGTGAATCTATAGGCCCACATTCTCGCTGTGACAATACGCAGGTAGTGTAGATGTATCTCATGATACTAAAATTCCAATAAGAATGTTTGTTGTTTCCCATCTGAATTTCCTGTGGAATTAGAATACCAGGACATTATTTGGATCCTTTTTTGAACTTGTTTGTTTTTTCTACCTTATAGTCAACATTTATTTAAACAATAGGTATTTAGTGCCAGTTGACAGTATGGCGTCTGGCACGTATTACATATTGAATAATATTTGTTGACTTAATGAGTAAATGCCCTGAGTTTTGCAAAGATGAAGCAGGCACAGTGTTACCCTTGAGGAGAGTATAGTTTACCTGGGGGATAAAACATGTCAGTAAAAATGATGACATAAGACTACGAGAGAGACATGAAATGTTATGGAAATCCAGGAGGAGTGGCTGTTTCTAATGAAAGTGAAATGTGTCATCTCATCTGTGTACTTTTGATTCTCCAGGCTGTTCCCATTTCTTTTATGCTATTTGTATTTTCCTCAGGGCCAGTTGAATTTACTCTAAATGTCATATTTTTGAAAACAGCATGAAAGCCAACCTAAAGCTTTTTTTACTAATGCTAATTCAGAACATACATTGCCTTTGCTTGACCATTCCTTAATATTCTCCAGGAGGAACCCCCTACTGCTTGATGGCTAAGATTTTGTGGTTATCCATCCATCTCTTATGCCAGTTTATTAATATATGACCTTCATTTTATCACTGTGATTTAGGCCTAGGTATTTTTTACTTTGATCTCTGTTGTGCATTATATTGCTTTTCTTTTCTTTTCTTTTCTTTTTTTTTGAGACAGAGTCTTGCTCTGTCCCCAGGCTGGAGTGCAGTGGCGCGATCTCGGCTCACTGCAACCTCCGCCTCCCAGGTTCAAGTGATTCTTCTGCTTCAGCTTCCCGCATAGCTGGGATTATAGGCGTGCGCCACCACACCCACCTAATTTTTGTATTTTTGGTAGATACAGGGTTTCACCATATTGGCCAGGATGGTCTCGATCGCTTGACCTTGTTGTCTGCCTGCCTTGGCCTCCCAAAATGCTGGGATTACAGGCATGAACCACCGTGCCCAGCCCTCATTTTTCTACTTTATCCTTGACCACCTCAGATCACTGCATAACACTTTTGTGATATAGTTTTTACAAGCATGGTGTAAGGGAATGTCTAGACCTAGTATCCTGGGCAAGTTTATTAAGGCTTGGGATGCATTGTTATATATGACCTTAAGACCGAATGGTGTTGGTGTTTGTATTTCAACATTTCTTTGAGTCACAGGGAGATTTTGGTGTTGGAGTGAGGATGTTGGTAGCTATAACTTCCTGTTATTTCCTTCCTAATATGCTTTTGAACATACCCAGTGGTTTAAATTTTATAAACAGTGGTAGTGAATGAGAGGACAATGGAAGTATTACTTTGGTGTTTGGGATGGGGAATGGGGGGAGAGTCCTGCGGGTAAGAGAACCAGGAATGTATGTTTCTTGTTAGTAAATTGTGCTGTCACTTGGAAGTTGCTTCTTGTATTTCTGTTCAATTTATGTCCTTTGTGTTTCCCTTCTTGCAACATTGTATTCATTATTCCTTTTTTTTTTTTTGAGACGTAGTCCTGGAGTCTCTCTCTGTCGCCCAGGCTGGAGTGCAGTGGCGCAATCTTGGCTCACTGCAAGCTCCGCCTTCCGGGTTCACACCATTCTCCTGCCTCAACCTCCCGAGTAGCTGGGACTACAGGCATGCGCCACCATACCCGACTAATGTTTTGTATTTTTAGTAGAGGCAGGGTTTCACCATGTTAGCCAGGATGGTTTTGATCTCCTGACCTTGTGATCCACCCGCCTTGGCCTCCCAAAGTGCTGGGATTACAGGCGTGAGCCACCGCGCCTGGTCTGCATTCATTTTTTCTTAATTCCTCATATAAAACTTTGATTATCTCCTCCTATCTTTAACGTTGTTTTCAAATTCTCTCCCAAAGGCTATAGTTTTCCTGGTTGCTTTGGCAACAAGCCACAAAAAGGAAAACCCATGTTAGGCTCGTGTTTATAAGGTCTGAGCATTCCTAACATGTACCGGGTACCTGCTAGCTCCTTTCATGTTTCCATGGACTTATTTTGTCACAAAATAAATTACCGACAGTTAGAGAGTCTACTGTCTTTTGAAAAGTTTGATCAGTTTAGCTTTTTAAAAAATATCTTTTTGTATCACTGAGTAGTAGTTTTTCTTTTTTGAATAGTGAGTATTAAAAATGCTCCTTTAATTCTCTTGCTCAGATGTGTAAAAATGTAATTTCTGTACTACATTATGTATCATAAAATTTTGTATTTTTTCAATGCTTTTCCTAACAGTTGGGGTAGCATTTATTGTTAGTCATTTTTAATATTGTATTCAAAAAACTACAGGTGGATAAGGGTTTGACTTAAGGACAGAGTATGTGTAGGCATGGGGAATATCCGAATCTCATCGCTATTTCCAGCCCTTGTACTAAATAGTTAAATAACGACTCTATTTTGCTAGTATAAAGTATTTAAACTTTAAAGCATTTAAAAGCCAAAAATAAAGATGAAGTATAGTGTAATTGTAATGCAAGTATTATATGATTTTTTAAGTGCTTTGAGACTCAAATAAAAATGCTTAATTATTTAAAAATTATCGAATAAAAATATTTCAGGGCAGTCAGATGTTTCAAAGGGTGGACTTCCAGGGCTTTACAGAAGAGGCCCTTAGGCCTGTGAGGTGGGGCTTAGGTGAGGGGACAGATAGTGGTTGGGATTCAGTTTGTCGGAGGCTACTGCCAACTGCAGCTTTTGGTTTTAAGTCTTGCCACTGGCCCTTTAAAATGGAACTAACCGGGGGGGACAGAATCCTGATTACGTGCTGATGTGTGATGTATGATTTGGACAGTTTTACACACACACAGACACACACCTACTTTTCTGTTGACCTGCTGATGTACAATTTGGATGGTTTACACACACGCACACACACACACACACACGTGCACACACACAATTTTTCTACTTTTCTGTTGATTTCCTTTGCCAACCTTTTGTTTGGTGGGAAGTCAGAGGAGGCAGCCTCTCTAGATGGGAAATAAGAAAGATGGCATTTTGGAGATATTTTATTTCTGTGAGTTCTTGCCAGATTTTTAATTGGGAAATGTGTCTGCCACTTACTGTTAGGTGATTTGCTTTCCAATTAAATGTTGTGTCACTTTATAACTTGGCCTGTAATAACCAGTTTAATTGGGAAGACAAACTTTGGTTGTGACTTCAGGAGACCTTATTGAAACCTTGGAGCAGAGCTTTTGAAGACACACTCTGGTTACAGATGTCAAGGAGGTTTGAAGGCAGTGGAAGGCTCACATTTTCATCAACTTTTATGTCTTCACAGAAGTTGAAATTTCAAAAACTTAGAAAATCCTTTACTGTAGACACCTGTTAAATTCCCTTCCTCCTTGGAGAGTATTTTGGTCAGCCCTGTGTTTAATTCAAAGTAAACTTTGTTGAAGGGGTCCAGGCTTTGACCAGGGCTTTGAACGAACAGCTTTGAGGTTCGTGACACAGTTTGTGGCAGGAAAGGAAAGTAGTCACTCTGTTCTGAGCCGAGTCTTGGAAGTTGGGTGAGGTGTTAATGTTCTTTCCATCACCATCTCTTCTTTTCATTTGAGCCCATCACATAATGGTGTTTGGTTTCTAGCTCTCTTTGTACCCTGGGACATCTTGGCCCTACTGATGCTGTGTTGTTTGAAAATTACTACTAGAATACCCAGAAACAGTGCTTTCAGGAAGTCCTGGGATGTCTGGCAGCATATGTGAACGTAAGGGGCAACACAATTACCGTACTCTGGCTCAGAATTAGTGTCGTGGACCCATGTCTTAGTGTACCTCGTGTAACTGTTAACACTGGGATTTCCTGAAGGCTTTGAGGCCTGTAGTATTGATGGTGGTGGTATGGTCAGGTTTTTTCAAGCCATTATTTGTACATAGATGTGGTCACAGCCTGTGGTGTGAATTGCTGTGGTTGTGTGTTGTAGTTGAAACTTGCTGTATTACCTGTGTAACCTTGGAACAGTTACTTAAAACCACCGCGTCTTAGTTTCCTCATTTGGAAAGTGGGCTAATACAATCTGTGTTTTTTTGGAACATCACATGAGATGAGGGTATATAAAAGTGCCTAGCACAGTTTGGCACACGGTAGGCACTCATATGTTCATTTCCTCCTTTCTAGGATCTGTAGCCTCTTCTGTTAAGAAGATTCTTTTGATATTAATAAATTTGCCGGATAGCAACCAGGCTATAATGTTAATTTTCCACCAGAAATAACCTTGACGCGTTGACTGGAGTGATTCCATTTGTCAGGATGTTGTCTTTGTAACCAGGAAATCTTGTACAGCTGAATTAAGATAGTAATTATTTGGTAATTTGAGAGTCAGCTGAAGAAGCTAGATTTAAATGCATGTATGGTTATGTGTGTATGTAAAACATGTAAAATATAAACACACATAAAATATAAAACATTTATTAGATTAAAAGACTGAAAAGACTATAAACAAGCAAATCAAGGGCCCAATACTCTGTTGAGATAATCCTTGTTGTCCTTTATAAAAAGGACAACAATATTGTGTATTGTACAAATTTGTAAAGACGAGTCATAGGAACATTGTCCAGCAATCTCATTTCCCAAAATATTACCTGTTTTTCAGGTTTTCGTATGGATCTTGTCCATGTATATACATTTTTTAAAATATTGCTATACAGTGTTCATAGTTATATATGTTTTTTAAGTGGAGGAATTAAACATACAGAACAGTAGGGAAGAAAAAATCACCCATAGTTTAATTTCTTTTTTTTTTTTTTTTTTGAGGCAGAGTCTTGCTTTGTCACCTAGGCTGGAGTGCAGTGGCGCCATCTCAGCTCTCTGCAGCCTCCGCCTCCTGGGTTCAAGCGATTCTCCTGCCTCAGCCTCCTGAGTAGCTGGGATTACAGGCACCATGCCCAGCTAATTGAATGTATTTTTAGTAGAGACAGGGTTTCACCATGTTGGCCAGGCTGGTCTCAAACTCCTGACCTTAGGTGATTGGCCTGCCTCGGCCTCCCAAAGTGTTGGGATTACAGACGTGAGCCACCGTCCCCGGCCCACTTGTATTTTCTTCACCAGCATTATCCACTATTAATACTTTTGCTTCCAGTTTAAGAAAAAAAAAATCACTCTATTGTTTTAAAAATAGTACTCTCATGATAAATAATTCAAACAGTGAAAATGCAGAAAACCGTGAAGATGAAAGTAAGAAAAATTATTTCAGATTTTATCCTCCTAAAGTTATTATCATTGATATTAGATGAACCTAATCCCAGACCCCTCCCTTTTCTATGTGAATGTATGTGTGTATATGAAATGTTGATGGCCAGAAATAATTTTTTATTAAATATGGGATCTTACTCTATATACTAATTTTATTTGTCCTCCTTTTTGAGGTATACATGTATATGCTAGAGTGCACAAATCTTAAGTATATGGCTTGATGAATTTTTACCTGTGTAACCACTGTCCAGCTGGAAATACAGAACACTTCCAGCATCCCAGCTGGAGATACAGAACACTTCCAGCATCCTAGAATGATCCTTCTCTACCAGTTTTTTCCAGTACTTTTTTTTTTGTGTGTGTAAGGATATCCATTTCCAACACCACTTGTTAAAAAGACTATCCTTTCTGTATTTGCTTTCTTTTGCAACTTTGTCAAAAACCAATTTACTTTATATGTGTGGGTTTATTTCTTGACTTTCTAGTCTGTTCCATTCATGTTTATATTGATAACAATACTGCACTGTCTTGATTACTGCTTTTTAAAGTTATGAAGACATAGTGTAAGCCCTTTAACTGTTTTTTTTTTTTTGTTTTTTTGAGACAGAGTCTTGCTCTGTCGCCCATGCTGGAGTGCAATGGCACCATCTTGGCTCACTGCAACCTCTGACTCCCGGGTTCAAACAATTCTCCTGCTTCAGCCTCCTGAGTAGCTGGGATTATAGGCGTGCGCCACCACACCCGGCTAATTTTTGTATTTTTGGTAGAGACAGGATTTCACCATGTTGGTCAGGCTGGTCTTGAACTCCTGACCTCAAGTGACCCACTTGCCTCGGCCTCCCAAAGTGCAGGGATTACAGGTGTGAGGCACCGCGCCTGGCCCCTTTAACTTTATTCTACTTTTTCAAAGTAGTTTTGGGTCTTCTAGGTTGTTTGCATTTTCTTACAAATTTTAGAATAAGCTAGTCAGTTTCTGCAATAAAACCTGCTGGGATTTTGATTGGGATTAATATATGGAATTGACATCTTAATATTGAGTCTTCTGATCCATGGATGGATGGTATATGTCTCCATTTAATTCTTCAATTGATCTCAGCAATTGTGTGTGTGTGTGTGTATAGATTTTAGTGTCTAGGTTTATATGTCTTTGGTCAGATTTCTATTTTAGGCCACTTCAAGTTGTGCTACAGTTCATGGAATGTTGATGTTCATTAAAAAATGCATTCTTTTTCTCTTGGTGTTTTGTTTTATATAGTTTGTGTTGCTATGCTGGTTCACTAGTCTTTTCTGCTATTCCTAATCTCTTGCTAATCCTATCTAATATTATTTTTATCTTAGATTATACTTTTCAATCTAAGATACAGAAGCTTATCTTCTTTATCTGGAAGTTTGCTTTGGGTCTTTTTCATGTCTCTGCTTACATGTTTTAACTTTTCCTGTAGCTTTGTGAACAAATGGAATATAGGTATTATAACAGTTTTAATGTCCTTGTGTACTAATTTTATCATCTGTGTCATTTCTGGGTTTCCATTGATTAATTTTTTTTTCCCTCTTCCTTTACATGCCTTGTAGTTTTTTTTTTTTTTTCTTTTTGAGACAGAGTCTAGCTCTCTTGCCCAGGCTGGAGCGCAGTAGTGTGATCTCTGCTCACTGCAACCTCTGCCTCCCAGGCTCAGGTGATCCTCCCCACTTAGCCTCCCAAGTTGCTGAGACTATAGTTGTGTGCCACTGCGCCCGGCTAATTTTCATATATATTTTTAGGTTTTGCTATGTTGCTCAGGCTGGTCTTGAATTCCTGGCCTCAAGCAATCCGCAGGCCTCAGCCTGTGAGCCACCACACCCGGGCACCTTGTAGTTTTTGAGTTGATGCTAGACATTGTCAGTTTTATCTTGATGGTGGTTGGTTTTGGATATTTTTGTATTCCACTATTCTTGAGCTTTGTTCTGAGATGTGGTTAAGTTACTTGGAAGCAATTTGGTCTTCTCAGGCCTTGTTTTATGTTTTGCTAGTTAGGAGCAGAGCAACATTTAGTCTAGGGCTAAGTTTGTCTCACTACTGTGACAAAATTCTTTTGAGTATTCCACTCAGTACCCTAAGAATTATGAAATTTTTTCACTCTGGCCTGGGGGATAGGCACTATTTCCAGCCCTGTGTGAGTTCAGATCATTATTTCCTCTAATCCTTTCAGGTTGTTATTTTCCTGGCCTTGGGTAGTTACCTGTCACACGTGTGCTGATCAATACCCAGCTGATGACCCTCTACAGATCTGCAGACTTCCGTGTGCTGCAGCTCTTTCCCATCTCCATTACTGCCCTGCAGATTCTAACCACCTTAATATGCAGTGTTTTGAAACGGGTTTTGTTTATTTGTTTGTTCGTTACTTTGTTAGTCCCTGTTGTTTCTTCTGGGCCTAAAGTAGAAGTCCATCAGTACTTCTTATTTTAAAAAAAATCTCTAAAAGTACTATTTTGGATTGCATCTTCTCAGAGAGGAAGAATAAGATATTCAGATGTGCTGTTTAAAGCGATGGCAGCTGGGTGCAGTGATATGTGCCTGTAGTCCCAACTACAGGCTGAGGTGGGAGGATTGCTTGAGCTCAGGAGTTCAAGTCCCATTGGGGCAGCATAGTAAGCCATGAAATAAATTATGACCTTGGTCCTTATAGTGGCCAGTTTTTTTTTTTTTATGTGCTAGGGGTTTAGCTTTGAAAAACATAGGTGTGTACAGTTTAACAGGAAGTAATAAGGGAAAATTCTTGTATTATATTTGACACTCTTGGTAAGAAAATAAAATATTTCAAGATTCTTAGGAGACCCTTTTCTGACTTTTATTTATTCTTTTAAAAGTACAGAGTCTTTGTCAAAATAAAATAGAATATAATTAAAGTGTTTTTCCATTTAAAACCTATTCATTGTGCTGAATATTATGGGAGAATTATACTAAAAATATCACTTGAGAGCTTGTTAGAAATGCAGAATCTCAGGTCCTACCTGACCTACCTGAGCTGAATCTGCATTTAAACAAGATTCCCAGGTGATTTGAAAGCACAATAAAGTTTAGGTAGCCTTAGAACAAGAAACCCCAGGCTTGAAATGTTCTCAACATATAGAAATGATAAATGTTAGTGACGATGAATATCCTGAATACCCTGATGGTTTGGCTGTGTCCTCACCCAAATCTCATCTTGAATTGTAGCTCCCATAATTTCCATGTGTCATGGGAGGGACCTGGTAGGAGGTAATTTAATCATGGGGGCAGGTCTTTCCTGTGCTGTTCTCATGATAGTGAATAAGTCTCATGAGATCTGATGGTTTTATAAATGAGAGTTCCCCTGCACAAGCTCTCTCTTGCCTGCTGCCATGTAAATGTGACTTTGCTCCTCATTCGCCTTCTGCCATGATTGTGAGGCCTCCTCAGCCATGCTGAACTGTAAGTCAGTTAAACCTCTTCCCTTTATAAATTACCTAGTCTCAGGTATGTCTTTATTGGCATCTTGAGAACAGACTAATACACCTGACTTGATCATTACACAGTCTGTGAATATTACAAAATCACATGTGTGCCATAAATATGTACAAATATTTTGCATTAATTAAAAGAGATACAAGAAGCCAATTGTAATTGTTAAAATTTTTTTTTCTGAGATAAACATTATATAGATATGTTTTTTAAAAAAGCATTCTTTTTTTTTTTTTTTTTTTTTTTTTGAGACAGGGTCTCACTCTGTCACCCAAGCTGGAGTGCAGTGGTGTGATCTCAGCTCACTTCATCCTCTGCCTCCCAAGCTCAAGCAATTCTTGTGCCTCAGCCTCCGGAGTAGCGAGGACTACAGGTGTGTGCCACCATGCCCAGCTAGTTTTTGTATTTTTTGTAGACAGGGAGTTTCACCATGTTGGCCAGGCTGGTCTCAAACTCCTGGCCTCAAGCAATCTGCCTGCCTTGGCCTCCCAAAGTGCTGGGATTACATGAGCCACCGTGCCTGGCCTATTTGACAGATCTTTTAATTTTTGTACATGGTTGAAAATTCCATAAAAATTTATATGTGTGTGTGTGTTTACATATGTATATGTTGGGGGGAGGGAAGATGGTGGGAAACAGGTTGATTGATTGATGTTTTAATAGATTAGTATATTACAGAAGTGCTATATATTCTTTATGTCCTCTTCCCTCTCCCCTAGACACTTTAACAATAACATATTAAAGTGTCCCTGATTTCTGCCTTTAAGAAATCTGCTTCAATTTGTATAACCCAGAATTTCCAAAATTTGACCACATAACACCTCTTAATTTTTTGTAAAACATTGTTTCTGAGGAACTCACCAGAAAAGAAGATCACTGTGGACAATGCTTGGAGAAGGATGTGGGGCTGCAAAAGAAGTAGAAAAAGAGGTAGAGTTGGGTGAAGTAAGAGTAGGGGGTAGATTTTAAGTTGACTTTGTCAACCTTGGGCTCAGTTTTATGCCTTAGTGGGGTGATTTTACTTAATATTAGATAATGACCTTTGTTGCCTAAGAGATTTATAGCTTTTGGTCCCCAGAAGTGTTCTATAACTGAGTTAATTGAACTCTTGAAAAACTGTATGTGTTGGGTGTAGTAATTGGCCCTAAGTGCTGTCTGAAGCAAGACACCAATGAATTTTCAATTGACTTTAAAGCAAAAATTGTTTACTGTCACTTGATACTAAATACATCTCTTTGTATTGTTAGGGGATGTTGTTTTTATGCATCAGAAAACTTTTTCAGAGGGACTTGTCATTGTGAATTGCTATCAATTGGGATGGGATTATCTTGTAGTTTGTGTGCTCTAATAAGACATAATTAAGAAATAAGCAATCACAATGTATAATTGAATATAATAAAATGCGATTTAAAAGTGTAATGTAGATTTGGTTATGCTTTGAGGGAAGCCGTATCTTATGTGATTATATAGTGATACACATCTTGGACATTTCTTTAATGTGTAATTTTTTACACATTAAACTCATAATTCTGAGTAACTCAGAATTATGATGAGGGTCTCTTCTTTTCATAATTCACTGGAAGCATTTATAGACTATTTGTCATATACAAAATGTTCTGCTTAGAATAATAGGCTTGGAAAACTTATTTCTTAACTTGTTTCTTTAGTGCTTATATTCTTAACTATCTCTTTTCCTCTTCAGTTTGTACTTTCACTCTATTCATACTTAGGACAGGCTTTTGTTTCCCTGATGACATAATAGGTATATGGTACTGTCAGCCATTTCTCAGATTGGCCCTTTAGTATTTTAAAGGCAAAGAGAAACTGACTGTCATACTGTGAAATTAGGGCTGAATAGATATAATAACTTAATCTAATGTCTTCTGGTTAAAAGCAGTTTGGGAAAGAAAACAGGATTTATGTTGTAAAGAATCACATCAGCTCTAGACTCTTTTTTTCTTGCATCGGGATGAGTAGCAACAGGAATATTATGTTCTGGAAAGATCAGTAAGCTAATAATTACCTTTTTTTCCATCTCGGAGTGAGGTTCTGAAACTAGTGAACTCTTCAGCATTTGTTGAGAGTTTATGCTTAGTTTTTGCCTTATGATAATGTGTTTGAATATTTTGTAACTAAATCAGGATAACCCCTTCTCTATCTAGTACTCTTTCCATTATGTAGTTTAAGAAATTTCACTGGGGCCAAGATCGCGCCACTGCACTCCAGCCTGAGTGACAGAGCTAGACTCTGTCTAAAAAAAAAAAAAAATTCACTGGAATTGTCCCAACAAGAGAGAAGGTAGCACGGATTGGGTGGTTCAGGTGCTTGATGAGTAGAAAAGGCAGGGATTCGGTGACATAGTTTATCCACTTAGGGGCCCATTTTGAGTACTTTTAAGAGGGGTCACTGAGATTTGATTCTTATTGTAGATTGTGCTCTGTAGAGCTGTTGCTTCCTGATAAGTGATTTTTGGATATGTGAAGCTCTACTTGTAATTAGTTTTTCTGAGTTGCTTGAAGGGATTTCCATTCATTGTTTTGTTCATCTTTATTATTCCTGGAGGAGAAGTCACTGGATGCCAACAAGGAATGTCTTTAGTAGACAATTAAGCCGATTAACTGTTTTCAGAAAGCATGACTTAATGCTAACTATTCTGCAGGTGTCGCCAAAATTCAGGTGTATTACATTAAATATTTCTTATAGCCAGTTAATTAGTTTAGTTATCTGGGGCTGTATTAGGCAGCTAATTCTTGTGGATTTGCCAAGAATCTGTGTTGCTTCTGACTAAGGAGAGTGACTGATAACATTTATCTTGAAAAATTAACCAACCAAAATGACACTGCCTGTGTTTTAAAGTTTGGTATATTAGTCTGCTTGGGCTGCCATAACAAAACACCAAATACTAGGTGACTAAAGCAATAGAAATGTATTTTCTCACAGTTCTGGAGGCTACAAGTTCAAGATCAACCTACCAGGGCTGGTTTCTAGAGAAGCCTCTCACTCTGCTTGTAAATGGCTCCCTTGCTCTGCTGTCACATGGCCTTTGCTGTGTAAATGTGTGGAGAGGGCTTCTCCTTCCTTTTCCTTTCTTCTAAGCACATCAGTCCTTTTGGATTAAGGCCCACCCTTATAACCTCACTTAACCTTTATTACCTTCTTTGTAGGCTGTGTATCCAAATACAGTAACAGTGAGAGTCAGAGATTCAACATTTGAATTTGGGAGGGACACAGTTCAATTTGTAACAGGTGGTACCCTGGGCACTCTTATTATTTTGATAAAATATCCTAAACTGCTTCTAGAGTGAGAATCTCTCATCACCTACAGATAGTCTTGAGGCTCGGGCAAGAGCCCTGGTCAAGCTGTTAATTTTTCACAATTGTTTGTCAATCTTACTGCATGCTTTTCTGGCTTATATTAAAATTAATAAAACATAATTTGATCTATTTAGTCCTGTAAGTTCCTGAAATTCTAGACTTAAATTAAAATGAATTGTTGGAAAACTTTGTACCTGGGCTGTATTCAGATCTTTCAAAATCTCTAGGCCTGAATTGAGTTTTAATGTTATGTTCTTGAAGGAACTTACAAGAAATGGCCATGTAAGATTTGTGACTTTGTCTGTTTTCAGAAGATTGTTAAGGACATCTTTTACTATATTAGGTCTTCCATGTTTTTTAAGTGAAAGATTTCTTTTAGAATTTAGGACTAGTTCAAAATTTGCTTCCTTAAAGGAACTGGAGTCCATATTTTTTGAGAATGAGAATTATATCATGTGATGTGTCTCCTTTTGCCTGGGCTGCTAGGAAGCTCAGATTTAGTTTGGGGGCTCACTTCATATTAACTTTGCTTGCCCATATGATCTGCATAGTTGTCTTTTACATTTATTTGGTGGTGTTTAGCCCTGCATCTCTTTAGTCCCACTTTCTCATTTGTATTTTACTTTTTATTGTTTATATTCTTGCACAAGCCATCTCACATCTTTTTTGGGAAGAGGTGGGATATAATTAAAATGAAACTTGAATGTAGATATTGTTACTCAGTTTCACAATTAAATACTGGTTGAAAGGTTATCAGGCTTTGGCTGGGTGCTCTTCCCCGAGTAGTTTCATAGAACACTCAGAGTAAAAGCTCACAAAGTTGGGCCTGGTCTGGCTCCCAGTTTTCTCCTTGATTCATTTCCTGTCACTGTCACTCTTTCTCAAGTCTCTAAAGCCACATTGACCTCCTTGCCATTCCATGTTCCTTGAGCAGGCTAAACACACCCTGTTTCAGGGTCTGTTCTCTCTGGAATCAGCTTCCCAGATAGTGCCCTTTCTCTCTCACTTTCTAGTAAGCTGTATTCAAATGCCATCTTTATCCGAGAGGCCCTCCCTGGCCTCCTTATGTGAAGTAGCCTCCTTCCTCCTTGCCTGTCTTGGCTTTTGCGTAGCTGTTACCTCCCAGCTCCCCTCACTAGAACATAAGCTTCATGAGGGAGGGATTGGTTTTGTTCATTGCTGTTATGTATCTCTAGGCCCTTAGAACTGTGCCTGGTAAGTAATAGATACTTAGTGAATATTTGTTGAATGAATAAGTGAATTAAATAGGGTCACGAGCAACTATTTGTTCTTTTCTACAGATTTTTGAGCATGCATTTCATGTGAGACAATTTAGTTGCAATTGTTTCTTAAGGCTGGGAACTGTCCTCCATGACCTCTCTAGATCCTGCATCGCACTGCTGCTCATTACTTAGCTTTTACTAAGCACTTAATGTACCAGGCACTGTAAGAATATAGAGAAAAGGTCTGATCTCAGTTCAGAAATAAATATCCTCAGGAACTTTAGAAAGGGATAGGCTTTAGGGGATTTGGGCTAACAATGTTGTGATTCATAGATTATTTATTTTGTTCCCAATAATATATCAGACAACACTTCCGTCACACTTTATATTTTCAAAGCACATTCACACATTTCTCCAGTCCTAACAATATCCTGGCAAGGCGGGTATTCTTATTGTCTTACCTGTTTTACAAAGAAAAAAACAGACCCAGAAAAGTTAAGTCACTTACCAAAGGTCAAGCAACTTGAAAGTTGCAGAGCTCCGTTTGAATCTGGGTGTTTTAAAATTCCAGAGCCTGTGTTCCTTTAATGTGTATGTGGATGGCTCTTGTTTGATATAGTTGATGAGGTAGTAAGAGACTTTCTTGGTGTATTCCTAATGGTAGTATTCTAGATTTGGGTTTTTCTTTTTGCATCCTTTTATTCCACTTGAGTGATGAATCACTTTTGGTGACTGACCTTATTTTCACAGGTGTGCTTTTTCCTTTATTTGATCTTTCTTTTGTCTTTAAGAACAATACTGACTTTTATGTATTTTCTCCTGTCCGGACTCCATTACTCTATTAAGACCAAAGTGAAAGCAAAATTGCTCCACAGAAGGAACCAGTGATGGTGACTGATTATTTTCCTTTCAAAACATTTGATCGTCTACACTGAAATACAGAGGCTAGTATGAAAATGGGAAACAGACAAATTCAGTTTTAGATCTCCAGTTATTTACCCTGGGTTTTAATGCTTGTTTATGGGACTCACTTGGAGCTCATGGTTGTGAATCCACTAGAACTTAATAACATATTTGTTCCTACTAGATGTTGTTAACAGTAGCTTTACATGTGTACCGTGGTCCTTTTAGCCCTTTAGGTAAATAAATTCCTTCCTGGGAATTAATTAGTCATGGTTAAGATGTAATTCATCATGCAAAATATCAGAGCTGTCTTAATGAAAAATTCTTAATGATCCAGAAATGTCTTTGTGACCAGCTTAACTGGAATCTAGTTTATTCTTTTATGTTCCTCCATGAACTTGACAATAATTTATAAGTCATAATCATTTTGAGAATAGGAATGGAAAAAAAAATCTAGAGTGATTCAATAACTTGAATACATCTTGGGTTGGCAACTTTATGCCATTTGTCCTTTGATCATGTCTTTTATTTAGCTCATGCTTTTAAATCTTGCCCAGATTCAAGACTGTTATTACTAAAAAAGCTGCTTGGTGCTCTCTTTCCATCCCTAACTGTCTGCTGTTCTCTTTACATATGAACTGTGGCTTGATGAGAGTATGTGTCCTGCAGCTCAGGAGTTGAAGGCAGGAAAGATAGGATTTTGTAACATGTATAGTAGAAAGAGCATGGATTTTGGAGTCAAATATACTTAGCTTTAATTTCAACTCTGATATTAACTATGTGCATGTGTATATTTTACTTTACCTCTGTGAGCCTCTGATTCCTTATCTGTAAAAAGGCTGGTGATAATATTTTATTATACTAGACTGCTTTGAGGATTGTCTTAGATTAGGTATGCAAAATAACCACTGTATTGCCTGGTGTATTATAGATGCTCAGTAGTTTTTATCCTGTGTCTCACTTTCACCTTCCTTTCCAAACATGTAGAACACAGGGATGCATGTAAATTTCTGCATTTAGTTTTAAAATTTCACAAGTGGAGGATGAGTGAGAGTTGACTTGTCAGCACTTACTGTCAAAGGGATCTTGGATAATTTTTGGACTATATTTTTAAAAATGGAATGTAGTTTTAGGCTATATTATTAGAAAGATAGTGTTCATGTTGTGGGATATAAAACCTCTTTCTGTTTGGAAGTATGTTGTATTCACTTCTCAGCACATCTGAGAGGCAGGTTAGTGAAGCCATTAAGAGCCATATGGCCCAGGTTTGAGGTCAGACTCTGCTCCTTAAAGACTGTGCCTTGAATAAAAAACTCCATCTCTTTATCTCTACAAAGAGGGATAAGTATGGTACTGATATGGTTTGGCTGTGTCCCCATCCACATCTCATCTTGAATTTTAACTCCCACAATTCCCGCGTGTCGTGGGAGCAACTCAGTAGGAGGTGATTGAATTATGGGGGTGGGTCTCTCCTGCGCTGCACTGTTCTCGTGATAGTGAATGAGTTTCACCAGATCTGATGGTTTTAGACAGGGTAGTCCCTGCACAAGCTCTATTCTCTTGTCTGCTGCCACGTGAGATGTGCCTTTCACCTTCTGCCATGATTATGAGGCCTCCCCAGCCATGTGGAATTGTAAGTCCAGTAAACCTCTTTCTTTTGTAAATTGCCCAGTCTTGGGTATGTTTTTATCGGCAGCATGAAAATGGATTAATACAGGTACCTACCTCATAAGGATGTTTTTGCAATAAATTAATTATTATGTGTAAGCCACTTAGATTAATGCCTGGCACATAGTAAGTTCTATGTGAGTGTTACCTGTTTTTGAGGGGACTTCAGATGAAAGCAAAAAAGATGGTGGGCTGCTGGAAGTCATGGTGTGGAAGAAACAGTTGAAGAAACTGGAGGTGTTTAACCCAAGAAAGAACTATTGAAAGTCCTTTACCATTTAAAGGGAAATTTTATGGAAGAAGGAATAGACATTTTTTTGTGTTACAGAAAAAGATGAGACTAGGATCAATGGGTAGAAATTAGAAAGAGGCTGATTTTATTTTATTTTAATGGAAGGCTTTATAATAAGTAAAGCTGTTCAAAATTGCAGTGAATTGCTTTGTCAGCTGGTAGAGCTCTGCATTACACAGAGGCTTAGAAGGCTGAAGAGAGGTTCATGACCTGGCTGGTGGGGTGAGCTCAATGACAAGTGTTGTCTTCTGCACTGCTATCTGTTCAGGTTAAGGGACTAGTGATAATCCCACACTGAAATTTGCTGGGATTTGCTAGCATGTGTGAGAACTTTCTCCCTGGAATTAGTCAGCTCTTTCATGCTTTGCTTTTTTTTTTTTTTTTGAGATGGAGTCTCTCTCTGTTGCCCAGGCTGAAGTGCAGTGGCACGATCTCGGCTCACTGCAACCTCCGCCTCCTGGGTTCAAGTGATTCTCTTGCCTCAGCCTCCCGAATAACTGGGACAACAGGCACGGGCCATTGCGCCTGGCTAATTTTTTATATTTTTAGTAGAGACAGGGTTTCACCATATTGGCCAGGCTGGTCTCGAACTCCTGACCTTGTGATCTGCCCGCCCCGGCCTCCCAAAATGCTGGGATTACAGGTATGAACCACTGCGCCTGGCCTCTTTCATGCTTTTATGGTCTATCATTTATTAATTTTTATTGAATATTTATCTCAGACAAACATTTATTGTCTGAGACATTGTATTTCTGGTCTCATATTGCAGAAAAGAAAACAGAACTTGGAAATAAATGTTCACCGCCTACCATTGCTTGGCATCATGCATTCAATCCTTGAAGGAACCCAATGACTTAGATTTTATTATTGTTGGGAGACCATTCTCCTCAGGGCTCTTGTGTTTCTGAAGTTCTTGTGAGCCAAGCACTGATTGCCCTAAGTTTTAGGTTATTTTGCCAAGGATGTTTGTTTAGCAAACAGCGTTGGAAGATAGAGATGGTCTCTCACTCCAGAGCAAGGGGCAGATGTGTTTCCAGTCCAGTCTCTGAGCTTAGATTCGGTTTTCGGAGCTCGGAGTTCTTCTCCAGGAGCTGCCTATGTGGGCAGGCTTCTCTTTGGGCCCATCTGCCTAACCCTTGTGGGACTTGGGGGCAAGGGGAACTGATGTGAACATGCTGCGCTTACGCCGCTTGCTGTGCTGTGAGTGTGATCAAGTCTTTTGGACTTGAGGAGCTCTAGGAGTTTTGTGTCTTCTGCCAGCACCTGTGAAACTGTGGCTAACCTCTTAGCTTTCGAGTAGAATAAAATCTCAGCCTTCACCATTCTTGACATTAAGGAGGAATAAGGTGACAATCAGAGAGTTTAAACCTAATGCCCAGAGTTAAGTGATCTAGTATTTGGGGGCGGTGGGATTTTAACTTTTGTCTTCAGAGGGTGTACTTTTTATTATGTTATGGAAAAACGCTACTGTCTTTGCTGCTGCCATTACTACTGTTATTACTGGAACAATAATAGCTAACGACAACAACCAACATTTGTTGAGTGCTAGTGACATACCAGGCCTTGTTTGATCTCATTTAATTCTCACTAACAACCCTATGTGGAAGGTATCTTAGTATTTTCACTTTATAGATGAGCAAAATGAGATGCCATTACTAAGGTCATGAGTAGTCAGTAGGGTGGAGCCACAATTCTAACCCAGGCAGCTTTACTCTGCCTGAAGAGACCCCACTCTGTAGCTGTTAGGAGTGCAATCTGAAAGCAGACCAACCTGAGTTTTAAATCCCCGTACTATTCCTAACCTTCATTGTGTGAGGTGGTGTAAATTAATTCAACGTCTTTAAATCTCAGCTGTTTCATCTGTAAAAAGAGGGGAGGGAATAATAATAGGACCTACTCCAAAGGCCTGTTATGAGGATTAAACATACATTCTATAAAATGTGCAACACAGCTGGCTCCTGGCAGCTAGTAAGCCTCTCTAAATATTAGGGGCTATTATTATTTTTATTATCCTTGCTGCCTTCCTTTTCTCTAATTAAAAAAAAAAAGCTTTAATGGTTTTGCACTCTGAGTTCTATAATGTAAATATTTTTCACTAAAGACAAAATATTCATCCTAGTTTACATCAAGAGGATACATTTTAAATATGGGGCAAAGCTGGCACAGGGTATTTCTTACATAAATATTTTCTTGAAAAAGGAAAATAGGAGGCAGAACCCCCAGTAGGCCCAATTTCCTCTCTAATCTTCATTTTAGTAACCCTTTCTATTCCCTAAATAACTCCTAATGATCCAGTAATGTGTTAACAGTGACAGCTGATGCCAGAAAAGGTGTTCTCTCTGGGCCTGACATTTTCCTTAATGGTAATTCTAACTAGTTAAGGTAAACAATGTGAAATGTTTGGCATATTTTTTCCACAAATGGTAGTGGAGCGGAAATCATGAAAAGCCTTGTAAAGATGGCAAACCGATCTAGTGTAGCTTTGACAATTCTGTGACTGCTGTTACAAGGGGAAATAATAGAGTTAAACATCTAGGAACCCTTACCTTTGGGACAGTTGATAAATTGAAGGCATTTTCTGATTGTGCTTTACTTTAGATTAACAGTCTGGAAGTTTTCAGATTTAAAGAGCAAAGTTGTGTATCATTAAAACAACAAGAAGACATGATACATGCTAAGCTGCTCTGTACCCAAATATTGCAAGTAATCTTGGTAGCTCTATCTTTGAAGCCCAGTTTCGTTTACATTCTCCACTCTGATTTACTTTAATAGTCAAACACTTGGGTGGTATTCTCTACCTGCAAGAAACCTTGGAAGTAGTCTGGTTTAGGGTCACCAGTTTACAGATGAGGAAACAGGATCTCTCATGTAAAGGCTTTAAATCAAGTCTTGTGGTTCCCAGTAGTGTTCCTTTCCTGAGCATCCCACGCTGTCCTGAGTGGCTTTTGCCCTTCCCTTCATTGCCTTTGTTCCTGCCATCCCCCTACCCGTATTCATGATATAGCTGATCTTTTGGCATTCCTAACACCTAACAAAAAGAATTGTAAAATTCTTTTTGGAGGTTAGATTGAAGTCAAAGACTGGCCTGAATTTCCCTATAAATTGGAAAAGAAGTTTTATATACTGTGTGGCTCATGAATTAAGATCCTTTGCTCTAAATGACAGTTCAGAGCAGACTATTGTACAGTATTTTGCTTGCAAATATCTAGAAGTGGATATGTGATTAATTTGCTGACAGACCATCTCTGAAAGCAGTTCTAATGATGGACTTATAATTGATGGCATCCATCATTGAGAACCTAAAATATCCCCCTCCCTAAATTAAAAAAGATAAATGAAATAAACTAGGCTGAATGTATAAGCTGACAAATCTGAGGGAATTTAATGAAACTCTAAATTACCACAGCCAACAGATAAGAGGAAAAGGTTCCTTTGTTACTGATTATAATACTAAATTAAAAAAAAATTATCCAAGAAAGATAGTGGGGGAAACAAAGATCTGTGGTCCATGTATCAAACGAAGTTATTGAAATATTTTTAATAAGTATATCTATCTCATTCCCTGGTTATTGTTGATTCATATCAATCTTGTTAGTGCTGTTCGAAGACTAGTAAATGCGGGAACCGTCCTGTAGGATAGCTTAGATGACTGCTGTTGTAAGAGATTTTAGAATTAATATGACCTTATTTCCAGACTGCTGGGGGCTCCATACCAAATTCAGGTCATTCAAATGAGCTTTTCGGAAGGTGGTTCCTCAGTGTATAAGTAATTGTATCAGTTACTGTGCTTTCAGCTATGTATGAAAAAGACCAACTGAAAGTGACTTAAACAATGGATATTTATTATCTCCCCTAACAAGAAGTCCTGAAGTAAGGCAGCTGCAGGGCTGGCTGCTTTGGTGGCCAAGGACATAGTGGTAGCTTGGCATTCCTCCTTGTTTTTCCTTCCATGGTTGTAACATGGCTGAAGTGTCTTAAGTATCTTATCTTTGTACAGTGATACCTAGGGTTGGGAAAGGCACCTTTTCTTGTTACTATTCTTGCAGAAAATTGTTCCTAGTACTTCCTTAGTTTTGTCTCATTGATCAGACTTGTCACTGATAAGGAGAATGGAACAGTTCACTCAAATCAAGAGTTACCCAGTCTCTTGAACAGTTCATGCCTGCCTGCTGTCTGATTAAAATCAGTTCTAATGCCAATGACAGAAGAGAAGGGCCCCTTGGATAGGCAACTACAAATCCACTTAGATGGGCTATTGAAATTTACTGTGAAGGAAGTTTTGTGTTTTCTGTTTGTAACTTATTTCATTTCCTAGTTAATAAGATGAATGTGCTTCACCTTCCTTTTGCATTTTACTTTCTGCTTCACCTTTCTTTTGCATTTTACTTTCAAGTTTTACTTAGCTTGATATACTCTCTGCCTTCACCAGGACTCTGTCTACTAGTGACGATGTCGAAGACAGGGAAAATGAAAAGGGTCGCCTTGAAGAAGCCTACGAGAAATGTGACCGTGACCTGGATGAATTGATTGTACAGCACTACACAGAATTGACGACAGCCATTCGCACATACCAGAGCATCACAGAGCGCATCACTAACTCCCGAAATAAAATAAAGCAGGTATTCCTCCTTTCTGGTCTGATGGTGGCAGCACTTCCCATCACTATAGGTGTTGCAGCTTGGAGAGGAGCCATGGTAGTGGCTAATGGTCCTTAACAAAGTGATTCAAAATGCCACTTTTCAGGAGTTCTGCAGGTGTCTGGAAAGGCTGGTTGGGAAAGATCACAGAAGGCATCCTCGGCTGATTTCTCCCCTCCCCTGTGTCTTATCCTTGGTTCTGCCATTATTTCTCACTGCAGTGTGGAATGAGACAAGCAAGATGGCCTCCATTTGCTTGTGTCTTACGATCCATCCCTAACAAACCAGAAGGCATACTGGCCCTTGTATTCTCCATTCTCATTCTAGCAGTTATTCTTGTATTTCACACATCTAAACAATAAAGCATAATATTCTGACTGTTGATTCAATGCCTATTCTGAATCTTAGTGGCTGACCTATTGACACTCACATGAATTGGAGGGCAGCCAGTCGAATACCCTTTTATCTGAATCCAAACCACAGAAGCGAGAATGTCTCCTACATTGAAGTTGGTTGTGACTTGCCTGCATTTATTGTGCATTCTTGGTATTTTTTGTGAAGTGAAGAAAATTTAACCTACAAATTATTTAAACATAAAATGAAATGTTTATGAGAACAATTTTTTTCTTTTTTTTTTTTTTAGAGTTGGAGCCTTGCTCTGTTGCCTAGGCTGGAATGCAGTGGTGCATCACTGAAGCCTTGAATTCCTGGGCTCAAGCAATCCTCCTGCCTGAGTCTCCCAAAGTGCTGGGATTATAGGTGTGACCCACCATGCCTGGCAAAAAACCAAAATTCTTGAATATCATGCTTTAATTGTGACTAATGTGTATTAAGTTTTATTTTGTAGTTTTCATGTTTTGGAACAGTTTTTCTTTTATTTGTTATTTTTCTCTCTTTTTCTCTTCCTTCCTTTCTTCCTTCCCCCACGTTCTTTCTCCCTGTCTCTCTCTTCTCCTACCCCTCCTTTCTCCCCTACTTTCTTCCTTTTGCTGTAGGTCCTTGAGAAAACTCTTGGTTCTTGGGTCTATGCCTTTAGTACCTAAAGGATAAAATGGGTTTGTAAGGAGTATTTTCATAATTGGCCAAAGGATGAACTGATCAAATAAGGGTTATGTAGTATAACATTATAGTTATGTGGTTTTTAGCTGTATTTTTGAGATCACTCCTTTAATACCATTTAGTACTACTCTGTGATAAATAACAATAATTGCCACCACTTATTGAACACTGATTCTTTGCAAGGGATGATTATGTCCAATCATCTCAATGAATTTAGAATTTAAACTCTAATCTCCCAGATTCTAAAGCCGTTGTTGCTGATTTTCAGGCATTTTTAAAGCAGCAGAAACTTTTTTTTTTAATGTGATATTTTGCAGAATACCAGCATGTCAGTCATTAAGAGAGGCAGTGCTCTCCTCTTCTTTGGTTTTGGGGTGAGAGGTCCAAAGCATCATACTTGGTTCCCCCCACCACTGTGGGACTGAGTGATGCATAGACTATGGTTTAAAATTCACTGCCCTGTGCTATGAGATTGGTTAGGGGACTGGCTGGCCTGTATCTGCCCAGTAACAGCTGTGCATATGGCATCTTCATGTTTTGTTTTCTGTCCATTAGACTTATATTATGATTTTGTAAGCAGATACATAAATTATGCTTCTACAAATACTGATGATATATGACTTTCAGCTTCTAAGAGTTTAGTTCCAGAATCAGTATGCTCTTAACCTTTTTGGAAGCCATGTGTTGACCTCTTTATATTTTAAAATTAACTGGGCATTTTTTTTTTTTTGAGACGGAGTTTAATTCTTGTTGCCCAGGCTGGAGTGCAATGGCGCGATCTAAGCTCACTGCAGCCTCCGCCTCCCGGGTTCAAGCGATTCTCCTGCCTCAGCCTCCCGAGTAGCTGGGATTACAGGCATGCGCCACCACGCCTGGCTATAACTGGGCATTTTTGAAAGGAATACTATAATTCTTTGCCTTTACAAGTGCTGAGTTCATCCTATGGATTTATCTGTGAAACTAGTTAAAGTTATAGATCACTTGCTCTAGATTTAAAGTAAACTGTAGTCCATTTTGACCCAATATACTAAGCTCAAGAGGGGTCAATGAATGTATAGAGCTGCTGACCTTCTGGCTTTGCCTCAGGTAATAACAGCAAAGGTGAAGGACCTCATGGTATTTGTATTTTCTGATTAGTCTGGTTGACTGAAAAGACTTTGTCCTAATCTCATGGGCATGGGAAGCACCAGCAGTGATTTCTGCTTTGCTTCCCATCATTCTGAGTCGATAACATCTTAGCCGCTAACAAAGAATGTTCGCCTGATATTGAAAAAGAGCCTTGTCTTGATCATTTCACATTTGTTTTAGTAGCCACGTTTCTTACCATCCTCATTTTCAGTATGCCAGAGTTTTGAGCAAAAGAAAATAACAATGAAAACTTTATTATATCTGATAATTGTCACGAAAGTAAATGTCATATTATTCTGGGTTATGAATTAGCTTCAATATTGGGTAGAGAAATAAAGGGTCAGAGCTCTTTTCAAAAGAGCCTTTAATAATTGATTAATGGGAAAATAAAAGGGGGGAGAATGAAAATGAATTTGTTTTTGACAATTTTGTACCATGACAGTCCATTTCTTGTCACCAAGGAAACACTGATGTTTTCTCACTAATCTTTTCCTGTCATTTTTGGCTTTTAATTACACTTTGGATTATATATGAAATATAGGTGTGTATTTTTTTTAAAGTGAAAACATGGATGATTCAGTAACGATTGGGCTACGTTATCTCAGAGCCAAGCAAAATGTTGAGAATGTGTAGATCTGAGTTGAAATTTTCTTTCTATTTTCTGCCAAAAGAATAAGGATTCATGCAGCAAATATCTGTTGAGTGCCCGCTATGTTGCTGATTGTGTTTTAGGTGCTAGGGCTGCACAAATGGGAAACACCAGTTCCTGTCCTCAGGGAGCTTATGTGCAAATGAGAGGATAGAAAACGAACAAATAGATAACGTTGAACAACATTTATGTAGTCTCTATGTATCGAGTGTCTGCTTTGTGCTGAGGATTGTTCTAGATTTTCAGGTGTAGAAGTGAAGAAAACATAAACATTTCTGTCCTTGTGGAGTTAAATTCTAATCAGGGGAGACAGACTACAGACTATAAGTGAATATATAAGTAAAGTGTGGTATAGCAGATGGTAAGAAGTGCTACACACACCCCCACCCACTCACCAGGGAGGGGAGACTAGGGACTTGCTGTTTTAGCTGGGTTGGCCAGAAAGGGCTTCACTGAGGGCCCATATGAGCCAACACCTGAAGGAGGTTAGGAAGAGTGTCAGGAAGAGCATTCCAGGAAGAAAGGAAGCAGGTGCCCAGATCCCAAGTCAGGGGCATGATTGGAGGTTTGGAGCAGCAGCAAGGTGGTTGATGAGGCTGAAGCAAAATGAGGCATGGGGAGAGTGGCAGGAGAGAGATGAGAGAGCTAGGGCATGTGGTGTGGTGGGTGGGTGTAGGGAAGTCACGTAGGGTCTTGTAGGTCACTGGAAAGACATTGATTTTAACTATCGGTATAATGGGAGAAATGATTGTAATGCTTTGAGCACAGGAATAACATGATGTGGCTAACATCTTTTTTTTACTATTATTATACTTTAAGTTTTAGGGTACATGTGCACAACGTGCAGGTTTGTTACATATGTATACATGTGCCATGTTGGTGTGCTGCACCCATTAACTCGTCATTTAGCATTAGGTATATATCCTAATGCTATCCCTCCCCACTCCCCCCACCCCACAACAGTCCCCAGTGTGTGATGTTCCCCTTCCTGTGTCCATGTGTTCTCATTGTTCAATTCCCACCTATGAGTGAGAACATGTGGTGTTTGGTTTTTTGTCCTTGCGATAGTTTGCTGAGAATGATGGTTTCCAGCTTCATCCATGTCCCTACAAAGGACATGAACTCATCATTTTTTATGGCTGCATAGTATTCCCTGGTATAGATGTGCCACATTTTCTTAATCCAGACTATCATTGTTGGGCATTTGGGTTGGTTCCAAGTCTTTGCTATTGTGAATAGTGCCGCAATAAACATACGTGTGCATGTGTCTTTATAGCAGCATGATTTATAATCCTTTGGGTAGATACCCAGTAATGGGATGGCTGGTCAAATGGTATTTCTAGTTCTAGATCCCTGAGGAATCATGATGTGGCTAACATCTTAAAAGGCCCACTCTAGCTGCTGTGCTGGGAATAGATTTCATTGGAGACCAAGGCAGATGAAGATGTTCATATTTGTGCATTGTCACCTTTTAAAGCTTGAGACCACAGAACTGTTTATGCTTGCCATTTGAGAGAGGGTCTCTCTCCATCACCCGGGCTGGAGTGCAGTAGCACTATCATGAATCGCCATAGCCTCGACCTCCCACACTCAGGTGATCCTCTTGCCTTAGCCTCCTGAGTAGTTGGGACCATAGGTACATTCCACCATGCCTGGCTAATATTTGATTTTTTTGCAGAGACTGGGTCTCCCTATGTTACCCAGGATGGTCTCAAACTCCTGGCCTCAAGTGATCCTCCTGCCTTGGTCTCCTAAAGTGCTGGGATTATAGGCGTGAGCCGCTGTGCCTGGCCTACATGTCTCATTTTTTGACATTACTTTCATATATTGATTTACATTATATTGGTAGATTCTATGTTTTTGAGGATAAAAGTGAGCTGACAGATGGATTTAACTTTCTTCCCTGATGGTCCAAGCTTTTTTAAAAAAATTAATTATTGATTTATTTTAGAGATAGGGTTTCACTCTGTTGTCCAGGTTGGAGTGCAGTGGTGCCATCATAGCTCACTGCAGCCTCAAACTCCTGGGCTCAAGGGATCCTCCTGCCTCAGCCTCTTGAGTAGGTGGTATTACAGGCACTCACAACCATGCCTAGCTAATTTAAAAAAATTTTTTATAGAGACGAGGTCTCAACAGAAGGCTCATAGGCTCAGCCTTGATACCATGTACAATTGATCAGGTCAAGTAATGTGGACAATAAGCAAAATAACTGGGCAGTTCTATTACTTTTGAATGCATTGTACAATTGCTCAAAATGAGATGTTATTGCATTGGTAAACCTCCAGTTCCATAGGTTCTGCCAGTGTCTCTCATAATAACAACTGATGGGCTTATTGTAGCAGCAGCACCAAAAGAAATGGATACGAGTTGATACAAATTGGGGAGTTGGGCCAAATGAATTGGTATGTTTCTCTGTGGTGTACTAGGTGAATGAGATGACCTCAGATTTCTTTAAAGTTACAAAGTAGTCTAATGCTTATCACTGGAACAGGGTAGGTTGAAGGGAGATACTTGGCTTTGTTGAGATGTGCACACAAACACTTAACATTTCATCCCAATTTTGACCACCCTATTGGTGCTAGATCAAGCTCTGAATCTCATTTTTTTTGCCTATAATGAGAAATAAGGGTACACGATTATTCAAGTGAAGTTGTTAGGGCTTAATCATTGAGTAATGAAACATTCATTATTTGGTAGATACCTAAAATAATTCTGGCTTTTAAATGCGATTATACCTTGAAAGGTAGAATTAGAACGAGGAATAACCTTAATATAAAAAAATGTCCTAGTAGAACAACATGGTTTGCTAGGAAGTTATTTACAGCCCAAATATAAGATGCTGCTTGTATGAGAAAGGGAAGAAGGCCTTTGGTTTCTAGAAATGGACATGCTAAACAGTGGGTAATAATGAGATATAATTTTAAATGCGTGCAGCACTCTAGAGCACATTAATGCAGTTGCTGGAACCATGAGGTGATCTTTCCATTAAGTTCAGGTGTGTGTGTATTTGTGTAAAGGAAGGTATTGGAAAGTGTTGAGGGGAGCCTCTCAGAATTTCAGAACTTAGAGTGGCAGCTGAAAAAACCCGGGGAAAGAAAGCACAGACAGTACAAGTTTGAAGGTAATTTAAAGATGATTTGTAGTTCTAAAAGGCTTTTAAACAGAACAATGAGTGGTATTTCCAAGGTTCGTTCTTTCCAGGTGCTTTCTAACTAACCTGCACAATGTGCACATGTACCCTAAAACTTAAAGTGTAATAATAAAAAATAAATAAATAAATAAATAAAAAGAAAATTCAATAAAATACATAATAAAAATGTATCATTAAAAGTCCAGAAAAAAAAAAAAGACTCCATGGAAAAAATTGGGTTGGTCTCTTACGGCAGGAGAAAACCTATGATAGTACTTATATGTAGATTTACTTTCGCCAACAAAATTCAACAAAAACAAAGAAGACATCTCAGTATTTTATACTTTTAAAATTAAGAATGATGTCGACACATTAATTTTCATTTACTATCCTTGACTCATAGATAACTTTTTAGGATATTTCTAGTCTGTAGTTTCAATGAGTTGTTTGCACATTGTTGTATTCTATTACAGATAATATGCATGCTCAGAGGCATTTCCTCCCTTCTTTATCTTTTCCTTGATCCAAATTCAGTACTTTTCTTTTCTATTTTTTTTTTTTTTTTGGAAAGAGTCTCGCTCTGTTGCCCAAGCTGGAGGGCAATGATATGATCTCGGCTTACTGCAACCTTCGCCTCCCGGGTTCAAGTGATTCTCCTGCCTCACCCTCCCAAGTAGCTAGGATTATAGGTACCCACCACCACACCTGGCTAATATTTCTATTTTTTAGTAGAGATGGGGTTTCACCATGTTGGCCAGGCTAGTCTTGAACTCCTGACTTCAGGTAATCTGCCCAACTTGGCCTCCCAAAGTTCTGGGATTACAGGCGAGAGCGATCACGCCCAGACAAATTCAGTACTTTTCTGATTTTATGACTTAAAAGTTATGGTCTTCCCCAGGCCTGTGTCCATAAGCCCCTCTCACTATATAGATCTCTGGTCTTCCTCTCACAAATGCTAAGGCAGTTTTATTCAAAGCCCCACTTAGCTTTTCTCACCCCTTTATCTTTTCCAAAAGAGGGCTGCAAAAATTTCAACTTCTCTGCCGTCTGTATCATCTCACATTTCTATTCACAGTAGCCTCTTGGGCCCTGTTTTCTTTCTTTTCTCTTTTTCTAATAGCCTCTAGTTAGGGTGACTTGCAGATTTTGTGAAATTGTAGCTATTGCTGAATAGGTGATTATGAGCAACTGTGAAGTTACTAAAACTCTGAGAAAGCAAAGGAAATTTGTCTCTGACTTGATATCATGGTTTGAACAACCTTTTCACCCATTTGTTTTAGGAAGAAACAGAGTAACATAATTTTTCAATCTTAATTATACTTATAAATTAAATAGAATGAAATGAAAATACTGTCATCACATTTATAAAAGTAGAACAGAGTTTTGAGAAATAAATGTTTCAGTGTAATTTGATACTTTTCTAACATTTGAATGTTATTCATTGATGGGTATAGCCCTGTTCCTATTAAAAAAACCTTTTTTTTTAATTTTTAAAAATTGACAAATAAAAATTACATATGTTTGTAGTAGAGAGCATGATGTTTTGAAATATGTATACACTGTGGAATGGCTAAACCAAGCTAATTAACATATACTTCACCTCACATGCTTATCAGTTATTTGTGGTGAGAATACTTAGAATCTACCTTTTCATCAATTTTCAGGCATACAATACATTGTTATTAACTGTAGTCACCATGTTGTGCAATGGGTTTCTTGAACTTACTTCTCTTGTCTAACTGAAGTATTGTATCCTTTGACCAACATCTTCTCAACCCGTCCTCTCACCCTGAGCCCCTGGTAACTACTGCTCTACTTTATGCTTCTATGAGTTTGACTTTCTTAGATTCTACATGTAAGGGAGATAATGCCAATATTCATCTTTCTGTGTCTGGCTGATTTCACTTAACATAATGTCCTCCAGGTTCATATGTGTTGTTGCAAATGACAAGAGTTCCTTTTATTTTTGAGACAGGGTCGCACTCTGTTGTCCAGGCTGGAGTAAATGGTGCAGTCGGCTCACTGTAGCCTCGACTTACTGAGCTCAGGCGATCCTCCCACCTCAGTCTCTCTGCTATCTGGGACCACAGATACTTTTTTGTGGAGATGGGTTTTCACCAGGTTGCCCAGGCTGGTTTCAAACCCCTGGGCTCAAGTGATCTACCCACCTCAGGCTCCCAAAGTGGTGGGATTACAGGTGTGAGCCACCATGCCCAAACAGATTTCCTTCTTTTTAAATGCTGAATGGTATTCCATTGTGCTTATACCACATTTTCTTTATCCATTCGTCTGTTGATGGACACTTACGCTGCAGTGATCATGGGAGTGCAGATATCTTTTTGACATATTGACTTCAATTCCTTTTGATATAGACCCTGTAGTGAGATTGTTGGATCATATGGTAGTTCTATTTTTTAATTTTTTGAGGAAACTCCATACTATTTTCCACAGTGGCTGTATTTTCCATCTTTATTGAGGTATAGTTTACGTACAGTAAAATGCCATATTTTCAGAGTGCAGTGCAATGAGTTTTGGCAAAGGTATATATCACTGAATGTGTTACCATCACCCCAGAGCTCTCTCCTGCCTTTTTGCGGTCAGTTCTCTCTCACATCCTGCTCCAAGCAACTGCTGATTTGAATTCTGGCACTACTGATTAGTTTTCCCTATTCCGGAACTTCGTACATTATTCCCTCTTTTGTGTCTAGTTTTTTTTGCTTGCCATAATGTTTTTGAGATTCTTCATTGTTTCTTCCTTTTTGTGGCTGACTGACCCTATCCCCCAAGTTCTAAAATAACATTTTTCATGACTGTGACTTTCTAATCATAAAGCAGAAGGCTCAGGGCAATTTAGTATTAAAAGTTCCTGTAGTTTCTTTGGTCTGTAGCTTTGTTACCTCGGTTTAGAGAATTTTGGTGTGGTCATTTTCTACACAGCCTGATGCTAATTTTTTATCCCCCACAAATTCTATTTCGCTTTTCCTTCCATGTAGTAAGCAAAAGTGAGAAGTGAGCTGATTACATTGCACATATCCTAGTGTGAAGTGACACAATTGTCTTTTTCCAATCAGATAGGAGTTTGCCAAGCTTTACTGACACCCTGTAAGTTTGTCCCTGACTCTTGATCAGGAGCCTAGTTGGGTGTTGTATAACATAAGATTTATTTTTAACTGTTTCCATAGTAACCGTTACACATAGAGGAAAAAGCTGAGAACTATAGTAGCAAGGTGATATAAGTAGGATATCAGAAATCAGATTCTAACAGATTTGAACTAAGATTTAAAATGGAATGATTTAATAGCTGGAGTCCTTAACTCAGAGACTAAGAACTCCAGTGGAATTTAGGAATGGCTTTGAGAGATATGTTTTATTTTATTTTATTTTATTTTTTTGTGAGACGGAGTGTCGCTCTGTCGCCCAGGCTGGAGTGCAGTGGCCCGATCTCGGCTCACTGCAAGCTCCGCCTCCTGGATTCATGCAATTCTCCTGCCTTAGCCTCCCGAGTAGCTGGGACTACAGGTGCCCGCCACCATGCCTGGCTAATTTTATTTTTGTATTTTTAGTAGAGATGGGGTTTCACTGTGTTAGCCAGGATAGTCTTGATCTCCTGACCTCGTGATCTGCTTGCCTCGGCCTCCCGAGGTGCTGGGATTACAGGCGTGAGCCACCGTGCCCGGCCTGAGAGATATGTTTAAAAGTCAAATAAAGCCACAAATGATGATAAAAGACTGGACTCTCCTACCTCATCCTACCCCGGTCCCAGTTCCAACATCTCAGAGATGCTGACTTTTACTCTTTTAGTTTTTCTTTTTTAGGTATTTCTATTTCTAATAGTATGCTTGTGCTGTGTTTTTTATTTTGAATGTTATATATTAACTTCCAACTATGGAAGATGAGGACTTAGCCCCCTTCCCAATCTCTCCCCATCCCACTACATCCTCTTCCTTCATCCTCTCTATATAGTTGTATTCTAGTTTTGGTTAAATAGATGATCAGTGCTTACCTTTTTATAACTACACTAATATGTACATCTAAGCCATACAGCATACTGTGATTATGTTTTGTGCCATTGCGTTGTTGTTTTCCTGGAGTTACTGATTGGATAGTCCTGTTGCCTTTCTTCTGTATTGTATTTCCTGGATCCCTTGTTTCTTCTCTTCTGTTTTCTCTTGTAGTGGTGGAACACATTCTTCAGTAGTTTGCTGAGATATGGTGCATATAAAATTGAGTTTTTGAGAGCTTGCAAACCTGAAAATATCTTTATTCTTTCCTCATACTTGATTGATAGTTCTTCTGGGAAATACTTATCTCTTAAAATTTTGAAGGTATATCATTCCTTTGTCTTCTAGCTTTTAATGTTGCTGCTGAGAGAAATCCGATGTCATTCTGATTCACAAGGCTTTGTATAGGTCCTGTTTTTTCCTTTTTTTCTTTGACAGCTTTTATGATTGTCTCTTTATCCCTTGTGTTCTTACATGTCAGAATAGTGTGTCTTGGCTTGGGTCTTTTTGACTTCCATTTTCTTGAGCACTTGGTGTGCCTTTTCAATCTGAAAACTCATGTTTTGGCATGTTCTGGCCTTTTTTTTCTTTCTTCTTCTTTTTTGTTTTTTTTTTTCAAAAGAGCTGGAGTCTTGCTTTTGTTGTCCAGGCTGGATGCAGTGGCACTATCATGCCTCTCTGCAGTCTCAACCTCCTGGGCTCCAGTAATCCTACTGACTCAGCCTCTTGAATAGTTGGGACTACAGGCATGTGCCACTATACCCGGCTGATTTTTTAATTTATGGTGGAGACAGTGTCTCCCTGTGTTGCCAAGGTTGGTCTTGAACTCCTGAGCTCCAGCAGCCCTCCACCTTGGCCTCCCAAAGTACTAGGATTATAGTAAGACACTGCACTGAGCAGGCAGTTTTTTAAAAAAATTATTTAATTATTTTTTAACTATTTTTCTCTACTCCATTTGTTTCGCTTTTCCTTCCTTGGAACTCCTATCTGGTAAGTGTTGGACCTTTTGGATCAATCCTCTTGCTTTGTTTTACCTCCTATCTCATTTTTTGGTGTTTTCCTGTTTGGAGATTTCCTCAAGGATACCTTCTAACCTTTCTATTGGAGTTTTAAAATTTCTATTTTAATTTCTAATAGTTGTTTTTCATTTCTTGAAAATGTTTATATCGTCCTGTCCTTGGTTAATTGATGTAATAGCTTCTGTTATTTTTCCTAAGGATGTTAATTATAGTTTAACAAAATTCTGTTTCCTGCATAGTTTCTGTTCCCCCGTGTCCTGCTTCAGTAATTTTCTCTGTTTTGATGCCTGCCATTCCATTCTGCAGGCTTTCTGTGCATGTCTGATGATCCTTGGCTAACCATTTGTGTGTAAGAGGCAGGCACTACAAACCTGATTGGAAGCTCAGAACATGTTATGGAGCTTGTCCATAATGATTGGGTAGGGACTCAGCAGTTTCTTCAGTGAAACCTCAAATGTCACTATCTGTATAGGTCTTCACTTGGACCAGTTCACTTTCCCAAGGGAGAAGCCATATGTCTCTTGTGTTGGGGTGAAAAGTCAAGCTGTCAGTGTTTTGGAGCCTAACTATTGACGGAGACCGAGGGTCCATGGGGGCTTTGGATCGTACTGTTTAATATGTCCCACTTTGACTTCATCCTCCTGTTTTCTGTGCAGTGTCTCATGCCTCCCTCTCAACCATGCCTGGCATTTCCTTGTCTAGATCCTGTCCAATTCAGTTGCTCCCAATTTGGCCAATGCTGTGGGGGAGGAAATTACCCATGTGTGTGGCTTGATGGGGATTTGGGGCTCAGAATACTCCTATAGAAACTTTTAACTCAGTACCCCTGCCATTAGTATACTTGGTGCCTCCTTTTTGGTGTTAGTAAATCCTACTCCAGGCTAAGGTTTTCAGATTTCTCTGGCCTGCTAATTTAGTTGCCTACTGTCCATCTTCTTGCTAGCTTCCACAGTTTTGTTACCATCCCTTATTTGCTGTTCTTCCTCTCTGTTCTCTCTTTATGCTTCAAAAAATTTCTTTGGTATTACCTTGGTGGGATTGCAGGAAGGAGTAGAAATAATTGGAATCATCTTCATCAGATTTACAAAGAGGTCTATGACCCCCCAAATTAATAATCAGTCTATTATATATATATATATGTATATTTTTTTTTGAGACGGAGTCTTGCTCTGTCGCCCAGGCTGGAGTGCAGTGGCACGATCTCGGCTCACTGCAAGCTCTGCCTCCCAGGTTCATGCCATTCTTCTGCTTCAGCCTCCCAAGTAGCTGGGACTATAGGCACCCGCCACCATGCCCAGCTAATTTTCTGTGTTTTGTTTAGTAGAGAGAGGGTTTCACCGTGTTAGCCAGGATGGTCTCGATCTCCTGACCTCGTGATCCACCCGCCTCGGCCTCCCAAAGTGCTGGGATTACAGGCATGAGCCACTGCGCCTGGCCTACTATACTTATTAAGAGAGGTTACAAGGTCTTCTTATTAAAGACTTTTTTTTAACATGGGAGACTTTCATAGAAGCATGATTTAGGTGTTGTCATGAAGTCGTAGGAAGGGATTAGATGCTTTCTCAAGAAATCTTTTAATCTTAGCATTTTGTCCTCATATTTTCCGTACTTGTTGGATGAATGTTGAAATTTAGTTTTGTAATCACCGGAGGCATAGTGTCAGTGAATATTTTCATCACCACACCAAGTCTTGTAGAAGAACAATACAGATTTTCAGTTACCAAAAATACGGTAGACTCTTTGCACTGATGGACATGTCCCATGTATTGATGAAGGTTTGGATTATACAGGTGGGCGCATTTGCCAAAACTTACCACGTGGTACACTTGAGATGCATTCATGGGTAAATTTTACCTCAAACAGAAGCCAGAAACAAAACTGTAAAGAAATATTAAACTCAAATTTAAATAAAAATACATGTGAGGACTATCAAAAATATATGAAAGTAGTTCTGTGAATTTTGAAAGATCATGGTTTTTAAAATTTTTCCATGTTGAAAAAATGGAAAATTTTCAATTAGGGGAGCAAATAAAAACTTATTCCTATCACATGCATCACAGCTACCTCCTCCATTCTTCTCCTCTCCCTTTTATTTTGTCATGTTTTGCCTATGCTAGTCACTATACTATGCAGATCTACAGGTGGTGGAGATTGTCTTATTTAATATCTAATATTCAGAATGCAAGGCAAAAAAGCCTTGGTATGTCCTTTTATTTTCAGATTATCTCTGGATGTGCCTACTTTCTTTTGGAAGCTGGGGTTACTTTTATTTTAGTTAGGTTGAGCACTCTGTTTCTTGGTTTTAAACTTTAGCTGGAGTTCTAGAGCTAGAAGCTTGGACCAAGTGACCTATCAGCTGGATAGGAAATTTGCAAGCATTGGGGAAGGTATAATAGCATGGACTCTCACATTGATCATTCTCCTTTTAGATATATTAATATTTATGAGGTACTTCATATTTTCAGAGTGCTTTCTCTTTAGTAATGTTTTCTAGATTCACTCAAAGGTAGGTTGGGAGTAGTTTTCTCATTTCATGGGAGTGAAATTAGAGAGAGGTGGAGATGTGCCCAAGTGAGTCTATGTCAGAACCAGGATTAGAATTTTGGAGGCAGACCAAGGAGAATAAGTGGCAGTGGGAATTAGGAACTGCTGCATACAGTAGTACCAGTGAAGACTACTAACCAGATTATAGGTTTAGACTGGCAAGACTTTGGACTGACCCAAGACCGAATCTGTTTTATTGTAGGTAAAAGAGAACCTGCTTTCATGCAAGATGCTGCTGCACTGCAAACGGGATGAGCTTCGGAAACTGTGGATTGAAGGAATTGAGCATAAGCATGTCCTGAACTTGTTGGATGAAATTGAGAATATCAAGCAAGTGCCTCAAAAGCTGGAACAGTGCATGGCCAGCAAGCACTATCTCAGTGCCACTGACATGTTGGTAAGAGAACAGCCTGTGCTAAGGGTCATTTTTGTTAAGATGTAAAAGCACTCTCTTTTATTCTCTCTGAATCCTGTAATGCATGTAGCACATTACAAACTGCCCTCTTGGGATTCATGAGCCCTTGAAGGTGAAGCCTGGGTATTTCTCTAATTCCAGTGTTTGAAATGGTAGGTAATTATTATTTATGTATTATCTGTCTTTGTAACAATGGCAAGAAATATAATAGTAAGAAACCAGTACTTAAATCAGGTTAGAATGGTAATGAGAGGTGTTTTTTAGCTTCAGAGGAAGATAGTTAATGAATCCCATTTTAAACAATGAAATCTACATGAGACAGAACTTCTGAAGATTTATAGACTAGTGTTCCACACATTTTTTGAAGGAATTTTTACATTAGGGCTTTGTTCTTTTCCTTGAAATTGATAAGAAATAAAATTTTGGGAGACTAATACTGGAAGCAACTTTATTGACCAAGAGTACTCCACAATCTAGCCTTTAGCCTCCATCTTAGTCCATTGTGTGTGCTCCTTTTTGAATTGCTGAAAGTTCCCAGAAGGATGCAATTGGTGGTTCATGTGGCTGAGCGTCAAGAAGATGAATAAAAAGTAGAAATACAGAGTTTGCTCCCTAATAATCCTCTTTCCCAAGGCCTGTGGCTCTTAGAGAGGGCTGCTCTTTCTCCCTTCCCTTTTACCCACCCAGTCCCACTTCCATCTCATTCAGAGTTGGTTAAGGAAGCTCTCTATAGGAGCTCTGAGCAGCAGATGGGCTGTATTTGAATTGTTGTTTTTTCCTTCCCCACAGTAGGTGAAAGTCCTTTACCTTTGTTTCACCAAATTAGATTGGCTTTAACACTGGAAAAAACACTGAGGGGAATTGGTAGGGACACAGATTAAATGCTCTAAGTGGTTCTAATTCATTCAGACTTCCAAGAAGAATTTTGCTAAAAGTCCTTCATAAGAAGCTTTTTAAAGGAAATTTGGTAACCAAGGAGTGAGAAGTGCCATGATATTCTATCAGATATTAAAACCTGGTTATGTGATAAGACTGAATGGTCAATTTCCACAGTGGAAGGAGATTAATAATGGTTGGCCCTTGGCTGGGAGTTTAAGGCTGCAGTGAGTCATGATCAGGTCACTGTACTCCAGCCTGGGCGATAGAGCAAGACTCTGTCTCAAAAAGAACCCCAATAAACAACAAAAAAAGATTGACTCTTGGGAATGACAAAAGAATTGGTTATTTTCAGCATCTTATTCAAAGTGGCAGCTTCTTTAATAATAATGACTATAGGGTGTCTGATAGAAAAAAATTACTTTTCACCTTTAGTGTTGATTTATGCATTATGAATGCATACTTGTCCTATATTCTCAAGATTCAGCAATCAGAATAGATAAGCAAGTATACATTTGTGTAGCAAATATACATCTATTTGAATCATGATTTTTTGGAGTGGGCTTGCTTTTAAGTAAGTGCCACAGATTAAAATAGGTTGTTAGAATTTATTTCTGTGTTAATTATGTTCATATTAGGATTTCAGATTTTTGTGTTACGGTCTTTGTTCTTAAGGGCTAATTTATTTACTTAAGGGCTAATCAATAATGAATACTGTCCCTTTTTTTCTGACATATTTTCCTCAAGACTCATTAAATAACTTCTTTAAATTCTTGGTTGTAAGTTACAGAAATTCAACTCTAGCTAGCTTAAGTAAAAATAATTGTTTGACTCATGTAACCAGTCTGCCAAAGGAATAGGCATGTATGTGGAATGTCACCTGTGTGTTTTCTCTGCATGCCCTCTTCATTGTTCTGCTGAAGACTGGTCTCTTCATGTGTGAGGGAGGAGGTTGGGTATTGAGGGAAAACAGGGGGCATAGGCTATGTCTACATCTTTCCACCTTTACAGAAGAAAATAATCTTTTTTTTTTTCATAATTCAGAAATCTAGGGTTAGGAGCTAGATTGAGCCAGGTTGGGTATGATAATCATCAATAAAACTATCTGGTTGGGGCAGGGGGCGTGGTATAGGGAGGAAGAACAGTCATGTCCAGAAAAGAGTGAGTTTGTAAGACACATTTTCCGGAGGTTTTGTTTCGTTTTCTGTTTGGTTGTTTATATATTCTAGATATTAATTCTTCTTGTCTGTTAGATATCTTCTCCCAATTGGGGATTTGTCTTTTTCCTTTGTTTATAGTGTCTTTGTTATAAAGAAATTAAAAATCGTAATGCAAAACAATTTCTCAATTTCTCAGTATTTTTTGTTATGTGATTTTTTTTTTTTTTTTTTGAGACAGGCTCACTCTGTTTTCCAGGCTGGAGTGCAGTGGTGTGATCTCAGCTCACCACAACCTTTGCCTCCTAGGTTCAAGTGAGTCTCCTGCCTCAGCCTCCCAAGTACCTGGGATTACAGGTGTGTGCCACCACACCTGGCTAATTTTTGCATTTTTAGTAGAGATGGGTTTTCACCATGTTGGGTCAGGCTGGTCTGGAATTCCTGACCTCAAGTGATCTGCCTGCCTTGGCCTCCCAAAGTGCTGGGATTACAGCCGTGAGCTACTCTGCCCGGCCTGTTATGTGATTTTTGATGCAAGAAAATTTTTTTTCCATCCCAGTGTTCTAAGAGAATCTCCTATGTTTTCTTCTTTAACCCGTCGAAAGTCCATTTTTATATATGGTATTAACTGAGGATCTAATTTTATCTTTCTTCTATATAGTCTGTTGGCTCAGGCTGTTTATTGAATCCTTTTTCTACTGATTCATGATGCTATTTTGGTCACACAGCAACTTATCACATATGCATGGATCTGTTTCTGAGCTCTTTATTTTGTTTTAATGGTGTTATTTGTACCTGCACCCAAACCATGCTGTTTTAACTCCTGTAACTTTATAATACATCTTGATAGGAGGTGAAGAGATTCTCTCATCTTGCTATTCAAAATTGTCTTTGTGGCCAGGCATGGTGGCCCACGCCTGTAATCCCAGCACTTTGGGAGGCTGAGGTGGGCAGATCACGTGAGGTCAGGAGATTGACACCATCCTGGCCAACATGGTGAAACTCCATCTCTACTAAAAATACAAAATTAGATGGGTGTGGTGGTGCATGCCTGTAATCCCAGCTAGCTCAGAGGCTGAGGCTGGAGAATCACTTGAACCTTCAATAGCTAATTGATTGAATTTAAGAGAATTATCTTTGCAATGTTGTGTTCTTATCTGTGAACCTAATATTCCTTTCATTTATTAAAATCTTCATTTGTGTCCTTTGATAATGCTTAGCAATATATATAGTCCTTAGAGGTATCATATGTATTTTGTTAGATTTATTTCTGGGTATTTCATTTTTTTGTTGTTGTCTTTTAAAACAGTAGCTATTTATTTATTAAGGTTTCTAGTTACTGGTTGCTGGTGCATAAGGATGTGATGTATTTTTCTTTTTTAATTGACCTTGTATTTCCCTGAACTGATTCCCAATACTGTCTGCCTGGAAAGTGATGACTTCTTTTTTAAGACCTGGCTCAAATTTCATCAACTCTCTGAATGTCCCAGATATTCAGATAGCTAGGTGCTTTTCTTTATGTTTCCATAAGCTCATATGTTTCATTTTAATATAATTCCTTTTGTTTGTGTGGTAGGTCATTGAGGATAGTGGTTGTGTCTTACCTATTTTTGTCTGCCCTGTTCCCAGCATAGTGTAGCTCATACAGTCAGAGTTCACAAATCATTAGCTAAATGGGTGACTATGTGGAAGACTGTAATACCACTACAGAGAGAAAAAGGTATTTCTTTTGTGGGAGCTTTGTTCTGTTTTTTCTTCTCTGGTTATTTATTTGTTTATTTATTTCTTAATGGCAAGGTTCTCTAGTGTCTAACCTTCCCTTTTCGTAGTAATTAAATGAATGACAATGATAACAATAGCTAATATGTATTGAGCACTTACTATGTCCTGGTACTATTTGAAATATGTTACATTTGTTAGCTTATTTCTTTCAACAACTCCACTTCTGATATTACCATTTTATAACTTTGCATGTTCTGAGGAGTTGGCATATCCCAATAAACAATGATTTGTATATCCCAATATGCAAAAATTTCGTGGAGGTAGGATTTAAAGTGCACTTAAAAGGTTGGAGATATCTTCAACTTGGTCTTTTGTATATAAGATTGAGTAGTAAGCTCTATAATTGCTCTTTCATTGGACTTCACATGAAAAACAATCACATTTTCTTTCTCCATGGTTATGTACTGTTAGAAGTAAAATCTAAGGCATCTCAAGGGTCCAAATCGAAATCTTTGCTAAAAGACATCAGAGGAAAGTGAAGACAAAACAATCTAGTCCTTCAAAACCCCCTGATTTCCTTGGATTTGTTTGTCAGAAGATTTTGCATTTCTATTTTAAGGCAGATGCAGATGCTTAGTAATTTAATCCCTACTCAGAATAGATTAATAAATCCAGAGTAAATAACTCCATGGTGACCCATTGCTCTTGGCAGCTCCTGCTATTCCTACTGCACCATCAGACTGGTCTGGTAGCTATAGGCTTGGCTTTTAGGTGAGATATTTGTTTCTTCTTTTGATATGATAACCGAGTATTGCATAAAATAATTAAATTGTCATGACAGGGAATGTCTGCAAATAGGTCTGGCCTTTTGTTTCTTTCTTCAAGGTAAACAGCTGCTGTTGGCTTATGAAAAGCTAAAAATGATCCAACAAGAAGCCTGTATCCGTCACATTGAAATCAGAGACTTGATTAATATTGTAGCCTGTAGCTTTGTGATATGTACGGTTTAAATTAGACCTTTGCAGTCATTGTGCTGGGTTGATGCAAGCACATTAATGACATAATTTCTGGTTGCAGCATCACATTTCTGCAGTCTGTCCTTTGTATTCCACTCACATTAATTGAAGTAATTTTGCCAGTGAAGCGTGTTTCAAACCTCTGCATTTAAATTGAAATTTTAATTCCCTTATTGTCTTGAAAAGACGGCTGAAGATGCCTTGTTACAGGTTTCATTATCACTCAAAACACTCCAGCTGCTGGTTCTAATGTACAAAGAGTGATTAATTCTGGGAAGAATTATTAATATAAGAATAGCAGCTTCTTCCCAGTGGCATGAGCCAACCAGGAAGGTATTTCATGATAGTTAATATTTTCATAAACTTTTTTTAAGGGAAAATGTGTGTAGAAGTCTGCATCAAACTAAAATTGCACAGATGAGCTTTGAAAACCACTTACACAAGTTCTGATTTATCATCCCATAGAAGTCAATTCATAATTGCATTCAATCAGTGGAAACCAAGCCAGTGCAAATAGTTTTGAAGCACTTTAGCTGACAGTCACAAGGCTTGTGACTAAAATAATTTCATTTCTAAGCCTTCCTGAGATTGTAGAGATTTTGAATGTCTCTTAATCATTTTGTCTGTCTTTATTTATATGCCTTTTAAAAAGAATCCATAGCTGTATAGTCAGATAAGGGTTATTATGATAATTATAATAACAACTTATATTTATATATCTGCCTTCTTCCCAGAGGATCCCAGAGTGCTTTGCTGAGAGAATGGTGTAATGAAATTATTTCACTTACACTGTGTAAATGTGGCCATATCTGGGATAAAGAAATTAGGGCAGCTATTTAATTGAATAGTTTTCTAAGATCTTATGTAATAAAATAAATATATTTGTAGTATTTTTAGTTAACAAGATCCTTTGGAATTGGATAACATGGTGGGTTGTGAATGTCAGCATGGGTCTTAATTTGGGTTAGGTCGTCTGATGCTTGAATCCCAGCTTTGACTCTTAGTAGCTGGATGACTTATGGTTAGTAAATTATCTTTGCTGAAAGCTGGAGTTAAGAATAATATGTATCTCCAAGGGTTGTCGAATGGATTAAGTGAGATATTAAACTGTGTACATAAAGTATATGCAGTATAAAGTTTTTGAAATGTTATTTATAATCGATAAATTTTACTGATATTGTAGGAAATGATATGATGATTGCTTCCATGTTATAATCTCAAAAACTGCCTTTGAGGTGGACTTCTTTTGAGCTAGTAAAAGTTGAAGTAGGGTTGGATTAAGCAGTTTTGATTCCTTTTCTTCTTGGCCTAACATGGATGTACCTAAATGAAAAACCAGCCCACCTTTTTTAAAGGTAAAGGAACTCTTGTGGGTGGATAGGGTTTTTCTCAGAAAGCAATTCTAGTCTTCTCTAACAATTCTGTGTTACATTTCTAGGATTTGGCATGGACAAATTTCAGATTATGTGTTATCAATTACTTACTCGGCTTACATTAAAAATATGTTCATAGGGTACCCATTGATTGTATAATTCTGAGCAATGTAATTTGTTGGTAAAGTATCCAAGATGAGCTTGTAAAATCTACTTTTAGGTAAGTAAATATGTTAATCCACTGGGTATCATCACTAGATAAAAGCCAGATCAGTACTGGAAGATGTTTGTCGTCAGAACATTTTAGTGTTAGAAGAGTTGGTGTTAAGCTGTTGTTTCTGTGAGTGCTTAGATAGCAGGACCAGTGGACCAGTGAGGTTGCTTCTATTTGTGTCAGTAAAGCTGTGTCATTAGCAAATAGACTGATCTTATTTTCTCTTCTTTATGCGCAAGGAATGGGTGATCATGCATCCACTGAGAAATGATTAATGTGCAAGCAAGAAAAAAGGGAGCCAAAACATACATACATCCCTTTTATCTGGCTTGAAAGTTTCTGAGATCTCACAGAACTGTTTTTTCTTATTACTCTGGGAAAAGTATCGATGTGAAAGCTCTGTAGATAACAGGAGCTGGAATATTCTAGTGAGCTTATTGGACTAAACCTGAAAGTGGTTCAGTGACTGTAAAACAATGTTCCAGTATTCCGTATGGATTTTCCACAACATGATAAAAATATATCAGTGATCAATAATGAAATAGCCATTACTAAAACCCATCTGTTCCTAGTGTAGAAGAGCAGCTTGAAAGACTGAGGCCAATATTCTAAGCTAATAATTTATCAGGAAAGAATCTGGCACATATTTTGATAAAGAGACAAATGATTGGGTCTTTAACATGTGATAATGCCATTGTTGATAACTTCTGTTGTTTGTATGTGTATGTGTGAAGGTGGCCTTAACCTTGGAGGATATTACTTGCTAGTGGGAAGAGACAGATGGTGAACAAATAGTGTCTCTCATATTATGTTAAGTACTATGGAGAAAGCTACAATAAGACAGGGAGACTGGGAGTATTGGGATTTGGGGTAGGGATAGTGTGGTTTGCTATTTAAATAGGGGTGGTCAGCTGTAGCTGCTTTTAGCCGCATTTGAGACCCCCCTTCATTCTTCTCTTGCCTTCAAAAAGATTTAGGAAAAGCTGAAAACAAAATGAGTAATTTTGTTTTTTTATATCTACAATTAAGTGAGTAGGTTTGTGACAGTTTTATTTTTCTCTTATAGAGTAGAAGTGCAGGGGTTTGTGGTAGCTGTTTTTCATGCTGCTCAAGGCCCTTTTTATTTATATTTGTTTTTGAAGGCTGGGGTTTTTAGAAACTAGATTGTTTGATAGGCACCTGGTTATTGTATTAGTTTTCCTTTTTTTTTAAATTTTGCTTTTTTATCTGCTATTCATTTGCCTCTTTTAAAGCCAATGGAAATTCTGTTTTATTGCACTAAAGCCTACGAGGTTCAGCAATTTCCATTTGGCTTGCTTGGCTATGGGGCAGTGATTCCCACACTGCACATTAGGGGATCTTGCAAGAATTCTAAATTCAGGTCACATCCCAGACCGGTTAAATAAAAGTCTCTAGGGGTGGGCCACTGACTTCAGTTATTGACATTCTCCAGGTAATGCCAATATGCAGGCAACATTGGAACTATTGGTGTAGGGTATAGCTTGTTCTGTGGAATTCAGCAAAACTTATTGTCCTTGTCTTCATTTAGCAACAGTGGTAAGTAGTTGGAAACCAAGTATTTATGTAAGACACACATCACATGGTGATACTCACATTTATGTAGAAGTTTATTGTTTGAAGTTGCTTTGTGGCCATACTTTATTGTAGTTTTGGGATACAGCTAATGAGTATTTGGCTTTTATTCTGATTTTATAGTCTGATTATTTGGTCAAATCGGTTTAGTAGTTAAATGAGATGATTTAGTAGTTAACTCACTTAGTTTTTAAATGAGATGATTCTCCATGTTTGGACTGACTTGCACTCTTTAGAACTGTCATTTTGTTGCTCTGATTTGTGCATCTTTGCTGTGGGTCCTGATATGACCTACTGCAGGGATTTAATGGATTGAAATTAGAGAATATGTTTATTAATTTACAAGTGGTGACTATGTATAGTGTGTCATAGTGGAAACAAAGTGGATTTAAAAGCAAGAAGTTCTTAATTCTAGTCCTGATTCAACAACTTACCAGTTCCTTGAGCTTAGATAAATAAATTACATTATCTCTCTGTTTTAGTATCCTTATCTGTAGAACAGATAAACAGATACTTACCTGTCTACTTTATAGAATGGTTATGAGAATAAAAGTGAAATATAGTACAGGAAAAGTGCTTTGTAGGATATAAAGCAGTATAAAAATTTAAAATGGTGTAGGTATCATCGTCGTCATTTCCCCATGCCAGGTAAAAAGAAAATGCAGGAGTCTGGGCTTGTTTACACTGAGCAGCATTTCTATTCTGGTGCTACCATCATTAATGCATACCGGTTTTAATCAGATAAACCAAGTGTGACTGTGTTTGCACACTTGAGTGTACAGGAAGAATGCTCTAAGTCGAGAATAATACCTAAGTCGTTTGCTGCCATCCTCCATCATATTTCTGGTTTCAACCTCACATACGACCTTTCTTGAACAGATTTTTGATTGGTCAGTCTGTGGCCAGATGGGAACTAGATGTTTGTGTAAATTGCAGCTGATGACAACCCATGTTGTTGATAGGGGACTTCAGTCTGAACTTGATGATGGTCTGAGAATGCTAATGAGTAGCTTTTGCTTGGCTTGACAAGATAGGAGGAGCTTGTTAAAGAAGTCTATTTTCTCTGAGATTCATCCCAATACTAATTACTTGTGGTTGCCTAGCTCTTGAAATGAAAAACGCCATATTCCTCTATCATTCCTTTGTGGGATTTTAATAGTTCACGTTAGTAAAGAGCTGTGTAAGTGCTGAGCATTTCTAATGGATTTGGGGCTCTTGCAGAGTGTGGGCGAAATTGTCTTGATTGAAGTGCGAGCCTGAAGTGATTCTGAGACCTCCTTTGCCAACTCTTAAAAAGAGAGTTGTTCTGTAACTTTTTCTTGTCCCAGAGTAACAAATAACATGACATGGTGAGTGACTTTAGGACGCTTGTTAAAAGAGAATGGCTTTTCTAGTGGTCTCTTCTATTGGATTTTGTAGTAGAAACCTAGGTTTTAATGCTCTCTTACAGAGCACTGATGGGAACTGGGAATTGAAGGGACCATGAGGTTAGGAACAAAAGAGGTTTTTTTTCTAAGCTTTCCTATGAGCAGTTTACAATTATCTTTCTCTTACCGTGTTACGTATAGTTTAATTTCTTCAGGAAGGTAATTGTGAACAGATCTGTTACAAGGCCTTTTAGAAGAAATAAGGCTCTCAATGTGGAATTATGCATCAGAACCCCTAGAACTATGCATAGCTTAGGACTTGAGATCTACTTCTAGAATTTTATTTTAAAGAAAGAATTAAGAATTATAACTGTTTTGTGTTACAAATATGTATACAAGGATACTTATCACAGTAAGATCTATGAAAGTAAAAAGATTAGCAATGACTTAAATATGGGGAATTGGTTTAAGTCATTGTATAGTCATACTCATGGACTAGTATGAAAATACTAAATATAATGTTTAGGGATAGGCACATGCTCCCAGTGTATTGCCAAATGGAAAAAACATGTTTAAAAACAAGTATTTTTGCAAACACTTTGCATGGAAAAATGATTGGAAAGAACTAGGTTAAAATATTATATATTATTGCATCAGATGAGTGACAATATGATGATATTTTTCTTTTGTAATTTTCTATGTTTTTCAAGTTTTCTTGGTTGAGTAGGTATTATTTTTGTAATTTGGGAGAAATGCCAAGCTTAAGAAAAAAATACCATTCTAGGCCTGACTTTTTTTTAATCTGTGAAATTAGGGTGGGACCCCAGTCTTGAAAACCTTTAAAGGTCTCTTTCAATAGAAAGTTCTTAGTTTTCATCTCTCAGATACTGCCGTTCTGTGAGGCTCAGGCTGATAGGGTATGTTAGAAGACTTGGCTGTTGCTACTTTAGGAGGGGAAAAAAAAGATTACTTTCGCTTTAATAAAATATGGGAATTATTTGTGGCAGAATGCACTGATGTTTAAGGGGGAAAAACAAAAAACTAACAACAAAAGAGGGAACCCTGAAGAATGCTTAAGAATAGCTTAATAAAATGGTATGCTTTTAGAACAAGTCCGCATTTCATGGTAGTAATAGGGTGAAATCTTTCATGAAGGAAGAAGTCACATTTGATCCTGTTTTCGAGTTTTATTTTCCGAGATAGATCTGAAGATACTTTAAAGAATAAATTCACAAGTAAAGGGCCTTTTCTTTGACAGCACTTTATCTTGCAGGCCCCCCTCCCTTCATTCACTTATCAATAACTTCATCTAATTTGCCTTATCCTGTAAATTCCATTATCTCCCTGGCAGTCTATTGCATTAAGCCCTTAGTACCTAATATCGCCTCATTTACATTGACATATGCTTGACCTCAGTCCTTCTCCTCTCTTTGTTAATGCACCAACAAGCACTGATATCTCTCTGGAGCATTATCATTTGCTGTTAGCTCAACTAATAACAACCCCTCATTTGAGCTGATGAAGGTTTATTAAATAAAAACATGCAGTAACCCTGGCAGTAATGAAGGGAGAAGGGAGGTAGACAACATCCTTTTTTTAATGGTGAGAGTACACCAAGTCTGCTTTATAGGTATTGGGTTTCCTAAGGGAGATAGGGCACCTGAATGGGTCTGATCAATATTATTTTATCAGGGTGATTTAAGAATGGGCATTTTTGATTGTCTTACTTGATCACTGTTGATTAGCATATAGGCTGAGGAGTTAGGAGAAAAAAGTATTCTTGCTCCAGGCACTTGGCCTTGCTCCTGATGCAGCTGTCTTTGGAACTCTGTCTTCAGTACCAGACTGTCAATAACCCTGCAGCTTTCAGGCAGTGGCAAAGCTTGGCCATAGGGAGCCAGACACATCATCTTAGTCTTCTCCAGTGAAACTGAAATCAGAGGTTGTTTTTCCCATAGATCCCGCAAGAGTCCCTGAAATCTTCACAATAGCCCTGACCCTTGAATGAATCCCCTTTATTTTCCCTTTCACGTCCCATACTCTTATTCCCCCGACCACCATTTGTACATGAAGTCCGGTCTACTGGTGTCATGCTGTAAACAAAAGTTACGTGGATGCTGTTATTAGGTTTGTATTAACAGTTGGGAATTTTGGGTTCACTTGCTTGCACATTTATGTCACATACATATATATTGTGGTATATTCTACTAGTAAAATTGTTCCTAGTTTATCTGATGCAGTTAAATACATAGAGTTCTATAAAGGCTACAATGTACTGCAAAGAGTGCTGTGATGTCCCAGATCTATCAAAGCTTTCAGACTTGCTGCTACAGCTGTTAGGTTGGACCATAGGAAATAACCAATATTTGATCATTTTTAACTTGTAAAAACAGTATTTTCTTATGGTTCAAGTTAATAATATGATAGATACCATTTTTTTTTTCTAAGCTTCATTGTTTGTTTTACTAGTTTCTGTCTGATAAAGATAAAAATTTCCGACTTGGGAAAAATAAGATGTAGCAATGTAGAAATAGTTGGTGAATGAATGATCTGGGATTCTTGGCTCCTGTGTGATAAATATCTTCGCTGCTTGCTTAGACGTGAGTCGGAATCATTCCACATTCACTGGGAGACCTGGAGGCTTCTTGTGCCCACCCAGGACTCCCTGATCCTGAAGGTGGACACTTGAGGGTGGAGGGCCCTCTAGGGGAGCAGGCCCTAAAACCGCTGGAGGTTGCCTTCCAGCAGTGCAGGGGCAGGCAGCGGCAGGTAGGTGACCTGGGCACTAAGTAAATCTAGGCTTCAGGGCATGTTTCTTTTGTTCATACAGAGATTTTGTGATGTTCTTATTTATTGAATAGTTGAGACTGCTCAAAAAGTTTGTTTAACTGTGTCTTATGTATATGTAGGAAGGGGGAAGGTATCAATTCTCTGGAGTAGCCTAATTTTATATCTTTTTACTGCAACTCCAAGGTAGACCATGGCAACATTTTCAGAATGGTTATGTTGTCTTGCTAGAAAAATGCTTCCTTAAGGGAGATTTACTGACCTAGTGAAAAGTGATAAAACATTTTAGAACCATATAATTTTCAGAGTCCTCAAAGAAATATTTGTTTTGGATTCAACAATGGCAATACATTTGCTTTCCTTAGGGAACAGTGTTGCCAAAATAAGCATTTTCGTTAGCTACCAGATGGTTTAGTTATCAGTTTTGTTTTTTGTTTATACAGCAGTTTTTCTTCTTTTTTTGGCTTGAACCTTATTTCTATTCACAAACAGTTACTGATGTCGTTTATCTTTGTGTGTCTTACTCACCTCAACTAGAAAAATAAAAAGATCAATAGTTTCTTTTACAACATTTCTTCAACAAAGCAGCTGCTGAGAATGGCCAAGTTTAGTGTTCCTCCAAAATATTTACAGTGGTTCATGTCAGAACACAAAACTAGATCTTTTTACATGATAAGCGTGATTAAGATTGGCTAAAGACAAGCATTAACTAGGAAATAATTATTTCCTGTATTTTACACTAAAATGAAGTTGAGAAATAGACATTGGGAAAGAAAATTTAAGGGTATGGTGGTTCCTAATTGCAAAGATTTTCCTTTGTTGTAGACTTATATCTCAACTCAGGCAAATTTTTTTGAATTCTTGATTATATACATTTTAACTGTGTGTTCAAGCTATTCTTTTAGTTATAGAAACATTTTTTAGAATTTTTGTTTTCATACATGGATAGGTTTCTAATAGCAAAACATGCTTTCCTGTTCAATATCATGTGATAAAACATTTGGAAAAGGTTTGCTTATCTTCATAATCCTAAAGGAAATATTTATTTTCAATTCTAAAACAGATTTCTATTGTCTATCTGAGCAGTTTCCAACTGTGTTGACTAGAACATTAATATTCTGTTAGATGGTAATAGGTGTTCGGTGAAAAAATTCACTGGTAGTCATATCTGTTTTCCTCCAAAATGCATTTAAAAATACTTATATCTGTCTATATATATGAAGAATTCTAAATACATTTAGGTGACTCATTATTATATAGTAATCTAACTTAAAGAAACTGTGAGATATACCTGATAATTCTAGGAGGTCATATTAGAGATCATTTGGCACATGAATGCGTGGTGTTTGATTTGTGAATAGGGGAATAGACAGCATTTACCAATTCACTGTACTGTGGATGTTGTCTGTTTAGTCTTTCATCTGCTATGTTTTATCCTGTAATTTTAATATATATTTGTGACATTATTCAGTGTTGCGTGTCACACTTATGAACCTGTTTTTTTTTATAATTTCTTATAGCAGCTACCTACCCTGTGAGACTGTCTTGTTGCTGTCTGCATTAATCCAACTGTGTCTCTTTAATTTCTGTTAATCTTTCATCAGTGTGTTATTTAAAATGTACTCTGTAGTCATTACATTTGGAAAAGTGCAGTAATTTATACAATGACCACTTCCCATACATTAAAACAATCTTTTTATCATTAATTATGCACATTCCTAAATACAGACGATTATTTTATTATTTCTAGTAAATCTCAAATCTTAGTAAATACCTGGAAACCGTACCTCCCCAGTACAACAGAATTGACTGTCAGCGGTAGTCTGTTGGGTTGACTGCTGCCTCACTAACTTTTCCTTTGTGTGTAAAATTTATGTTTCAAACTCCTTAAAACCAGATAAGATTAATGTTAGGGCTGGGCGCAGTGGCTCATGCCTGTAATCCCAGCACTTTGAGAGGCCAAGGTGGGTGGATCACAAGGTCAGGAGTTTGAGACCAGCCTGGCCAACATGGTGAAACTCTGTCTTTACTAAAGATACAAAAAATTAGCTGGGCATGGGGGCAGGCATCTGTAATCCCAGCTCCTCGGGAGGCTGAGGCAGGAGAATCGCTTGAACTTAGGAGGTGGAGGTTGCAGTGAGCCATGATTGTGCCATTGCACTCTAGCCTGGGCAACACGGCAAGACTCCATCTCAAAAAAACAAAAAAAAGATAAATGTTAGGTTTCTAAACATATATTCTAGAGAGCAAATGTTGCATTGACAACTATTTTCTTTAAATTGGTTTGAGTACCACTTAGTATGGTTAGAGTAAGGGAAGACAGTGGCCTTGTCCAGCTTCCATAATTATAGCTTTATAAATAGACTATGAATAAGTGAAGGCCAGAAAATAAAACACAGTGTTTTCTTATAGAAATAAGAGACTATTCTCTTTCCTCTTTTGTGGTAAGGTTTTCAAATTTTTGAAGTTCTGAGACTACCTTTGATAATATATGTTATTATGTTATCTTGTATTTTGGGTCAAGGAAATATATTCAAAGTTTGTCATTTAAACAGTTACAATGGCTCAAAGAAGGAAGGAACACTTACTGAAATTGCTTCACTAAAACATGTTGGGAATACTCTCTGAGGTTTCTTTACTCATGGAATAAATAGGTACTGTTAAAAATAATTTCAGTGAGCACTCAGGAGCTGCCAGGCACTGCGCTAAGTGTTTTACCTGAATTTTTACTTTTAATTTAATTAGGTGACTTTGAAAGTTGACACTTGTCATAAAATTCTGTATTTGGAACATGTACTGTTTGGGTTAAAAATCTTCATGTACATTCCTACAAACAAATCAAGTGTGGATGTGCAGTGGGTGGTTTTTAAGCTTAAATATCTCAGCTGGATTTAATTACCTTAAGGGATAAGGCTACGTGATGGGCCAGTGGTTTACCAAATTATTTTTCATTTTCTGGATCTCAGTGTCACTGAAAGTTAATGCATCCTCTTTCTCTGCTAGAGACCTGAGTTAAAATCCATTTTAGGGCATAAGTATAAATGAATTTGTTGTTGTTTTTTCCTCCTTGGGGACACTGTGGTCATTTTGTGAGGCTGCCTTTCCATTTGGAATTGCTGGCAGCTTGCTCTGGGCCCAGGGGCTCTCATAGCAGGGGCAGTTGCAAGTCAGCGTGAAAATGAACTGGTAGGCTTCAGAGGGCAGAGCTGGCCCAGGGCTTGTCACTCTCCCATTCCTTGATTCTTTCTTGGTTAACTTAAGGAAACTTATTTGCTACTGACATTTGATTATAGCACATCACAAAACAAGTGATGTGGTTGTGGATAAGCCATCACATTTTCTTTACCATTTCAGGCTGGTTTATATTTGGCAGCTACAAAGGTTTCTCTGTTCACTGTCCACAGACTCCTAGATGACTCCTTAGACTGCTGTAGTTGTGTGATCAACATTTTTGATCACCAATGTGTTTCATGGCTTTAATTACCTATTGTTTTAGTGTAAATGGTTCATTCTTTAGGAGCGTGTTTGTATCCATAATTACATTTAAGGGTTTTACCCTGAAGTATTATTAGTTATTTCCTTTATCTGTACCTATTAGGAATATTTAGTATAACCAAAGCAGGGAATAATACGCATAGCATTTCATCCCTGAGGGAGCTCACTTGTGTTCTTTCCCTCTAAGCTCATCCTGTCATTTCTATTTTCTCTCAAAGAATAGCACCTAGAGTATGCTCTTTAAGTTTTCTTTGAAAAGATACAAGATCTTTACACATAAAAACAAACATAATTTTGTGTACATGAATAAATGGGATCATATCATGCATGCTGTCTTTTTTTTTTTTTTCCTTTGCAGATGTCACTTTGAGTTTCAAAGTGAGTTGGTTGCTCCAGGTTCCCTGAATCCTTCATGTTCTCCATTTATTGTAGGCATTCCTATACCAGTTTGATTTATCCAGTCCTTTTGTCTTGAAAATCTCCCAAACCACTTTGCACCGGGAGTATCTTCCTCTTCATGTTTTGTCTTCCAGTCACCATTCATATCCCGTTTCTTCTATCAAACTGAATCAGGACAAGGAGAGGTGATGACTACTATTGTCCATTTGTAGCATTCATGTAAAAAAATGTATTTACCTCTGTGTGATGTGTATTTGAAAAAGAGTGAGAGAGAGCCCGACTCTTGGTAAGCACAAAGAGTCATGATTGCTGTGAGAACAAGTTCTTTTTAAAACATTTATATAGTGTGCTTTTTTTTAAAGCCTTAGTTTAAAAAAGCTAACTTTGAGTAAAAGTTGATTAAACCATTAGTACATGGGATTCTTGTGAGAATGTGAATGATAGTATCATTTAAATAGGGAGGTCTTTTTACACGTGTCCATTGACAGATGTGTGTGGGCATAAATAGTTTGCTATGGTGGTGTGTATGCTTTCATGTTTATCTTTGTCTAGATTGTTTTATCATTACCTAAGGTGAGAAAAACTCTCCCCTAGCCACATTATACTCTACGAAGTCTTTTATATGCTGATAAAGTTCTCGTAAGCTCCCTTTGTTAGTATCTTTTTAAGACGTCTTTCTTATTTATAATATTGCCAGGTTATTAAGTTGTACTTAATTGTCTTTCATTTTTTTCTCTTTTCAGGTGTCAGCAGTTGAGTCTTTGGAGGGCCCCCTGCTCCAGGTGGAAGGACTGAGTGACCTTCGACTAGAGCTTCACAGCAAGAAGATGAACCTTCACTTGGTTCTCATAGATGAACTACACCGGCACCTGTACATCAAATCGACTAGCCGAGTTGTGCAGCGTAACAAGGAAAAAGGGAAAATCAGGTTAAAGAGGCTCTTTGCTATAAGTGTCTTGTGGCAGTGTAGGATTGGAAGGAATATTTTTTGTTTCCCAGAATGTTGTTGTAATTTATTTTACTTTTCCTTTAATGGACTGTCTCTGAAACTTGAAGATGGTTTTATAATAGCAAATACTCCATGTTCTGAGAGGCTGACATTTGAAGTTTGTTCATTCATTCATTCTACATTTATTATGGTCCTTTTCTGTAAGGATATATAAGAAGCATTTACTGTGGGTCTCATATTCTGAATCAGAGACATTGGTACATCTCAGAAGGAAGTAGAAAAATTCTTAAATTGGACTGTGAAGTCAGCCTAATTAAGAAATGTAGATATATTGGCTGGGTGCAGTGGCTTATGCTTGTAATCCCAGCACTATGAGAGGCTGAGGTGGAAGGATTGCATGAGCCCAAGAGTTCAAGACCAGCATGGACAACAGAGCAAGACTCTGTCTCTACAAAAAAAGGGCCAAAATTAGCTGGGTATAGTGGTGTGCACCTGTAATCTCAACTACTCCAGAGGCTGAGATGACAGGATGGCTTGAGCCCAGGAGTTTGAGCTTCAGTGAGCTATGATTTCTCCACTGTACTCTAGCCTGAGCAACAGCGAGGAGACCTGGTCTCTTAAAAAAAAAAAAGACAAAAAGAAATATAGATGTATTGACTGAATGATAAGATTCTTTATTACTTAGGGTTATGTTCAGCTTTAGGTTGTCCTTTTTCTGGAATAGTTTAGGAAAGGTTCAGAGAGAACACTTTTATTCCTTGGTTGGTTGTAGCATAGCCCTATATTTAATGGCCTGGGTAGTCTCAAGAAATTCATTAGGTTAGTAGAGGCCTGGTAGGGAATAAGACTAGATCTTAAGATGGTAGAATATTGGAATTTTTAACATATGTTAGATAGCTGTGCATAGTACATGTCCTTCCAATATTCCTTTAGAATAGACAGATCTTTTCAGAGGGCATTTCAGCACTATCTACTGAAATATACATGTTCATGCTTCTTCATTCAGATATAGACAAGAAGAGCACTGGAAGCAGTGCACGCTGGGAATGAAGTCTTTCAAGTCTTATCCTGTTTGAACAAAAAACGCCAAATTTGCTTGTGATGCTTCAGTTTAATCAGAGATCCTGACAGAGAAAGAGAGGTTTCTACCTCTTTTCAGCAGATAGGCACTAGAAAAACTTCTGCCAGGCACACAGATTTGATATGTACCTGAGACATAACTTCAAGACTAGCTCTGAATAGGGTATCTGTCAGTACCTCAGCAGAGAGTGAAGTGGTGAATAGGGGAAGTGCTAAGGCATTCTTTCGACAATGCCTGCTGATAAATAGCAGATCTGAAGAGATTTCTTCCCATACAAGGTTAAGTAATAAAATCACTATGGTCCTGTGAAAATATTCTGTATTATAAGGGAAAATGAGCATTATTTGAGGTCTCAGAGGAAGAACATTTATTTTAAAAAAATTTCTGTAAAGCAAGCAAGAAACATTTAAGAGACTTAAGCTCAAGGTTTCTCAAAAAATACAAGAAACACGATGTAGTAGATTATTCAGAATAATCACTCATTTCCCTTCTACTTTTGTGGGAGAGGAGTATTTCCTACGCTTTTTGTTGGGGCCTTGGCTTTTGCCATCATTAGGGTACATGACACAAGCAGGGGCTTCAAACGTGCTTATGCTGTTGAGTGTGGCCTTTCGTGCCACTGCCATTGCCTTGCTGGCGGTCCCAGGAGAAGGGTAAGAGACACATGGAACTGACTGAAGATCAGCAGACCTGCCTAGCCTGCATCAACCAACCACCAAAATGTATGCTTATTGTTGAACATTATTGAGATTTTGTGGTTGTATACAGTAAGCGCATAGCTTCCATGAAAACAGTAACCGGGAGCTACAAGAACAGAGTGAGGAGAGATGCTAACAGAGCTAACTAAAACATGAATAAAATGTAAGGAAACCAAAATGAAGTAGAGAAATTTAAGTCTTTAAAGCTTCAGAGAGAAGATCTGAATCACTGATGTGGAGGGAAAAACTTTTCTTGATGAAGAGGAAAAAGACAAGATGCCAAAAGGAAGAGGATAAATATGAAAGATGAACAGTGGTCAATCCAGTGATTTTAGGGGTTCCAGAGAATCACACTAAAATGATAGTGTTTGGGGCTGAATTATGTTCCCCCTAAAATTCATATATTGAAACCCTAATCCCTGGTACCTCAGATTATGACTGTATTTGGAAATAGGGTCTTTTAGAAAGTGACTAAGTTGAAATGAGGTCATTTGTGTGGGCTCTAATCCAGTAGGACTGATGTCCTTATAAAAAGGAAATTTGACACACTTGGAGGGAAGACCATGTGAAGACACAGGGAGAAGATGGTCACCTACAAGCGAAGGAGAGAGGTCTCAGAAGAAACCAACTACGCCCACACCTTGATCACAGACTTCCAGCCTGCAGAACTGTGAGAAAGTAAATTTCTGTTGTCTAAGCTATCCAGTCTGTGTTACTTTATTATGGCAGTGGGAGGGAACTCAGACAGAGGGGATCAGAAGCAATAATTAGAGTATAAATAAAAAAACCTACTTAAACAGGAAAACAAGACCTTGGTCTGCAAGTTGAAAGAATTTAAGGTAAAATGAATAAAAAAAAGTTACTCTTAGATATAATCTGGAAATTTTTATGATTTTCAAAAACAAATTTTATAAATACCAGGAAGAAATATTATGTGATCTGAAGTGATAGAGATAATTATTTGCCCACCCAATGTCCATTCTTCCCTTCATTTTTAATGACAATCTTTATTTCGTTCCTGGTGGCTATAGGCCCAGCTAAAAGGCTGCATTTTCCATCTTCCCATATAGCTAGAGGGTGTTTAGTGGGACTTCATTTTGCAAGCTGTTGAATGGGGAGGTCATTAATTTTTTAAAGATACCAATTAAACTGGTATGCTCACTCTTTTACCCTTCATTTGCCTTTCTTTACTTTCTATCTGGGACATAGATTGGTGCCATCGAGCCGTCCTAGACACAAGGTGACCTTGAGGATAGAAGCCACATCTGAAACTCCATGATCACCTTGAACTTCTTTTCTAGCCCTGGGTGGGGTGCCTCTTTAATGTGAGAGGAAGTCTTTGTTTTACTCAGACCACTATTATTTGGTCTTCTTTTTATACACTTAAAACCAGGTCAGTTACACAGAAAGGAGCAAAAATCAGGCTCACCAGGATTTGCTGAATACTAAATGCCAGAAGACAATAGAACAAAATCTATAAAGTTGAATGGAGAAGAGTTGGGACCAAAGACTTTTCTAGCCAGCCAAGGGGACATTGATATGCATAGGTGGCCAAGAGATATTCTCAGATATGAATTTATAATAAAAAAAATTAGTATTCTTTTTCCGAGCAAAATTCTCAGAGATAAACTGTGAGACGTACAACCAGAGAACAATAAAGTTGTAGGTAGTTTGAAACAACTTTGAGGACCACATACCATTAAATAGGTACATGTATATATATATGTAAGTAACTGACAAATATGTTTTTACAAGATTGAGAATATCAGCTAAAAACCATTGTGGAAAAAAAGGTCAGCCGGGCGTGGAGGCTCACGCCTGTAATCCCAGCACTTTGGGAAGCCGAGGTGGGAGGATCATTTGAGGTCAGGAGTTTGAGACCAGCCTGGTCAACGTGGTAAAACCCCATCTCTACTGAAAGTGTAAAAGTTAGCCAGGCATGGTGGTACGTGCCTGTAGTCCCAGCTACTCAGGAGGCTGTGGCAGGAGACTCACTTGAACCCAGGAAGTGAAAGTTGCAGTGAGCCGAGATCACACCACTGCATTCCAGCCTGGGTGACAGAACAAGACTCCATCTCAAAAAACAAACAAACAAAAAAGGCTATGTAGTCAAGGAGTACTCTCTAACAGTAAACAGAATTTATATCCCTTTTTACTCAGTTAATAGTGACTAGGAAATTTGGATAGGTAGGAGAAAGGAATGCTGAATTCTTGCTTAAGATGAGTGTGAAGTTTTGTTTTCGACTTTAATAATTAGAGAAAATGTTTAATTTTGTTTTTACTAATCTAGATATGTATATTTAAAAATCAATAGAGAAGACAAAAATATTCTCTATTACAAAGGATATTGTACTGCAGCCCTCCTTTGTCAGCAGGGGATATGTTCCAAGACCCACAGTAGGTACCTGAAACTGCAGATAGTGCTGAACCCTGAATCTACCTGCACAGTAAATCCTCACTTAATGCCCTCAATAGGCACTTGGAAACTGTGACTTTAAGTGAAATGAAGCTGTAACTTCAAGTGAAATGACATACAGAAGGTCCTAGAATAACATTGTGTCCTTCAAGGTCCTCTGCTGATGAGAGAAAAAAAATTCGTTTCATTATATGCCAAGATTCTTGATTGCAAATAGAGGAAATCAGTCTGGGTAACTAAAACAGGAAAAGAATTTATTGGAAAGTTATCAGGTTGTTCACAGAATCTATGGGAAGTCTGTATAATCAGGCTCTAAAGCCCAGTAGGAACCAACGGAGATTAAGCAGCTGAGCACACACAGTCTTAGACAAGCCACAGGAAGGGTCTGTTTGGGTTGCTATTTTTGCTGGCACCATGCCCACAATAGCTGGATTTTAAACTCCTCTGTAAATGATCTCTAAATGTCCCTGCATCTTTCCTTTATCTCGTCAAGATTCAAACTTCTGGACTCAGGCATCCAGTTTGCTGAGCCTGGGTAATGCCTGGACTCCTTCAGCTTCCATAGTAGGAAGTGGGGCCTTCTTTTTGCTTTGATGCAGTCAGTGGGGATGGACTGTTCAGATGTTTGGTACCCAAGACAAACACCCAACAAATTTCTACTGCAAGAGAAAACAAAGGAAATCACATGAAGGCACTTACGTATAAAGAAGACCAGATGTTTTTGAAGTAGAAGATAGGCAGTAGAATTGACAAATGAAAGAAAGGTACATGCTCACATACAAAAAATAATAAAAATTTTACTTGGAGGAAATGAAACAAATAAATGGTGAGACTGTCCTTGTTCTTAGCTCATGAAGATGTCAGTTCCAGTTGAAAATTTTGAAACTGTCAAATGAAATCTAAAGTTCACATGGATGAATACATGCGTAAGAATTGTTTAAAAGAATTGTGAAGGGAGGTTATGAGGGGGGCATTTCTTATGTGATATCAAAGCATATTGTAAAGCTGTTTTAGTCAAAACAGTACAGACATGCAAAAATAAATTTTTTTAAAGAAAACAGTGCAGACATGAAGTAGAAAATCAGATGGGTGAGACAAAATAGAGTTGAGAAATAGACCCCAGGATCTATAGACTTTAGTATTTTGAACAATAGTTCAGCTGGGGGGTAATGAAGGCTATTTAATATATAGTGTTCAGACAATTGACTGTTGATTTGAAGAAAATAAATTTAGGTGTCTACCTCTTATGTACAAATGATTCAGCCAGATTTAAAAATCACATAGCACTGTATTAGCATTAGGAAAACGTGTAGGAGGATATGTGTGGAGGAGCCTTTTTCAAGCATATCAGAAGACATAAAGAAATATATTAAATGGTTTAACCATTAAAAAACCCAAAACTTATCTTCAGGAAAACAGAGTCAAAGGATAAACTATACTCTGAGGAAATATATGTATGTCATATAACGCTTTAATATCTAAAGCATGCAGATATTTGTAAGCTCAGTAAAGCGGGATATAGACTGTTCATAGATTAAAAATACAAATGGCTAATAAATATAAGATTGTTCAATATCATGAGTAGTCAGAGAAATACACATTTGAAAAATTAAATGCAGTTTTTTGTTCATAAGATGATCAAAATCAAAGACATTGATAGCATGTTATGATAGCAAAGATGGCGGAAATGCGTAGCTTTCTCTTGATGGTGGAATAACCAATATGCCTTTTTGGAAAATAAATTTGCATATTCTTTGTCCAGAGAATTTTGTTTCTAGGTCTACATCCTACAAAAACAGTACCAGTTCATAAAAATATATGTAACAAGATATTCATTGTGACATTGTTGGTAAGAAGAACAAAAATATTCAGCTTAAATGTTCATCAAGAGGAGTATGGTATATTGGTACCATGTAATTACAGAATTTCAGTGATAATGATCTCTATGTGCTGATATAGAAAGGTTTCTAAGGTGCATTTTTGGGTCCCAAAAGCAAGTTGAAAAATAGCATAGATAGTATGAACCTATTTGTGAAAGATTGAAAGGATAGAAACTTAAATATGTATACTTTATATATTGGTATAAATATTTGTATGTGTATAGAAAATGTCAGACAGATAATGTCAAAACACTGATAAAAGGAATTACTTGTGAGAAATGGAAATGTGAGGTGGGGAATAGGGAGGTAGAAATTCTTTTATTTCCTGTGTACATCATGAGCATGTTTTTTAAAAATAATAATACAATTACTGATGATCCTTTTGAAGATTTTTAAAAATGAAATGGGAAAATGTTTAGATTATACCCTTGAAGGGAAAAACTAGAATTCAGATCTATGCAGGATGATCAAAGAATGTTGAAAAAGGAGCATGCGTGCCATTTTTGTGTTGTGTGACGTGGGGGGTGGATGGACAGACACTCATTTTTAAATTTTTTTTCAAGCAGTCCTTGTACCTCAGCCTCCTAAGTAACTGGCATACCACTGTGCTTGGCCTTGATGCTCCTTTCTGTAAGATGTTTTGGAAGGCAGTATACCAAAATGATGTGAATGGATTATTTTTTTTTTAAGTATTTTCAAGAAAGAATTTACACCTTTATAATCGGATAAAATTAGTAAAAAGTTGTTTAAAAATAATTCTTTTATTTATTGCATGATCCTGGATAATACTCGGTTTAACCTTGCTTCCTCAGCCATCCTGGGACATCGTCTAGCTCATGGAAGAGAAAATTTGGTGTCCATATTTGTCTCTGGGCATGTAAAGAATGTTCTTCACTGCATTGTATTCATTCCCTAACTATTTTGTCTTTTAAAGATTTTTTTTCTGTTTACATATGTTGGTTTTCTTTTTATCTTTCAGTTCTTGTTTTTTTTTTTTTTCCCTCTTGGCTTAGATTTTAAATTTTTAGCCTCACTTTATTTTCTGTTACCATGTCTTCACCCTTGGTCTGTCATTTGAAACGATGGCTCTTTTTTACTTTTATACCCTTTAAATCATTCTTATTCTTTCTGAGTGTTCCAACAGATCTTAGAACTATTGAGAATTATTATGCCAGCCATTCCTGTTTCATTATTTGGTGAAGTCTTACTAAGGGCACGTTATCTTTGACAGATATTTCTTAGCTCAGTTTGATTTAACAAAATTTTATGAGCACTTGCTCTTTGACAAGTACTGTGCCAGCTGTTCTGGCTATATAAGTGAATATATCAGTTATTCGATTTACAACTTAAAGTTCAACTCACCTCTGTCAGTTTTTAGTTTCACAAAATTAGCCAAATGAGTTGCAGTTGTAAATTTTGGACATAGTTGAACCCATTTATTGTGAAGTGAAGGAACAGAAATATGTTATAATTAAAAAGTAGATGTTTAATAAGCTGTCAGCACTTCTAACCCCTCTTAAAAAACTGTTTTCGTATCATGAAATCTTGAAATCTAACATTTAGAAGCAGAGCTTTACTAGTTGGATGTTGGTTAATGGCCAGGAAGTCCTTGAGGTTACAGTGGCAGTGGTTGTTGCTTGTTTTGGGTTTAATTTGTTGTATACTTTTCCTGTCCTCTACCATGTTGCTATTGGCAAAATGCATTCAGTCACAATATATAATTGGTAATTTTGGGGGGACCATTTTATACTAGCAGGGATTACTGTACATCAGCTGTCTTTTGATCTCAGCTATGAATGATTCTGAATGGATTTAAAATAAAAATTTGTAATCATGTATTTAAAATGAAAAATAACTGTCAGTATTTCCAAAATAACGTTATAATTTTTATTTTATTTTTTGTTTTCAAAAAATGCTTTCTCTGAGGGATTAAAAACCCGTTGAAGGTATTAATTAATCAATCCCTTCTCAGCTTTATCTCTGATATGTGGTGAGAAGAGGTCTTTTTTTCTGTTGTGAAATGGAAACTGAGGTCCATATTACTTAATGCAATATTCTACAATAGCACCTACCTTATGCTGAGCTTCATTCATGTCTGTAGTCACAAAGTGAGTGGGTGTGCCCCCTTTCTCTGGAACTTTTGAGACTAAGTCCTTTCATAAAACAGCAGGAGAAAAACTAAAGTCATTTCCAGAGTTACTTGCCTTTGGGTTAGTGCTCACCAAGGAGAAAATTGAAGCTTAAGGGAAAATTTTAGAGAGAGAGATGAGTGTATGAAAATAGTTTTGCAGTAAATTGACTTTCTAAAAGTTTATTGATGGAGTTTGAGGGCCCTTCTGGCTCTGATAATAAAATCAGCAGGTTATATTTTTCAGAGTTGAAATGGCAAGCTGTTTATCACCCTAAATTTAACTGAAATATGTTTTTAGGTTAAAACTGAGAAAATAATTGTAGGATTTAATCTAGAGTGATGTGCATGTACATCTGTGTTCATAGAAGTGTGTACTATGATAAATACACATATAAAAATATCAGTGTGCACACACATAGTAACAACTGTTTCATCATTAGGTGTGGCAGGCAGTATTCCAGCTATATAATTGAATTTTCCTGCTGATTGATACCTTAATTTATCTGTACTTTAAAAGTAATTCCTCCACTTTGTTCTAGAAATATTTAAATATTTAGACAATGTATTATATTTTTCCTGTCATTTAAAGTTGAAGTTTTTTTTACTCTGTAGCAGTACCATAAACCTGTGTCTTTTTTTACAATTAAAACATTTTTATTTTACTTTATTCATTTGTCCATTGAAGCATTTTATTTGTAAATATGTATTACATCCATAGATGAAGAACCCCAGGATTTTCTCTCCTGTGTGTTTTTGTGTTGCTTCTTCATGGTCCATGATGTGAGCTGAGTCAGTACAATGAAACCAAACTGGTGGGATGGGAGCAGATTAGTCTGTGATTTTTCTAGATTTTTCTAGATCTTTGAGTTGGACATCAAATCTGGGGCTGATCACACTTGCTCACAACAACTTGTTCACACTGTGAGGTTCCCAATAATTTTCCCAGCTCTGTGATCATCAGTGATTTCAAATTCGCTCATGTGCCCATGCTTTGTCATCACAGTTGATGAAGACACTAGACAGTGACTTTGGAGCAAGGTCTAATAAGAACCAGGTGTTTGCCTCTCTTTTCGGTATTGTCGATGCTCTGGAAAGCAGCAAACAGGACATTTATGCACACCATTAGGGTGGCACGGAAAGATGGTGGAAAGAGCTCTTTGTGTCTTTGGGCATCTGTATCCAGGGCCTAGGGGGACCTGTGAAGTGTTTTGTAATTGTGAGTAAAATGCAGGTGAAAGAGGATGACGTCATTGAGAGGAAAAAAATGAGAAGACAAAAGAAGTCATAAAACATGAAAGAATGGACAAATCTATTATCTAATTTATTTTATAAATAGATAAACCATTATGAAAAGTTATTGGATTTGAGGACTGTTGGATTTTCTTAAGATAGTTTAGGCTAGGAACTTACAGGTTTACATTGGTAGAAAAGAGTTGTTGGGAGGATGCCAGTTCAATTCCTGGTAAATGCTTTCTGTTACTTTAATATCTTATACTCCACTTTTCACATTAGCCTGTGAGTGATTTTAACAATTGGAAATATGCTGTTTGGTTTAGTTCATATCTTAGTCATACTCACATTCTTAGCACTGAGCACAGTGCCAAGCACATAATGGATGCTGAAGAATTGTTCGAGTAATGATTCCCTGTTTCCCTGTAACAAGTCAAAAGGGAGACGTTAATGACTGTCATAGTGATCCTCAAGGCCTAGGACAGTGGCTCCTACATTATTTGTACTCAGTGAAAAGAATAAAACCTTATGTGATAATTTCACTCTTTAACACAGTGTGAAATTATCACTTGAACCCGAATTATCACTTAACAAACTTTATTTTTCAAAGATCTCTGAAAAAACATGTTTGTTTTTTATTGGATTATAAATACACACATACCTAGCACATTTGTTCCAAAAGGAGTGTGTGAAGGAGATGGGGATATATTGCTGTGGTGGGGGCAGATGTTGTTCCCAATTGCACACATCCTTCCTTCCTTCCTTCCATTTGAAGAAATCTTTCCTATAGGCGTGGTCTCTTCTCTGCTTCCCCTTTGCCTGCTCTAGCCACTGCTACTGATGATGTATTTCAGTACTAAAAAGTGAGAATTATGGCTTCCACTTCCCTACCCTTGGATTTGGCTTCGAGGGGCTCTTCTGTTGTAGATAGTGTGCGAGATGATTCCATTTCTTGAGAGCAGGGCATAGGGTTTAGTTGGCTTGGCATAGCCTGCATTCTTTCACTTAACAGGTATTTTGAGATGGGAATTAATTGGAAATTTTGTTTTTTATAGTTTTCATGATTTAAAATTAATGTGTTTATTTTGAAGGAAGTTGATTTATGCGTTTATTTAAAGTTTATTAGTTTATTTAAAGTTAATCATTAAGATGAGGGGCTTGGCCTTCTTAGGAAAGGTGAAATGGGTAAATACTGAATTAACCTGTTTGAGATCCTTAAATCATTTTAATTGTTGTGATTGTCCACGTCATGAAATTTATGAGTCTCTTTTAAAGAAAACTGAATGTAGTAAACTTCCGGCATATGTCAAAAACTATAGCCTGAAAAACACAAGTAAACACTAGTTAAACCTTTATTCAGTATCATGGCATGTTGTCATTTGATCTTTCTTTGTTGATAAATTAATATTTAATACAGATACAAAGGAGGACAGTGAAATTGCCTGGCATAGTGTTATTACAAGGTGGTTATCCAGTTGATCCAGAATACACTACACTAATTTTTTAAACAGCATTGAATGAAATGACAAAATAAAAATTTAAGTACTTGGAACCCTTACAATACATTTTTATACCCCTGTCTGTGACAGTCACCTCTTTATTGGAAATATACTGGGGAGATCCAGTATAGTATATACTGGGGAGATCCAGTTCCAGTGTAAAGAGGGCTCATGACAAAAACAAAAGTGGTAAGGGTGGGGCTGTAGTGGGAGGACTTTAGTTGGTTTTGAAGAAAGTGGTAACTAGTGCTTCTTTTCCCGTTCAGCTCCCTCGTGAAAGATGCTTCTGTTCCTCTGATTGATGTTACAAACCTCCCTACTCCTCGAAAATTCCTTGATACCTCTCACTATTCTACTGCTGGAAGCTCAAGTGGTAAGTATTTAATTCTTCAGCCACTAAGCTTTTTAGTATGTCTTAGTTCCTAGGTAGATATCTGGAGGAGCTTTTTGGGGGCTGAGCTAGGTTGGGCTGGGCTAGGTGGGCCTGAGCTAGGTGTGTTGGAACCTGTGATGAGCCCTTTGCAACCTTCAGAGCAAATAAGATGTACAGTGATTTATTGGGCTGTTGCATTATCAGGGTTGAAAAGTGGCAGCTGAACCTGGCCTGCCTGCTGAATCCAGCTGCATCTGTGTTTTGTTTGACCAGCACTGTTTTTCTTTCTTTCTTTCTTTCTTTTTTTTTGAGACGGAGTCTCGCTCTGTTGCCCAGGCTGGAGTGTAGTGGCACGATTTTGGCTCTCTGCAACCTCTGCCTCCTGGGTTCAAGGGATTCTCCTGCCTTGGCCTCAAGAGAAGCTGGGATTACAGGTGCCTGCCACCATGCCCAGCTAATTTTTGTATTTTTAGTAGAGACAGGGTTTCACCATGTTGGCCAGGCTGGTCTCAAACTCCTGACCTCCCAAAGTGTTGGCATTACAGGCGTGAGCCACCACACCCGGGCGACCAGCACTGTTTTTCTAAAGTTGAGTTTGGATGCTTTTTGATAGAGCATATGCTTTCCATTGTGCTATAATCTTTACTACTCCTAGTAGCTTTTACTTATTTATCTCATGTATTGCATTCAGTGTCTGGTCCTGGGAGCTTCTGAGTGTGTGACCTCTGTCCTATGCCCTCTCCACTTCTAAATGTGCATGCATCCACGTGTGCACTCATAGTCGTACCTGTAACACACTTTGAGGAAATATCTACAAACTTATCTTTTCTTCTTTGGAGATATCCAATATCCTATTGAATAAGACAAAGCCATTTTGGGGTTATGTTTAAGGTTGAGGGCAGGAGGGTATACTTTGGATGCAAAGATTTAGGGGAATCTTGTGGATTGCCTTAGGCTTGCCTTTGCAGAGGGTTCAGCTCAACTGGGCTTGGAGAGCTTCTGGGCCTCTGCAGAGAGTTTCTCTGCTTTTGTAACTGGGTTGGGGAAGAAGACTCGATGTCTTTTGTGGGATGCCTCGCAGGTGCCTTCTTGTGGCAGCCAAAATCTTCATTGCCTTTTAACGAAATTGTAATGTTTATTATCATTGTCTTTTCAGATAAAAATTAGTTCTTATAGTTCTTATTAGTGCTGTAGAGCTTGAAATAATGAAAAGGTAGAAAAAAATAGAAAAACAATTTGGATTCAATCAGTACATTTTGTGTAACTAATTGGAAATGTTTCTGTTGAGAGCTTAATATATTGTTGGGGCATATTTTGTTACCTTAAAATGCCACTTAAAATTGTTTTAGGATTATTTAGGCTTGGAATCTTCAAGTTTATTACTTTAACTACAGGAAAGTATAGAATTTGATAATAGATTTTCCTTTGTTTAATTAGTAGCCAAGTTTTAAAAAATTGCAGTCATTTATTTTTATTATGATACTTTACAATAGTTTGTACTCCAGCCTCTTCTTGGAGCTAGAAAGGTTTTGTTTTCTCCCTCTTTCTGATGTAATGTTGCTTTTGAGTTTTAACACTGCTCTGAGGGGTTGTAGACTGTGGAATTATGAAACAAAATATATTTGTACCTTTGATATGTATTTTATCTCTGCCTTTTATGGAAATTACCAGTTGTTACATCTTTGCTTTTTTGTAATGTGAATCATTACTGCTTAGCCTGGTTATATTAATTTATGTAAATGTTGCCAAGTCAGTGGCCAAGTGAAATAAAAAATTTAATTATTTATGAAGAAATGACAGGGCAGGCTTTGCAAATGAGTGTTGTATAAATATAAAATAAGCTGAAATATGCCAGTTACGGCAAATTTCAGTGGAAGCTAATTTTGCTACATCTATTATTCTTACTATGATAGGCCTTACTTTTTGATAGGCACTTTATCTGTCAGCTTCTGGAGTTTGCATTCATTACTTAGTGGAGTTCATGGTGACACTCTGATTTTGGTATTATTAGGAATTACTGTTGAAGAACTGCTTGGTAGTTGACTGGGGCTAGGAGCATTATGGAGACTGCTTGTAGAGATATGTATAAACCTTTTATTTATTTATTTATTTATTTGAGACGGTGTTTCACTCTTGTGGCCCGAGCTGGAGTGCAGTGGTGCGATCTCGGCCCACTGCAACCTCCTCCTTCTGGGCTCATGCGATTCTCCTGCCTCAGCCTCCCAAGTAGCTGGGATTACAGGCGTGCACCACCACACCCAGCTAATTTTTGTAGAAACAGGGTTTCACTATGTCAGCTGGGCTGGTCTCAAACTCCTGACCTCAGGTAATTGTCCGCCTTGGCCTCCCAAAGTGTTTGGATTACAGTCATGAGCTACCATGCCTGGCCAGACGTTTCTTTTTAGATGGGTTCATTTCCTTGACTATTTTGAAGACTTGATCGTGTGCTTTTTTTTTTTTTTTTTTTTTGTGCGTGACCAAAAAAGAAGGTAAAAATATTATTGATTAAAGTCAATAATAGCAGAGGTTAATATGTGTTTAGTGCCTACCATATGGTAAAGCAATGTCTTAAGTGCTTTACATGAATTAACTCATTTAGTCCCTCAACAATTTTATAACAATTTATTATCAGTCCCATTTTACAGATGAGAAAACTGAGGCACAGGGAGGTTAATAATTGATAAAAGTTTACACAGTTGACAAGTGGTTGTGATTTCAGCTTAGAGCCAGGTTCGACTATGCTCTTCTAACCAGTTTGTTTTGCTGAAAACAAGCTAGGTGTCCTCTTTGTATTAATTTTCTACTCACACAAACTTAGTGGCTTAAACAACATAAATTTATTATCTTACAGTTTTGTAGGTGAGAAGTCTAACACAAATCTGATAGCAGTAAAATCAAGGTGTTGGCAGGGCTGTGTTCCTTTTTGGAGGCTCTAGGGGAAAATCTGTTTTCTTGCCTTTCTGGCTCCTGGAGGCCACCATATTCCTTGGTTCATTCATGGTTTCCTTCCTCCATCTTCAAAACCAGCAATGGTGGGTCACATTCTTCTCATGTTGCCTCTCTCTGACCCACTCTTCTGTGCCTCTTTCCTCTTTTTAAGGACTCGTGATTAGATTGATTCCACCTGGATAATTCTGGCTAATCTTCCCATCTCAAGGTCCTTAACTTTAATTACATCTGCAGTCTCCTTTGCCATGTGACTAATCACAGGTTCTAGGGATTAGGACATGAATATCTTTGGGCAACCATAATTCTGCTTACCACACTCTACGCTGCCCATTTTGTGACTTAAGTTATCTTTAGGAGCAAGTGTAAAAAATTTGACTTTCTTCAAATTATGTAGCGAAATCTTTTTAAGTCATTGCAGTGTAGTCTTTAGGACTCTATTAATCTGGATCACATTATTAAAGGGAATTGTATAAATGAGGAAGATGTAAATTATGTAGAGAACTGCACAAAATGTTACTAAGTACATATAAAAGTATGGGGCTGATGAAATATACTATAATAAAAAGCAGGAATTTTGTCTTATTCTTAATAATAAACTGGAAGTCCTAAGAGTCTATTTGTGAAGTGCTCTGCAAGTCAGCCTAGAAAGTAATAGCCGTTTTCAGCTGGGAATTTAACATAGGCTCTTAAAGCTCCTCTCTCATTTTGTGAAACAGTAAGATTGAGGGTGTAATCCATTAGAATTGACACTTTTATAGAGGAAGTTCCATTAGGGAATCCCTGGGGAGTATGGCTCTCCCATTGGGATACCATAAATTAAGATTGGAGGTGATTCCTGAGAACTTTCAGGTTATTTTAATTAAATAAGAATTTTGATTGCTTTTAAACAAGTTGTTTTTCACGTGTCCTATTTTGAGGTAGAGTTGTGGGTGACTTTTTTTTTTTAAATTATACTTTAAGTTCTGTGGTACATGTGCAGAATGTATAGTTTTGTTACATAGGTATACACGTGCCATGGTTTGCTGCACCCATAAACACATCATCTATATTAGGTATTTCTCCTAATGCTATCCCTCCCCTAGCCCCGCCCTGACCGAAAGGCCCAGGTGTGTGATGTTCCTCTCCTGTGTCCATATGTTCTCATTGTTCAACTCCCACTTATGAGTGAGAACATGAGGTGTTTGGTTTTCTGTTCTTGTGTTAGAGGACATGAACTCATCCTTTTTTATGGCTGCATAGTATTCCATGGTGTATATGTGCCACATTTTCTTTATCCAGTCTATCATTGATGGACATTTGGGTTGGTTCCAAGTCTTTGCTATTGTGTATAGTGCCATAATAAACATACATGTGCATGTGCTTTATAGTAAAACGATTTATAATCTTTGGGTATATACCCAGTAATGGGATTGCAGGGTCAAACGGTATTTTTGGTTCCAGATCCTTGAGGAATTGCCACACTGTCTTCCACAATGGTTTAACTAATTTACACTCCCACCAACAGTGTAAAAGTGTTCCTATTTCTCCACACCCTCTCCAGCATCTGTCGTTTCCTGACTTTTTAATGATCACCATTCTAACTGGTGTGAGATGGTATCTCATTGTGGTTTTGATTTGCATTTCTCTGATGACCAGTGATGATGAGCATTTTCATTATGTTGGCTGCATAAATGTCTTCTTTTGAGAAGTGTCTGTTCATATCCTTCACCCACTTTTTGATGGGGTTGTTTGTTTTTTTCTTGTACATTTGTTTAAGTTCTTTGTAGATTCTGGATATTAGCCCTTTGTCAGATGGATAGATTGCAAAAATTGTCTCCCATTCTGTAGGTTGCGTGTTCACTCTGATGATAGTTTCTTTTGCTGTGCAGAAGCTCTTTAGTTTAATTAGATCCCATTTGTCAATTTTGGCTTTTGTTGCCATTGCTTTTGGTGTTTTAGACAAAGTCTTTGCCCATTCCTATGTCCTGAATGGTATTGCCCAGGTTTTCTTCTAGGGTTTTTATGGTTTTAGGTCTTACGTTTAAGTCTTTAATACACCTTGAGTTAATTTTTATATAAGGTGTAAGGAAAGGGTCCAGTTTCAGTTTTCTGCATATGGCTAGTGAGTTTTCCCAACACCATTTATTACATAGGGAATCCTTTCCCCATTGCTTGTTTTTGTCAGATTTGTGAAAGGTCAGATGGTTGTAGATGTGTGGTGTTATTTCTGAGGCTTCTGTTCTGTTCCATTCTTCTGTATATCTGTTTTGTTACCAATACCATGCTGTTTTGGTTACTGTCGCCTTCTAGTATAGTTTGAAGTCAGGTAGTGTGATGCCTCCAGCTTTGTTCTGTTTGCTTAGGATTATCTTGGCTATGCAGGCTCTTTTTTGGTTCCATATGAAATTTAAAGTAGTTTTTTTCCAATTCTGTGAAGAAAGTCAATGGTAGCTTGATGGGGATAGTATCGAATCTGTAAATTACTTTGGGCAGTATGGCCATTTTCACGACATTGATTCTTCCTATCCATGAGCATGGAATGTTTTTCCGTTTGTGTCCTCTCTTATTTCCTTGAGCAGTGGTTTGTAGTTCTCCTTGAAGAGGTCCTTCACATCCTTTGTAAGTTGTATCCCTAAGTATTTTATTCTCTTTGTAGCAATTGTGAATGGGAGTTCACTCATGATTTGGCTCTCTGTCTGTTATTGGTGTATAGGAATGCTTGTGATTTTTGCACATTGATTTTGTATCCTGAGACTTTGCTGAAGTTGCTTATCAGCTTAAGGAGATCTTGGGCTGAGACAGTGGGGTTTTCTAAATATACAATCATGTCATCTGCAAACAGAGACAATTGGACTTCCTCTTTTCCTAATTGAATACCCTTTATTTCCTTCTCTTGCCTGATTGCCCTGGCCAGAACTTCCAATAGTATGTTGAATAGGAGTGGTGAGAGAGGGCATCGTTTTCTTGTGCTGGTTTTCAAAGGGAATGCTTCCAGTTTTTGCCCATTCAGTATGATATTGGCTGTGGGTTTGTCATAAATAGCTCTTACTATTTTGAGATATGTTCCATCAATACCTAGTTTATCGAGAGTTTTTAGCGTAAAGGGGTGTTGAATTTTGTCAAAGGCCTTTCTGGATCTATTGAGATACTCATGTGGTTTTTGTCTTTGGTTCTGTTTATATGCTGGATTATGTTTATTGATTTGTGTATGTTGAACCAGCCTTGCATCCCAGGGATGAAGCCCACTTGATCATGGTGGATAAGCTTTTTGATGTGCTGCTGGATTCGGTTTGCCAATATTTTATTGAGGATTTTTGCATCAAGTTCATCAGGGATATTGGTCTAAAATTCTCTTTTTTTGTTGCGCCTCTGTCAGGCTTTGGTATCAGGATGATGCTGGCCTCATAAAATGAGTTAGGGAGGATTCCCTCTTTTTCTGTTGATTGGAATAGTTTCAGAAGGAATGGTACCAGCTCCTCCTTGTACCTCTGGTAGAATTTGGCTGTGAATCCATCTGATCCTGGACTTTTTTTTCGTTGGTAAGCTATTAATTATTGCCTCAATTTCAGAGCCTGTTATTGGTCTATTCAGAGATTCAACTTCTTCCTGGTTTAGTCTTGGGAGGGTGTATGTGTCAAGGAATTTATCCATTTCTTCTAGATTTTCTAGTTTATTTGCATAGAGGTGTTTATAGTATTCTCTGATGGTAGTTTGTATTTCTGTGGGATCAGTGGTGATATCCCCTTTGTCATTTTTTATTGCGTCTGTTTGATTCTTCTCTCTTTTTTTCTTTATTAGTCTTGCTAGTGGTCTATCAATTTTGTTGGTCTTTTCAAAAAATCAGCTCCTGGATTCATTGATTTTTGAAGGGTTTTTTTGGTCTCTCTTTTCTTCAGTTCTGCTCTGATCTTAGTTATTTCTTGCCTTCTGCTAGCTTTTGAATGTGTTTGTTCTTGCTTCTCTAGTTCTTTTAATTGTGTTGTTAGGGTGTCAATTTTAGATCTTTCCTGCTTTCTCTTGTGGGCATTTAGTGCTATACATTTCCCTCTACACACTGCTTTAAATGTGTCCCAGATATTCTGGTATGTTGTGTCTTTGTTCTCATTGGTTTCGAAGAACATCTTTATTTCTGCCTTCATTTTGTTATGTACCCAGTAGTATTCAGGAGCAGGTTGTTCAGTTTCCATGTAGTTGTGTGATTTTGAGTGAGTTTCTTAATCCTGAGTTCTAATTCGATTGCACTGTTGTCTGAGAGACAGTTTGTTGTGATTTCTGTTCTTTTACAATTGCTGAGGAGTGCTTTACTTCCTACTATGGGGTCAATTTTGGAATAAGTGTGATGTGGTGCTGAGAAGAATGCATATTCTGTTGATTTGTGGTGGAGAGTTCTGTAGAGGTCTATTAGGTCTGCTTGGTGCAGAGCTGAGTTCAATTCCTGTATATCCTTGTTAACTTTCTGTCTTGTTGATCTGTCTAATGTTGACAGTGGGGTGTTAAAGTCTCCCATTATTATTGTGTGGGAGTCTAAGCCTCTTTGTAGGTCTCTAAGGACTTGCTTTATGAATCTGGGTGCTCCTGTATTGGGTGGATATATGTTTAGGATAGTTAGCTCTTCTTGTTGAATTGATCCCTTTACCATTATGTAATGGCCTTCTTTGTCTCTTTTGATCTTTGTTGGTTTAAAGTCTGTTTTATCAGAGACTAGGATTGCAACCCCTGCCTTTTTTTGTTTTCCATTTGCTTGGTAGATTTTCCTCCATCCCTCTATTTTGAGCCTATGTGTGTCTCTGCACGTGAGATGGGTCTCCTGAATACAGCACACTGATGGGTCTTGACTCTTCATCCAATTTGTCAGTCTGTTTCTTTTCATTGGAGCATTTAGCCCATTTACATTCAAGGGTGATATTGTTATGTGTGAATTTGGTCCTGTCATTATGATGTTAGCTGGTTATTTTGCTTGTTAGTTGATGCAGTTGCTTCCTAGCATTGATGGTCTTTACAGTTTGGCATGTTTTTGCAGCAGCTGGTACTGGTTGTTCCTTTCCATGTTTAGTGCTTCCTTCAGGAGCTCTTGTAAGGCAGGCCTGGTGGTGACAGAATCTCTCAGCATTTGCTTGTCTGTAAAGGATTTTATTTCTCCTTCACTTTTGAAGCTTAGTTTGGCTGGATATGAAATTCTGGGCTGAAAATTCTTTTCTTTAAGAATGTTGTATATTGGCCCCCACTCTCTTCTGGCTTGTAGAGTTTCTGCCGAGAGATCCGCTGTTAGTCTGATGGGCTTCCCTTTGTGGGTAACCCGACCTTTCTCTCTGGCTGCCCTTAATATTTTTTCCCTTCATTCCAACTTTGGTGAATCTGACAATTATTTGCCTTGGAGTTGCTCTTCTTGAGGATTATCTTTGTGGCATTCTCTGTATTTCCTGAATTTGAATGTGGGCCTGCCTTGCTAGGTTGGGGAAGTTCTCCTGTATAATTTCCTGCAGAGTGTTTTCCAACTTGGTTCCATTCTCCCTGTCGCTTTCAGGTACACCAATCAGACATAGATTTGGTCTTTTCACATAGTCCCATATTTCTTGGAGGCTTTGTTCGTTTCTTTTTACTCTTTTTTCTCTAAACTTCTCTTCTTGCTTCATTTCATTCATTTGATCTTCATTCACTGATACCTCTTCTTCCAGTTGATCAAATCGGCTACTGAAGCTTGTGCATTCGTCACGTAGTTCTCACGCCATGTTTTTCAGCTCCATCAGGTCATTTAAGGACTTCTCTACATTGGTTATTCTAGTTAGCCATTCGTCTAATCTTTTTTTAAGGTTTTTAACTTCTTTGCAATGGGTTCGAACTTCCTCCTTTAGCTCAGAGAAGTTTGATCGTCTGAAGCCTTCTCTAAACTCGTCAAAGTCATTCTCCATCCAGCTTTGTTCCGTTGCTGGCGAGGAGCTGCGTTCCTTTGGAGGGGGAGAGGCGCTCTGATTTTTAGAATTTTCAGCTTTCTGCTCTGTTTTTTCCCCATCTTTGTGGTTTTATCTGCCTTTGGTCTTTGATGATGGTGACGTACAGATGGGGTTTTGGTGTGGATGTCCTTTCTGTTTGTTAGTTTTCCTTCTAAGAGTCAGGACCCTGAGCTGCAGGTCTATTGGAGTTTGCCGGAGGTCTACTCCAGACCCTGTTTGCCTGGGTATCAGCAGCAGAGGCTGCAGAACAGTGAATATTGCTGAACAGCAAATGTTGCTGACTGATCGTTCCTCTGGAAGCTTCGTCTCAGAGGGGCAGCCGGCTGTGTGAGGTGTCATTCTGCCCCTACTGGATGGTGCCTCCCAGTTAGGCTACTCGGGGGTCAGGGACCCACTTGAGGGGGCAGTCTGTCCGTTCTCAGATCTCAAATTCCGTGCTGGGAGAACCACTACAAACTTCAAAGCTGTCAGACAGGGACATTTAAGTCTGCAGAGGTTTCTGCTGCCTTTCGTTCGGCTATGCCCTGCCCCCAGAGGTGCAGTCTACAAAGGTAGGCAGGCCTCCTTGAGCTGTGGTGGGCTCCACCCAGTTCGAGCTTCCTGGCCCCTTTGTTTACCTACTCAAGGCTCAGCAATGGCAGGCGCCCCTTCCCCAGCCTTGCTGCTGCCTTGCAGGTCAATCTCAGACTGCTGTGCTAGCAATGAGTGAGGCTCCATGGGCGTGGGACTCTCCAAGCCAGGCGTGGGATATAATCTCCCGGTGTGCCATTTGCTAAGACTGTTGGAAAAGCGCAGTATTAGGGTGGGAGTGTCCTGATTTTCCAGGTGCCATCCATCACTGCTTCCTTTGGCTAGGAAAGGGAATTCTCTGACCCCTTGTGCTTCCCGAGTGAGGCGATGCTTCGCCCTGCTTCAGCTCACGCTTGGTGGGCTGCGCACCCACTGTCCTGCCCCCACTGTCCGACAAGCCCCAGTGAGATGAACCCAGTACCTCAGTTGGAAATGCAGAAATCACCCGTCTTCTGCGTCACTCATGCTGTGGGCTGTAGACTGGAGCTGTTCTTGTTCGGCTATCTTGGAACCACCCCTATTTTGTTAAACTTTTCCAAAAACCAGCTCCTGGATTCATTGATTTTTTTTGAAGGGTTTTTTTGTGCCTGTATCTCCTTCATTTCTGCTCTGATCTTAGTTATTTCTTGTCTTCTGCTAGCTTTTGAATTTGTTTGCTCTTGCTTCTCTTGTTCTTTCAATTGTGATGTTAGAGTGTCAGTTTTAGATCTTTCCTGCTTTCTCTTGTGGGCATTTAGTGCTATAAATTTCCCTCCAAACACTGCTTTAAATGTGTCCCAGAGATTTTGTTGCATTGTGTCTTTGTTCTCATTGGTTTCAAGGAATATCTTTATTTCTGCCTTCATTTTGTTATTTACCCAGTAGTTATTCAGGAGCAGGTTGTTCAGTTTCCATGTAGTTGTGTGATTTTGAGTGAGTTTCTTAATCCTGAGTTCTAATTTGATTGCACTGTGGTCTGAGATACTGTTTGTTATGATTTCCGTTCTTTTGCATTTGCTGAGGAGTGTTTACTTCCAATTGTGTGGTCACTTTTAGAATAAGTGCTATGAGGTGCTGAGAAGAATGTATATTCTGTTGATTTGTGGTGGAGAGTTCTGTAGAGGTCTATTAGGTCTGCTTGTTCCAGAGCTGAGTTCAAGTCCTGAATATCCTTGTTAATTTTCTGTCTCGTTGATCTGTCTAATATTTACAGTGGGGTGTTAAAAAGTCTCCAACTATTATTGTGTGGGAGTCTAAGTCTCTTCCTAAGAACTTGCTTTATGAATCTGAGTGCTTCTGTATTGGGTCTGTATATATTTAGGATAGTTAGCTCTTCTTGTTGAATTGATCCCTTTACCAATATGTACTGGCCTTGTCTCTTTTGATCTTTGTTGGTTTAAAGTCTGTTTTATCTGAGACTAGGATTGCAACCCCTGTTTTTTTTTTGCTTTCCATTTGCTTGGTAAATATTCCTGCATCCTTTTATTTGAGCCTATGTGTGTCTTTGCACGTGAGATGGGTTTCCTGAATACAGCACACTGCTGGGTCTTGACTTTTTATCCAATTTGCCAGTTTGTGCCTTTTAATTGGGGCATTTAGCCTGTTTAAATTTAAGGTTAATATTGTTATGTGTGAATTTGATCCTGTCATTAGTATGCTAGTTGGTTATTTTGCCTGTTGATGCAGTTTTTTCATAGTGTCAATGGTCTTTACAGTTTGGTATGTTTTTGCAGTGGTTGGTACTGGTTATTCCTTTCCATTTTAGTGCTTCCTCTGGACTTTTGTAAGGCAGGCCTGGTGGTGACAGAATCTCTCAGCATTTGCTTGTGTGTAAAGGATTTTATTTCTCCTTCGTTTATGAAACTTAGTTTGGCTGGATATGAAATCCTAGGTTGAAAATTCTTTTCTTTAAGAATGTTGAATATTGGCCCTCACTGTCTTCTTGCTTATAGGGTTTTGCAGAGATCTGCTGTTAGTTTGATGGGCTTCCCATTGTGGGTAACCCAGCCTTTCTCTCGGGCTGCCCATAACATTTTTTCTTTAATTTCAGCCTTGGTGAATCTGATGGTTATATGTCTTGGGGTTGCTCTTCTTGAGGAGTATTTTTGTGGTGTTCTCTGTATTTCCTGAATTTGAATGTTGGCCTGTCTTGCTAGGTTGGGGAAGTTCTCCTGGATAATATCCTGAAGAATGTTTTCTAACTTGGTTCCATTCTCCCTGTCACTTTCAGGTACACCAATCAAATGTAGATTTGGTCTTTTCACATGGTTCCATATTTCTTGGAGGCTTTGTTCATTTCTTTTCACTCTTTTCCCTCCAATCTTGTCTTCTTGCTTTATTTCATTAATTTGATCTTCAATCACTGATATCATTTCTTCCACTTGATCAAATCAGCTATTGAAGCTTGTGTATGCTTCACAAAGTTCTTGTACTGTGGTTTTCAGCTCCATCAGGTCATTTAAGCTCTTCTCTATACTGGTTCTTCTAGTTAGCCATTTGTCTAACCCTTTTTCAAGGCTTTTAGCTTCCTTGTGATGGGTTAGAACATGTTCCTTTAACTTGGAGAAGTTTGTTATTACCGACCTTCTGAAGCCTACTTTTGTCAACTCATTCATCAAACTCATTCTCCATCCAGTTTTGTTCCCTTGCTGCTGAGGAGTTGTGATCCTTAGGAGAAGAGGCATTCTAGTTTTTGGAATTTTCAGCCATTTTGCATTGGTTTCACCCCATCTTCGTGGATTTATCTACCTTTGGTCTTTGAAGTCGGTGACCTTCAGATGGGGTCTCTGAGTGGCCATCCTTTTTGTTGATGTTGATACTATTTCTTTCTATGTGTTAGTTTTCCTTCTAACAGTCAGGACCCTCTGCTGTAGGTCTGCTGGAGTTTGCTGGAGGTACACTCCAGATTTTGTTTGCCTGGGTATCACCAGCAGAGGCTACAGAACAGCAAAGATTGCTGCCTGTTCCTTCCTCTGGAAGCTTCATCTCAGAGGGGCACCAGCCAGATGCCAGCCAGAGCTCTCCTTTATGAGGTGTCTGTCGGCCCCTACTGGGAGGTGTCTCCTAGTCAGGAGGCATGGGGGTCAGGGACCCACTTGAGGCAATCTGACCCTTAGCAGAGCTCAAATGCTGTGCTGGGAGATCTGTTGCTCTCTTCAGAGCCGTCAGGCAGGGACGTTTAAGTCTGCTGAAGCTGTGCCCACAGCTGCCCCTTCCCCTAGGTGCTCTGTTACAGGGAGGTGGGGGTTTCATCTGTAAGCCCCTGACTGGGGCTGCTGCCTTTTTTCAGAGATGCCCTGCCCAGAGAGGAGGAATCTAGAGAGGCAATCTGGCCACAGCGGCCTTGCTGAGCTGTGGTGCACTCTGCCCAGTTGGAACTTTGCAGTGGCATTGTTTACTCTGTGAGGGTAAAACCTCCTATTCAAGCCTCAGCAATGGCAGACGCCCCTCCCCCCACCAAGCTCAAGTGTCCCAGGTCAATCTCAGACTGCTGCTATGCTGGCACCGAGAATTTCAAACCACTAGATCTTAAGTTACCTATGCTCCGTGGGGGTGGGACCCACTGAGCCAGAACTTCGCTCCCTGGCTTCAGCACCCCTTTCCAGGGGAGTGAACGGTTCTGTCTTGCTGGTGTTCCAAGCATCCCTGGGGTTTGGAAATAAAAACTGCAGCTAGCTCAGTGTCTGCCCAAATGGTTGCCCAGTTTTGTGCTTGAAATCCAGGGCCCTGGTGGTGTAGGCACTGGAGGGAATCTCCTGGTCTGTGGGTTGCAAAGACTGTGAGAAAAGTTCAGTATCTAGTCCGGAGTGCACTGTTCCTCACGGCACGGCACAGTCCCTCACAGTCCCTCACAGTCCCTCACAGTCCCTCACAGCTTCTGTTGGGTAGGGGGAGAGAATTCCTTGTGCTTCCTGGGTGAGGCAACATCCCATCTTGCTTTGGCTCGCCCTTGGTGGGCTGCACCCACTGTCCAACCAGTCCCAGTGAGATGAACCGGGTACCTCAGTTGGAAATGCAGAAATCCCCCTTCTTCTGCGTCGATCTCACTGGGAGCTGCAAACCGGAGCTGTTCCTATTCGGCCATCTTGCCAGCAATCTGTGGGTGACTTTTCTGTGAGAGGTTTTTTTTTTTTTAAATAATAGTTTATAAGTTATAGTTTGCAAAATATATCATTTAAATGATGCAACAGGCCTATGACGTAGTTAGGGCAGGTACTATGTGATTACTGTTACAATTATTATATTTAGATCATTAAATTTAAGTGCGATCAGATATAAAACATTTACTTATAAAATGCAAAGTCAAGGCACAGGTTGGCAAAAGCAAGAATCCATTAAAAGAAAAATGATTAGCATCCGCTTAGCTTTCCTACATATTAATGAAGAAAAGAAATGACATAATAAAGAACTGAGCAAATAATTTGCAATTCACAGACAAGTCCCTGTCCGTGGAAAAATTGGCATTTATCTGATGGAGATTAAGTATCTAGAATATGTAAAGAATCTCTATAAATCAATAAAACAAGCTAATAGAGTAATAGGCAAAATTATGAACAGTTTGCATAAGGGGAATCCAATGCTAAGAAATATATGAAAAACTACTTATATTCTGGTTAATCAGGTATTATCTTCTTTCTTTTTTCTTTTTTTTTTTTTTTTTTTTTTTGAGATGGAGTCTCGCTGTCGCCCAGGCTGGAGTGCAGTGGCGCAATCTCGGCTCACTGCAGGCTCCGCCCCCTGGGGTTCATGCCATTCTCCTGCCTCAGCCTCCCCAGTAGCTGGGACTACAGGCGCCCGCCACCTCGCCCGGCTAATTTTTTGTATTTTTAGTAGAGACGGGGTTTCACCGTGTTAGCCAGGATGGTCTCTATCTCCTGACCTTGTGATCCGCCCGCCTCGGCCTCCCAAAGTGAGGTATTATCTTTACAATCACTTTACAGATACGGAAGCTGAATGCAGGAAGGTTGAGTGGTTGGTCCAGGTTCAACCAAGATGATAATTGTTGGAGCCTGGCCTCATGCTGTTCCCAGTCTAAATATGTAGGGCATGTATTTTGCAAGCCTTTCTCTTATTCTCCTCAGTCACAGTATTTTGTAATGCACAGAGAAACTAATGTCTAATTTAGATGTAGTAGTTCAACTATAACTTAGGTAGAAGGATGGGAGAAGTGTGGAGAAAAGCCAATAATTGTAGTAAAATGTTGGTTTAAGCTTTTGGACTCCCAGTATGTCTTTTCATTTGGCAAACTGCCTTTGGAACATTTTGACTGAGTAGTTACTCCCAGGGAACACAGGCATTTCATTTGTGGCCTCTTTATTCATTTTATTCATGCTTCTGCTGGGATTTCGTGAATATGACTATAATGAAACTGGACTTCTTAGTTCTTTTCTTTTGGGTACAAGCATAGGTTAAGCAGTAAAAACCTAAAGAGAACACAAATTAAATGATTTTTATGCTGCTATTTTCTTGATGTGCATTTTATTCCATAAAGTGTTGCTCTGAGACTTTATATATATCTTAAGAATTTGGAGGCCGGGCACAGTGGCTCATGCCTGTAATCCCAGCACTTTGAGAGGCCAAGGTGGGCAGATCACGAGGTCAGGAGATCGAGACCATCCTGGCCAACATGGTGACCAAAATACAAAAATTAGCTGGGCATGGTGGTGCGTGCCTGTAATTCCAGCTACTCAGGAGGCTGAGGCAGGAGAATCTCTTGAACTTGGGAGGCAGAGGTTGCAGTGAGGTGAGATCTTGTATCTACCAATTTTGTTGCATTATTTTCAAAATTCTAATAGAATATTTGAAAAAATATATTTGTATATTTTCCTGGATTTTGTATGTAAACAGTCAGTGTCTGCAGTTAAGGCAGTGTTGTCTCCTTTTTGTAAAGATTCAACAGTTATTTGCCCTCTTTTTGTTTATTTGTTTTTAATTTTTGCATAGCTGGGAACCTATCATATAACTTGAATGGTAGAGGCAATAGTGTGAGTCTTGCCCTTAATGGAAATGGTTCTAAAATGTCATCAAGTATGATATTTCCTTTTCATTTTTGACTGGTTATTTACCCTTCTGGGTGGGAAGTTATAGATTATATTTTTGTTCTTTTAGATTTTAACCTTAATTTTTAGCACCTACTTTGCTACAGAGCTATTTTAAAGTTATCAAATGTCTATTTTTCTTTAATATTTCAAGTGCAGTACACATTCCAAGGTATGATTATTATTCTTGCCTATAGCAATTATCAGGCGTTGGCCAAATCATGATTTTCTTTTTCTGTCATTCTTTTTTCATTTACTAATAGAATTCTACTGTGATGAAGAGCTGTGTCTTCTTCATGTATTTCTATATTCATTAATTGTTTAAATCAGTAAAAATTTATGGATATTTACTTTGTTCTATGACTTGTAATCAGGTACTGTCATTATTTATCTTATTGCTCAAATTGTCCCAAATTTGGCCACTGGTAGCTCCTTCAGGTTGGTTCCTAGGTTGTTTTAACATGTCCCCATCCATTGTTGAAAACTTCCTTACATTCTGGTACCACAAGACATTTCAGACTCATCTTGTACTTCCCCTCCCTTTGCCTTGGAATTAACCATTTCTCTAAGGAGATCTGGTTTTTTTTTTATTGGAGAGTGATATTTTGAAACCTAGATTTGTATTCTAGTTGAACACATTGCTGCTGGTGTAATGTTGCTGTAGTCCCTCTTAGCTGACAGAGCTAGGAGATATGTATGTGCATGCTTATGTATATTACATGTGTATATGTGTGTACACCATACACATGTATAGACAGAAACATATACATCTATATGTATCTATTTCTGTATGTATTTCTACATAGATCTGTATCTATTTATTTCTGTATCTGTTTATTTCTAACCATGTGTATATATGAGTAAAACATGAGTTCAACTCCAAATCCATGTCAACCACTGCAGTTCAGCTGAGCCTTCTTTCCTTATTTCTAGCTCTTTTCAATAGTGAGAAACCTGGTTCTTGTAACAAGCAACTCATTTTTGTAATCCCAGTATATACATGAAATCATTTTACAATTGCTAACCAATGAAAAACAATTCACGGCAGTGAAAAACAAATCTATAAACTTGAGTACAATGTTTGTGTGCAGTTCAATTTGCATATTAGAAGGCTTATAATATTTAGTCAAAATAGTCAAAATCCAGTTACTTAGGTTAGTTCTTTTCGACCCCAACCCACTCACTTATGGTTATGTTATTTATTTGCAATACTTTTAGGTTCATTTGTTACTGTTTTTATTTCATTTGAGTTCTCCTAGATCTCAGTTGATTTTAATTATTTATTGTGGGGGTACATCGGAAGCATTATCATGTTGTAAGCATCTGAACTATAACACAAAGCACTCAGGCAATGTCACTTTTCCATCTCTATCTTTTATCCCATTCCCAGTTTCCTTCCTATTTTTTCCGTCTATCCCTATAGGTCATCAGTCACATTCATTTCTGCTTTATCCTTCCTGTAATTCTTTTTGCAAAAGCAAGGAGTTAAATATATCTTTTCTTAAATCCTTTCTCTCTTCCATGAAGGGTAAGGATACTATAGATACTCCTTTATACTTTGCTGTTTCACTCTACAATATATCCTGGAAATCATTCTGTATTAGTTCATGGAGATTCTGCTTATTCTTCAATGTTCTTTTTATATCTGCATAGTACTCTGTTGGGTTGATTTATCATAGGTCAACCACTCTCTGTTGTTGCTCTTTTTTATACTCTAAGTTCAGGGGTACATGTGCAGGTTTGTTACATAGGTAAATGTGTGTCATGGGGGTTTGTTGTATAGATTATTTCATCACTCAGGTATTGAGCCTAGTACCCACTAGTTATTTTTTCTGATTCTCTCCCTCCTCCCACCCTCCACCCTCCACTCTCCACCCTCCAATGGGCCCCAGTGTGCATTGTTCCCCTCTATATGTCCATGTGTTCTCATCATTTAGTTCCTACTCATTAGTTGAGAACATGTGTTGTTTGATTTTCTGTTCCTGCGTTAGTTTGCTATGGATAATGGCCTCCAGCTCCATCCATGTCCCTGCAAAAGGACATGATCTCGTTCTTTTTCGGTGATGTAGTATTCATGTTGTATATGTACTACATTTTCTTTATCTGGTCTGTCATCGTTGGGAATTTAGGTTGATTTCATGTCTTTGCTATTGTAACCACTCTCTTTTGTGTGAGTATTTAGATTGTTTTCAGTATTTTGCCATCAGGCAATGGTGGAATAAATAACATGCACGTGCATTTTCATGTTGTTGGAGGTGTATCGTTAAATTTCTAGAAGAGGGATAGCTCAATCAAAAGGTAAGCCCATATGTATGGGATCTTTTTGTTTATAGCTTAAAAATTTTTTTTAATGTTTTAAAAAACTCATAAAATTTACTGTGTCAACCATTTCTAAGTAGACAGTTCAGTGGTGTTAAGTATATTCACACTGTTGTGCAGCCAATCTCCAGAAATATCTCATCTTGCAAAGCTGGAACTGTGTGCCCATTAAACAACTCCTCTTTGTCCACCTCCACCAACCCCTGGCGGCCCCCATTCTACTTTCTGTTTCTATTAATTTGACTACTGTGGATACCTCATATAAGTGGAATCATATAGTATTTGTCTTTTGTGACTAGTTATTTCACTTAGCATAATATTTTCAGCATTTGTCCATGTTGTACCCTATACCAGAATTTCCTTCCTTTTCAAGGCTGAATAATACTCCATTGTATATATACTATATTTTGTTTATCCATTCATGTGTCAATGGACATTTGGCTATTGTGATAGTGGTGCTGTGAACATGAGTGTGCCGATATTTCCTTGAGATCCTGCTTTCAATTCTTCTTAATATATACCTAGAATTGAAATTGCCAGATCATATGGTAATTCTATATTTAATTTTCTGGGGATCTGCCATGCTGTTTTCACAGCAGGTATACCATTTTATATTCTCACCAACAGTGTGTAAGGGTTCTACTTCTCTCTATCCTCATCAACACTTGCCATTTTCTGTATTTTTTTTCTTTTGATAGTAGCTATCCTAATGGGTATGAGGATATATCTGATTATTGTTTTGATTTGCATTTCTGTAATGATTAGTGATGCTGGACATCTTTTCATGTGCTTGTTGCTCATTTTTAGGTCATCTTTGGAGAAATACCTACTCAAGTCCTTTGCCCATTTCAAAATTGGATTATTTGTTTTTGTTTCCGTTGAGTGGCAGAGGCTCTTTATATATTCTGTATATTAACACATTTTCAGATGTGTGATTTTCAAATATTTTCTTCCATTTCATAGGTTGCCTTTTAGCTCTGTTGACTATGTCCATTGATGCACAGAAGTTTTGAATTTTCGTGTAGTCTAGTTTTACTTTTGTTGTCTGTGCTTTTTCTGTCATATCCTGGAAATCCTTGCCAAATCCAATGTTGTGAGGCCTACCCCCCTGTGTTTTCTTCTGAGAGTTTTATAGTTTTAGGCCTTATGTTTAGGTCTTGATCCATTTTGGGTTACTTTTTGTGTATGGTATAAGGTCAGGGTCTATGCTCATATATAGTTTTATTACATCTTGCCAAATTCTCCCCCCAAAGAGAAAGTAGTACCAGTCTGCATTCCCACCACCAGTACATCACAGTGCCTGTTTCCCCACAGCCTTCCCAACAGAATGTGTTTTCATTTTACAATTCTTGCCAATCTGAGAAGTAAAAAATGTTATCAGTGTTGTTTAATTTTCATTTCTATAATTATGTATAAAATTTGAACAATTTCTGGTATGTTTAAGGTTTATTTTTAGTTATTTTGGTGAATTATGTATTTTTTTCAATTTTTCTGTTTTGTTTCATTTTTATTTTATTTATTTTATTTTATTTTATTTTATTTTATTTTATTTATTTTATTTTATTTTATTTTACTTAGAGATGGAGTCTTGCTCTGTCGCCAGGCTGGAGTGCAGTGGCACCATCTTGGCTCACTGCAACCTCCGCCTCCCGGGTTCAAGCAATTCTCCAGCCTCAGCCTCCAGAGTAGCTGGGACTACAGGCACACGCCACCATGCCTAGCTAATTTTTGTGTTTTTTAGTAGAGACGGGGTTTCACTATGTTGGGCAGGATTGTCTTGATCTCCTGACCTCGTGATCCACCCTCCTCAGCCTCCCAAAGTGTTGGGATTACAGGTGTGAGCCACCACTCCTGGCCATGTTTTATTTTTAAATGTATCAATATGCTATATTAATAGATTTCTTAGTATTTAGACAATTTTTCACTCTTGAAATAAATCTCTCTTGACTGTGGTGTATTGTTTTGTCAATGTTGTGTTGAATTCTATTTGTTAATATTTTATTTAGTATTTTTGCATTGATGTTTACAAGTGATATTATATGAATGATATTGTGTAGTCTAAACCTTACCACATTTTGGTTTCAGTGTAATAATTTGCTTTATAAAAGCAAGTAGAAAGTTTCCTTCATTTTCAAGACTTGGAACAATTTATGGAGCATTGGGACTATTTGGAGTCTGGGAATTTTTCTGTGAAACCATTTGTGTTTGGTACTGTTCAACATTTTCACTTTTTTTCTTATAATTTTTTCTGTGTTTTTTCCTATACAAAATTGGTCTTTTTAAGCATTTTTGTCTCTAGTGAGATGTAATTAACATCTGTATTTCCTTAGGAAATTACTCATTTCATCTAATTTTTCAATTTTATTTATATAGAGATCTACAAAGCATTTTCTTATGGCTTTAAAATTTTTCTTGTATTTCCTTTTTGTCATTTCTTATTTTATTTTCCTTCCTTCCTTCCCTTTTTTTTTTTTTTTTTTTGGAGTCTTGCTCTGTCGCCCAGGCTGGAGTACAGTGGCGCGATCTTGGCTTACTGCAGTCTCAACCTTCCAGGCTTAGTTGATCCTCCCACCTCAGCCTCCCAAGTAGCTGGGACTAGGTGTGTGCCATCATGCTTGGCTAATTTTTGCATTTTTTATAGAAACAGGGTCTCCTTATATTTCCTAGGCTGGTCTCAAACTCCTGGATTCAAGTAATCCACCTGCCTTGGCTTCCCAAAGTGCTGGGTTTACAGCATTGAGCCACCATGCTGAGCCCATTTCTTATTTTCTATGTTTGTATTATCTCTCTTTGTGAAAGTAGCTAGCAGTTTGTCTATTTTGTTAGGTTTTCTTTCTTTTTTTTTTTTTTAAGGAAATAACTAGGATTTTGATTTATTGATCAGTTCTACTAGTTTTCTGTTCTCTGTCTCATTACTTTCTGCTTTTATCATTATTTCTGTCTTTATGCTTTCTTTTGGTTTGTTACTCTTAAAAAATTTCGAGCTAGATATTTAAATCATGTATTTAATTCTTTCATTTTACTGGTAAAAATGTTTAGTGATACAAAGTTTTCATTCATCACTGCTTTGAATATACCTCATATACACTAATATGTAGTTTTCATTATCATTTTATTTTTAAAAATTTTTTATTTCAGCCGGGCGCGGTGGCTCACGCCTGTAATCCCAGCACTTTGGGAGGCCGAGGCGGGTGGATCATGAGGTCAGGAGATCGAGACCATCCTGGCTAACAAGGTGAAACCCCGTCTCTACTAAAAATACAAAAAATTAGCCGGGCGCGGTGGCGGGCGCCTGTAGTCCCAGCTACTCGGGAGGCTGAGGCAGGAGAATGGCGTGAACCCGGGAAGCGGAGCTTGCAGTGAGCCGAGATTGCGCCACTGCAGTCCGCAGTCCGACCTGGGCGCCAGAGCGAGACTCCGTCTCAAAAAAAAAAAAAAAAAAAAAAAATTTTTATTTCATTAGTTTTTGGGGAACAGGTGGTATTTGATTACATGTATAAATTTTTTAGTGGTGATTTCTGAGATTTTGGTGCACCCACAGGAGCAGTGTACACGGTACCCAATGGTGTAGTCTTTTTTTTTTTTTTTTTTTTTTCAGACAGAGTTTTGCTCTCGTTGCCCAGGCTGGAGTGCAATGGGGCGATCTCAGCTCACTGCAACCTCTGCTTCCCGGTTCAAGTGATTCTCCTGCCTCAGCCTCCTGAGTATCTGGGATCACAGGCATGCACCACCATGCCTGGCTAATTTTGTATTTTTATTAGGGACTGGGTTTCTCCATGTTGGTCAGGCTGGTCTCGAACTCCAGACCTCAGGTCATCCGCCCTCCTTGCCCTCCCAAAGTGCTGGGATTACAGGCGTGAGCCACTGTGCCCAGCCCATTATATCATTCTTATGCTTTTACATCTTTATAGCTTAGCTCCCACTTATAAGTGAGAACATATGATGTTTGGTTTTCCATTCTTGTGTTACTTCACTTAGAATAATGGATCCCAACTCCATCCAGGTTGCTGTGAATGCCATTATTTTGTTCCTTTTTATGGCTGATTAGTATTCCATGGTTTTGTGTGTGTGTGTGTTGTTGAATAGGGTGTCCTTTCTCTGCTTTATGTTTTTGTTTGCTTTGTCAAAGATCAGTTGGTTGTAAGTATTTGGGTTTATTTCTGGGTTCTCTAGTCTGTTCCATTGGTCAATGTGCCTGTTTTTATATCAGTACCATGCTGTTTTGGTGACTATGGCTTTACAGTATAGTTTGAAATCAGGTAATGTAATGCCTCCAGATTTGTTCTTTTTGTATAGTATTGCTTTGGCTACGTGGGTTCCATTTTTGGTGCCACGTGAATTTTAAGATTGTTTTTTCTAGTTCTGTGAAGAATGATGGTGGTATTTTGATGGGAATTGCATTGAATTTGTAGATCACTTTTGCCATATGGTCATTTTCACAATATTGATTCTGCTTATCCATGAGCGTGGGATGTGTTTCCATTTGTTTGTGTTGCCTATGACTTCTTTCAGCAGTGTTTTGTAGTTTTCCTTGTAGAGGTCTTTCACCTCCTTGGTTAGGTATATTTCTAAGCATTTTATTTTATTTTTGCAGTTATTGTAAAACAGGTTGAGTTCTTGATTTGATTGTCAGCTTGGTCACAGTTGGCATATAGCAGTGCTACTGATTTGTGTACATTGATTTTGTACTCTGAAACTTCACTGAATTTATCAGATATAGGAGCTTTTTGGATGAATCTTTGGGGTTTTCTAGGTATGTGATCATCATATCATTGGTGAACACGGACAGTTTCACTTCCTCTTTACTAATTTGGATGCCCTTTATTTCTTTTTCTTGTCTAATTGCTCTGGCTAGGACTTCCAGGAGTATGTTGAACAGAAGACGTGAAACTGGATATCCTTGTCTTGTTCCAGTTCTCAGGGGGAGTGCTTTCAACTTTTTCCCATTCAGAATTATGTTGGCTGTGGGTTTGTCATAGATGGCTTTTATTACATTAAGGCATTTCCTTTGTATGCTGATTTTGCAGAGAGTTTTAATCATAAAGTGATGCTGGATTTCGTCCAATGTTTTTTCTGCATCTATTGAAATGATCCTGTGATTTTTGTTTTTAATTCTGTTCATGTGGTGTATCACATTTATTGTCTTTTGGATGTTAAACTATCCAAGCATCCCTTCTGTGAAGCCCACTTGATCACGCTGGATTATCTTTTTGATATGCTGTTGGAATTCAGTTAGCTAGTATTTTTCTTTTTTTTTTTTTTTTGAGGATTTTTGTATCTGTGTTCATTGGGGATATTGGTATGTACTTTTCTTTTTCTGTTAGGCCCTTTCCTGGTTTTGGTAATAGGGTGATACTGGCTTCATAGAATGATTTAGGGAGGATTCTCTCTTTTTCTATCTTGTGGATTAGTGTCAATAGGATTGGTACCAATTCTTCTTTGAATGTCTGATAGAATTCAGCTGTGAATCTGTCTAGTCCTGGACTTTTTTTTGTTGGCAATTTTTTAATTACCATTTCAGTCTCACTGCTTGTTATTGGTTTGTTGTGAGTTTTCATTTCTTTCTGGTTTAATCTAGGAGGGTTGTATATTTCCAGGAACTTATCCATCTCCTGTAGGTTTTCTAGTTAATGCTCATAAAGGTGTTCATAGCCTTGAATGATCTTTTGTATTTCTTTGGTATTGGTTGTAATATCTCCCATTTCGTGTCTAATTCAGTTTATTTGGATCTCCTTCTTTTCTTGATTAATCTTGCTAATGGTCTATAAATTTTTTCTATCTTTTCAAAGAACCAGCTTTTTGTTTTATTAATTTTTTTGTATTTTATTTATTTTTGTTGTTGTTTGTTTCAATTTTATTTAGTTCTGCACTGATCTTGGTTGTTTTCTGCAGCTGGGTTTGGGTTTGGTTTGTTCTTGATTCACTGCTTCCTTAAGGTGTGACCTTAGATTGTCTATTTGTGCTCTTTCAGACTTTTTGATGTAGGTGTTCAACGCTATGAAATTTGCTCTTAGCACCACTTTTGCTATATTGCAGAAGTTTTGATAGGTTGTATCACTGTCACTGTTCAGTTCAAAGAATTTTCAGATTTCCATCTTGATTTCCTTGTTGATGCAAAGACCATTCAGGAGCAGGTTATTTAATTTCCATGTATTTGTAGTGTTTTGAGGGTTCCTTTTGGAGTTGATTTCCAGTTTTATTCCACTGTGGTCTGAGAGAGTACTTGATATAATTTCGATTTTCTTAAACTTGTTGAGACTGGTTTTGTGGCCTATCATAAGGTCTGTCTTGGAGAATTTTCCACGTACCAGTGAATAGAATGTATATTCTGCAGTTGTTGGATAGAATGAGAACATAAATATCTGTTATGTCCATTTGTTCTATGGTATGGTTAAGTCCATTGTTTCTTTGTTGAGTTTCTGTCTTGATGACCTGTCTAGTGCTGTCAGTGGAGTATTGAAGTCCACCACTCTTATCGTGTTGCTGTCTATCTCATTTCTTAAGTCTAGAAGTAAATATTTTATAAATTTGGGAGCTCCAGGGTTAGGTATATATAATTTAGGATTGTGGTATTTTCCTGTTGGATTAGTCCTTTTATCATTATCTAATGTCCCTCTTTGTCTGTTTTAGCTGCTGTTGCTTTAAAGTTTGTTTTGTCTGATATAGAAATAGCTATTCTTGCTCACATTTCCTGTCCACATGCATGGAATATTTTTTTCTACCCCTTTACCTTAGATTTATGTGAGTTCTTATGTGTCAGGTGAGTCTCTTGAAGACAGCAGATACTTGGTTGATGAGTTCTTACCCATTCTGCCATTCTGTATCTTTTACGTGGAGCGTTTAGGCCATTTACATTCAACATTAATATTGAGATGTGAGGTACTGTTCTATTCATCATGCTATTTGTTGCCTGAATACCTTGGTTTTTTTTTTTCATTGTGTTATTGTTTTATAGGCCCTGTGAAATTTATGATTTAAGGAGGTTCTGTTTTGTTGTATTTTCAGTATTTGTTCCAAGATTTAGAGCTCCTGTTAGCAGTTCTTGTGGTGGCTTAGTAGTGGCGAATTCTCTTAGCATTTGTTTGTCTGGAAAAGACTGTATCTTTCCTTCATTTATGAAGCTTAGTTTTGCTGGATACGAAATTGTTGGCTGATAATTGTTTTGTTTAAGGAGGCTAAATATAGTACCTCAATCCCTTCCAGCTTGTAGGTTTCTGTTTAGAAATCTCCTGTTAATCTGATAGGTTACCTGATGCTTTTGCCTCACAGCTGTTAAGATTCTTTCCTTTGTCTTGACTTTAGATAACCTAATGACTATATGCCCAAGCGGTGATCTCTTTGCTATGAATTTACTGTGTGTTCTTTGAGCTTCTTTTATTTGGATGTCTAGATCTCTAGCAAGGCCAGGGAAATTTTCCTTGATTATTCCCTCAAGTAAGTTTTCCAAACTTTTAGATTTTTCTTCTTCCTCAGGAACACCAATTAATTTTAGGTTTGGTTGTTTAACGTAATTCCAAATCTCTTGGAAGCTTTGTTCATTTTTTTTTTTGATTCTTTGTCTTTGTCAGATTGGGTTAATTTGAAAGCCTTGTCTTTGAGCTCTGAAGTTCTTTCTTCTACTTGTTTATTTCTATTGTTGAAACTTTCCAGTGTATTTTGCATATCTCTGAGTGTGTCTTTTATTTCCAGAGGTTGTGATTGATTGTTTTTTATTTGTGGTATCTATTTCTCTCAAGATTTTTCCATCCATAGCTTGTATTAATTTTTAAATTTAAGTTGTTTGTCACCTTTTGCTGGTGCCTCCTTGAGTAGCTTAATAATTGACCTTCTGAATTCTTTTTCTGTCAATTCAGTGATTTCTGCTTGGTTTGGATCCATTGCTAGTGAGCTACTGTGATCTTTTGGGGTGTTACAGAACCTTGTTTTGTCATATTACCAGAATTGTTTTTCTGGTTTCTTCTCATTTGGATAGACTATGTCAGAGAAAGGATCTGGGACTCAAGGGCTGCTGTTTAAATTTTTTTTGGCCCCCAGCATGATCCCTTGATGTGGTGCTCTCCCCATTCCCCTATGGTTGGGGCTTCCTGAGAGCTGGACTGCTGTGATTGTTATTGCTCTTCTGGGTCTGGCCACCCAGCAGAGCTACTAGGCTATGGGCTGGTACTTGGGGGTTTCTGCAAAGAGTCTTGGGATGTGATCTGTCTTCAGGTCTCTCAGCTGGTCTCTCAGCCAGCACTTGCTCCAGTTACCACCACCACACCTGGCTAATTTTTGTATTTTTTGTAGAAATGGGGTCTCCCTATGTTGCCTAAGCTGAATTTGACCTCCTGGGCTCAAGCGATCATCCCACCTCAGCCTCCCAATGTGACAGGATTACAGACATGAGCCACGCACTCGACTTAATCTTGTCTTTTAGTTCCGTTTTTTTTTTTTCTGAGTTTCATCACTTTCTTCTCACTCGTTCATGTTTTTTGTCCGTGTCTTTTCTTAGTTTTGGAATTTCTGGCTCAAGGTGGCTTTTCGCATCCCTCATCCTGCCTATTTCTTTATCTGTATTTTATTCTCTATTTTGGTGTCTTGTATTTCCTCAGTGCTTCCTATGAATTATTCATTTGAGCCCCTCTCTTGGGCATTTAATAATTTATTATTTATCTTTGAGATTTTTTTTTTTTTGGTTATCCAGGCTGGAGAGCAGTGGTGCAATCATACCTCTCTGCAGCCTTGAACCCTAGGCTCAAAGGGATCCTGCTGCCTCAGCCTCCCAGATAGCACTACAGACGTGAGCAACCACATTTGGCCAACTTTTTTATTTTTGTTTTTTTGTAGAGATGGGGTCTCACTATGTTGCCCAGAATGGTCTCAAACTCCTGGCTTCAAGAAGTTCTCCTATTTTGGCCTCCCAATATACTGGGATTACAGGCATGAGCCAGAGCACCTGGCCTAATTTTGTCATTTTCTTCCATTTCTTTTCTGAGGGTCATCATTTTCTCTTCACACTTTCCTGTTTTTTGTCCATATCTTTTCTTAGTTTTTGAATTTCTGGCTCAAGGTAGCTTTTCCTATCCCAAATTCTTGTTTGAGTATATTGGTTCCATCTGGAATGTTGCCTTCTAGTTTTCTTGTGCTTCATGGTTGTTTTGTTGAAGGGAATTTACCTCTGTTGCTGTGTGTTGGATATTCTGTCTTTTTAAAATAATACTTCAGTATGAGTCTGTTCATCATTTTTTTGTTTGTTTTTATGATATTGGGGTGTTTTATAGGATTTTTAGCTCATTGGCTCCCTCTTCTGTCACTATAGCAAAGTCCAGATCTTTGTTTTGGTAGCATCGGAAGGTTTGTGGTCTCTGAATTTTAGCTGTCTTGTCATCGGGTAGGATTCCAAATTTTCCCTTTTTTCCTGTTTCTCTTTTAGCCATCCAATAGCCAAAGGGCATTTCTCTCTACTTTTTGTTTCCTTTTTTATTTCCCAGAAGCTACGTGTTTCAAAAACTGGTCAAGATTGTGTCTGCTTTTACATCCCATCCCTATAGTCAGCTCTGTGATCTGTCTAGATACCTTTTTAGTATTTTGAAACTTAGGGTTGACTTTGTCTTTCCTCTGATGGTTTTAGATCAACCTTAAGTTCATCACTAATTCCCTTCTCTCTTTGTTATAGTTTTTCACATTCTACCTTTGTTTGCAATAAGGCCTTCTGGCAGATCAGGGACAGAGGAGGAGCATGAGATATCACTTGCTGGGATTAGGTGTCTTTTTCTTATTTTTATTTACAGTTGTTTTGGATTTTGGTCAGTTCAGTTTTCAAGTGATCCCGAGGACATGGTTTTTGTGTAGTTTTGCTGCTTATTTTTCTTGTCCTCTATTGCTTCTGGAGGAAATATTGAAAGATGGAGACATAAGCAACCACCTTTGTCAGCCTGAGAGTTTCCAAAGCTGAATGTTTTAAAAGTGCATTTTTAACTATTTTTCTTCATTTTGAGTTTTGATGTTACATTTTGTCACATTATCTCATTAAATTTGCACATCTCTGAGCTACACATACTATCTCCATTTCATGAATGAAGAAATCAAGGTCCAGCAAGATTAAATGACTCAAGGGAGATCACACAACCAGAAACTGATAGAGATTCTAATCAACTCTAAAATTGTATGATGCCAAGCTCTTGTTCTTTCCACTACATCTTGCCATCTCCCTGAGTAACTGAACTTAGAAAGCCCATGCATTAATTAAATACTGCAACCTAAAACATTTTAGTGATTATAAATGTAAACTGTCAGTTTATTCATCTGTTCCTTGTCCCTCCTGTTATCTTGCAGTCCTGTTATATTTTTAGTAGCCTCTTCTCCACTGGCTTCTACTCCTTGACCTTCTAAGGTACATTTTCTTTCCTGTAAACGAGATCATGTACATTAAGTGCTATCTCTTGAAAAAAATGATTCAACAGATGTCAATTTTGTTTATTTATTTATTTTCCTAATAGAGGTTTTTACTCTATCTCCCCTTATAGCAGACCTACCATCATTTCCCTCTTGGCCCACTTTCACGTACGGGAGGACCCGTGCACACTCACCTTGCTTTCAAAACTCACTGCCCTCCCTGCGCAAACTCCTCACTTCATGGAAATGATAGCCCCAAGTAGCAGTTGGCAACAACTTTTGGCTCCTCCTTTCTGGAGTGGGTGTTGTATTGTCTGTAGTTTTCTTTAAAGTAATTTAATCTGCACCTTAGGGGTGCTTAGTTAACATTTTTGAAGTACCTTAATCATGAATCTACACTCCAGGGGTAGTTAGTTAACATTTGAAAGACCCTAATCAAAATTCTATACTCCAGAGGCAACCAGTGCCTCAGATATTGCTCTCAACCTGTACCAGTGGGTGCATTAATTAGAATAAAAGATGTAAGAAGTAATTTTTCACGGTGAAGGAAATGCTATTTAAGATATGTAGTTGGCCAGTTTCCTACACAGAGATAAGACATGAGTGGAGGCTGAGGATACAGATTTGGCAAGGGCAACAGTCTTCCAACCTAGGTAGGCCCTTGATTTGGTCCTGTGCTTGCTGCTTTTAGTGGAGGATTTGGTTTGGTTGGCTCACCTGGCCTGTGGAGCGCATTAAGTCTTTATTACCCTGCATGGGCCAAATCCAGCCTGCTTCTGTCTGCTTCTCCATCCAGCGCTCATTGGAACTGTACTCCGGCTCCTCTCCATGTTTGCATTTCTTGTCCACAGAGATGTTATTCTCAATCTTGAGTCAGATGATTTCTTTTTAATTTCTTAATTTACATTTTTAAATTTAATTATATTTTGAGCATATTGGATATGTTAAGAGTGTGAATTTATAGTGCCATTTTGATCAGAAGCACTCACATTATTTTTAAATGGTAACTTTCTTACTATTTTCTACTTGAGAATATTGTCAGTATTCTCAGGCCAGGTTCTCATCTGTGGGGCTTCTAGATAAGTAACTTGTTTGATATTCTAGTGGTCTAATTAGGCTGGGTGATGTTTTTGAACATTCCTTTTTATATTTAATTCTATTCAATAGTGACAGTTCTCATGTGATAGAGGGATAATATTCTTGAATACATGTGATTTAAGTTACGTAGATTGAAATCATATACGTGATTTTTGTGTAATTTGTGTATCATGCGTAGTATAAGGAATGACATCTACCAAGAGTTTCTATAGTAAACATTACTATTGTCCTATATCTTAGTTAACATGTACAAATATAAATGAAATAATGCAGTTTATGAAGTAAAATACTGAAGTATATCACCAGGGCCCTTATTTTCTGGGGTTTGGTGACGTGTATGTGTGGTATGGCATATATTACTGATCTTGTCCCATCAAATATACTGAGCAAAGGAAGCAGTCATGATGAACTGGTGGTCTAGATTGCTTTCTGTACTCACTAGGACACGAAGTAATTTTTTAAATAAAATATTTAACTGTATAAATAGTCTATTTAGCTTTTTTATATGTTATTTTTTAAGTGAGCCATCTATAATATAGGTATACATGTAAGTAGCTGTAGGCTGTGTAATCAAGGATATATAGACGTAAACTATACTTTTTTTTTTTTTTTGTGAGGCAGAGTTTTGCTCTCTTGCCCAGGCTAGAGTGCAGTGGTGCGATCTTGGCTCACTGCAACCTCCGCCTCCTGGGTTCAAGCAATTCTCCTGCCTCAACCTCCCGAGTAGCTGGGACTACAGGCGTGTGCCACCACACCCAGCTAATTTTTGTATTTTTAGTAGAGATGGGGTTTCACCATGTTGGCCAGGATGGTCTCGATCTCTTGACCTCTTGATCCGCCTGCCTCAGCCTCCCAAAGTGCTGGGATTACAGGCGTGAGCCACCACACCCAGCCTGTAAACTATACTTAGTGGAATCATGGAATTGTAGCGAATGAAAGGACCATAGATATTATCTAGTCAATCTTTTCATGAGTCCCAGAGAGTTTTAGCTAAGCCCTCCTTTCATGATTCCATTCTTAGCTTCAATCACAGAGATGATTTATAGCCATTTAGACATACATACCAATATATCCATATCTATACATACAATGTGTGTGTGTGTGTAGGGGGCTGTGATCACAAGCACTTGGGGCCAATAGAATTTTAGTAGAAATAATTGGTTAAAGGGCATTAAAATCTTTTAATATTTAGCATTATCAGTCTGTGAAAGTCTTCGAAACTAGGTTTGAGAAATCTTTACTCATTAAGACCCTCAGAGCAGAAAAATCAAGGGTAAGAGAACTGGGAAAGGAAGTTAAGTATTTCTAATTTTAAAGTGTTCTAAAACCTACACGTTGAGTACATATTGTAGCAATATAGATACTAGGGAATGATTTGGAGTTCAGTAGTTTGGAAATACGTATATTTTGTTATAATTCTGATGTGAGACTTTACTGAATTCCTGTTAAATTATTTTTGTGCAGGGCTTTTTTCATAAAGCACCAATAATTCTACCTGACCTCACAGGGTTTTGTGATATTAGACTAGTCATGGTTGATTATATTATCCTTTTAAATTGCCTTTTAATTTTCAGCTGATGTAAGTGAAATAGATAATATAAATTAATTAATATTGGATCTGTTCAGTGTTTATGCTCTAGGAGATTTCAGGAGACAAACAGAAAGAGAAGGTTCTAAACAAGTGCCGTTTGGGGCTGTGTCATTTTATTATTCATACCTGGCTTATTTGTTGTTCTTTAATGGGCTATCTATCATATTAGTGTGTATGTAAGTGGCTACATGTGACATAATCTCAAGTCTTATTGATTTAAACTGCATTTACCTCATCACTAATCACTCTTGTGGCAGGTAGCTGCAGTGTTCAGGGGGCACTTTGTATGTGTCACGTTTGTGACTCATACGTGCTTTTTTGTGAAGAGCATTTTGTCTCACCTAAATTCCTATTACTTTTTGGTCCTACCTGAAGCTCTGCTTACAATTTTGCGTATTTCTACCCGCAGTCCCCAAACATGCTGAATTTAGTTGGCTTGTTGGCCGCTAAATACTTTTCTCTCCTTGCTGTGGGGTTGGTTTTGCTGGATGGAGTACTTCTCTTTCCTGAAGTATCTAGCTTCTTCATGTGTAAAACAAAACCAGTAACTGAAATGTCAAATTTGGAAATATAAATGACTTTTTTTGATCTGCCTTCAGAGTTGCGTTGTCATCTTTATAAGCTTAAGACTTCCTGGTTTTATTCCAAGTTTTACTAATATTCAAAAAGTTTATTTGTTAAATCCCATATCATCAAATGCACTCCACATTGCAAGTAAAACCAAATGAATCTGGTCATTATACCTCTTTCTACTCATGGATTTCAGGGATCTAATGAGCTTAGTAAGATTTGCATCATGGATAAATAGAGGACTTATTCTTATAAGAATAAAAATTGTGTAAGTGATTATATCATGTATGTAATTAAAATGGTTTTGATTCAGATTTAAATGTTTTTTTTTTTTATTGTGGTAACGTCACATACCATAAAGCCTACCATTTTAACCATTTTGGAATGTACAGTCCTGCAGTGTTAAATACATTGATAGTGTTGTGCAACCATCACCACCATCTATTTCCATTACTCTTTTCATTCTTGTAAAACTGAAACTCTGTACTCATTAAAGACCAATTCCCCATACCCCTCTTCTCCCAGCTCTTGGCAACCACCATTCTACTTTCTGTTTCTATAAATTTGACTAAGTACGGCATATAAGTAGAAACATACAGTATTTGTCTTTCTTTTGACTGAGTTATTTCATTTAGCATAATGTACTCAAGGTTCATCCATGTTGTAGCATGTGTCAGAATTTCCTTCCTTTTTAAAGCTGAATAATATTCCATTGTATGTATATATCACATTTTGCTTATCCATTCGTGTGTTGATGGACTCTTGAGTTGCTTCCACATTTTAGTGATTGTGAATAATGCTGCTATGAAAATGAGTGTACTCTTCAAGACCCTGATATCTCTTCAAGACCCTGCCTGCAATTCTTTAAGTGTATACTCAATTAGAATTGCTGGATATATAGTAATTTCATTTTTAATTTTTTGAGGAACCGCAATATGGGTTTTCATAGTGGCTGTACCATTTTACATTCCCAACAGCAGTGCACAAGCGTTCCAATTTCTCCACATCCTTGCCAACTCTTGCTATTTCCTGTTTTTTTTTGGGGGGGGTGATATTAATAGTAGCCATCCCAATGAGTGTAGGGTGGCATCTCATTTTAGCTTTGATTTGCATTTTCCTAATGATTAGTGATGTTAGGCATCATTTCAAGTGCATATTGGCCATTTGTATATCTTCTTTGAAAAAATGTCTATTCAAGTCCCTTGCACATATTCAAGTTGACTTTTTTGTTGAATTTAGGAGTGCTCTATATATTTTGTATATTAATACCTTATCCGATATGTGATTTTGAATTTTTTGTCCTATTCTGTTGGTTGCCTTTTTACTTTGTTCTTAGTGTCTTTTGGTGCACAAAAATTTTAAAATTTTCATGCAGTCCAATTTGATTTTTTCTTTTATTGCTTGTGTTTTTGGTATCATATCCAAAAAAATCATTACCAAATCCAATGTCATAAAGCTTTTGCCCTGTGTTTTCTTCTGAGAGTTTTATTGTTTTAGGTCTTACATTTAGGACTGTGATCTATTTTGAGTTAATTTTTGTATATGGTGTTAGATAAGGATCCAACTTCATTTTTTGTATGTAGATATTGTTTCCCTGTACAGCATTTGTTGAAAGGCCGTCCTTTCCCCATTGAATGGTCTTGGTATTCTCGCCAAAAATCATTTGACTGTGTATGTGAGGTTTTTTCCCCTAGGGTCTCTTTTCTGTTCCATTGGTCTATATATTTGTCTTTGTGCCAGCACCACAGTGTTTTGATTACTGTAACTTCTAAGTAAGTTTGAAATTAGGAAGTAAGTTTTGAAATGAAGTATGAGTCTTCTAGATTTGTTCTTCTTTTTCAAGATGGTATTGGCTATTCTGGATCCCTTGAGATTCTGTATGAATTTCAGGATGGTCTCTCTCTGCAAAAAATGTCATTGGGATTTTGATGGGGCAGTTGCATTGACTTTGTAAACTGCTTTAGGTATAATAGTATTGGCATCTTAACAGTAGTAAGTCTTCCAGTCCGTGCACATGGGATGCGTTTCCATTCATTTATTTGTTTCCATTAATTATAATTTTTTAATTTAGCAACAATTTCATAGCTTTCATTATATAGCTTATATATATTATAGCTTTCATTATATAAAGCTTTCATTACATAAGTTTTTCATCTTTTTCGTTAATTCCTGATTATTCTTTTTAATGTAAACTGAATTATTTTTATAATTTCCTTTTGAGATTGTTCACTGTTAGTGTATAGAAATGCAATGGACTTGATCATAGTGTATAGTCCTATAAGTATGCTGCTGAATTCAGTTTGTTAGTGTTTTGTTGAGGATTTTTACATCTGTGTTCATAAGTGATATTGGTTTGTAGTTTTATTATACTGCTTTTATCTGGCTTTGGTATCAGGGCAATGCTGGCCTCATAGAATAACTTAGGAAGTTTTATTCCTTTTTCTAGAATTTTTTGGAAAAGTTTGGTTTTCTTTAAATGTTTGGTAGAATTGACCAGTGAAGCCATCAGGTCTAGTGCTTTTCTTTGTTGGAAGATTTTAGACTACTTATTTAATCTCCTTACTAGTTATAGATCTATTTGGATTTTCTATTTCTTTGTGATTTAGTGTTGATAGGTTTTATGTTTCCAGGAAATTGTACATTTCATCTATGTTATATAACTTGGTGTTGTACGATTATTCACAGTACTCTGTTTAATTTATTTCTCTAGAATCAATGGTAATGTAACTTCCATTTATGAATTTAGTCATTTGAGTCGTCTCTATTTTTTTCTTAGTTCACCTGGCTAAAGATTTGTTATTTTTGATGATGTTTTCAAAGAACCAACTTTGATTTAATCAGTTTTTGGTATTGTTTTTCTATTCTCTATTTTATCTCTGCTCTAATCTTTATATTTACTTTTTTCTGCTAGCTTTGGTTAGTTTGTTCTGTTTTCAGATTCCTTAAGCTGTAAAATTAAGCTGTTGTTTTGAGATCTTTTTTGTTTTTTACCGTAAGCATTTATAACTATAAATTTCTCCTTTTTTGCTGTTTTTCCTGCATCCTGTAAATTGTATTTCATATGTTGTGTTTTCATTTTCATTAATCTCTAAGTAATTTTCTAATTTCCTTTGAGGTTTCTTCTTTGATACATTGGTTTTTAAAGAGTGTGTTAATTGACATAAGTTTGTGTATTTTCCCTTTTTAACTTTGTTATTGATTTCTAACTTTATCCCTATTTAGTTAGAGAAGATACTTTGTGTGATACTTTCTACTTAAATCTATTGAGACTTAATTGGCAGCCTAATATATGGTTTGTCCTGGAAAATGTCCCATGTGTACTTGAGAAGAGTGTGTGTGTTGCTGTTTTGGGGTAGAGTGTTCTGTATGTGTCTGTTAGATCTAGTTGGTTGATTGTGTTAAGTCTTCTGTTTCCTTATTTCTGTCTGGTTGTTCTATCAATTATCGAGAGTAGGGTATTGAAGTCTTCAACTGTTGTAGAACTGCGTATTTCTGCCTTCAATTCTGTCAGTTTTTGCTTCATATATTTTGATAGTCATTAGGTGTATAAATGTTTATAATGGTTATATCTTCTTACTGTGTTGAGCCTTTATTAATATATAATGTCCTTCTTTGTCTCTTGTAATCTTTTTTTGATTTAAAGTCTATTTTTTCTGCTCTTGTTTTGCTGCTGTTTTCATGGAATATCTTTTTCCAGCCTTTTACTTTCAGCCTATTTGTGCCTTTGAATCGATTTGTGCCTTTGTAGACAGCATATAATTGGATCATGAATTTTTATTCATTCTACCAGTCTCTGTCTTTTGGTTGGACAGTTTAACCCATTTACATTTAAAATAATTACTGATAAGGAATGACTTATTTCAGACATTTTGCTATTTTTTTCTATATGCATTATTTTTTTTACCCCTCATGTTCTACATTACTGTATTATTTTGTGTTTAGTTGACTTTTTATAGTGAAATGTTTAAATTCCTTTCTCATTTCCCGATGGTATGCATTCTGTAGCATTTTTCTTTGTGCTTACCATAGGAATTACATTTAACATTCTAAAGTTATAACTCTCTAACTTGAATTTATACCAGTTTAACTTCAATAAAATACAAAACCTCCACTCCTTTAATGGCTCTGTCCCTACCACTTTTGGTTGTTGATGTCACAGAATTATATCTTTATACATTGTGTGCTCAAAAACATAAACTAGTAATTCTTTTAAATGCATTAGCCTCTTAAATGATGTAAAAAACAAAATGTGGATTTATAAACCAAAGTTAACAGTAATACTAGCTTTTAGACTAATAATTGTGTTTTAAAAATCTTTTAATATTTTAAATTATGTAGAAAACAATAGTTAGAAATAATTGTCTTGTTGTAACACTACTAATTTTTATAATTGCCTAGACGTTTATCTTTATTGAGATATTTATTTCTTCATATGCCTTCTAGTTACTGTCTAATGTCCTTTCATTTTAACGTGCAGGACTTTATAAAGCATTTCTTGCATGGCAGTCCTGATGGTACTGAAATCCTGTAGCTTTTGTTTACTTGGCAATGTCTTAATTTTTCCCAATCACTTTTGAAGGACAGTTTTGTGTGATACAGAATTCTTGGTTGACAGTTTTTTTATTTGTTTGTTTGTTTGTTTTGGCACTTTGAATTAATCCACTGCCTTCTGGCCTCGGAAATTTCTGATGAGAAATCTGTGGATAATCTTATTGGGGATCCTGTATATGATGAGTAACTTCGCTCACTACTTTCAAGATTCTCTCTTTGTATTTTGAAAATTTGATTTTAATGTGTCATGGTGTAGGTCTCTTTGAGTTCCTCTCACTTGGAGTTTTTTGAGCTTCTTGGATGTTTATATTCATGTATTTCATCAAATTTGAGACACTTTCTTCTATTATTTCTTTAAATATTCTCTGCTCTTTTCTCTCTTTCTTCTCCTTTCAGAGCTCCCACAATGTCTAAATTGTATCCTGTGGGCTGTCTTCACTTCTCTTCAATCTTTTTTCATTCTGTTCTTAGATGATAATTTCCATTGTCCTATCTTGACGTTTGCTGATTTTTTTTCTTCTCCCTGCTCACATCTGCCTTTGAATCCCTCTAGTGCATTTTTCATTCCAAGTATACTTTTCAGCTCAAGAATTTCTTATTCTTTTTATTTTTTTAGTTCTTATATCTCTTTATTGATATTGCCAGTTTGTTTATACATTATTTTCTTGACTTTCTCTTTATTTTTTGTTATTTGAGCATCTTTAAAACAGTTAAAACTTTAAAAAAAACTTTTTAAAAGTTTTTTTTCTTAATATATCTACCATTAAGTCTTTTTCAGGGACAGTTTCTGTTGATTTATTTTTTTTCCTTTGAATGGGCCATATTTGCCTCTCTATTTCTATGCTTTGTGATTTTTTGTTGTTGTTGAAAACTGGGCATTTGAGTTTAATGATGTGGTGACTCCAGAAATCACATTCTCCCTCTTTTCCCGGGTTCTCTGGGTTTTGATGTTGTTATTGTTTTGTTTTATAAATTATTGTAGTCAGTGTCTATCCTAAGGATCAGCCTGGGTGTTAATTTAAGATCTCCTCAAATAAAGCTTTTCTAAGCCTGCACCTTTACATGGGCATGCACAGTCACCTTATAATTTTTTCAATACATGCATTTGTTTTTGAATGTCCTAGTCCTAATGTTTGGCTTTAAAACGGGGAGCAAGAGAAAAATAAAGGCAGTAGGGGAAGGCTACTGGCTGTTTAACTTCCCTGGAATTTACTTCAGCAAGAGTAGGAGGGGCTTGAAAAATTGGAGGAGGTGCAACAACAATTGTCACGTGCCTCTTTGTACCTCTGTGATTAGAGGAAGCAATCAGCGATCAGAGCATAGATTCTTGATACTTGGCAGGCAGGGTTCTTTTTGCCCACCCTGTCTTCCCACCAGGTGTGTGCAAGGTACTCCAGGAACAGGTACAGGGATGTCTGCCACAGTGCTAGGTAGCTACTTTGGTAAGAGCTGTAATTGAAATCGACCACAATTTACCATCCAAGTGTTCCCTTGGAAGTTGCAAGCCTTCCATAGACTCCAGAGTTACAAAATAGTTACATCAGACAGATTCTGCCAGTACAATCGTGTAGGTGGGGAGATTCCTGGTGCCTCCTACTCTGCAGTCTTCCCAGAATCCTCCTTAAGAGCGTTTTATAAGCTGGGAACCCCCAAAATAGGGACTGAGGAGAATGCCCTACAGTGGATTTCACATCATCTGAAGTAGAGGTTTTATGGACTTTGTGTAGCAGTTACAAGAACTCATTCCATATACTGGGATGTTTTCTTTCTTCCCTAGTAGATTTCAGTACCATTCTAGTAGTGCTGAATAACTTAGAATGGCTTGTAGTCTGAGTTTAAATCTACTAAGGAAGAATGTATTCATTCTTTCAGGATATTGCAGATTTTTAAAATCTTGCATTTGTTTTGAGAGATGGAGGACAGAGGTGGATGGGGAAAACTTTTGACTATTAGGCTCCATCTTCAGCTCTGTACTCACTTTTGCTTTTGTATATCTTAATCCAGCCATTTGTAAAATGAGGCAGTTACTTTTAAGTCAGAGATTTGTAACGTCCTGTTTTTTTTGGCAGTTGCGAAACCCGGAATTCCTATGTGAAGTTTTGCATATGTATATTCATACTTTGGAGAGCAAGGCCTGTGGCTTTCAGTAGATAACAGAGATCTCCTATCAGCAGTTCTCCCCTCTCTCCAACTTGCCACAGGGGTTAAAAACTAAAGTTTTGGTTATTTCTTCCATTTCAGTGCCAAATTGTTTGAAAGAATGCTGTATTCTAAAGATCTACAGAGGCTTTTGACATATAACATTACTTCTCAGAAGCCTTTCATGGATTATTAGCAAGATCTGTCTCCTATAGATAATTATGTTGTAGCAGACATATGTTTAAAGAAAAATAGGTTGTTCTTTTGTATTTATGAAATACCTCTTCGTTACCCTATTTCCTCAAAGTCTTGTCTCACTTGTATGTATTGTTTTCCCTTAATCTTTTTAAAAAATTTATTATAATTTTAATTTATTTATCACTCTTCCCCCTGTGTGTATTCATGATGTCTTTTTCTCCAGCGACTTACCACTTTTAACTAACAAATACAAACCTGAGGCTAGGATCCAGCTCTTCAGAATTCTCTTGCAGCGCCACATATGGCATTTTATAAACAGCGAGTGCCTAATAAATGTCATGAGCCAGTGGACTCATGGCAGAAGTAGTAGTCTGTGGAAAACTTCCCATGGTGATTTGTTTACTAATTTTTATTGCATCTGCCTCTTATTACTAACTGATGGGTATGATTTGAGGAATATAAATGTTATTTTGTGACTTTTGGATGGTTACTGTGCAAATATAATTTAATTGAAAAATCCTCTTTAATTCTTTAAGAGAGTAATCAAGGCAGTGATTTCGTTTATTAGACTGCTCTGTTTTGGGGTTTTTGAGTGGAGTCTGTATCTATTATTGTTATTATTTAATTTTTCAGTGAGGGAGATAAATCTGCAGGACATCAAGGAAGATTTAGAATTGGATCCAGAGGAAAACAGCACCCTGTTTATGGGTATCCTCATTAAGGGCTTGGCGAAACTGAAGAAGATCCCAGAAACAGTTAAGGCAATCATAGAGCGCTTGGAGCAGGAGTTGAAGCAAATTGTGAAGAGGTCTACAACCCAGGTGGCAGACAGTGGCTATCAGCGGGGGGAGAACGTTACTGTGGAGAACCAACCAAGGTAGGTGGGAGTGTATTTTGTATTTTTGACAACTCTATTTATTGCACATTTTCTAGGGTGGGGCGTAAGTAACTTACCTTCTGTTGATGTTGTTTTCTTGAACTTAGGATACTATAGCCCATACAGGCCAGGCGCAGTGGCTCACGCCTGTTATCCCAGCACTTTGGGAGGCTGAGGCAGGCAGATCACTTGAGGTCAGAAGTTTGAGACCAGCCTGTACTAGTAGTGAAACCCTGTCTCTACTAAAAATACAGAAATTAGCTGGGCATGGTAGTGCATGCCTGTAATCCCAGCTGTTCTGGAGGCTGAGGCAGGAGAACTGCTTGAACGCAGGAGGCGGAGGTTGCAGTGAGCCGAGATTGCACCATTGCTCTCCGGCCTAGGTGACAGAGCGAGACTCCGTCTTAAAAAATAAAAAGGATACTATAGCCCATACAAACTTTGATTGGTAAAACAGCTTGACTAGGCATAATTCAGCTGTCTGTTTTTTAATGTTGTTGAAAAATTCAAAGCATATTGTCACTCAATGAAAAATATGGACATATTTATAGTAGAGATTGTCGATATTTAAACATTTAAAGAATAAATTGAATCAAATAATGTAGCAGCTATTGTACACATACTAAGTACTCAGCAATGTTCAAGGCAATTTATGTATATTATCTCACTTAATTATCACTACAACTGTATGACCTAGTTATTAGTATCCACATATTGCAGTTAGGAGAACTGGAGCTCAGAGATTGAATAATTAGCAAGCTCTTAGAAAAAGTCTTGGTGTTGAATACTAGTCCATTTGATTCTAAAATCCATGGTCTTTCCTGTGTCTCATGCTTTCTTCTTTAATGTGTAATGATATTTCCAATAGACAAATCAGTCTCAGGAATTTTTAAAACAATAAGATTTGAATTTCATAATTCTTATTTCATATGGAGAGTACGGAAATTGAATTCAGATTCTAACTTTGTGACTATCATATACTAACAGATCATGTGTGACAAACAAGAAGAAATCATAATCTTGTAGATACGTTGTTAAGGAAATATCTACTGTTTATACCTAGGGCTCAAAGTTTTTTTAAAAGAAGATAAAATTAAGGAGAAATAATAACTCATTTAGTATAGAGTTCTCTATAGACTTATTTAAATTTTTTGGAAAAATTAATACTGTATTTCTGTGTTCTTTTGCATATGTAAATAACATTGATTTCAATTATACTTTAACATTTCAAAAATTAATTTCCTTGTAAACTTGATTCAAAAGTACTATGTTTGGTGAATGGAACTACCCTTTATCCTTCTCCTGCCACAGAATGTTTCAAAGTAAATATTTGGCCAGGCACAGTGGCTCATGCCTATAATCCCAGCACTTTGGGAGGCTGAGGTGGGCAGATTGCTTGAGGTCAGGAGTTCGAGAGCAGCCTGGCCAACATAGTGAAACGCCAACTCTACTAAAAATACAAAAATTAGCTGGGCATGGTGGTGCATGCCTGTAGTCCCAGCTACTTGGGAGTCTGAGGCACAAGAATTGCTTGAACCGGGGAGGCGAAGGTTGCAGTGAGCCGAGCACACTACTGCACTCCAGCCTGGTTGACAGAGTGAAACTTCATCTCAAACAAACAAACAAACAAACACCCCAAAAAACCAAAACCAAACAAACAAAAACACCAAAAGTAAATATTTGATGGGTTTTGGAGAACAGACCTGACTTTGTATCCCCACTTTGTGATTTGCAAAAATTAACCTGTCTTACAGTGTTGCTTGCTTTAGATGAGGTTATATGGTTGTGGTGCTTAGTGGAATAGCACCAGTAAGTACTATAACATGCATGCCTGCTTGTATAAAATGCGTGTGTATATGAATATATGTTTATTATCGGTGCCTTCCCCAAATTCCATGTTCTATGATCACTTACATCATGATCCAGAGAAGCTGGAGAATGGTTCTTTGAACTTTTGCCTTTCTTCTTTCTTTGCCTGGCACCTGGATTTTCGTGAAGACCTTTTGACTCCTTACTGATGAATACTCTAAAATTCTGGTTTGCTCTTTGCCTGTTGCTGCAAGTTCCTAGATGAATACAGTGAACTTTCCTAGGGAAATAACATTGCTGTAGTATATATTGGAAATAAAAGGGCATGGATTAATAACTTTTCTGCAGATCTCATTATAGTACCTTTAAAAGCACTGTGTCTTTCATAGGAGTTTCATCTTTTTTTTTTTCCCCTTGCCTAAACCCCTTCCAGAATTCACGAGTGGAAATTATAGCACTAGAAGTATAATAGAAATTCAGCACACTGCCCTGGGAAATACTAAATGTTTCTCTATGAGGAATGAGTCAGCAGCAGGATTTTTTTCCCTGTTAAGTGTCTTTCGTTTGTCCGTATTTTAGAAAGCTTTTGTAGGCAGGATATATTGGACACTAACAAGTGAATGAGCTGTTTGCCTTGGCTGTATGTATAAACATAATCCCATTTTATAAAACATACAAATTCAAGATTTGGGACCCAAACTGTTTATTATGAGACAAAATAGTACAGAGAAAGCAAGTATTTAGAGTAAACCACTTTGTTAGAAGATCAAAGATTAAATTTTGGGGCTGGGATTCCAAAGGACTGATAATTTTGAGCTAGTCTCTAGTGGTTATGTGCTGTCAAATGCTTTAAAACTTTCAAGGAATTAATTCTCTTGAATTAAGCAGAGTCATTCAAAAATGATCAGCATTGTTGCTTCTAGAGGATTGGAATTTTAGAAGCAATATTGTCAAATTATCATTTGAAGCTTGTGGTGCTTTTGTGCATTGACTCTTACTTAGGAAGGTATTAGTGGCATTTATTTCAGAGAGAAGTAAAATCACAATACTTGGCATTATTTATTATTGTTTACCATTCAAGGAATTTTATGGCTAAAGATATATGAATTTATTTTTTTAAAGAAAGTTGGAACAGAGACCAAAAAATCCATGAATCCTGTTTCCCAACATGAAAATTTTCTCCCCCACCCTCCAGTGAAATATCCTGTTCCAAAACATTAGTTATTCTGAGACAAGATACCCATACTGTAATTTTCCCTAAAAGTTTCATCATCTTATTAAATATATTCTGGTTGTGATGCATTGCAGGCTTGTTTTCATTTGTCTTTATATAAAGAGAATTAATGTTGTGTGCTATTTTGCTAGAAATGTAGAAGGAAACAAACTAGTGAATTCTTTCTTGCTTTTAATTCCTACAGAGCCAGGATACTTTCCCAGCCAGTTTTTTAAAAAATCACTTTGGTGACCTACTTATTATTTTATTTTATTTTGTTTTTGATCTCCCAAACTATCTGTTGTCTATTTATAGGAGAAATATTTTGTCTTTTCTGTTCATTCATAATCTATCAGTGTCTTTAAGCCTCCACTTACTATTAAATGAAAATATTCAACCACAATTATTGCCAACTTGATAAACATTAGGGTAACATGTGCCTTGCTAATTTACCAGAACCACCTGCTACCCATTATTTCTCTAGAAAGACAGGCAGCGTCTTCAACTTCAGATGGTGACTGTGGCCTGAAGCCTCTGCATTTCAGAATCAATTTCTTCAACTCCTGCTGCCTAATTGTTGATTCTTTCCCAAAATCTGATTCATGAGTATTTTTATATTATTTTTATTTGAAAGAAGCTGGAAGGAGTTCTGTACTTAACAAATAAGAAAAGCATAAGGAAGAGATGGAAGAAAAACTTCTCAAAGATGTGGTATCTTGTCAAGAATATGGAAGAAAAGAATGTGGGAAAAGAGAATGGTTGGTATGTGTGAGGGAAATGGACCTGTTTAAATGCAAAGGCAAAAATTCATTGCAGGAAGGGATGGTGGAGGTCAGCTTCACTTAGGTAGAGCTGTAGGTCCTAGAGAGTGCAGAAGGCGTTGAGTGAGTTGGAGCCGTTGCTTCCAGGGAGACCTTTCTCTCTTTTGGAAGGAAACCATTTTAAAAGGTTCATTGACTTCTGTTATGAAGAAAAAGATTAAATGTCAGATGTGAAAAGCAGAGAACTTTGTGGGTTTTGGGCTTGTTGTAATATTGAAGAAAGCTTCATGGAAAACATGGGAAAGAAATATACTTTAATGCTAAAAGTAGTTGTGTTTGGTTAGTAGGGTTGTAGTCTTTGCTTTTTCATCTCTGTTTTGCACCTCAAGTTATAGTGAAAATAATTCATTGTCAAAAAATTAAATTATTACTCAGGTTATTTTAATCACAAGAAATTATTAGAAATAAAAATGCCTGTGGGGGTATGAATGTTCATAAAACTAAATTTTAATATTGAAAAATATAATACCTGTTTTTAAACCAACTTGACATCATTCATTAATTTTATTATATATGTGTATCTTTATATATATTTGGTTATTTATTGGCTGCCTCTAGAATGGAAGAGAAGAGAGCACTAGTTTGTCTTGTTCAGTACTGGTGTATCTCCAGAATCTAGCACAGTGCCCACCTGACCCATAATAAATATTTGTTGATTGCAAGAATAAATTCCACATTTATGAAATATCTGCCATGGACCAGACATTGGGTAAAATGCCCAACAAATTATATGTGGTCCCTGTCCTCATGGAGTTTAAAGCAGGAAGGAAGGCGTTACTCAAAGAACGCTAAGATGTGAGAATGAAAGCAGCCAGATTCTTGATATGCCATTTTCACTGTTTTTGCTTACCTCTGTATTGATTAAATTTTTTCTTTTTTTTGGAGACGGAGTCTTGCTCTGTTGCCCAGGCTGAAGTGCAGTGGTGTGATCTTGGCTCACTGCAAGCTCCGCCTCCTGGGTTCACACCATTCTCCTGCCTCAGCCTCCCAAGTAACTGGGACTACAGGTGCCTGCCACCACGCCCGGCTAATTTTTTGTATTTTTTGTAGAGACGGGGTTTCACCGTGTTAGCCAGGATGGTCTCCATCTCCTGACCTTGTGATCTGCCTGCCTCGGCCTCCCGAGTGTTGATTAAATTTTAACTGTTGCCAACTGTGCTTTGCTTAGAGATGATACCAATTTTTCATGTAATGGATAATGTTTGAGAGTTCCTATATCCCCTTGCCAACAGATTGTATTATCAAATACTTTTATCCTTGCCAATCTGAGAGGTAAAAAATGGTATTTTTGGATTTGCATTTTTATTGTAAGGTTACACTTCTTTTCGTTTGTATAAAAGTAACTTGTCATGATATCTGGGTTATATATGGATGTATTACTTCAAAATAAAATGAGTTGCAAATGAGTGAAGATATAGATACAATAAGCCATGAAATGATACTGAAGCAGGGTGATAGGTACAAGGTGGTTCATTATCCTATTATCTTCACTTTTTTAATGTTTGAAATTTTCAACAGTACAATGTTTAAAGTGTTTATTTCCTTTTCAATGAATTATTTTTCTAACATGTTTGTCTCATTGATTTGTAGGAACTCTTTACATATATAGGAAATTTGTTCTTTGGGATTTATTTTGTAATTTTCTGCCAGTTTCTTTCTCTTTTGACTTCATGATGTTTCTGGGCATGTAGACATTTGTTTTAATTTTTTATGAGGGTATATTTATCAGGTTTTATAGCTTCTGGGTTTTGTGTCATACTTAGAGCTTCCCTACTCTTAGATTATAATAAAATTTTCAACACTTTTCTAGTACTTATATAGTCTCATTCTTAATATTTATATCTTTGATACATCTGGGATCTGAAGGAGTGACCAAACGACTTTTGAGCACACCTGACACATACTATACTGTATTGTAAGGGGTTGTACACCCTTTTCTTTTCTGTCATCCATGTGTCTGTCATGTAATTGTCCATGTTAGCTGCATAATTGCTGAATAATTCTAACGCTGAGTCGTTTATCATATGGTGATGGTTCTTCTCAAGGTTGGTATTTGCCACATTTTCTAAAACTCTTTTTTTCCTCCTGGTTTCTCAGTCTGTGAAGACTATAGATTTTCAGAAATACGTTGAATTATTGCTCTAAAATTGGAAAAATATACTTTTGAAATATTTTTTATAATTTGGAGGCCAGAATTCAGAATGAGGGCATACTGCTGTAATAGAACTTTCTTATAAAATGGTTTTATCTGTGAGGAAGACTAAAGGCTCAGGCCTCAAGGATAGTTTTATAGTATGAATACAATGTTTATGGAAGGAGAAATAAATGAAATATTGCTCATGATTTTTTTTAGACCTGTGGCTAGATTCAGGCATGAGTTTCTATTTCACATAAATAGCATTTCGTTTTATCTCTTCTTTCTATATTAGTTACCCTTCTTCTAAGTATCCGAAATGCAGGACATGGTGGAATTGGTCATTTTATTTTACAGAAAAGTCATTCAAGAGCAGCTTTGAAGCAAGGTCAGGCATTTTCCTTGTGGCTTCTTATAGCCATTCCCAGGCACCGCATGTAGCACCTGGACATGCTTGGAATCAGGAAGGGCCTCCGTGTAATTTAGATGAGTAGTTAATTCGAATCAAAGCAAGCGGGAAGCAAGTAAATTTAACTTCAGTGATTATGATTCCATTTGATTAAATCTCTACTTTTGATTACACATATCATGAGAACATGCTTTAAATATACCCAACTATTTAATATTGAAGGGGATGAATAGGATGAACCAGGGACATATAGAAGAAATTCCACTATTCTTCAACTAGGATATGTCCCCTGCAGCTTAACTGAAATATTTTTAGAACAAATGAAAGGATAATTTTTTTTACATATGGGACTTGTTACTCCAATTGTTAACTAAAATATATAACTCATTACCATGAAAGGTCCCAAGTCTATATACTTTCTAGTAAGACTTAAATAAATTAATGGATAATAGCTCCATCACATATACAGTGTCTGAGAAATGTCAATAATGTTCATAGTTCTTTTGTAAACATGAGTTTGGACAGCTATCATTCTGGTTGTGTATTGTCCTTTGGTTATAGTCATTAGAGAAAGGCTTCTTGGCTGAATAGGCCAGAGATGTTACTCAATATTACATTTCTTAAACCTTTGTGTTTTATGTGGCAAAGTTAAAAAAAAAAAAAAAAAAAACCTACTCTCGATTTCTCTTGTTTTACATATTATAGTAGGTTCAAATTAAAGATCTGACCAGTCAAAGAAATAGAGACAATCTGTTTCATGGACTGTAATAACTTTATTTAGATGGCAGCCATCATGCTGTATCAAGGCCACTTCTCTGTTTGCTAGAGTGGGAGCTGCCTTAGGTTTTGTCATTTTTGTGCACTTGCTATTGTTATAATAGGAAAGGCACTCCAAGTTCAAAATAATACTGGATCTTTTCATTGCAAAAATGAACTAACAAACCTATGTCAAAAGAAATTCTTACGTTGATGATGTGTAGGGGTGGTGTCATATATGATTAAAGCACCTTCATGTGTCTCTCAGGCTGTATTTCAAATTGTCTGGGTCTTCTAGCTCCTGCCCCATCCTCTTGCTATAGTCTCTAATCAGATTGGACTGTGAGTTTATAAGGGGAGGTAACTTTGTGTTTGCAGCCTGATTTAGGGCTGGGCACATACGAAATGCCTACAAGTTTATTTTTATGGAGATGTGGTCTCACTCTGTCGCTGAGGCTGGAATGTAGAGGCCCAATCATCATGGCTCACTGTAGCCTTGACCCCCCCTGGGCTCAAGAGATCCTCCTGCTTTAGCCTCCTGAGTAGTTGGGACTACAGTTATATGACACGATGCCTAGCTATTTAAAGTATTTTTTTTTTTTTTTTAAGAGATAGTGTCTCACAGTGATTGCCCAGGCTGGCCTTGAACTCCCGGTCTCAAGAGTCTTTCCACTTTAGCCTCCCAAAATACTGGGATTACAGGTGTGAGCCACCATGCCTGGCCAGTTTTAATGAATGAATGAATAAGAAAAAGATGCAAATAAGGTCATTTAGTGGAAGTTATTATTATTATTTTCAGCACTACTCACAGTGGGTCTATGGACCCACATCACCAGTGTCACTAGAGAGTTGGAAATGCAAATTTCCCCAAGAAGCAGTGGTTATTAAATTGGAATGTTTGGATGCAGGGCCCACAGGACTCTATGCCTTAGTTGATTCTTATGCACACTGAAGTTTGAGAACACTCTTTAGATAACATCACAAACATCATAGAATTTTGCAGTTTTGTAGTATTCACGCTTTGCAAAGCCATCTGCCATCTGGTATCTCACCTGAGTGAGCCTCACCACTTGCCTCCTCACAGGCAGGGGCATTATTATTAATCCCAGATTTACCCAGAGAAATGTGAAAGCTGAAATAATTTGACAGTTCACAAAGCTTGTTCGTGGTGCAATTAAGATTAGAAGTAGTCTTTTTCCACCATGTAAGTTTGCTTTCTGGCTTATATAAACATGATGTTTCCAACCCATGTCATGGGCCTGATTTTGTTTGTCCTCAGAAGGACGATATCTGTACTAAATATCCATTTTCCTGCCCATACCTCACACTGTGGTCAGTGGCAGGCCTCAGAGATAGCTGGACATGTTGAGAAGCGTGAAAAGCAGCCACAGAGTGCCTGGATTTTAATTAGGTCACTTGAGAATCAAATTTTATTATCTAAACAATTCCTCTAGGGGCATTCTTGTACTAGGAACAATATAGTACTAAGAACAACAAAGCACTTGTACTAAGAACAACAAAGCACTAAGAATATGCACCTAAAATCTTAACTTTTGTTATCCCTGGGAAGTGGATTTATGGATCATTTTTCTAATATTCCACTATGATGAAATGTTATTTTTGGAATGGGGGAAAGGATTTCAAAAGAATGATACTGATACTTTAATTCAAAGAAATAGGGCCTGGGTTTATTTTCTAATTTTAGCCACAAATTTGGCATACATCAGGATTAGACGTTTGAGGTCATCTCTCCAGAACTCAGAAACCTGACTTGACAAGGAGGGAGTAACACAGGAAGGAAGTGACTAGCACCAGGCCCCACTTCAGTATTCTTGTTATTTTTACTGTGTTTCATTCTATATTACTACTAATTTTTTCTTGCTCTTTTCATAGAGCAGATGGAGAATTAGTCAGCACTCTTTAAATAGTAACCCCTTTTTACATGAAGACTTATTAATAAGTGGTAAAACGTATTTCTATCCCTTAGAAGTAGGTATTAGATAACCTTGAAGATTAAATGGGCTCCATGTCCTATTTGAAATGAAAAATAGTAGCTCAGCCAGGCTTATTAAGGAAATGTGTATGAGAGATATGGGCAGGTAAAACAAAGACCATTTTTATCTAATTATACGTTTCTTTTTATAAAATTATAAAGTTTTTATATAAAGTCTACGCTCTGAGTTCACTACTTTCTTACCTTTTAGAGCATAATCGTAGGGAAATAAACATTCTATGGTTATTGCTTTTGTCAGTGGGGAAAAGCATAACCCTGATATTAAAGTCTCAGCAGACAAGTAATAGAACAGAACTAATTCTTCTATCTTGTGTGTGTCTTTGCTTCGTGACCAAGTAAGGCAGCTTCTTGGCTGCAAACGTGGGTTTTCCAGCCAAATGACTAATTCAAGGTTCCCTGGATGTTAAATTTAGATTCAGATAGTCTTATCTCACCTTAAATATTGAGCATTTTTCACAGCTTGATGATGTAGCTTTACACTGTTGATGCTTCTTGCCTTCTGCAACTGTGACTGTTCCTTAATATGTGCCTCTTCTTAGCCTTCTGCCTTTTTTCATGGTAGCACTTGAAGATGAGATACCTAGGGATCACTTGGGGCTGGAAGTTAATAGATGATCTGGGAGAATAAGTAACATTTTACTTCTCTAGGAAGTCTGGTTTTAAAACCTGCTGGGTAATTAGAAGTGTGTTTAAAGAATAAACACTTTCTTCATCCTGTTACTTTTCTGTTTTTTAAATATAAAATAGATTTTATTGCCATATTATTAAAGTTGGCTCTTAAAGTTTGTATCTTTCAGTTCGTAACTGTACTTCATGTTCTCATGTTTAGCTTGGTAAGGTTACCTTTTTGAGAGCATGGTTTTGTGTGAAATATTTTTTATTGTGGGCTTCTAAAATCAGGAGGTTATAATCTATAACACTTACTTTCTTACCACCTCTTATCTGTAATCAGGCCTCTCTCCCATTTTGCTGGAGCCCACTTTTTCATTCCTTTATCAACAAATATTTATTGCCTATCATATGCTATTTTGCCAATCAGTGTCATGCCAAATATTGGAATACAGTAATAAATCAGAAACTCATACCCACAGTGAGCTTACAGTAGAGGGGAAGAGGAAAGGACTGGAGGGAAGGAGAGACTAGTTTGAAGACAGTTTTAATAATCCTGGCAAAAGGCAACATGGCCGGCATGAGCAAGGTAACCGTGGCAATGGAGTGAAGGAGGCCTATTTGAGAGAGAGTAAAGAGGTAGCAGTAAAGAGACTTGGTGATGGCTTGGGTATGAGGGAGGAGGGGAGGTAAGGATTTTTTGCTGGGGCAAGCATTACCATTTACTGATGTAGAGAACATGAAGAAGTAGATTTGGGGAAGAATATGATGAGTTCCATTTAAGTCATATTAAGTTAGCGGTCTACAGCTCAGGGGAGTAATCTGGCTAAGGGATATGTGTGTGAGTTGATAGCAGGTAGATAATTGAAGATTAGGGGCAAATGAGCTCAGCTAGAGAGAGTATGAGGGGGTTGAGAAGAGTTTACCGCATTTAAGGAACAGGCTGAGGATGAGGTTCCTGAGAAGGAATAACTGGAGAGGTGGCAGGAAAGCAGAAGAGTGGAGGGTTGTGGAGCCAGTGGAAGACAGTGTTTCAAGGAGGCACAAGTGGGCAGTAGAAACAAGTGCCGCGGCTATTTGATTAGAGGCCAAAGTGGGTTTCTTGGATGGAGCAAAATAATTATTTGGGACTTTTAGCAACAGCTGTTTTAGTAGGGTCCCAGGGGTGAAAACCTGTTTGCAGTGAGAAGGAAGAGGCAGTACAGACAGTTCTGTTGGCTCTCTTTCTAGCCTTGGCTTCCCTAGCATTATAGAGTACTAATATCACTTTGGCCTCTCTTCTAAAATACTTTCCCTGTTTTCTAACGCCCCTAAAAAGGGACAGTCTCCAGAACTGTGTCCTTTGTTCTCTTATCTTTGAACTTCAGTTTCCTTGTCTATAAAATGGCGATAAAGTAGTACCTTCCTTATAGGGCTGCCCTAAGGATGAAATGAGATAATCCAAGTAAAGTACTTAACACAGTGCTCGGCATGTTGTGAGTAATTAGGAAAGAGTGGCTGTTATGACCATAGTTCTCCTTTTTGTTGCTGTCATGATTTCATTGTCATTGTCACTGATACTTCATTTCAGTCTTACTTTCTTAGGGATCTCCTCCATTATGACAGGTAGCTAACTACCTGCCCCTTGTAGAAGAAGGACCCCAGATCATCATCTTTCATCCCAGACTTCTGCTTATATTGCCATCCTGCATTGCTCATTCTTTTACTCATGAACTCGTTTGCCCTCAAAATTTGACTGTTTTCTCCATTCTGGACATTGGTCCATGTGTTGTAGGAGAGATGTGTTTACAAAGAACCATAAAATAGGGATTCTGCCTACACTTTCTGGCCCAGGAGGCCATGCATACCTGTTTTGTCACTTCTCTCAGTTCATTGTAATAGTTTGTTTGGAGGGACTGTAGAATCACAGAGGAAAGAGAGAATTGGTTCTTACTCTGTGGATTAGGCCTCTTTTGGTTATAAGTGCCAGGAATTGAAATCACCTAACTTAATCAAAGAGGGGCTTTTTATTAGAATGATACAGAATTATTATTATGGAATATAAGCAGGACTTTACTAATCAAGCTGTAAGAAGGAGAGAGATGCAGCTGGGCCTTAGGAACATCCAGAGTATCTATTATCTCCTTTCCTTCCCTCTAGATGGTAAATGTTAAAGATACAGGAATTAATTCATTGTTACTTTTAATTTGCTTTTTTTTAAGTGTTACATTCATATATATTTTTGTATGTAGCTCTCACAGTCAATTTCTGAGGAACGTGAAATTTGGAGAAGTCTATGATGTCTTGAAAGTCCCATGTCTATTTAATAGAGAGCTGGTATTCAAGTCCAGGTTTCTAACTGGTATTTATACCACATTGCCATCTAGGATTAATATTTTCTTTCACTAACTGTGATGCTGCATTGAGTATTACTACATACTGTTTTGTGGCTTTAGAAATAACTTGTGAGAGAGGGGTATGTGTGTTATTTTTTTCTGAAGGGTAGAAATTGCAATTAATTGAAATTAAAATCTCTAAAGTTCTTGGGCCTTTACTAATTCAATTCAGCTTAAGGAATCCTGAGGTAATTTAATGATCTTGCCTGCTCTTTTGTCTTTTTTAGATCAGTGGTGAAAACCTTTATCCTAGCAGTATGTAAGCAACTGAGCTAGCTGCAACATAATGTTTTATTTCTTTTATTTAATATTTTCTGTTGGGAGTTGGGCAGGGAATGATTTCACTGGGGCATTGTGTTTTCATCCTTAGTGTGTCTGCAGCTAAAGGCAAACAACTCTTTCTCAATCTTGTGTTGTGGGCAGTCAGAGAGTGTATATAAATATTAACAACATATTTCAGTTTATTTCTGGTAGCTTTAAATTGGGACAAGCTAGTGCAGATTTACATCCTGTTTATGTGAATGATTCCTAATCTCTTATTCTTTGCTGCATCAGAGGAGCGTCGTCTTCCTTTCTCCTTTTCTTTTTAAAGGAGTGTACGTGCTGGTGAGGGACAACATATGATTGACTTTGGTTTCTTTTTCCTTATTAGTCATTCACTGCTTATCCCACTACTGAGTTCCACTCAATGATCCACTGAAACCCTTCTTGTCAAGGTCACTGGGGACCTTAAGTTGTAAATTTCTCTCTCTTAGCCTTACCATAGCCTTTGACTCTGCTGGTATTCTCTTCTCTTTGGTCCTCTGCAATGTTCCCTGGCTTCCTTCTTCCTCTCTAGTTACTTTCTAACCATCTTTTTAATGATACTCTTTCCTGGAGTGTTGGTCCTGGACCTCACTTGCTTTTCTTATTCTGCATATTATCCCCGAGTGATCTCATCTCCTCAAATATTTATCACTTTTAAAATTTCCAGTATCATTCTCTCTGCTGAGCTCCAGACTTGCATATCTGACTCCCTAAGGATATAACACCTTAAACTTAACATATCCAGATAAAAACCCAGCATCTCTCCTTCTACTAGATTTCCTTTTTTTTTTTTTTTTTTTTTTTGAGACGGAGTTTCGCTCTTATTGCCCAGGCTGGAGTGCAATGGCGCAATTTGGCTCACCCAACCTTTGCCTGCCGGGTTCAAGCGATTCTTCTGCCTCAGCCTCCCGAGTAGCTGGGATTACAGGCATGCACCATGACGCCCAGCTAATTTTGTACTTTTAGTAGAGATGGGGTTTCTCCATGTTGGTCAGGCTCCCGACCTCAGGTGATCCGCCACCTCGGCCTCCCGAAGTGCTGGGATTACAGGCGTGAGCCACTGTGCCTGGCCTCCTTCCAGATTTCTAATTTCACTTTAATTCTCTCTCCCCCCCGCCCACCCTCCCCCCCAAAAGCATAAACCAAAGAGTATCTGAGACAGGTCTCAATCAGTTTAGGAAGTTTATTTTGCCAAGGTTAAGGACGCAGCCATGACATAGCCTCAGGTCCTTACGAAATGTGCCCAAGGTGGTCAGGGCACAGCTAGTTTTTTAATTTTAATTTTAATTTTTATATTTTTATTTTATACATTTTAGGGAGGCATGAGACATCAACCAGTATGTGTAAAATATACATTGGTTTCGTCCGGAAAGGTGGGGCAAGTCAAGCGAGGAGGGGCTTCTGGGTCATAGATAGATAGAGACAAACAGTTGCATTCTTTTGAGTTTCTGATTAGCCTTTCCAAAGGAAGCAATCAGATACAAATTAATCTCAGTGACCAGAGGGATGACGTTGAGTTCTGTCTGTTCTTTGTCCATGAGGAATTTCCGTGTGGACAAAATGTGAGGGAGGTATGTAGCTTTTTAAAAAAATCTTGGTAGCTACTTTTTTAAGGACTAGAATGGGAGGCAGGTTTGCACTAAGCAGTTCCCAGCTTGACTTTTCCCTTTGGCTTAGTGATTTTGGGGTCGCAAGATTTATTTTCCTTTCACACAGGAAAGGTAACCATTCTCCTCAGTGTTGCTCAAGCCAGAAATTTAGACGAAGGAAACTTGAACCTTTCCCTGTCTTTAGAATTGTACCATTACCTCAGCTAGTTCTGTGCATTTCCTAATTCGATTTTTCCAGCAGTGTTGTGAGTCTCTTAGAACAGTTATTAATTAATACTTTCACTTTGCAGACGGGGACACTTGGAGAAGTTGGGAGAATTTTTTTCATAACGAAAGATGTAGGCAGTGTCAGTGCTGGGAAAGAATGGAAATCTATTGTTTCTTACATGTTACTTAAGAAAGAGAAAGAAAAAACCAAGTGAACTAAAAGAGAAAAGTTGATGTCCTCCTGGTAGTAAGAATGTAAAGGAATCAGCTTTCACAACACCTCGCTTTTTGAGATGCCAGGTTTCATTTTTCACTGTTTCATGTATTTCCTCTTCAGTGCTAGAGAGGTGTTGGATCTTCACTCTCCCCACTCAGAGCCATAGCTGCTGTTCTTTTAACAGCTAATTGAGGTATAATTCACTGCTGCACGATTCACCTATTGAAAGTATACAATTCATTGGTTTTTAGTACATTCATAGAGTTTTGCACCCGTCACCACTACCTGGTTCCAGCACGTTTATGTCCTCCCTAAAACAAATCCCGTATACTTATCAGTCAGTTCCCACCCACCCCCAGCCTAAGTAACCACTAATATATTTTGTGTCTCTATAAATTTGCCTATCCTGAATATTTTATATAACTATAATCATATAGTATATGGTCTTCTGTGACCTTTTTTCACTTACCATAGTAATTTCAAGGTTAATTCCAGTTGTACCATGTATCAGTACTTCATTCCTTTTTGTGGCCAAATAATATTCTATTGTATGAATATACCGCATTTTATCCATTTATCAGTTGATGGATATTTGGATTGTTTCCACCTTTGGGTTGTTGCGCATAACACTGCTAAGGACATTTGTGTACAAGTTTTTGTGTGCACGTATGTTTTCATTTCTCTTGGGCATATAGCTAGGAATGGAATCACTGGCTCCATATGGTAACTATGTTTAATGTCTTGAGGAACTGCCAAACTGTTTTCCAAAGCGGCTGCACCATTTTACATTCCCACTGGCACTGTTTGAGAGTTCCAATTTCTCTGCATCCTTACTGATACTTTTTATTGCTTTTGTTTTTGATTGTAACCATCCTAGTGGACCGAAATTCTAGCTCATTGTGATTTTGATTTGCATATCTCTGATGGCTAAAGATGTTAAGCATCTTTTTGTTTGCTTATTGGCCATTCATATATTTTCTTTGGAGCAATGGATATTTAAATCCTTTGTCCATTTTTAAGTTCAGTTGTCTTTTTATTATGAGTGTAAGATTTTAGATTTGTCTTTTATCAGATTAATGATTTACAAATATTTTCTCTCATTTTATGTATTGCCTTTTTACTTTCTTGATGATATCATTTGAAGCACAAACATTTTAAATTTTGGTGTCAGAGCTGTGGGTTTTATTAAATAATATGACACCGTTGTGCTTCGGTAAGGCGGAAGAGAGCTTTCCTCTCGTTAAAATGGCTGGAGGTCTCAAAAAAGGTAGAGCTGCAAGTTCCTAGCTACTATTACACCTCCTTTCCTTCCTCCCTGTGTAGCCTGTCCTGTGGCTATGATGGCCACACTATAGGAACAGGCCTGTTTTGGCTTTGAGCCTCCAGGAGTGGCAGAAACTGGAACTGTGTCAGCATTTTATTAAGAGATTGCTATTTCCAAGATGTTAATAGATACTGTGAATCTCATCTTACACCTCTATTCTCTACTGGTTTTTTTTTTCTCTAAATGTAGCGCTGTTCCTGGCTGCTGAGCAGCTCTTGTCCTTGACTGACAGGCAAGGTATGCAGTTGTGGCACTCATTGGCCCTGGAGATAACCAGATAACAGCACCCCTAACAAGAGGAGCCACTTTTCTGTTAAAACTTTGCTGCTGGTTCACAATCCTGTATCTAGAACTTCATGCCATTGGGACATTAGACACCAGTGTGCCTCAGGCATCTGAATGTCATGGATCAATATGGTTTCAAACCATATTTTGAATACCCCAATATTTACCTTAACATACATTAAGTTTTAATTTTCTCCGGTAAGGACATTTGGCAACATAACTGCCATTCATGGCAGAAAATAACTAAGATTTTCCTATCAAGAGAGTACAAAAGATATAATGTTAAATAAATTTACCTTTGTGAAGAGTCAATATATTATTCATACTTTGCTATCTACCACTCAAAAACATATTACAGTCTGTAGATTCATATTTGAGAACTACAGTCTTACATACCTAGGATAAATCTTTGTTGGAAAAGGAGAACCTTCACTTAATCAGGTATTTACTGATTAAGTTACTGATCTGTATGATGCCAGATACCAGTTTTATACCGATTATTTCCCTGCACCACATTAAGTGTTTCAGTTGGTATGTTTAGACACATGTTTCTGTATTTTGTATGTATCTTTGCTAATATTTGAGTAGTTCTTCAGTAACACAGATGAGAAAGAAGAATTATTTTAGATATATGTGAGTATAAATATGAATTTGACCTTTAAGGATTAAAAAGAATCATCAATCAAAAGGTAGAATGGCTTCTATTTATAAATACAATGTGTAACTTCTGGATTATATATGTATAGTCTAGGCTGGGAGTACTACATAAATTCTATTGATTTTGTCTCATCTGAATTACAATGTCAAATAGATACTAGGGTTTTACCATAAGATAGTTATGGGCTGTCTCATTGTCACATTAATTACAATAATTAGGCAGTAAAGAAGCCATAGGAATAGATAATATGTTGTATGTTTGGATGAGATTGTAGTTATAACCCCTTATTTATGGTAATAAAACCTTGTTAATTGACACTGCTGACAAGCTCTTTTGCTTTCCTTTTCAACTTTCCAAGTTGGTTTATCAGTCTATTTAGGAATTACAAGCTGAGAGCCACAAAATATACAATAAAGCTCACATTGCAAGATTTTCTGTACTTGTTCATGCTATACACATTAAATTCATTCAGCAGTATTTGCTAATTATTGTTCTAAGTGCTCTTAAGTATTCAGAGATGTATAAAGCAGTGCCTACTCTGAAAGATTAATAATGGAGAAGTGAGGTAAAGTATCTATATATAAAGAAATATGACTGACATTTATTGAGCAGCATATGTGAGGCTCATGTGATAAGTTCCTTAAAAGCAGACAAAAGAGTATACAAGTTCAGAGGAAGAAAAGATGATTCCAGGCCTGTGTGATCATTGAAACTATAAGTCTCAGTGGTAGAGGAATTATTTTGCATCTATGCCATAAATCTTTGAGCTATCTATTCTAGAGCTGTAGTGAAAGGTAGGTGGCTAAATGTACTGACATGGAAATCAACTTTTGTTCTAGGCTTAGCTGCACTGCAACCTTATTTTGTGTCCTTGAGTATATAAAATTGATGTAATAATATGTGTCCAGCATATCTCACTGTGATGAATGAGATAATGTGGATGCCTGAGCTTCTCCCTGTGGTGAAAGTCAGATTGCTTGGCAGGTGTATGTTTTTTTTTTCAGGCAACTCAGGCTGTACATTTGGATGGTAGTAAGCATAGCTTTCCATGACTAAATGGATTAATATCCTTATCAAAGTGCCTAATTTATTGCTAGGGAATAGCATATTCTGTGTAACATCTGAGCTGTTGTCTGAAAAAATTACATGAATTCCTTGGAGAAGCTGCCTGTATGAATACATAGTAGTAGTATTGTAATCCGTGAACTATGTTAAAACGGCAACATATGTTTATTGAGATGCTATTGCTGGTTTAGGGGCTTTACAATTGCTTTTAAAATTCTTACATCATTTACATGTTATAGCAGAGGAAACTGAGGCTTAGATAAGTTTTTAAAAGTTGCTTAGATAATACAGTTGTTTGAATTCACATCTGCTGAAATCTAACGTTAATGCTGTTTACATTGTAGAATGCTACTTTAGTTTGATGTTTTTCTTGCAGGTCACTGTAAGCCATTTATCTGCGTGTACGTATGTGTAAATGTTATTTATTTGTTTATGCCACTAGGTTGCTTCTAGAACTGCTGGAGTTACTGTTTGACAAGTTTAATGCTGTAGCCGCTGCACACTCTGTGGTCCTGGGATACCTGCAGGACACTGTAGTGACTCCACTGACTCAGCAGGAAGATATCAAACTGTATGATATGGCAGATGTATGGGTGAAGATCCAAGATGTTCTACAGGTAAGAGCCTTTTACAAAGGGTGTCATCTTGATTCAGAGTAACAGTTTAGAATAACAACAACAACAGCAACAACAAGCCACCTAAAACACTATCTTAAGAGTCATAAACAGGGTGAGAAAGTAATGCTTGCATTTGAATGTGATGTTGCTGATGGCATTAACTTCTACTATCTTCAAAAAACTTTTTAACAGGCTGTGTGCAGTGGCTCATTCCTGTAATCCCAGTACTTTGGGAGGCCAAGGCGGGTGGATCACCTGAGGTCAGGAGTCTGAGACCAGTCTGGCCAACATGGTGAAACCTTGTCTCTACTAAAAATACAAAAATTAGCTGGGCGTGGTGGCGGGCGCCTGTAATCTCAGTTACCTGGGAGGCTGAGGCAGGAGAGTTGCTTGAACTCGGGAGGCAGAGTTTGCAGTGAGCCATTGTACCACTGCACTCCAGCCTGGGTAACAGAGTGAGACTCCGTCTAAACAAAAAAAACCTTTTAACAGACTTCTTTTTTTTTTGGCAGACTTTAAAAATAGAAGCATATTCTCAATATGTATAGTGTCTGGCTTTCTGTCGTAGTATACTTTACTTGACTGGAATTAGTCATATATTAAGGTAAAAAACATTAAAATATTCTTAAGCATTATTTTATAAACATGTACATAGCTTAATTTTGTTGACTATTTCCTTACAGTCAACTTTTGCATATATTGGGTTATATGACAGAACAAGAGCTTATTTTGAGAGATGAGAATAGATCTGTGAGGTATAAATGTATCACTTTGCTTGATTTGTTGAAGATTAGAGGAATAATATTATTCTTTGGTATGATGCTGCTGAAATGATATTTAGAAATTGTATTATACTTTTTCTCCATATGTGAGCAAAATATATTTGATTTAGCCAGATGGAAATTAGAAATATAATTAAGAGTTAGCTGAAGCAAGCTTTGACATAACTAAATAGAAGTAACTTAGTTAGATAGTTTCTGCTAATATGAAAAAAATTAAGTATATGTGGGGAATTGGAAAATGGAACTGTGTAGGAATGAAATTACTTGCATGGCAAATAAGAGTCTTTGCAGAAAAAAGTAAATCATGAATGTAAATTATAGTCATTTTTTAGAATGTAGACATGCTCTTGGTGGATTGAATGGATTGATTCCTGGTTTTTCATTCATTAGACAACTTTTGGTACAGTGTATATGCTTTACTGGTGGTTCAGTAGAAATAATATTGGTTGAAACTTTTTACTGCTTTGTCAATTGCCATGCCTGTAGTACATGCTTGGTGAATATTTTTGTATTGAATAAAATATCTTTATGGGTTGGAGGCTGGTTATTTAACATTTTGCATGTTGATATGTTTATCCGTCTTATGTAAATAATGTGTGCCTTTCGTATCCATGTTTAAGTATGAAATAATAGATTCTAAAGCTAGATAAAAAATAATTAGAAATAGGGACTTCTGTTTCTCATCTTGATGAAGTTACCCTTTGCTGTAAGCAACTTAGGTAGTCAGCACAGTCAGCTGAGAAAAAAGAACACACTAGGTGAGCTTTACCTTCATCCCTGCATCTTCCTCGTGAATACTTTCCAAACTATTAGCCCTTTGGTCAGATATGAAGCTGTGTACACCACAAGGCTTGGCAGGAAACAACTACTGTGGGACTGTGAGCTGAATGAAGATTTCAGAAGTTGGAAACTTCTCAGCAGTGTTGGAGCTCAGACCAGCCAGTGTGGGGAAAGCTTGCTGAACATACTGTGCTTTCAGCTGTGACCTCAGAAAGGTCACACCTTATGAGTAGGGCTATTCTAGGAGTAGAAGACAGGCTACTATAGATCTCATACAGCAAAGCCCCAAACCAAGCCTCTATTTTATCATCTTGATCCACCTGTAAATTTATTGTCTGATAGAACAAAACTCTCTCTAAAGTAAGACAACATAATTCAGTTTCTCAATAACAAAGCACCTGCAATGTCTAGCATAGAATTATTATGCTTGTTAAAAAGCAGGAAAATGTGACTCTTAACCAGAATGAAAAAGTTGATAGAAATAAATATCTAAAATGAAAAATCCACCAGGGAGTGGTGGCTCACGCCTGTAATCTCAGCACTTTGGGAGGCTGAGGTAGGTGGATCATTTGAGGGCAGGAGTTCAAGACCAGCCTGACCAAAATGGTGAAACCCTGTCTCTACTAAAAATACAAAAAAATTAGCTGGGCGTGGTGGCAGGCACCTGTAATCCCAGCTACTCAGGAAGCTGAGGCAGCAGAATTGCTTGAACCTAGGAGGTGGAGGTTGCAGTGAGCCAAGATTGTGCCTCTGCACTGCAGCCTGGGTGACAGTGTGAGACTCAATCTCAAATAAATAAATAAATAAATAAATAAAATGAAAAATTCACCAGATGGATTTAGCTGCAGATAACATACTGTGGAAGAAAGGATCAGTGAATTTGAGGATAGATCAATGTAAACCATCCAAATCAAAGCACAGAGAAAAAATAGACAAAAGGAAAATGAACAAAGCTATAATATCTTCAAGGATATTATGCAGCTTAACAATTATGTGGTTTACAGGTACAGAAGGAGAGAGGACAGAGAGATTGGGGTAGAAAAATATCAGGAGAAATGGTGACCAAAAAGTTTTGAAATTTGTTGAGAAACATAAACCCACAGATGCAAGAAACGTAACAAATCCCAAGCAAGATAAACACAAAGAAAATCAACACATACGCACATTATGAAAACCAAAGAAAAAATTCTTAAAAATAGCCAGAGGAAGAAAGACACATTGCCTACAAGCAAACAGTGATAAAAATTATCAGTGACATCTCATCAGAAACAATGCAAGCCAGAAATCAATGTATGTCAATCTAAGAATGCTGAAAAGAAACAAAAATTGTCAATCTAGAATTTTGTGTTACCGAAAATATTCTTTAAAATGAAGCTGAAATAGAGACATTTTCAAATGAACTAAAACTTAAAGAATTTGTCACCACTAGACTTTCACTTAAAGAAATGTTATAGAAAGTTTTTCAGCCATGCGCGATGGCTCATGCCTGTAATGCCAGCACTTTGGGAACCCGAGGCGGGTGGATCACGAGGTCAGGAGTTCAAGACCAGCCTGGCCAAGATGGTGAAACCCTGTCTCTATGAAAAATACAAAAGAATTAACTGGGTGTGGTGTCTGGCGCCTGTAATCCCAGCTACTCCGGAAGCTGAGGCAGAGAATTGCTTGAACTGGGGAGGTGGAGGTTGTAGTGAGCTGCGATCGCGCCACTGCACTCCAGCCTGGGCGGCAGAGTGAGACTCCATCTCAAAAAAAAAAAAAAAAGAGTTTTTCAGGCTGAAGGAAAATAATACCAGATGGTAACTTAGATCTACAGAAAAAAGTAAATAGGGCCAGAAATGGTGAATATGTGGACAAAAAAAAAAAATGCTTTTCCCCCCCACATTTCTTGATTTATTTTTATTAAAAGAATTTTTAAAATTTCTAAGTCAAAAACAATCATAGTGTATGTGGGTTTTATAATATATTTTGGAAGGCAATATATGACAATAATTAGACAAAAGATGGGAGTAGGGTAAATGATACTATGCTGTTGTGAATTTCTTATATAATTCATGAAGAGGTATAATGTTTAGGGTAGCCTATGATAAGTTAAGGATGCATATTTCAATCCCTAGAGCAAACATTAAAATTCTAAGATAGATACGTAGCTGAGAAGCCAGTTGAGGGGATAAAATTGAACAGTGAATAAATATTTGATTAATCCAGAAGAAAGGAAAGGAGGAAAAAGAACAAGGAAGAAAGAAACAATAAAAAACAAAGATAGGATGAATAGAACCCAAAAGCAAGATGATAGACTTAGCACCAACCATATCAATAATTACATTAGACATAAATCGACCAGATACTCCAGTTGAAAGACAGAGATCATACTGGATTTAAAAAAAACCAAGACCCAACCATGCTGTTTCAAGAGATGCATTTTATGATATTTTATTACTTTAAAAATTTTTAAATAATTTTAAAATTGTAGAAAAGTTGTGAGAATAAGAATAGTACAAAGAGCCATATACCTCTTTATTTGGATTCAGCTGTTCTTAACGTTTTACCACTTTTTTCCTGTTTTCTCTCTGTATATATGGACACACACATGCATTTTTCTTTGAAAAATGGGCAGCAAGTTATCTACTCTGCTGTCTATATTCTTGTTTTGTTAACTGACCCAGTAATGTTCTATATAGCAGTATTTTTGCCCCTCCAGTAGAGAAACCAGTTTAGAATCAGGTGTTTCATTTAGTTGTCTTTAAACTTGAACATTTATAGTCTTTTTTTTCTCTTTTCTGATAGTGGCACTTTTGAAAAATATGTATCTCTCCCCTTTTAATACAAGTTTGTCATTTTGGGTTTAAAAGATACACTTTAAACATAAAATTAAATGTATGAGAATGGAAAGAGATAACCATGAAATACTAATAAAAATAGCTAGTATTACACAAATACATCAGACATTTTTAGAATATATAAATGTAATTATTTGTATTATACTACTATGACATTTAGAACTTGAATACATCAAGGCCTAGATAGTATGTTATGGACTATGTAATTTTACTTATGGCAAGGTCATAAAATACTTTGTGAATAAGTTTTTATGACCCCCCCCCATCTTTGGCTTTTACTTATGTTCTGAACTGAAAACAATTATTAAATCTGTTAGGATCCTATTTAGAATACTACCATGAGGAATTAGTTATGATAATAAACAAAGTAAGATATCATGTCTTCCCTAACTCTGCTTACTTTGTAATTGTCAGATGTATATAATTCCTGTACGGCTGAAAACGAAACCCATTATTTCATAATAAAGATGATTGTAATGAACTAAGCAACTTTAAATTCCATCAGTTATTAACAGGTGAAATTTACAGATTAAAAATAGGTTTTTCTGGCATATTAAATGAGTTATACGTTTCATACATGTAGTTTCAAATGAGTGATTTGGCCACATGTTCTCACTCATAGGTGGGAATTGAACAATGAGAACACTTGTTCACAGGAAGGGGAACATCACACACCAGAGCCTGTTGTGGGGTGGGGGGATGGGGGAGGGATAGCATTAGGAGATATACCTAATGTAAATGACGAGTTAATGGGTGCAGCACACCAACATGTCACATGTATACATATGTAACAAACCTGCACGTTGTGCACATGTACCCTAGAACTTAAAGTATAATAAAAATAAAATAAAATAAAATAAAATAAAATAAAATAAAATAAAATAAAATAAAATGAGTGATTTGGGGATTCTGTCTTTAAGTTACGGAATGAGTTGTTTAAACAGCTTTATTGAAATATAATTTACATGCTATAAAGTTTACCTATTTAAAGTATAGATTTCAGTGGTTTTTTAATTATATTTATGGAGTTGTACAACCATCACAATCATATCATTTTAGAACATTTTCATCTATGCCAAAAGAAACCTTGTATCTATTAGCAGTCACTCCTCATATCCCACTCCCTTTACCTCTAGGCCTAGCCTGTTAGGTACTGATCTACTTTTTGGAAATGACTTATTTTTATCATAGATCTATGATCTTTATTTTTTTATTTTTCTAAAATATGGGTCCTTGGAAATTTTATAGTTTAAGAGAAAGTAGACAAGATGAATTTAAGACACTAAAAGAGGTATCAATTATGTGTTATATCTCTCAGAAACTTGTAGTCTCCACATTAATTATACACTTGGCAGTGCTGTTGCTGTTCCACGTTAATGCATACATGTACCAATGGCATAAGCTATTTGACAGAGAAAGAACATAGAACTGAAACCGTTCTAATGAAAGGTGAGAGGTCTGACATAGAAATAACATTTTATTTCATGTATTTTGTTTAATTGCTCTGAGGCCAAGATATGGCAGTGTTCTTTGCATTTTTGCTTGCTTTCTCTTTCCGCACTTTTCTTCGCCTCTTAACTATCTACCTTTCTGCCCTTATCTTTTTTCTTAAGCATGTTGTGGAAGAATGGCCTTAGTCATGAGTTGAGTTAATCTGTTGATTGTTTCTTAACTATGTATTCTACTCATCTTTATTATTGCCCTATAAATTTGAGCATAGAGCATTTTTGAATAAGAGGTTCATATAAATATTTTAATTTGTAATTGCTATGCAATAAAAATTGTTATATAACTTTTAAATTATTTTTAGATTTCCATGTTTTCTAGTTCTCTCAGAATTCTTTCAGGTTATACAGTACTGAGTATTAAGCTATATACCCATCAATAACCTAGATGGCTAATGGCACAGACACACAGACAGACTAATGTTGCTGAATGTAAGAAGAGTAGTAGATGTAATATGTAATGTTATTATTCTGAGACATGTTGAATGGCCCAAGAAAGGTTTTGGAGATTGATGATGAGTTGATCCTTGGAGGATTTGTAGAGGTAGAGGAGATGGGAAATGGCACTCCAGGCAGATGGAAAGGCTCATGAGATAGTATTTGCAAGTGGCAAAAAAGGAATGAATAGACAAGGATATTCAGGGATAGGTAAGAAGAAGAGTTTAGCATAAATGAAGGTTTATTTTGTGGATCTGATGAAAAGCTTGGATAGGTAGATTTGGGTGCAGGTTGTGAAAACCTGTTAGGGTTATCTAAGTGGTTTGTGATTTATCTTTACAGTAATAGTTTCTGAACCTGGTTACACATTTGACTTATCTAGGGATTGATTCTTAGCTCCATCTTACACCTTATGACAGTCACTGTGGATAAGGACTACATTCTGTTTTTCAGCTCCTAAGGTGATTCTGATATATTTGTTTAGGATCTTGTATTTGGAAGTCTTTGTGTTGGGTAAGTGGTTCTCAATGTATACCTCTTGGACCATCATCAGCATTATGTGGGAACATATTAAAAAATGCAGATTTGTATCCCCACCTTTGATTGACTGAAACAAGAACTCTGGGGGCGGGACCTTCAGGTGATTCTTATGCACACTGAAGTTTGAGGACCTTTGCTGTAGGTAATATGGGAACTTTGGAGATTTATATTGGAGTGTGATGAGATGAAGGAAGATTAATGTGGTAGCAATGAAAAGGACTGAGTAGAGAGGGTAGAGACTAAGACAGGCAAACTATTTTGTAGGCTAGTGGAGAGTCTATGCATATATTACTTGAGGTATTGTTTAGTAGAGAAGTAAACAAGACAGGCTTTGGTGTATGCTAAAGGAATACAAAGAAGGGAGAAGAAGATTTCTAAACCTTTTCAGAGTCTTTTAGAAAATCTGTAAGATGATATGGTCCATCTGCCAGCCTAGTTTCCAGTATGACAGATATTTTAATGATGGTTTAGTGTTAAATTATTGGGACCAACTATGTACTGAGTACTGGGGAATAGAAAAAAATACATGAACACCAGAGACCCCTGGCTGGGAAATATTTAATGTTCATTTATATGGAGGGTTTAGGATGAAGATTTTTGGTTAAGTTTCTATGTACAGTTTTACACATGGGGCTGATTTAGTTTTCATGTACTTGTTGGAGGAGTGTTCTTTAGGTTAGAAATCATTCCTGGAGAACAAAATAATTCAACAGAATACTAGAAGCCTTTAGTTAAATATGTAACAGCATGAATGAAGATGATGGGATATTATGATGAATAGAGTTATAAGTGTTTAGAGTTCAAATTTCTGTATTTCTTTGAATGGAAAACATTTCCTGCTGAAAAGTTGAAATGTTCCTTGTATATTAAATTCTTTGTATAGTAAATTAATTCTTGGAAGAGAGAATACTTTTTGATCTTTTAATGACTTCAGCAGTTTTTTTCCACTGCAACTTGGGCTTTCCCTGGCAGCCAGAACCCATCCTTTAGTTGGAAGGCTCATTTGTCTCAGCGTGTTTTTGTCTGGAGACAGACAGTGAGGAGACAAGGCTATAGCTATCATAGTAACGGGGTGTTATAGTTTTTCCCTGGTGTCAGCCCTGTGACCACACACCATTGCACTCCTTTTTCAGTTTTCACTCTTTTTGAAACTGTGATAATAGAAATACATGTTTTTGCCCTTTTGAGCAGCGGCAGTACCTTCCAAAATGACACCTACTTGGTGACAAGTGTGTCATATTGTTGGCTGTGTGTTTTCAAGTGTATAAAAGACTGAGGTACACTAGAAATACAAAATATTCAATCTTGTTGAATTCTGCATAGCAAAGGAAGAGGATCACTTTGAACAAACCCATCCTCCAGACGTTATGATTCTGTAAAAAATCTAAATTTTTTTCACATCTCATTTCAAAACACAACTGTCGATTTAGCCATTGTTGACTTAAATGTGTAACTCCTTGGCATGCTAAGCAGTGTCTACAGATGGGGACAGTGGGTTCTGATTATACTGTTTACCACTAGCAGTGACACCTAGAACAAGTCACTTTACTTTTTTTAGTGCCTTGATTTCTTTTTTCTGGAGATTAATGGAGACAGAATGTAAAATCGTTTTACTTTTGTTAACTGCCATATAAATGTTTAGTGATAAAATTAACCTCTTGCAGAGAGAGCTTGAAGTTTGCTGTCAGGTAAGAGAATCCACAAAATTATTAGTACTGATCCTTGACCTGGAGGGGATTTTCAAGGAGACAGATGTAATTTCTATTTTGAATTCAGGTCTGAAACTAGGTTATTCTTAGGTTCTGTCGACTTTGATATTTTGGTTACCTGAGGATTCTATACCTTAAAGTAAAACAAACCTATTTTAGTATTTCAGGCCAGAAAACGTATGAGAGTATTCTCGCAGAAATAGTTTTTCGTCATTTCTCAGCCTATAAAACTTTTTGATAACCTCTATTTTGCGTGGCATCGTGAAGTCATGTTGTTGGCCAGGCCATTGAATCTCCACAAAAGTGCTTGCTCCTAGAATGTTTCTTCTGTCTCGTCAGTGGATAATATGCTGCCAAATGAACAGAATATAATTAACATTTACAAGTTAAATTAAAAATCTTCTAAATTCGAGTTTGTTTCTGTAGCACCAGGACTCTCCCTGTGTTGTTTTATGTTCACTACTAATTCTTCAAGCAGGAACTGATGAGCAGCCAGGGAGATTCCTCTGGCTTCTAGTACAGACGTAGCAAATGCCCAAATCAGAGTGCTAGGGTGTCTAATGCATAGTGAAGTGTGATGTCAATGTCATGGACATCTGAATACATTGCGGCAAACTTTAGAAAATAGTAGCTTGGCAGGGGATACCCCAGAATAGGTTGATCTGGTAGGAAGGCTGTTCTCCTTAAATTTTCACATACCTAGGATGGGCCTGCTCGGGCCTCATTACGTCTTGGCCTAGAGAACACAGGTGTAGAAATGGCAGGTCTTCCTTCTCCCTCACTGCCTCCAAAGCTTATCTCTGTCTGGTTTTGTCTGATATTTTAGAGGGTGAACTGTTAAAAGCCAAGTGTCCGTCAGACTCATGCTGCTACCGCTCCTTTAAGTGTGCTCATCAAGATTTGGTGCACCTGGGCCAAGGCAAGAATGTTGCTAGGATCCAAGAGGCCATAATAAGTTGTGGTGATTAATAGCATGAAGTGAAATAGTGTGATGTAGAAAGTGTCATTCTGTGATTTGAGTGAAATTAAAGCTACTGGCATGACCTTCACTGACATATTGCTCTTGCCTACTTGAGAAGGTTTTAGAGCAAAGGTAATTACATTTTCCTGAATTGGTCTTTTTTTTTTTTTTAAGCGTATTTAAAAAAAAAAAACGTTTTCTGATTGTGGAAGCAATGAGTATGTCTGAATCCTTGAGTATAGCGATAGTTCTTCTGATTTTTTTTTTTTTCTGTATGCCAAATTCTTCAGAAACTTGGTGGCTTAAGACATCAACCATTTTATTTCTCATAGTTTTGTGAGTCAGGAATTCATGAAGGCTCCAATGCACAGTGCTTCTACTTGACATGGCATTGGCTGAGAACATTCACTTGGCCACGCATCTGCAGCATGGACTGGTTAGAAGGTCCAAGAAGACTTTATTATGTATCTGGCACCATCACGCTTCTCCACGTGGCTTCTGTTTCACCATATGACCTTGCAGCAGCGTTGTCTCAGGGTAGTTGGACTTCATACATGATTGCTAGCTTTAACTAGAGAGCATTCTAAAGGGTGAAGGCTGCAGGTCTTTTAAGGCCTGGCCTTGGGGCATTACTTGGTATCACGTCTACTGTGTTCTTTTGGTCAATTGGGTAGCTCAGATTTAAATGGAGGGAAAATAGAATTTATTTAGTGTGAAGAGTGGCAAGGAATTTCCAGCTATTTTTTTCTGCCACTTCGTTGTGGACTTTGTAAGTTTGCCTTTATAGACCCACCAGTCAGACACTGGCATGAAGTCATTGTCTTTGGGTTTGTGTCACAAGATAGAGGCCGGTATTTCATTGTCTACTGCTCTTAATTTGTTAGAGAATATTTACGTGATTACCGGATTCAGCAACATTTCACCAGTTTGATCACATTAAAGACCATTCAAGATACATTTAGGAAAATACAAGTCTTTCACAGAACTCCTTTGTTCAAGTGAGTTAATTCTTGGAGTAGTTACACTTTGTCACTTTACACTCAAGTACTGAAATGATTTTTTATATGTTATTAATCCCTTTGATCTTTCTGTTGTTACAGTTTGTCGTATTGCTCCCCATTTTAGAGATGGAGAAACTGTGATGGGTTTTAAATCATGTTTTTTAGCACCAAAGAGTCAAATATGGAAGTCGGCTTGCCCTAGCTTTCTTTTGCAATTTTTAAGTCATTGATTTAAAAGCCTACTTTGGCTTATACTTTGGCATCTTGACATTTTACTTGAGAATCCGTGATAACTTTCAACTGATTCATTTAATTGAAATTATTTCAGTTCACATATTTTTAAAATCAAGGCTTTGTGTTGAGGAATATGGCCAACCAGGGATTTGTTTGTATATATAGAAGTGTGTTTACCACTATACATGTGTTTATGTATTCATGTATGATTGTTTTCTAATTGTGAATATTCAGGATTTCAAGTTTTTTTTTTTTACATTGACAGATATAATTATACATATTTACTGTGTGGATTTCAAGTTTAAAAGAATAGCCATCTCTGCATAGAGATTTGTCTTTTCCTCTTTTAAAATACCAAATATTTTGATAAAGGCACTGAGATTGGTCTAAGCCTTTGCATTACCCTATACAGTCAAGAAAGGTGAGGCTATGTCTTTTTTGTTTTTGGTAGTGGCTTCAGATTAGATCAACTGAATGTTCTGAATATTTTGCTAATTACGGCTATTCCAGTGGTCACTGGGCCTCCCACCATTCCTCTCCAGAGCTGATGGTAATTGCAATAGCTGTGACTTCCTCTCTCCCTGTTTTTAGAAGGTGTTGCTTTCTCTTGTATATCTTGCTTTTATGAAGTGGCTGTCAGCAGGGAGCACAAAGAGCTCTCTGGCAGTTGCTGTTCCTTCGAGAGCATGCTTCTTTTGCCTGTTTGTCACTCCACTGAGTACTGCATTCTGGTAGTGAAGGGAGCAATCCTTCACCACTTTAGTTTGTGCTGCTTATACTCTTGTTCAGGGTTGAAGGCTGGAATATAGAATGGAGGGATATTACTGATACGTGTACCATAACGTGTATGCAAAGCTTAATTTAAAAACTGAGTGGAAGTGAAATTGTAGGATATTAATATTTTATGCCCTTGACTTTAAACCTTCTGTGGTAAAAGGTGATGTAGAAACTGTTATTGCACCATTTCTTCTAATCTTGGCTTGTAAGATCTCCATTAGTTGGAATTCTGCAAATGAAAGACGTAATGAAAGGAGAGTTTTTTTTTTTGTGAATCTTTGCTGTCCTGGGCAAGACTCAGTTGTTCTGGTAAAGAGGTGGCAATAAACACCAATGCAGAAGTCAGACAGTGCACTATAATGTATTGAACCCCATTATTTGGTCTATTTTAAATGTATGTATAATCTGGTTGATGAAGTCTTCTGGATTCTGTTATCCTATTCATGGTCAGTCTTAGTTTTGTTATCTTTACTATCTTAAAGCAGCAAATCTCTTTTGGGATGCACAATTAGAATGGCCTGTGGACCCCACATCTCTAGAGCATGCTTCAGTAGGATTCTAACTGATTCTAATGCACACTCCTGGTTAAGAGGCAGGATTAGTAAGTGATACAGGATTGGTCATACTAAAATCAAATCCATTAAAGTCTTAAGGGGTTGAAGAGGTTTACAGAAGGCAAATTTTGATTCATTTTGAAAGATATGTCATGTTTAGGAGAGTGTTTGTGTTCTGCAACATATAGTAAATGAAGATAGAATTATGAAACTTCATAAATATGGGAAGGTGCTTTAATGTACATTACTATAAAGGGAAAAGAAAAACTAGACATCGGTGCTCTAACTGATCTCCATTTACAGATTTTGGTCAGTTTTATTTAGAGTAGCAGCCCAAAGTTGGCAAACATAGATAATTCCTATTTCTGACTTGAACAGTTGAGAATGTTGACAAATGCATTATTTCATCCAATAATTTCTTGGACTGGAAACAATTATATCATCATGTTAATTGTCTGTTATTAAGAAGGGGGTTTTCTAGGTTGCTTCCCGCCCCCATTTGTTACTTGTATGAATTTTTAAGGCTTATATTGATGAGATTTTCATGTAATGGAGGGGAGAAATTTTTTCCTTTTTAACATGTTCATGTAAAAGGAATTTAGGAAATTATTTTAATCTTGCTGGGAGCTAAGACAAAACACAAAACAAAAACACTGCAGAACAGTTTATGGTCCCATGGACAAATGTTCAGTCTGAACACAAGTACTAGAGAAGACCTTGGAAGGCTGAGGTCAGAATGGGTTAAAGTAGTTGAGTTCATGGGCAAAGGGGGACTTGGCATGTTTTCACACAGTTAAGTATAAATGTATAATATGAACAGCACTATAAAGACCTGGGGGAGATGGGCTTTGGGGGGTTTGTTTGTTTTCTTAGAACATGTTACCAAAAACAAAAAAAAAAGATTGAATACTTTTGGATGATAGGGAGACCTTTGAAGAAGAGATTGGGTGGCTTGGACTTTGCCTTTTAAGCCACGGGCTGCGATTATATTTTTGTTTTGTTTTTACTATGGAAAATTTCAAACATGTTCAGAAATTGAACCAGTAGAATGGTTCCCCATGTATTCATTATCCAGTTTGATCAGTTTCAGCATTATCAATTTATGACTGATACTGTTTTCTATCCCTCCGTATTTCCCTCTCCTTTATTATTTTGAAACAATCCTAGAAATCATACTGTTTTATCTATATTTTAATATGTATCTCTAAAAAATAAGAACTCTCTTTTTAAAATTATACCTAAAAATTGGCCGGGTATGGTGGCTCGCGTCTGTAATCCCAGCACTTTGGGAGGCCGGGGTGGGCAGATCACTTGAGGTCAGGAGTTCGAGACCATCCTGGCCAATGTGGTGAAACCCTGTTTCTACTAAAAGTACAAAAATTAGCCAGGAATGGTGGCCTGTGTCTGTAGTCTCAGCTACTTGGGAGGCTGAGGCAGGAGAATCGCTTGAACCGGGGAGGTGGAGGCTGCAGTGAGCCGAGATTGTGCCACTGCACTCTAGCATGGGTGACAGAGTGAGACTCTGTCTCAAAAATAAAATAATACCTAAAAACTTAATTTCTTTATCATCAAATATCCAGTCAGTGTTCACATTTCCAGTTGTCTCAAATATTATAATTATTTTTTACATTTTGTTTGAATCAGGATCCAAATAAGGTTTAAATATTGCAATTTGATTAATACATTAAGATTCTTTTAATCTATAAGTTCCTGCTCCATCTGTCATTTTATTTTTATCCCTTGAAATTTATTTATTGAAGAAACTATATCCTTTGCTTTGTAAAATTTTCCACAGTGTGGCTGGCTTTGGCTGATTGCTAGCGTCATTTGCTATTTATTTTTGTCCTGTATCTTGGATCTGGCGCCTTGATCAGATTTAAGTTGATTTTTGGGGACGTAATTACTTCATAGGTATTATGCATTTTTGGATAGAGGAGTAAAGTAGTGAAAGTAATGTTTTTAGGATGGTTTGTCTGGCAGCAGTGTGCAAAATGAATTGGTAGAGGAGAAATGGAGAGCTGCGAATTAGAAGGCAGGTTCAATCAGTGCAGGAAGGAAAGGCTACAGTAAGGCAGAGGCAGGGAAAAGAAAGGCAATAGAGATGAGAGAGATTTTGAAAGAAGGAATTTTCAATACCTTTTAGGCTTAACTATAAGAAATGGAGAGTCGGCTGGGCATGGTGGCTCATGCCTGTAATCCCAGCACTTTGGAAGGCCAAGGCCAGTGGATCACCTGAGGTCAGGAGTTCAAGACCAACCTGGCCAACATGGTGAAACCCTGTCTCTACTAAAAATACAAAAAAACTAGCCGGGTGTGGTGGTGGGTGCCTGTAATCCCAGCTACTTGGGAGGCTGAGGCAGGAGAATCGCTTGAACCCAGGAGGCGGAGCTTGCAGTGAGCTGACATTGCACCATTGCACTCCAGTCTGGGCAACAAGAGTGAAACTCCTCAAAAAAAAAAAAAAAAAAAAAAAAAGAGAGTCTTAAGTCAGGTTGAAGTTGTGAACCTGAGTGATTGGGAGTTGGGGTCAGGAAGATGGTGCTTTGTGCATGTTGAATTGAAGGTCTGTGTATTGGTAGACTATCCTTGCAGAATTGTGTTATAGGAAGTGTATTAGTCTGTTTTCACACTGCTGATAAAGACATACTCCAAACTGGGCAATTTACAAAGAAAGAGGTTTAATTGGAATCACAGTTCCATGTGGCTGGGCAGCCTCACAATCATGGCGGAACGCAAGGAGGAGTAAGTCACATCTTACATGGATGGCAGCAGGCCAAAAAAAAAAAAAAAATGCATGTGCAGGGAAATTCCCATTTTTAAAACCATCAGGTCTCATGAGACTTATCACTATCATGAGAACAGCACAGGAAAGACCTGCTCCTATGATTCAGTCACCTCCCACTGGGTCCTTCCCACAACACGTGGGAATTCAAGATGAGATCTGGGTGGGGACACAGCGAAGCCATATCAGGCAGCTAGATTGATCATGGGGGACCAGGGGAGAGGTAAGGGCAGGAAATAGAAATTTAGGGATTCTCTGTCTGCCTGGGAATAGCTGAAGCCATACAAATGGACCAGCTCAGAAACTCGTGAGTGAACTGAGGAGCACTTTCCTTAAGTAGTTCGTCAGCTTAATCGGCTTTCTATAGTTGTCACAGCAAAATATTACACTGTCTTTAGAGACTGGAGTTTCTCATGATGATGCCACATTTTGCCTTTCTTTGCTTCTGCGGTTTTTCGTCATTTATAGGTGATATGGCAGCAGATTTTTGAGCAGAATCCAGCTGCTTTCCGAAGCTGGAGATTCCACTGGGGATGTAGACAGCTTGGGAGGAAATAAAAGCCGAGTCCATAAGTGAGCCTGGGAGGAGTGAAGAAGCAGAGCAAGCAGGACAGAAAGTGGGCGGGGCCAGCTATAGGGAAAGACCTTGGGGTTGAAGGGATTTGATAGACTTGCCTTAGTGTCTTTTAGTTCCTTCAGAAGCCCAGCCTGACCTCCATCATGAGAGAACTAGTTAGTGAGGGTGGGGCACCAACAGTTCCCTTGTGTCCTCTCCTGCTGTTTCTCTCTTATATCCAGAGACTACAGAGAATGTGGTTAATGGGAAACTACAAAACTTATATGTAATCATTTCAAAAGTCCTCCCTAGCTGAAAGGATTTTAAGAAAATGTGCTATTCAGAAATATCCCTTAACCTGTTTAACAGCATCTTATTTACTCATCTGTGTTTTATGAATACTTTTCCCTAGTTGCAGAAGGATGGCAAAATAAATGTTTGCTATCAAATCTATACCTGTAATTCAGTGAAGCATTGAACACAGGTGATGTACCCTTCTTCACAGGGGAATTGTGTTCAAAATCATTTTAATTTTTTATCCTCAGTAAGATTATATAGAAAATCTTATAGCTCTCAAAGGTGCAGATTATATTTTTCTGTAATAGTTCTGGGCTTCCCAAAAATTTTTGTTGGTGTTGCCAAAGAGTTGTGTCACATAAGTGAGTGGCACAAACATTTTTTGACTAGCCACCTGAAAGTTGTGAAGGGTTTTGAAAATATAAAGTAAAATATAAAGTGAACACCACCACTGTCAACAAAATCCACTGCTTTGGATATGATTTCACAGGAAGATGACGGCTGTCACCAATTGAACTACAGCAAATGACGAAAGCTCAGCACGAATTAGCCAGTCTCATTGGGGTGATAAACGACAGCACATTAAATATGTGTTAGCAACGTGATATGGCAGTGAAAAAAGCCAACGCTATTTTTGGCTGTGCTGCACAAAACAGCATCTCGTCACCGAGCTGGGCTGATCATTACTTTCTACCCAGTACTTGTGAGGCAGCATCTGGGATGCTGTCTTGAGTGTAGGACACGTGCGTACTGGAAGGATAGACAAACGGGTAGGAGTCCCAAGCAGAGCATCTGCTGTGACTAAGGACTTTAGATGAGACAAGTTTTAGAAGTGGCATGTTTAGGAATGAGCATGGAAGTAAAGAGATGTTAACCTTTTCAGAGATAGGATGATGTTGAGGAAATACATCATAGACTCCTCATTAGTTGGCATTAGTTTAGTACAGTGCACTTTAGAGGAATTACCCAAATACTTTCACAGACAGCATATCAGCAAAAAGGGGCTCTAAAGCAAAATTAAGCAAGGACTTATTTATGGTCAACTATGTTTTAATCAAGAGATTAACATTGGCAGTGCTTGCTATAATGTGAGAAGGAATAGAAAGTAATAGATTACATAAGTCAGGTGCTTTTGATTGGAAATTCAAATGCAAATATTAAACCTGGGAACAATGGGGGTGAGACTTTATAGTTATCTTTAGAAATTCAAGTAACAAATAAAGGAATTACTTACTTTCCGCAGTAGTATAGGCAAGCACAACAGAAAGAAATAATTTAAGAAATACATAGTATAAACTGAATGTCAGGGAACATTTCTGCAGTGAGAACTATCGGACCATAGGATATTCCCCTAGGAAAATTGGGTTGAATTTCATTGGACATTTGATCCTGACAGAATTGAATGTGTATCAGTAGGGAAATAGACTGAATATCCCTGTAGGCATTTTTCATTTCTCTCTTCTCTGATTCTGGGCCCTGTTGATGATCTGTTCACCTGCTGTGATTAGGAAGAAATTTTATCTCTTGTTTTTCTACACCCAGGCACATTTTAGATGCTTTCCTGATTGACATAGGCTAAAAATGGAGCTTCATTGCCCTGAGGTTGACCTGGTACCATCCCTCCTGGTGTTGTAGAAATTTCTCCTTTCTGTTTGGGAGGCAGTGTTAGGGTCCTTTACCTAAGGTGAATACATGTAATATAAAATGGGCCCATGTGTATAGGGTCAGTGTCTTCTTCAGATATATCTAGTAACCTAACAGGGCTGCAAGCTGGCCTCTTTGGGAGTGAATGATGGTTTTATTTTCCCCTCTTCCCCCAGGACTTGACTTTGAAGAAAAAGGATATTTAGCAGACTAGGAGACCACAGACTTTTACTGTGTCCTGTAGAAATGTGAAAAATTTCAGGTTCCTGGATGGGAAAGGGCTACTGGAGAAGAGCTTGACTCCTTATGCTGTGACAGTGGTGTGTATGCCAGTCTTTCCCTGTAGTAGTATCATTGTATAATCAAAGAAGTAAACTAAAAATGCAAATTTAATTTCAGGTTCATTACAAATGGTCTGTATTTCCTTGTTATAAACTAGTCTATTGGATAAGATTGTTAGATAGATTGTTATCCAATCTTAGTCTATTGGATAAGATTGTTTTCTTAGCTTGGCATTCAAATACCTGTACAATTCGGACAAAGTCTCTGCTTTTCCAGGCTTAGTTTACCCTTTTCTATAGTAATGCTGTATTCCAGTTAAATCAGCCTTTCTTTCTGTCCTCTAAATATGACTCTGTCCTTTCCTACAGTAGTAGTTTTGTTTATTCCATACATCTTTCCTACTGTCCTTGCCCTCATCTCTGAATACCTTCTCTGATATGCTCCAGTCCTCTGTCTTACCTATGAAGCATCCATTGATCATTTCCCTTCAAGAACTCATTGCATTTCTTGTTTTTACCACTCATTTGACATATCTAATAGTTATATTTTTCTTCCTCTACTGAATCCACATCTTTCCTTTTTAATCAGATTAAAAAGGCTCTCTTGAGGACCATTTCTTACATGTCTTTAAATTTCTCACAACTAGTCTTTAAGCCTTTGGAGAGAAGGAACTATGGCTTATTTATGGTGCCTGTCTCTTCCCCTAAACTCACAGAGTTTGGCAGTATGCACTTAATAAATATGTTTTGAACAAATGAGTAGTAGATACTCTATACATATCTATTGATTGATTTAAGATTTGCTATAGACTGAATGTTTATGTCCCCCCTACCCCATATTCATATGTTGAAAGCCAGTCCCCAATGTGATGGTATTTGGAGATGGAGGCTTTGGGAAGTAATTAAGTCATGATAGCAGAGCCCTCATGAATGGAATTAGTGCCCTTGTAAAAGAGGCCCCAGAGAGCTCCCTCGACAGTTCTGCCACGTGGGGTTACAGCAAGAATATGGCCATCTATGAAACAGGACAGGGGTCCTCACCAGACATTAAATTTGCTGATGCCTTTATCTTGGACTTCCCAGCCTCTGGAAATGTGAGGAATACATTTCTCTTGTTTATAAGCTACTCAATCTGTGGCATTTTGTTGTAGTGGTTTGAACTAAGACAAGGTTGAATTTTAAATGCTTTGTAAATGTGTTGAACTTTGTAGATTTAAAAATCATGTAGCAGAAGACTCATAAAGCTACGAAGGTTTGCTATATTCCCAGGAGACCAGTTCCTCCTGCTTTCTCCTAGACCAGCCTGCACTTAAATCATCCCTATATGAAGAGTTTCTGTTGGCCAGGCAGATTGTTAGCTCAGGTTTCCAGATATGAAATGATGTCATGAAATAATGGGCATGAAATAATGTTGGCAAGAGAAACCATTAATAATTGGGACTGTCATAGTATTACTATTATATAGCCAATGCTCGTGCATAGATAATATCATTTCTATCATGGGTGTGACAATAATAGATTTGGAAGAATGGTGAAAAATTTGATAATAGGTTAAGTGAAATTAAACTATACAAACTTGTCCTTTATTCTTTGAAAACGATTTAAATTTTTGATTTTTCATTTTAATTTTCTTACTCGTATTTAAAAATTTTTCCTTCATGTCTTGCTAGTGAAATGTACTTGCTGCAAATTAAATCCATTTCTTTCAGTGATAGCTTTGGTTTGTAATTACCTTCTTTAAGTGTTAAGTCTGTCCTTAGAATCATCAGAGCTTCTATTATGTAATTCTTTGGAGTAAACCCTAGTTAATCAGAGCATGCATTTCACTGGAGGGGCAGCTCAGTGAGTGATGTGAAGGTGTTTCCTCTGAGAAACGGAAACAGTTATGAAGTGTTTTGTGGTCCTTTGGGAGTTGAGGTGCTATAGAAATGTAAGGCTTTTATTACAACTCCTGACCTACTATACAGAACCATGCTAACATCATTGATGATTCTTTTGCATAATCAAAGAATTAAACATAAAAGTCATATTAATTTTCAGCTTCATTAGAGATGCAAGAATCAAAAGAGATGTTTGCCAAATGGGAAGGCACTAAATTGGTAGGAGAAAGAATTTTAATTTCAAGCTTCAAGTGAATGTTATAAATAACCTAGCATAAAAAAGACACTACCAAAAGCGCCTGACAATGTCCTTTTTAAAGATCAGCAACATTAAAAAGGGGAAAATGTAAAAAAGAAAAAAAAAGGGAAAAAAGAAACTATAAAAATATGAAATTAAAATTGCTGTATTTGAGTCAGTTTATGGTAGTAAATTACTTCTGAGAGCCTCAATTTGAAGATCACCAGGTAGTCTATGGTAATTAGTATAATTTTGCTGTGGTCACCAAATCTTTATATTATTTTTGCTGGTCAAACAGCAATACTTTTGCCTTTTTTTTTTTTTTTTTAACTTGGTCGCAGTTGAAGATGATGAAAAATCCATTTACTCGTGAAAGGGTAAATGCAACTTCCTGATGTGAAATAGGGGCATTTAAAGCACTCACATTAAGGAAAGTTTGCATTTTAAATATAAAGTAGTCTTAAAATTTTTCTCTACCCACATATAAACACCATTCCAATATGTGTGAAGAGCTGTTGTTCATCTTGTAGGATCACTAATCACAGGATTAAAGCGATGAGGAAGTATATACAGTGAAGAATGATGCCCTTTTCTTTAAAACAAAAATCTGGAGGCAGCCAGAAGAGCTTGGGAAAATTCTTGTATTTTATATCTATTATGCTCTTGATTTTATATCTACTGTATCTCCCTGATCTGTGGCCAGCTGGGATGCAAATACGGCACAAGAAGTTCACAGTATCAAAGGAGCAAGTGAATAGGACCCCAGAATGTGATTGTTATGAAAGTACTGAGATTATTACATTTAGGCCCTATGTGATTCTGGAGGAAGTGAGTTTTACTGCTCAGTAGAAAATTATATATATATACACTGTATATATAAAACACACACACACACTGTATTTAGAAAGAAAAAGACCATCTGTTCATTCTGTCTGTATTTCTGTGGGGATTTAATCTGACAGTGAATCACTTGGGATTTGTACAGAATAAACTTGTGCTAACATTTTTATGAAAAAGGGTAGGGAAGACAACCAAAATTTTCTCTTTAGGGATTGTTTAGCTCTGCTTTTTTTGTTTTTTTTCTTTACAGCATACGAACATGGCAATATGATGATTGATTTTTTTTTTAATTTGTTTTATGTTAGCCTTTTCTGATTCTACAGGAGAGGTTCATTCCTTTGTCTTAGCATGAAAATTTCTCAGGATAGACAGTAGCATCAGGAATGATCTTTAATAGAGTAGTGGTTTTCAAAGAGTGGTTCCCAGACCAGCAGCATCAGCATCACTTAGGAACTAGTTAGAAATGCAGATTCTAGTGCTGTATCCCAGATCTCCTGATTGAGAAACTTGGAGGATGGAGCTCTGCAGTCTGTGTTTAGTAAGCCCTCCTGGTTTTTCTGATATGCAGGAGAACCATGGAATTAGACACAGACTGTAATAATGAAACGCTAGTGTTATTTCAAGAAACTTCAACACTCAGACTCACTTATGCTGATGAATATGACCTGGGCCAAACCTTAAATATCTTATTTCCTTCCACCCTCATAACACTTCGGAGAGCCTGCCATCATTATTCTTCCGTTCAGATGATGACACTGTTCATGCTCATTTGATTGGTAAGCAGTGAACCAGGCTTTGAATCTTGGTCTGGTTTCAAAATTTATTTTCTTAACTGCTGTAGAATAGGAAGATTTAAAAAGGAATGATTTTCAAGTGGCTATTCTTGTGACTTTTTACAACTAAGTATGTCATCAATTAGGAAAGTACCTGAGGGGTTGAGTGGCAAGTTGGGTGCCAAGAGCAAACCAGATTATAATCTAGAACTCAGTTCTAGTCCTGACTCTGCCTTTACTCTCTCTCATTCATTTAGTTGGCCTAATGTCCTCTGAACAGGCTTCCTCCTGGGACACTTGATTCGTTAGATGACTATACTTTTCCTGTGAAGTGTGCCTATTTTACAGAGAAGCTTCCCACTTCGAACTGGAAAAAATAAGCATAGTGGAGTGACTTTTTCAAGGTCATTATCCCCTTTCAATGGGAGAGCTATAGTTTGCTTCTATTCAGTACCATCCTGTTGTAATGGAAAAAGAAATACAAACCAACCAAGATGCTGAAGTTTGCTTTTACCTGCATTATATTTAGGGGTTCATTTGCAAACCTGAAGTATTTCATTGACTTGTACCTTTGCTGTTTGTCACAACAATAATCATGATTCTTTCATCTCAAGCCTTGATTTGAAACAGCCTGGAGCTGGTCCAGACAAAGCCCATCTAGTCATTGTATCTAGGCCTGTCGATATCCTCTTGTTTGTTTTTGTTTCATTTGGTTTTCTTTTCTTTTTTTTTTTGAGACGGAATTTCGCTCTTGTTGCCCAGGCTGGAGTGCAATGGCGTGATCTTCGGCTCACCGCAACTTCCACCTTCTGGGTTCAAGCGATTCTCCTGCTTCAGCCTCCTGAAGCAGCTGGATTACAGGCCACCACACCCAGCCAAATTTTTTTTTTTTTTGTATTTTTAGTAGAGAAGGGGTTTCTCCATGTTGGTCAGGGTGGTCTCGAAATCCCAACCTCAGGTGGTCTGCCTGCGTCGGCCTCCCAAAGTGCTGGGATTACAGGTGTGAGCCACTGCGCCCGGCTCATTTGGTTTTCTTACCTGTCACCTAAAGTTGCAGTCTCCTTAACTGAATTATTAGTTCTTAGGCATTAAGGACAGCTTCTTTGCTTTTTGTCTGTAAACTATTGCTGTGTCATTTTCACAGTACATGCTCAATAATGTCATAAAGAATTAATATTTTGCCTCTTCCTTATTTTATTGTCCTTTCCCATAATTTTCCAGCCTATCTTCTGTATATTATTCCATTTAACTTTTCTGTTTGTGATTTTTTTCCTCTGTTCCCTCTGAGCATTTGTACTTGCCATTCCTGTACTGCAGATACACCTTTGTTTTCTTCTCTCTCCATTTATTCTCTCCATTAATAACAAAATTAAAAAATTACAGCTAACATTTGATAAGCATTTACCACATACCACTGTGCTTAGTACTTTATATGTATTATCTAATTTAACCCCCACATTTATAATGCCATTATTATTCTTAGTTTGTAGGTGACAAAAATGAAATTTGGAGAGGTTAAGTGCCTTGCCTCGGCTATTAAGTGGTGAGACTGAGATTCAAATTCAGCTGTATCTTAATTCCAGTTAAACTTTTAATTATAGTATTTTGCCTCCATTGTTTTCAAAAGACATAAAAAAACCTTTATGGCTTTGTCTGCTTTGCTTTGGTATGACGTCTTATTCATGTATTAGGCTTAACCTGCTTATTGTAATCTGGAAAAAAAATATGCAGAGACCTCTAGGCTGACAGGCACCTATACCTAGAATAAGGATTTTCTGCTAGAGGGAACTGAATGTCATATGGGGCTGTGATGGGCTACAGCCTCCCAGGTTAAGACTTATTTCACATGGATCAAGCTATCTCCTCACTCCAGCAATGACACAGTTAGTATATATGTTCATAACTAAGCTTAAATGCCATTTTTAATAAATATTAATACCAGTATAAGGTAAGGACAAGGATGCACATACAGTCCTATTATGAAATAGGGCTGTAGCAGCATTTTTCTAGTTTAGTTACTTCCTTCCAGTATTTCAATTCCTTTCAATCCAGGATCTTAGTGATTTTGCATGTAAACCTTTTTCCTATTTCATGCTCTCTCTTTGCATTTGCTTTATTCAGTTGTATTGAATTTCTAATGTGGATTAGAGCACACAGTAGGGCTGGTTCTTCATTTTAATAACTTTCCTTTCCAGGCACTTCTCAGTAATCCTTTCTTTTTTTAAGCCAGGTTTAGAGAGGGAGCTAAAAGCAGAACAAGACATTTGAGTTTGTATTGTTCTGCTTTATTTTCATAAGTTCCACATTCTCAACTGAATTTCTAGGGACGAAAGAGAACTCGATTACTTTTAGTTCCTTTCAGTGCCACTCTAACTTAGTGACTTGACTTCCATTTCTCTAAGTGGAAATATTTACATGTATTTCAAAGGATGCTCTCTGGCTTAGTTAGTATCTCTACACTGATTAGAGAATGTAAAGCGATGTTTAAGTGCTTATTATTTTTTAATTACATTTATAAAGGTTAAAATATAGATAACTCAACCATTATTATTATCCTCATTTAGAATTTGTATACCATTTACATTTCCAAAGTGCTTTGTTCATGTAAATTAGTTGGTCCTCCTGCCATTCCTATAAATTATGTCAGTACTATCCTCTGAAATGTTGCCATTTTCAGTTTATAGTTATTATTTTTATTTCAGACAACTACACCTTGTTCAAAGGGTGAAAGTGATTAATAGCTTTAAAACCACTAAAGGTAAACATTCTTAAATACCCTTGAAGTTAAGTAGATGCCGGAATTGCTGAGATGGCTGCCAAGCCAATGTTGGAGAATTTATTTTTTTGTACAGATTATATATATATCTTTGATTTTCTTCTTCTCCTCTCTGTTTATTTTGTATTTTTTATTCATATAGGAATGTGCACACATTGTATATTTTTCACAAAATTTCATGAACTAAACCTACCCACTAAACACTTGTGTCAGGGAACAACACAGTACCAGCATCACTCGTTCATTGAATCTCGATTTGAGTGCGCGATTCTGTCTTACAGACTGAATCTGTCTAAACATCAGCATAGCTGGAATTATGGACACAATGAGTATTCATGCTCAGATGTTGCTTCCATTATAAAACTAATTTCTGTATGTTCCAAAAGTGTTATCTTACTGGGTTAAAATAACACTGAGTAGTCACAGTAAGAGATGCACACAAGATGTGCCTCATGAGTGGTGTAGACAAGATATACTGTTGGACATCACAGGAGCAAAGTTGTACCTTTTCAGAAATGCTTCACATGGAGGTGAAATTAGAGCTGGACTGCCCACTAGGGATAGAGGGCTTAGACATAAGTGTAGGCTTTGGTAAGAGAAACAAAGAAGAGGGAGTAGTGGTGGCATGTGTCCCAAGCAGGGAAGATAGCTATGTCTTGCATATGACATGTTTTGATGCAGGGAGAGTTCCAGTTTGTTTGGAGTAAGGGTTCATGTATGTGTTTAGTCACCATTCAAATTTGAGAGTTAAGTAGAGGTCAGATATCTAAGGACTTTGAATGCTAGCTAAGGACTCATAGTGAACTAAACACTTACTGAATACCATCTATGTGTTAGGCACAATGCTCAGCACTTTTATATGCATTTTGAATTTATGCTCAAGACACTTGGATCTGCGGGGGCAGGAGTTAGTGGCACTGAGATATATGAGCAGCCTGGGTAGAAATGGAGAGACCAGAGATAGAAATCGCAGAAGACTATTAGGGTTGATGACACCTTGGATTACGGTTGGTCCTAAAATTTATAATTTCAGCTACTAAAGACCTGGTTCTAGAGGACTGAAACTTCATCTTTTCTTGGTTATTCTACATATAATCTAATGCAATAAGAACCTGAATGATGAGTACTTAGTTGGCAGATATTTATCAGTTGCCTACTCTATATACATCTCTTTGTTAGATTTGATGGGCTGCTCACTCTGTCCCTCTGCCCACCTGATGTTAGTTAATCTGGGGGACAACCATGTAATAAGTTACTTCCTAGTATCTATAGTGACCAGTTATTTGGGAGTCACCTGATTGACCAAAGACTGTGTTTTTACAGTGTTGTCTCCTTTATTTTTTTCTTAGGATTCTTTTTGCTTTTCTTTTTTACAACAGCCTACTGTGTCGCATCACTGAATCTAGTTTATAGTTTTTCGTTTCTCTACATTCCATCATTTTAGAAACAAAAGCCACATCTCTTTGAAGAAGTACTTTTGACTTTTTCTCCCAATTTTAGCACTTGTCCGTAACAACTATGTAAGGTTTGTTTTGGGCCCTCCTTTCCTTCTATCACCCCTTTGAGGGGCTCTTGTGCCCTGTTTTGTGTTACGTGGTAGGTTAATAAACGAGGTAATGAGGGGATGAATGTAGAGATAGGTGGAACATATAGATTGGTAGATTAGTGGATATTTTGGAAAATGAATTGTGTAAGAGAAGACAGAATTTGAAAACAGAAGGACAGAGAAAATGAAAAGGTATGAGACCTCAGAGTGGGGGCACGAGGAGCTGTTTGTAGCCAGAGGTTTCTGGTTGAACTCAGGTTCCTAAACTCTGAGTTGTACAGGAAGTAGTAAAAGTTTTTTAAATGTCCTTCTAGTTCTCTTTTAACCAACTAGAAGAGTTGCCAGGATTTTTAATTTCCACTCTGGGGTGTGCCTAAGAATCTTAGTTACCATTACCATTTGTATACAGTATTATTCCTTGAGAATAATTCCAGAGCCCACTTTTTTTTTTTTTTTAAACTTGGCAGTCTGAAGAGATTTGGCCTCTTTGTAGTGGTTTTTGTGCTAATATTGATCCAAATTTAGTTTCAGTGCCTGTTTTCTTCTCTTTCCTATTCAGTCAACTATTTAACCTCTCAGTGATTTTAGTTGTCCTGAAATTTGGTCTTTCTTAGCAAGGACAGTTTGTTTTATGTTCTTTAATAGTTAGAGGATGACTGGGTTCATTCCCGTAATACCAGAACTTTGGGAGGCTTGAGATAGGAGGATCATGAGCTCAGGAATTCAAGACCAGCCTGTGCAATATACTGAGACCCCCTTCTCTACAAAAAATAAAAACATTAGCTGGGTGTGGTTGCATGGGCCTGTAGTCCCAGCTACTTGGGAGTATAAAGTGGAAGGATTGCTTGAACACAGGAGGTTAAGGCTGCAGTGAGCTATGTTGCTGCCACTGCACTCCAGCCTGGGTGACCCTGTCTTAAAAAAAAAAAAAGAAAAAAAAGATAAATCATCACTCTGAATCTTTTCATTGAGAATTTTTTTTAATAGCCTAAGATGCTAAGTAGTCTATACAGTGATTTCTGCATGATTTTCCTTTTTTTTTGTCTAAATCTTGACATAAGTTTACCTTCTTCAACCTTTTAATCTATTCCTGAATGCATTATTTTAATAGATGTGCTATTTATTAATATTTTGGAACTAGAATATTAATTACCCCTTTTAAGGCAAATCACTACCCAAAACACATTAACTGTGCCTTCACTAAGAACCTTGGTAACACATTTGCACCTGACAAAAGGGAGTGGGCAGAAAATTAGCTAATGAAATAGTTGTTCTGGAGTACTATGTAATTAAGGGCTTTGCAGAGAGCCCTTGGGGAAGCTGGAAGACTGGGAATGAGTTAAATGTATATGAGTTTTCTAGTGCTGTAGTAAATAAATGTGTGGTAGAAATGAAAATTTTCTTGCGGAAAGTATTTAAAACAAGGACAAACTGTAGTTATATTAGTTTGCCTAAGTATTCAGGTGTATAGGAAATTCTGAAGATACTTTTTGTTGGCTAATTGCCATTAAGTACCCACGTGTACTGCTTTGTAAGTGGTAAAATTTGAAGGCTGCTGTTGAGTAACTGTTTCAAACAGGTATGAAGTCAGCAGTGCTTATGTTTTCATTTTATCTATCGGGAATAAGTTGTGGACAAGTCTCCTAATTCGGTGCTTCTCAAGCTTTAACAAGCATATGAATCACAATCACTGGGGGATCTTCTTAAAATGTAGACTTTAATTCAGGATTTCTTGGGTGGGACTAGAGAATTTGCGTTTCATTCATTCATTTATTTATTTTTTGAGACGGAGTCTTGCTCTGTTGCCCAGGCTGGAGTGCAGTGGCACCATCTTGGCTCACTGCAACCTCCGCCTTCCAGGTTCAAGCAGTTCTCCTGCCTTAGCCTCCCAAATAGCTGGGATTATAGGCATGCGCTACCACACCCAGCTAATTTTGTTTTTGTATTTTTAGCAGAGATGGGGTTTCACCTTGTTGGCCAGGCTGTTCTTGAACTCGTGACCTCAAGCGATCCACCTGCCTTGGTCTCCCAAAGTGCTGGGATTGCAGGCATGAGCCACCATGCCCGGTGGAGAATTTGGATTTCTAAAAAGCTATCAGATGATACCAGTGGTGCATAGACCACACTTTGAGTAGCAAGAGCCTAATATTTTTTTTTTTTTTTTTTTTTTGAGACGGAGTCTCACTCTGTCGCCAGGCTAGAGAGCAGTGGAACGATCTTGGCTCACTGCAACCTCTGACTCCCTGGTTCAAGCGATTATCCTGCCTCAGCCTCCCGAGTAGCTGGGATTACAGGCACGCACCACCATGCCCAGCTAATTTTTTTATTTGTACTAGAGACGGGGTTTCACCATATTGGCTAGGATGGTCTTGATCTCCTGACCTCGTGATCCACCCGCCTCGGCCTCCCAAAGTGCTGGGATTGCAGGCGTGAGCCATCGTGCCCGGCTGCAAGATCCTAATATTTCTTAGAAGGAGAGAAATCCTTTACTCACAGGAACTGTACACACATGTTCACACATATGCACAAGCATGCCTGCTATCCATAAGCATTTGTCATCTTTCAGATGATGGAAGCTGTTTGAGACCCTTAAGGGACTGTAGTCATGACTCCTGTCTTTTCAGTATCCCTTTCCCCTTATCACTGTGATCCTACTGCATTTATGGAAAAACTGCTGGCGGGCCATCATGTTTGACCCAGAGCTGAAGTTCAGAACTTCCTTGTTGATTGTCAGTGTTAGTAGGAATGAATTTAGCCCATTATAGTGATTGGCAATTAGAATGGTACCAACATTATCAGTTAAATCCTGTCTGTTTGCTTAACTCAGTTTTGGGTGCTAAGGCAGCTGTATTCTCCATTTCAGTAACTTCTGAATATTACCATTCAGGTGCTCTGCATCAAAAAGCCCCACATTGGCTGGGTTTTGTGGCTCATACCTGTAATCCCAGCACTTTGGGAGGCCAAGGCAGGAGGATTGCTTGAGCCTAGGAGTTCAAGACCTACCTGGGCAATATAGCAAGATCCCATCTCTAAAAAATTTTTTTAAAATTAGCCAGGTATGATGGTGCACACCTGTAGTCCTTGCTGCTTGGGAGGCTGAGGTAGGAAGGTAGCTTGAGCCCAGGAGTTTGCCGTCAGAAAAGTCCCACATCAGTTACTAAAGTCTAACAGTTCTACCTCTCTCTGTCTCTAAAATCCTCTTAAGTCTCTCTGTCTCTCTCTAAGACCACAGCTTTAGTTCAGGGCACTGGTCTCTCTCCCTGGCTCACCATACCATCCTATTAACTGATCTTCTGGCCCTATTCTGATATATTCTCCATAGTGCAGCTGGGATCAGCTTTCTAAATGACAAATCCCTCCTTAACTTTTTTTTGTTTGTTTGTTTGATACAGAGTCTTCTCTGTTGCTCAGGCTGGAGTGCAGAGGCACAATCTTGGCTCACTGCAAGCTCCGCTTCCCGGTTTCACGCCATTCTTCTGCCTCAGCCTCCCGAGTAGCTGGGACTACAGGCGCCCGCCACTACGCCCGGCTAATTTTTTTTTTGTATTTTTAGTAGAGACGGGGTTTCACTGTGTTAGCTAGGATGGTCTCGATCTCCTGACCTCGTGATCCACCCGCCTCAGCCTCCCAAAGTGCTGGGATTACAGGCGTGAGCCACCGCGCCCAGCCCCTTAACATTTAAACTCTGAAAGTTAAGTCCAAATTCCTTGACATGGCACACAAGGCCTTCCTTGAGTCTGGCCTTGGAAGCTGTGCATCTCACATTAGTTTCTTGGTGGGGTCCTTTCTTTCTTGCCTCCAATCTTTTGCACATATTGTACCCTTTGTTGTAGAATTCCCTAAAGTGCTGTGCACATTTCTTTCTTGCAGTTTTCATCTTATGTTGTCATTGCCTTTTCTTGGCTCAACTGGGAACTTTCTTGGGGCCATGACTCTGACCTGTGCACAGCTGTCTTACTGCCTGGCACATTAGAAATATTTATTGAATAAGAGGTGAAATGAAAAGAAAAGGCTGCGTGCAGTGGCTCATGCCTGTAATCCCAGCACTTTGGGAGGCTGGGGTGGGAGGATTGCTTGAAGGCCAGGAATTCAAGACCAGCCTGGGCAACATAGTGAGACTGCGCCTCCACCCCCTGCGCCCCCCCCCCCAATACACACACACACACACACGCACACACACACACACACACATTAGTTGGGTGTGATAACCTACACCTGTAGTCCTAGCTGCTTGGGTTGCTGAAGAGGGAGGATCCCTTGAGCTCATGAGTTCAAGGCTGCAATGAGTTATGATCATGCTACTCTACTCCAGCTTGAGTGATAGGGCAAGACCCTGTCTCTAAAAAACATTTTTAAAAAGAGAAAATTAAAACTTAGGTAAGTACTGTTTCTTTATTTTGTCTGAGGTAGAATTTAAAATGTTGAGGTTATGGAAAGTTTATATTAAAATCATACAACATTGATTTAGTAATAAAGCTTTAATGATGTATGTAGAGCAAATATCAATAAAACAAAATTTGTAATTTTATATTAGTATGTAGGCAATGATTCATATTAAATATGGAAGAGGAGGGAAAAGATCTGGAATAATAATCATAAAACCAATAATAAATATTTGAGTAAAGATAGAGATGTTGTAGAAATTGTAAAACGTTAAATTTTTCCCTTTTTGTGGTTTCTCTATTTAGATCATGGTAAATGGATATAAGTATTATCAAAAAATATTGATATAATTTTTTATTTTCTGAATATGATTTTTATTTGTCTTTGGTAGCAAATGTACCACATTAAGGTGGTATTTGGATTATAATTTAGGGCTAGTAAACAGGAAGGAATTGCCTTAATCCAAATATACAGTAGTCTTCCCTTATTTGTGGGGATAATTTCCAGGCTCCTCAGTGGATGCCAGAAACTGCAGATTGTACCAAACCTTATATACACCATATTTTTTCCTATACATAACTATGATAAACTTTAACTTATAAATTAGGCACAGTAAGAGATTAATAACAATGATAGTAGTATGCTATAATAAAAGTTATGTGAATATGCGCTTGGGAACTCTTTCATGCACACACTGTCTTGCTCTCTCTCAAAATATTGTACTATATTGAAGGTATGTACTGTACTGTGGGTAACTGAAAACATGGAAATTGAAACTGTGGATAAGGGGGGACTATCCATTTACCTCACTTAGTAAATATTTGAGTGCCTACTGTGAGCCAGACACTGTGTTAGGTGCTGGGATTATAAGCAAGATATACATGATCTGAAAGATAAACTATGTCCATTATTTGCAAAAACAAGTTACATGTGAGTGTTCTTTGCTGTCTGTAGATAACAAATATGTGTATAGTGATTTACTGCTCATAGAGCTCTTTTGTGCGTCTTATTGCCTTTAATTCCACGTAACAAGCTGAGGGAAACAGAGACTGAGAGTAATTTGTAGAAAGTGACATTGCTGTGTGATAGAGAAAGTAAACTTGAACCCAGGATAGGCTCCAATTCCAAATCCCATGCCATTTTCTTACACCATACTGCACTACATCCATGGGCGATTGTGGAATACCTTACAGAATCATATCAAGTTTTTAAGAACATGGTTTGAAAATCACTTTTTTTTTGTATTTATAACACAAATGCTTAATAATTTTTGAGCGTTGGGGATGAGCACAACCTAACTTATATCCATTATATTACTATTGCGCCTCTGACACTTTAAAACATTAAAAACCTGGTTTTACCCTTAATGTTTTCTGGAATTGTATTTTTTTAAATTAGCAGTAAAGGGAAGGTATGTATTTTTTGAAATTTCTTCGGATTCTTTCTGCCTTTTGCAATTTCCTTGCTATCTTGATGAAATACAAAGGGTGAAATTCTTATAGCTAGAAGGAACTTTAGAGAAAGAAATATATTATTGGAATTACAGCACATAAATAAAATACAGTTCTCATAATTCACCTCGGTTTAAATTATTCTTTGTATCTGCTTCTGCAGAAAGTTTTCATTTAGGCAACAGTCATTGATATTGACAGTGTCAGTTGATAAAAATGAATGTAACTGTGGTTTATTAAATGCAATGTGATGTATGAATGTAAGGTGGTATTACTATAGTCCTCCACTTGGACAGAGAGTGAGAGGGGACAGTCCATTGCCACTGGTATTGATGTCCTAAAGTGTGTGCCATGAACCTTATGCTCTTTATTAGGAAGGCTACTCTGGCTTGTTTACTCTTGGATTTGACAAAGACTGTTTCCTTGACAGAACTTCAGTTAGGTTCCTCTGAGCCCTCTTCTCAACGTGGGGTCAACCTTGAGTTTCTGTGTTTGTCCTTGCTAAGTCCAGCTTTAGCAAGAATCCTGCTGTGTCGGTTTAATCAGAATCCACCCTCCCCTTTATACCTGATCACCCTGATCAGATGTGGATCTGATCAAGTTCCACATCCCCCACCTTTGATCTGTAAGTCCTTGACCTGCCTTTAGAAACAATCCTGTTAGGTTAGTTTAATAAGAATCCCCCTACTCTTAATGTGTTTCCTCTTAGTACTTTTCCATCCACCATCCTCTTACTTTGCTTCTTGGCTATAAATCCCACATGTCTTAGCTTAATATGAAGTTGAGCCCAGCTTCTCTCCCCTATTGGAATATCTCCATTGTTGTGGTCTCGAATAAAATCTTCCTTACCATTTTTAACATGTTTTGAGAATGACTTTTTTTCTTTAACAGATTCTCAGCAGCAAAAGCAATTCAAGTAATCAAGTCTACGATTGGGTATAGAGGTTAAGGTCTCTATGGCCTAAAGGTAAAAGAAGGGGATATCAGCCATATTCAAATATGTAATGTTTAAATAAGCTATGAAGGATAGCAACCTTGGGTAAGATAAGATGTGTGTAAGATGTAGTCCACAGCAAACTGAAAAGCGTGGCCATAAATTCTAGGAGTGAGATTAATTTAAATAAAATGCTGATAATAAATACCAATATTACCAACCTATGGACCATTTCTCCTTGAAGGAGGATGCAAAAACATTTAAAATCAAGCTGGAATAAGCAAAATAAGAATTTAGGTAAGAATGGAGTTCTTGTTGAGCTCCTAGATTTCTAGATGCACACCTGGTGACACTTTTTTTTTGTCCTCTCAATAATTATGGAAAGCCAGGACCATTAATTATTTTTCACTTTTAGATGATAAACCTGTGGTTAAAAATGGTCAAATAATTTATTTGAAGTCAACTAGAACTTAAACCTGACTCCAAAACTTGTAAAATAATGGTGGTGGTAATGATGAAGGAGAAGGGGAACTGGGGAGAAGTTAGTGGTGATGTTGGAGGTGTTGATGGTGTAATAGATGATGATGGTGGTGGCGACGGTAGCCATGGTAGAGATGTTGGTGGTGATAATGGAGGTGGTGGTGCTGGTAGTGGAGGAGGTGGTAGTGATGATGGAGGTCATGTTAGGGTGATGGTGATGATGGAGGTATTGGTGGTGATGATGGGTGGGGAGGGAATGATGTTGGTGGGGTGGGACTGGTGATCGTGGGGGTCATGGTAGGGTGGTAGTGATGATGGAGGTATTGGTGGGGATGATAGAGCTGGGGATGGGGTGGTGATGGTGGGGTGGATTGGTGATGGTGGAGGTGATGGTGGTGATGATGGAGAGATTGGTAGTGATGATGGAGGTGGAGAGAGGTTGGTGATGGTGGAGTGGGATTGGTGATGGTAGAGATGATGGTGATGATGATGATGGAGGTCACAGTAGGGTGGTAAGGATGATGGAGGGATTGGTAGTGATGATGGAGTTGAGGAGGGGGCGGTGATGGTGAAGATGCTGATGGTAATGATGGAGGTGATGGTGTTATGGTGGTGGCAGCTGCCACTTACTTAGGATTTCTTTTGTCCTAACCTCTGGGATGATCTAATTTCACCTACACCTCTGCATCCATAATTTACTACATGCCTATTAAGTGGCAGAGCTTGGATTTGAACCTAAGTTTGTCTGACACCAAAGTCCACATACTTCACAGGAATGTTGCGTTGCTTCTCACGTTATTTCCAGTCCACCATATGTGAATTCTGTGTATTTTCACAGAATAATGACACCTGTATTCTGGTACTGTGGGACTAGTATAAGATGGTCAAACTGCTATCAATGATTCTATTCTCTTTGCATATTTCAGTATCCAACAATTTATTTATAAGACCAAAAGACCTTTCTGAACTATCATAGGTAGCCTGTGTTAGGACCATCTTATATAAACAATTTTCTCTTGCTGGAACTATCTGGAGTGACTGCATAAAAAAAGAAGTATAATCAAAATCGGATAAACCTCCCAGTAGGTTAGTCAATAGATAAATCACCATTGTTCTTACTTATAGGCTGTACCTCTGTGTTGTTCATAAGGGATTGTACAGTAACCAGCAAATTTGTAAATGTTTAGCTAAAATTCAATAACAGAATGATCAAGTTTTATTGCCACTTTATTGAGGCTTTGTTTTCCGTTAGAAAGCTACCATTTGATAGTCTACTAAAAATGCCAGAATTTAGCTGTATTAGGTTTATTCTTAATTCATTGCCATTATGGAATGTTCCTATAGCACAAGTGACAGGAGAAATCCATGTATAAATGTCTGTGCTACATGCTATAAGCACAGTGATTCCCACCTCCACCCTCCATCTTCTCAAAGCAATCATGTGAAGTATCACCAGCTATGAGAGACAGAATATGCTGGAGGCTAAATTTCTTTATCTTTAAAATGTTTCCAAAAATGGCCAGAGGAGTTGATTTGCTTTTGTTTCCATGAGTATTTTCGCTATTACCTTTAGAGATCACTAACTCAGAGCAGTTCATATGACTTTCTGCTGTCATCATCCTGACCCCTGCCTAAACTTTTCTTACTGTGGAAAATATTAACAATTGACCTTATTCAGACATTTGGCAGGCTGTGGTCATTATTAATTCCTTCTTGCTTTTCTACATATTTTAATTGCCCTCGGGATCTGGTATTCTGAAGAATGCTACTATTGGCCAGCTTGATAAGTTTGGGAAATACTCTCCTCTTCATAGCTCTGAGTTAGTTAGCCTTATAGGACTAGTAATGAGAGTTGAATGAAAGAACTAGAAATTACTAGATCTTTCTTATAAGGGAAAGCTCTTCTTAGCTAACATTTTAAAATAATTTTGCATTTTTTTGTTTTTCAATAGTTAGGCTATCTGTATGATGTTCTTAAGAGAATATTCAGAATTATTAGCTTGATTTTACCAATAAAGATTAGAGACTGAGTATACAGATTTGCTGGGAGTCTCTTTTTCATGCTAAGAAATGAAGTTATATTTTACCCAGGCCTCCCTGCTTATCATCTTTTCATTTTTTCCCTTCCTCCAGACAGCCCATCCTGCTGAGCCAATACACAGTTTTGAAATGGTTTTATGTCTATGAGCACCACATGGTTAGTCTGCAGGAATCATAATAATGTCTTGGACATGTGTTTCAAGATAGCTCAGCCTTCTTATCAAGACTTATATCTCACAGGATATCAGAGGAGGGAGGGAATAAAGCATTATATTAGGGAAAAAAGCATTACATTAGGGAAATTAAGAGTTTTGTGCAGGGTTATCAAATGAACGTTAATATTGAGGAATGTATATCTGTGTGTGTGATTTTTTTTCTCCACCTGTGGCTCTGCTGCGTGCATTCACATTGTGCATGCGTGGGCATCTCTCTGCTGCCTTATTTTATCTGATTTATTTTTTACAACACAATCATTTAATTTGACTCACCTGAGGGGTTATTTCATTATCAGCATGTTGTCCACTTCTATGTTAGGTCTATTTTGATTGAAACCTTGGATTTTTCCCTTCAGGATTGTGTGTTGGGGTGGGGGCATACTGGGGATGACAGAGGGAGAAAGAAAGATTTTTATTTTTCCTTCTAATAAATGTTCATTGAGAAAGTTATAGAATATGGAGAAAATGAAATTTATAACTCTCCTGCGCAGAAATACTGTTAGCTGTGAGTTTCTTTTCTATATATGCTTATATAGTTGAGATTATGCATGTATACAGTTCTGCATCTTAGCTTTAAAAATAATGTCACATCTTGATAATTTCCCAGTCATTAAAATTATTTGAAGATATCATTGATGTATCACCTTATTTTATATTCTATTTGAATAATACATCCAAGGTCACCAAAAGATGACAGTGAAATGTATTGTTTGTAATCTACATTAGCATCAGTAAATATGGACCATTTAAATTGTGTTAAGTCAACCTCTCTGATCTTATTTTATTAAAGTTTAGGATAGGCACTACATTGGATGGGACTGTGATCTTAAGAGTCTCTTAAGAGGCTATAGTTACAGAGGCTAACTATCTTTGGTTTACTTAACTTTGGCCGCTTTTTTAATCCATATACTATACCCCAAATTATGGTCAGCCATCTTAAAAGTATCCATCTTTTGTATCAAAAGGAATTTAGCAAATAGATGTATGTAGATTAGTGCAAACTCATTCTCACTTTTGTAAAAAATAGTTAAACTTGATGTCTTACATCTGTAGACTCATTTTTGGATACAAAGTCTTAAATAGTTTGTGTTAGTCAAATATAAAGAAGTTGAAGCATCTTTGTATATTCTGTAGATCATAGATCCTCATTGAATCATTTTACTATAGTGTAGTCTTTAATAGTTTGTAATGTCATTAGAAGTAAACTCAATAATTCTTATTACTATAGAATAAACATGCTATTAATAAGAATAGAAATATTGTTAGTCATTTATGCGTTGAAAAGACATTTCCATTTCCTGTGCTTTTCCTGACCTCAGCCAGTACATTAGCACATTCGTACACTGGCAGAATGCTAACTAGATGTTATCACAGATTATGTATCTGTAGATTTAATCTTTTCAGGACTTAGCATCAGCAAAAGTAGGACAGTTTTTTTTTAGTCTTTGTATTCCATCTAAACATGTATTGACATTCTCAAGAAAGTCATTTGAACAAAAATCCCAACATCAAATACTCCAGAGAAGGCATCTCCAGGTGCAAATTATGATCAGATTATGGGAGATTTATCTTCAAGGTCACAAAAGTATGCTAGCTTTGGGGGAAGCTGTGTCATAGTGTCAAGTGGAACATGCTTGTTTATTTGGTACTCACGCAGTGTTGTTTATACTGAAATACTTGAATGTATGTGCTCACCTGCTGTTTTTCTTCTGCCTTTTAAAAGTCTTGGAGTACATCATTATAACAAAGCAATTTTTTTTTGATTTTGCATTGCAAGTTTTTGTTTCTCTCTAATAATGCAGTTTACTTCTAAGTGTGGCTTTGATAGGAAGATGTCAGACCTTCGAGTGGATCACTAAATAATAATCACTTGTCTATCAGTGAGCTTGTTATAAGGTGTGTTGCTTTTGATGGGCTATTACCTGACTGCTGGGTCAAAGTTAGTCTTGCTCTGTATTGGGCAATCTAAATTTAAGCCTTGAAGAGTGTCCAGATTGTACAGAATTTCTGATTTGTATCTGGTCAATACTGTCAGAATTCAGTTTTTTTTTTTTTTTTTTTTTTTGCCAGTATTTGGTTGATGGGCATTAGTTAGCTGATAAAAGTGGTATGTTGTGGTGGGGCATTGTGGGAGATTAGACATACTTTTATTGGAATATATTTGGGTATTTTAATATTCCCATCTTTATTTGGGATAATGTCCAATTATTTTTTTCACTTTCAGGTATAAAGTGTTGTGTTTTTCTTCAGCATTTGTCTAATGGTAGCCCAGCTCTGCAACCACACAATTAATCCCAAACCGCCATGAAAAATCAAATATTCTTTTTAGCTGTGGTCCCAATTATGCTGGAGACTGAGGCAGGAGAATTGCTTGAGTCTAGTTGAGTCCAGCCTGGGCAACATAGTGAGACTCTATCTCTAAAAAAATCAGAACAAAACAAAAGAACAGGACCGGGTCATAAGCCTAATTCATGTGACACCATCAAGCATCAGAAAAAAGTAGTAATCATAGAGAAGTTTTTCATAAATAAATTCTGAATCATATTAAAATTTAATGGGAGAAATGAAGTTTGAGGTTTTCTTTTTTTCCCATGAAAATAAAATTCAGAAGATGTTTACAATTACTCTGCTATCTTTCTCAAAATAGTGGTTTAATGGCAAACCTCTCGGAAGGACTCTGTATCTTTCTTAGAGGTGCTGAAGGCATTGCTGGTGCTCAGTTCATGTTTAATAATAATGTTATTCTGGATTGAAGTGTGGCTAGTATACCAGGGTTAATGCTGGTGCTTTAAGGAGAAGGGTGATTGGCATTTTAATCAGTGGAAATGTTCAGAACCTTTGTCTGAACGACTGTATTTCCAGCTGTTCAGATTTCTCAGTTCTGGTTCAGTACCAATTCAAAGCGGAGAGCTCCATCTACTGAAGACCTATTTCGGAATGATTTCTTCTGTTGAGTTCAGTGATTTTCTGTTTGCACAGGTCATTGAATTTTTTTCTGATTTATGAGCTCCAATGAAGGTTATGATGAAACTGGCAATTTGGTCATTTCAAAACCAAATTCCTTGTCATTTTGCTTAGTGCCTAAATCCAAAGGACTTACCAGGGGGCATTCTTAATTAACTGTATTTAATAGTCAGGTTTTCTTGGGACCAATGTAGATAGTAAGACTGCTCTTAAGAAACTGTTGCTATAGATGGTCTTTCTTTAGTCTTCCGTAGCTGAATCCCCTTTCATAGACTCACATTGGGATTTTATTGACGATGTCATAGAACTGCAGTGACTTTGGTGTCAAATTTAGGCTTGACTTTCAGTCTTGCTACTTTGGATGGCTCAAGTGATGGAAGTGCAAGTGACTCAATTTTTATAAACCTCAGATTCCTTTTGGGGACTTATAGCCATGTTTAATCAGTCTGGACTTTGCTGGAAGCGCAGAAGAATCTTCGAAGGGTTTTAAATAGGAGATCATTCATATTTGCACTATAGGTCAAACCAGAGATTTTGGTACCCAGAACTTTAGCTGTCACTTCATTTAGAGATTACCAAAGCTGCTGAGAGCTATGTTGTCCAAGATCATATACTTTCCTGGTTTGGCCCATAGTGACTGATCAGTGAAGGGGGTATAAAGTCCAGGCCATCTCAGACAGACTCTGAATAACTTTAAAGGGACATACTTTCATGACAGTGTAACAGAGAAGACACTTGAAGCAGATATAAAAATCACAAGCCCTAAAAGACTGACTTAAAAAAATACATTAACTTAAAAATCTTAAATATAACAAAAGACATTAAAACAAAACAAAATGATAGACCACAGACTGGTTGTATGTATTTGTAACTCTTCTAAGTGGTCAAAGAGAAGTATCCAGGATTTGAAAGAAGTCATACAATTCAATAAGAAAAAGATAAACAACTCAATGGAAAATGGATAAAGAATATGACTAGGCAATTCACATAGGTGAATGCTTGAATGACCAATTATAAAAGATGCTTAACTTTGCTAATAGGGAAATGAAAAGTAAAACCCTGGTGAGATTCCATTTTACACCTATTGATTGACAATACCTAATAAGCTTGATAACACCAAGTGTTGGCAAGGATGAGAAGAAACAGGAACTCTTGTATATTACTGATGAGAATAAATTACTACAATCTTTTAAGCAAGCAATCTAGAAATATCTGGTAAAGTTGAAGATGTCCATATTCTGCAACTCAGCCATTCTGCCTTTATGTGTTAGCCTAGGAAATTGTCACACATAGAAATAAAAGAGACATGTACAAGGGTGTTCATTGTAGCACTGTCTACTTCAAATAGAAAGAAAGCAGAGGAATGCATAAATGTAGGGTGATGTTTCCTCCATACAGTAGAGCAGTTAAAATAAACTAGTTGCACATGTATCCACATGGATACATCTCAGAAACATACTAAGGGTAATGTAAACTGTAAAAGAGTATATAATATATGTAATGTAACTATTATATATGTGATATAGTGATTGTCTATATTCTGTATTATAGATAAACCTTTTTTGAGATATAAGTTTGATACCATACAGTTTACCAATTCAAAGTATACAATTCAATGGCTTTAAACATGTTCACAGAGTTGTGTATCTGTCACTGCAGTCAATTTTAGAAAATTATCATTACTCCACAAAGAAAGTCCGTTCTCTTAGCCATCAGCCCCCTACCCCCAACCGCTGCCAGCCTGTCATATTCTCCAGCCCTAGGCAACCACAAATCTACTCTCTGTCTCTATGTATTTGCCTACTGACATTTCATATAAATGAAATCATATAATATGTGGTCTTTAATGACAGGCTTCTTTCAGTTAGATAATGTTTTTGAGGTTCATCAGTGTTGTAGCATGTATCAGTACTTCTTTTTTTATTGCTGGATAATATTTCATTGTATAGATATACCACATTCTGTGTATCCATTCATTAGTTGAACATTTGGGTTGTTTTCACTTTGTAGCTATTATGAATAATGTTGCTATGAGCATTTATGTTTAAGTTTTTGTGTAGACATGTGTTTTCATTTCTCTTGGGTATATACCTAGGAGTGGAATTACTGGATTCCTGGTAACCCTATGTTGGAATAGCCAAATTGTTTTCTAAAGTGGCTGCATGCTTTTACATTCCCACCAGCAGCATCAGAGGGCTCCAGTTTCTCCATATCCTTGTTGATACTTGTTACTGTTCATCTTTGATTATAAACATTTTAGTGGGTGTGAGGTAGTATCTCATTGTAGTTTTGATTTGCATTTCTCTGGTGGCTAATGATGTTGATCATCTTTTTCATGTGCACATTGACTGTATATAGATTTGTAAAGCATGTAAAACATTGGCATATATTGTTTCTCGATACACACATGTATGATCAAAGTATAAAAAAATGGGAAGAGATGGTGAGTGGAGCTTTAGCTATATTTGTGTCATTTTATTTCTTAAATAACAAAGGGCATTAAGCAAATAAGGCAAAATATTAGCATTTGTTAAAATTGTGGTGCTATATACATAGCTGTTATATTATTTTCTAAAATATAGATATGTATAGTTGTAGTCAACAACCTCAAAATAATAGTTGTTGTAATGAGAGTAGAAAATTTTGCCAAGGAACAATTAAAACATAATACAAGTTGCAGAAATGCTTTGGTGCATGCTTACATTTTGTTGAGATCTGACAAACGGGAAGTAAAATTTGGTCATAAAAGTCTAAGTTGGAGAATCATTTATTAGTACAGATACTAAGGAAAGGTTGTCAACCATGTCAGATCACACAGAGAGGGAGCAAATGTAGTTAAATAAAAAACAACAAAACTTTATATTTGGCAATTCTTATTAATATCCTCCTAGGATGCAGTTTTCATTTTAGGAGCAAGGTTCAAAATCAAATTGTAGGGAGTATACAATATATGCTCTATGAGAAAAAAAGACTGTGGTGTAAAACACATTAAAAAGGTTGTCAGTGAATTGAAGGAGAGAAATAGGGCTTGAAAGGAAAGATGGAGCTAAGAAGTTTGCCTTGTGCATCAAATTTGGTGTAGTACTTGACCATCACCCATGTGAACAGTTTGAAATTTCAAAGTGGTACCACAGCAACATAGTTCTGATTTAGATACCTAGAGTGACAAGTTTTTTATTCATACTTTCTCTCTTTCCTCTCTTTTAAAAAGATGTAATTTGCATATAGGGTTGTTTCTCTTTCTAGCACTCAAAGATCCTTTGAGTAAGGAATAATGGTTTCTATAATAGCACTGCCAACCACAGAATATAGTCAGATGCATAAGTAAATATATCTTGAAAAAGAACTTTATCCAGCATGGAGAGACTTTGTATGTGGGAAAGCTGTGAAAAACATGGGAAGATGAGACAATGTGTACAAAGTGCCATCAACACTACCTCACTCATGATCGGTCAATCTTAGTATTCCCTCATGTCTCCTCCACTATCAGATATTTGAGAAGAAATAATTGAGGAAAACGTTTCAGAACACTCTGAAAGGAATGGAGAGAAAGGGCAACAGTACATTTTTTAAAGAAGGATGGATGAATGACTCTCTGCTTGCAGGGAGGGAAGCTAAGCCGATGTTGGAGTAGAGGAGGAGCTGAAGGAATGCACGGTGAGTGCCCTCCTGTTGGTAGGAAGAGGGCCTGGTGGTGATGAAGGTAGCAATGTGGGATATTACAGGGAAGGAACAACATTTGGAGCATCTTTGGATGAGTGAAGAAATGAAAGACAGATGTCTAAATGCATTGTCTAACAACATTGAGGATTCACATGGATTTAGATAGTATGAATGATGAGGTCTATATGATTATGTGATTTTTATACCTTGGAAGCTGGGAATGAAGAATAGCATACAGGGTGTGTAATAGAAGGGATTTGCAGGGCTGCAAGGAAAGATTTGGTGGCGACATGGCAATTTCCTTAATTGTTTGAACAGTTCTTTTATGGTTAAGTAATTCTTTTAATTCTGTTTTATCATAGGACAGAACTTAGGCACTAAAGAGTCTAAGAAAGGCAGGTTCCTGCCCAGTCAAAAGAAATCACCAGTAATTAGAGCTATCTAATCATAGAATACACTGTCTTTAGAGATAGGGAGTTTCCTAACAAGGGAAGGATTCAGAGAGAGGCTAGGATGTGAAGATGGAAGGTCTGACTGCGTGTCAACTGAAACCTTTTTTACACTTAAGGTGTTAAATGGTTTTGTACTCAGAACATTGATGGGGTAAAAAAATCTCATTTATAATTAAGAGCAGAATAAATGTAGTGACTATAAGAAACCAGGCGAGGTTAGAATACATGTAGTGACTATAAGAATCAAGGTTAGGTTCTACTTGTACACAGAATGGAGCCAAGGATCTAAGACAATTGGGGAACATCTATGCCATAGTTTACGTCCTTTTTTCTGCCTCTGTACTAGTGACATCAAGGACAGATCATATGAGTAATATCCCCTCTTGCTTGCTGTGATCCTTGACCAGTCTACCTCATCAGTACCTTTAGTCACCATGGTTTTTTTACCCTCATTTAAAATTTCATTTGAAACAAGTCATTATAATTGGCTTCTTTAAAATAAAAAACCAAGGAGTGTTAAATTTATTTGTAGACTGTGCATGTGAAACATTAGAATTCTTTATAGATTTCTAGTTTTTGCATGATTTTTAACCCTTGGCATCAATCAGTAGATGGATTTTTTATTTTAAGTGAAAGCCATAGTATTAATAACTAAATGTCTCTTCCATGTTTTACTAAAAAAGTAATTCCTTTCTACCCTTTCTTCCCACTTTCATCTCCACTTGGTAATAGAAAGAACATAGCAGATTTATTAGTTTCACTCATCTCATAAAGATAATGTCATCAAACATGTTATGAACATAGTTCAGGACAAGAGACAACTATATGTATTGATTCCTTTCTTTGTTCCGTGCTTTACATATTTAGACTATAGGCTACAATCTTGGAGAATCCCAGACTCGACACTTTTTTTGTTGCTGTGGCACATTAGTGCCCAGAAATTTAGTATTGATTACTGTAGTTTCTCTTGCCTCATCTGAATGTGAAAGGAATGGCAAAGTGGCTTCATTCATAATGTTGGCCAGTTAGCTCTTTTTGCTTACTGAGGTTGTACATTGGTTTTGGAGAATACGGAATAATCAGGCTCAGAGTTACTTTCACATTGTACTGCTAAGATACTGTTGAATTAAAGTCACAGTGTTCATGGAAAATAATGTGTCAGAAATTACTAAGAAGAATGTCTGAAATGTGCACAGGTTGTGAAGTGCTGGAGAGAAAAAAATGGGTCAGTGCATTGATTCTCTTGGGGTAAGGGTGAGGACCACATTCTTTAAGGGGTGATAACAGGAGCTCTAGTTAAAACGTTTCTAAATATACACGACCCACCTCCTGAGGTTCTGCTGTAGCTGTCACCCCTAGGGTTTGTTGTTTTCCTTTATTCTGCATGCATCACTCTGTGTACTCACTACTAGTAGTTACTTTTAGGGTTATTGTGAATATTGTTAGATATAAGATGAATTGGTGCATATCCTCTGACGCTGGGAGACCATTGTAATTGATTGGTCAGGTATTTTATAGCGAACTTCTATGTAGAATATAGGATTAGATAAAGCCTTTGTATACGGTAAGCTTTCAGAATTTAAATTAAAAATGAAAAAGTCAATGGAGATTTATGGGAATATATTGTAAGGATGACAGATAATTTCAGTGGTGAGAAAAAGGTCATCTTTGACTATGTTTCAAAGTCATAAAGTGGTTCAATATGATATTCCTGGTGTAAGTGAATTCAAGGAGTGTTGTACAGCAGAGGAAATAGGGGAGACATCCTCTGAATAACTGTTATTTCAAGAGGCTGGGTGTGTAGGCAGAATTAAAGAAGGTAGAAGTGGAGAGATGGTTTCAAGAAAATAACAAGGTGGTTTCAATTTGAGAGACATTAGATGAATCATGTAATGAGGATTTTGGGTGGTTATGGACTTGTAGCACCACCAGCAGCATATGAGCTGATGTATGGTTAGTAGGACTGAAAAAATGTCAAGGAAGAGGAGGAAAGGAGACTCATGGTATGGAACAGATTAAGGACTTATTTACAGATGCAGTGAAGGAAGACGTTTGAAATGCTCCAATTCTTCAAGTTGGTATTCATGATTAAAATAATTAAGAAGTCAGTTTTGAGAACTAACAGTAAAGGAATTGACCACCTGACTGGTGTTTTGATGTGAAGCAGATTTAAAGGGATAAAATCTGTATGATGGGAGATCAGGAAGGCAGCAGTGGTGCATTCATACACAGCCAACACTCAAGTATTTATTTGAGTATTGTTCTGGGGAGCCATGGAGGATATGGTTTTTGTGTTTTAAGGGGATCATAGTCTGATTGGCACAGGGATAACATCAAAGGCCAACCCAAATAGAAGACAGCAAATGTTGGTGTGTCAAATGAATGTTAGTGCTGTTTGAAGTGTGAATCCCAGATCCCAGGCCCCAATCCAAACCGACTCTTATTATTTTCCTATGGCTGCCTACAAATTACCACAAACGTAATGATTTAAAATAGCACACACTTATTATCTCACAGTCTCTGTGGGACAGGAGTCTGGGACGCTGAGATGGTTCCTCTGCTTCAGGGTCTCTCACCATGCTGCAGTCAAGGTGTTAGCCAGCTCTGGGTTCACCTGAGAGGCTCAACTGAGGAAGAGTCTGCTTCTTCTTTTTTTTTTTTTTTTTTATTATACTTTAAGTTTTAGGGTACATGTGCACATTGTGCAGGTTAGTTACATATGTATACATGTGCCATGCTGGTGCGCTGCACCCACTAACTCGTCATCTAGCATTAGGTATATCTCCTAATGCTATCCCTCCCCCCTCCCCCCACCCCACCACAGTCCCCAGAGTGTGATATTCCCCTTCCTGTGTCCATGTGATCTCATTGTTCAATTCCCACCTATGAGTGAGAATATGTGGTGTTTGGTTTTTTGTTCTTGCGATAGTTTACTGAGAATGATGATTTCCAATTTCATCCATGTCCCTACAAAGGACATGAACTCATCATTTTTTATGGCTGCATAGTATTCCATGGTATATATGTGCCACATTTTCTTAATCCAGTCTATCATTGTTGGACAGAGTCTGCTTCTAAGCTCCAGTTGTTGGCCAAGTTCTTTTTCTTGCTGCTCCAGGATTCATGACAACTTGCTTCTTCAAAGCCAGCAGTGGGGTTGGTGGGAGGGGTTCTGCTAGCTTCAGAGTCTTGTATAGTGTCATGTGACAGCCTATCATCTTTTTCATATTCTGTTGGTTAAAAGCAAGTCACAGTTCCCTCCCACGCCGAAGGGGAGGGAAACACACAAAAGCGTGGACAGTAGGAGGTGAGGATCATGGGGCCAATGTAAAGTCTTGTCTGTGACACCTGCTGGATCAGAATCTACATTTCAGTGACATTCCTTAGACGATTACATTTTAAGAAACTGTTACAGATGGTAGGTGCCAAAGAAGGTTGATTTAGAGGGAGAAGAAAGTTCTTTGGGCTTGACCTGGCCAGGTGAATTGTTTTATGGTCAGCAAAATAATTTGTTGTGTAAAAGCTTATTCACATCAGGGAATTTTTGGTATTCTTTCTCCCTGCCACTTCTGCTTGAGTATAGTGTTTTTCACTTTTGTAGTGCTGTTGTACTCTCTGAGAGAGTTTGTAATTTCCTAACTTGGGCTTAAGAAAAAAAAAATTGTTCCTTTCCCTTTTACTATTCCATTTTGATGATAGGGGTTGGTGTAAACTAATGGACATGCTCTGCCCTAATAGCAGAACAATCTTGGGAAAGACATTGAACTATCCTTTGCATCAATTCTTTTATATGTTAAGTTCTGTCATTCTTCTCTTACAGGGCTGTTGTGTGTGAATTGAATGAGTTGAAGTAAAAGTTCTTGGTAAAGTGTAAAGCATTATATAATGTTGTGGTGGACTTGTTTTGTTGTAATGCCTTATTCACAGAGCTGCCCCCTTCCTACCAATAGTAGTGTGTATCCAGAAGTCATGATTGTTCCTTGATTGTGTCTAACCACAGTCCTTCAGAGAAGGCATGGATGGCTGATCCAAACTGGGTCACACAGATTCTCCATCTTGGGAATTTGGATTTGGGACCAAATGATGACAGTTTAGTCCTTGCTGACCTAACGTAAAGAGATTAGAATCCAAGGAAATTGTGGTACAGCTGACTTCTACTGTACGAGTAGCAGAGAATGTTCCTTGCAGAGGACAGAGGGAACTCAGATCTGAAGAGAGAAGGAAAGTTATGGAGAAAGAGGGCCCACTGCTGGGGGCCTGTCTGCTTTTGATTTCCTGCTTGCTTTTCTGGGTCCTTGCAGCATTTTTGCCTTTAAGTTGTATAACACATAATTCTAAATCTGTATATTAGTAATAATTTTCCCTCTTTTGTTCAAGCTATTTTGAGTTGTTTTCTGTTACTTTCAACTAGAGAGCTGAAATGGGAGCCAATAAGTGTGTACTTAAAAATTTTTAAAAATCTCCTAACTACTCATTCATTTTTCCCCCAATGCCTACATAATTTGTTTTTAAAGGCCAATTATATTGCTTCATTCATTGAATAGTCATTGAGCATTTTTTCAGGATACTTTAGAAATACCAAAATGAAGAATATGATCCTTGCCCTGAAGCAATTTTTTAATTTACTAAGAGAAATGGACATTTAAATGACTACCTATAATACTAGGCAGAAGAAAGAAATAAGAACTATGTGCAATTCATTTGAGGTAATTTTTATGTTATGCCCAGTAACCTGATTGAAGGTGATTAAAAATTTCATTTTTTTGCAAAGAACTGAGCCCTTTTGTCCCTGATTGATGATAAGGTCCTGACATGCTTTTGGGCCCATCATTTTTGCTTACGCCTCTGAACATTGCAAGTAGGCTGGGCAGTCTGGCCATATATACCTTTCTTCATTAAGTAGGCAGAGGACAATACAATGAGATAGGCAAAACTGAAAACAAAACAGAAGTTTAAATCGGAGATTTTTAAAAAACTCGCTTAGTGAAGTTATTTGATTTCTTGATTAGGTCATCCTTTAGCTCTGGGTGATTTCCATGTTTAAGCTTGGTTTTAGAGGTTTTGTCTTCCTTATAGCTTGTATCATGTATAAAAAGGGTACTTATATACCTTATATTATACAATAAAGAGGGTATTGATATTGCTTGCATTGCATAATAAAAAGGGTGCCTAACATAAGAGTTCTGTGTTTCCTATAGTTTGCATTACATAATAAAATCAGTGCTTAAATTAGATGGGAGCCAGTGAAATTATAGTCAAACTGCATGAAGCTGATTTTAGAACCACATTTTCTTAAAATGGAGGTTATGTAGGTTACATGTTTTACTGGCTCATGGAGCTCTTCAAAATGACCCAGTTCAGAATGACATTCAACTTAGAGCTGATTGAAATGGGCATTGGTGGAAAATCCCTTGGGGATTTGTGGAGCAATTAAAAATAACCTAGGAATCTAATTCTTTTTAATAATAGAAAAAAAATCTGTAGTTAGAATTTTAGAGAAGTATGTGAAAGTTTTATCTTACTACAGAAATTATGGGAAATGCTTACTTTTTAAAAGGAGAAAGGGAAAGAATCTCATGTTGAAAATTGTCATTAGGTAAAGTAATAGAATTAATGGAGCAGGCCGGGCGCGGTGGCTCACGCCTGTAATCCCAGCACTTTGGGAGGCCGAGGCGGGTGGATCATGAGGTCAGGAGATCGAGACCATCCTGGCTAACAAGGTGAAACCCCGTCTCTACTAAAAATACAAAAAATTAGCCGGGCGCGGTGGCGGGCGCCTGTAGTCCCAGCTACTGGGGAGGCTGAGGCAGGAGAATGGCGTTGAACCCGGGAAGCGGAGCTTGCAGTGAGCCGAGATTGCGCCACTGCAGTCCGCAGTCCAGCCTGGGCGACAGAGCGAGACTCCGTCTCCAAAAAAAAAAAAAAAAAAAAAAAAAATAGAATTAATGGAGCAATCCAAAATGAGCTAAATAAGTTTCTTTGTGAGAATTCTTCTAGAGATTAATTCTAGAATTCTTCTAGAGACTTCATAATATATGGTAAAACTAATATTGCTGCTTAGATATTCTGTGTCGTCTTTTGTCCTCACTTTAGGTAAGCAATATGTACGCCATAGCACTCTCTATCTTACTTTACATCACTTTGCTCATTTGGTGATTGTGTAGGTGTGAGTATGTGCATGTGTGTAGACTTTTGTCAGTTTCCTTCCTGCTAAATTTTAAGCTCATTGAAAGTAAGAACCATGTGATTAGCTTATTATTATTATGTACCCTGTACCTAGTGCTGTTCTTGGACATAATAGTGAGAGGTGACAACGTGCTAGCAGCCCTCGGTCGCTCTCTGTGCCTCCTCAGCCTTGGCATCCGCTCTGGGCCCTCTTTGGGGCTGGCAGAGGCTGAAGCCGGCTTCCTCTGCTCGTGGGGAGGTGTGGAGGGAGAGGCGCGGGTAGGGGCCAGCGCTGCGCGCAGGCCTTGTGGCCGGCACGGGATCTGGGTGGGCACGAGCTCGGAGGGCCCGCACTTGGCACAGCCAGCTGGCGCCTGCTGGACTTGATAGGGGGACGAGCTCCCTCTGGGCTGCGGAGTGCCTGGGCTAGGTGCCGCAAAGTCCTGTGGCGAGTGCTAGCGAGAGGTGAAGCCGGCTGGGCTTCTGGGACAGGTGGGGACTTGGAGAACTTTTCTGTCTAGCTACAGGATTGTAAATGCACCAATCAGCACTCTGTCAAAATGGACCAGTCAGCTCTCTGTAAAATGGACCAATCAGCTCTCTGTAAAATGGACCAATCAGTAGGATGTGGGTGGGGCCAGATTAGGGAATAAAAGCAGGCCACCCGAGCCAACAGCAACCTGGTGGGGTCACCTTCCACGCTCTGGTAGCTTTCTCTTTGTAATAAATTTTGCTGCTGCTCACTCTTTGGGTGCCTGCCGCCTTTATGAGCTGTAACACTCTTATGAGCTGTAACACTCACTGTGAAGTTGTGCACCTTCACTCCTGAGGCCAGCGAGACCACGAACCCACCAGAAGGAATGAACAACTCCAGACGCGCCGCCTTTAAGAGCTGTAACACTCACCGCGAAGGTCTGCAGCCTCACTCTGAAGTCAGCGAGACCACGAACCCACCAAGAAACTCCGGACACATCTGAACATCTGAAGCAACAAACTCCGGACACACCATCTTTAAGAACTGTAACACTCACCGTGAGGGTCCGTGGCTTCATTCTTGAAGTCAGCAAGACCAAGAACCCACCAATTCCAACACAATAGGTGTTTAGTAACTACTCAATGAATAAATGAATATTTCTCATAACCTTGTACCCTACAAGCGTTACTCATAAAAAGATATGCCGGGAATATTTAGAGGTAACATTATTTTTATTGTCAGAATATTGTATATTCGATGTGAGGTTTAGCACTATGAATAGAGTCAGTAAATAATCCATAAAAATGTGATCAGCTTGACTCTTGTTTCTTATATTCTCTCAGAGAGAAGCTAAACTTAAGAGAGAGGGAGATCAATAGATGAGACATTTAAAATGTTTAGCCTGTGACTTGGTAAATGACTACCAAAATTCTCTGGAGGCAAAGCCTGTATAAACTAGGTTGGCTAGCACACAGAAAATGTTAGGGGAGTTCCCAAAGCTTCAGACTAAGTTAGTGATGGCAACCAGTTCAGTGAGGAAACAACAGTATTTTCCTAGGGCCAGAGCTCAGGATGGGGAGACACTGCCATGGTACCCTATGAGGGAAGGCATGGACTCCATGAACTGCAGTTACGGTGGGCAGGGACAGGAACTTCAAAGACAGTGAGCTGAGCAGCCATGGAAGCTTCAGGGGATAGGGAGATGTTGGTAGGGAGTTGCTTTTTCAAGGGAGGACAGAATTTAGAAGTCGGTAGTCTGGGGAATGTAAACCAAAAATAAAATTCTAAGGCCCCCAAGTCATTTGAATGGACTTCCTCCTCAGCCAAGACACTTTTTTTGTTCGTTTGTTTGAGATGGAGTCTCGCTCTGTCACCTAGGCTGGAGTGCAATGGCGCAATCTTGGCTCACTGCAACCTCTGCCTACCGGTTCAAGCGATTCTGCTGTCTCAGTCTCCTGAGTAGCTGGGATTACAAGTGCACACTGCCACGTCTGGCTAATTTTTTGTGTTTTAGTAGAGACGGGGTATCACCATGTTGCCCAGGCTGGTCTCGAACTCCTAAGCTCAGGCAATCCACCCGCCTCAGCCTCCCAAAGTGCTGGGATTACAGGCGTGAGCCACCACGTCTGGCTCAAGACACTCTTATCATTTAATCTGAAAGACTGGCTCAGGTCATGACGGGAACATGGGGAGTTGGACATGCCCCATTATACCTCTCCAGCATTAACATCAACACAGACTTTAAGTCTGAGGAGAAACATTTTACACCTTATTCTCTCTCAGGCCTACAACCTGAAGGCTTCCTCTGCAAATAGGAACTTTGATCTCCACAGTTCTTTCTCCTAACCCCGCCATTCATTTCTATTGATCCCAGGTCTTTAGATAAACTCAACCAATTGTCAACCAGAAAAAATTTAAATCTACCTATAATCTGGAAGACCCTGCTTTGAGGTGTCCCACCTTTCTGGACCAAACCGTTATATTTCCTAAATGTATTTGATTGACGTCTGATGCCTCCCTGAAATGTGTAAAACCAAACTGCACCTCGACCACCTTGGGCACGTGTTCTCAGGATCTCATGAGGGTTGTGCCATTGGCCATGGTCACTAATATTTGGCTCAGAATATATCTCTTCAACTGTTTTACAGAGTTTGACTCTTTTTGTCTACAGGAAGGAGATGATCAGCACCCACTTCCCGTAGATGTTTTCTGTTTCTGGTAATGATGTTTTTGGTGTTAGGGAATTCAGCCTTGGCTATTCTATGTTCATTTTAAGGTTGGTAACATCATGCCCCAGTTAGGGGTTATGTGTCTGTAATTGCCACAGGAGCAGCCCTGTGTGTTATGCCTGCAGCTGGCTCTGAATCTGTTAAGGAAAGAGCAAGTAAATATTTTCTTACAAATATAAAAGGAAGAGTTAAACACTTATTGTTTGGAAACCAAGCTGATGAGCATATTATATTGTCTGAGGCCCCAGAAATAAGCAAATTAATTACATGCAAATAACTTGCTCATGAAGTGTGGGATAATAATAGTATCTGTTTGGATGTTTATGGCAAATTTATTTACATGGCTCAATTTTCTGCTAATTTTCCTGTGGAAAATAATAAATATTGGTTCCTTTTGCCTTTCTTTTAGAAATACATCATTGAAATTATGAAAACTGTTACCATGTCTTGCTATCTTTGCTTTGCCAAGGGCAATTTTAAAGACAGTATTTGTAAATACATGGTGAAGAAAGAACTATTAATGTATGTAGGTTCTTTCTGCTGTAAACAGATGGTTGTCATCACCAACATCATTAAATAATACAGAGGTTATTATTGAATATTAACATTCAGTAGTTCAGTTGACTTCCTGTTGATCTTTTTCATGAACATCTTTTGATGTCAGCTTCTTGCTGAGCTTCAGACATTTCCTCTCTTAAGGTATAACAGGGAATTGAGCAGTTTATATTGACAGTGTGATCCATGGTCTCTGTCTTTTTCATTAATGAGTAATTGGATTCACATTGAAAAGATGGCTCTAAGCTCTGCCTAGTGCTCCATACACTCTAAAGGAACCTTAGCATCCAATGTGACTCTCCTGATGCTCCCATATGTGTGGTTTTTTTTTGTTTTTGAGGTATATCAAAGGTGATTCGATGAGTTGTTTTATTTTTTTCAAGATAATCATTTTTTTGCAGTTCATTAACTTGGATTGTATGTCAGGCGCCTCATAAGCTAGGGGATGAGTGTGGGATTGAGTCTTTAGTTGGGATGAGGAGTATTTGTTTTTGTATCCAACTTTATAGGCTGTGCTGCTCGACTCCCAGCCTTTCTCAGTAGGGTGATCCACAGCTCTACTAGGTTACTATTTTATTTGTTTGCTGTCTGTATGCTAAGGCTCAGGCATTGACATCACCTCTATACGTTTTCATCAACAACTCTGACATTTTGACATGACAACCTTGAAACTATTATCTTATGGAATGCCAGACACATGATCTGTTGTTCATAAAGCAGTAAGTAGAATGGAAATGGATTTTTCTTTTAATTTTTGGTAGAGCAGGAATTTTAACCTCCAGTCAGAAAGGAAAACAGAGCAGTTTGTATCTTGGATTAGCTTTTATCAGCTACTCTGCACCCTCATTTTTGCCATCTACAAGTGCGTTGGGGTGCAGGGAGATGTGGGGTTGGCACAGGAAGGTTGAGCCACCCAACTCTGTACTCTGTAAATTAATATCTTGCTTTTGCATGAACTCTCTTTGCCGGTTTTCTCCATCAATTGCCGTGGTAGAGATGAGGCTGGTGGCCAAATATTTTCTTCTTGTATTTCCAGTGGGTAAGGGGGTGGTACCACACACACTTTGGGTATTCCATTGTTCTTCCTTTCAGTTTGAGGTTCCCATGTAGAAAAATTACACTGTGTTTTGATAATCTGATTAACAGAAGGGAAAAAATCAATTGGTAGATTTTGAAGAGAGAATCAATTTCCTTATTACAGAAAAAGATGAGAGACATAACTACCTTGTGTTTGCAAATTATTTGCTTCAGTCTGTGATGCTTTCAAGAGTTTGAGAAATAGGGTATTTAACTTCTCAACTTATGCCTGATAGGATCACGGTAAAAGTGCTCCAGCCTAATGGAAGCTTAAAAATGCAGCTCTTAGAATTGCTGGATCACACTTGACAGTGATTTGTATGTCTACGGCTTATTAAACCTCAGCATAGAGAATGTCCTGATTTAAAATTTTTCAATTTTATTCACTTGGTCTGATGTGAGGAGCAGCCATCCTTCCTGTTGTCTTGTGTAGTCGAATGTAAATTTCTCAGCCACAGTTAAATTTCTGGTCAAGGCCAACCACACTGAGCGTTAAGGAGTTCTTTCTCCCTTGGACTTCTCAATCAGAGAATTGCTAACATTTCACCTTTGACTTTGTTCTCTATTGACATCTAAATGCCATTTGTTATTCCAGTAGCCATAAGCATTTGCCATCAAGCAGAGCACATGCCTTAGAGTGATCAGGAAGAAGCAATGTCAGAACAAATGGTAATCACTCTGTGCTAATATTCTATTCTGTTCTATTCTGTTCTGTTCTGCTCTATTCTATTCTTATTTTATTATAATCCTTGGAGCATATCCAGCTTTGGCTAGTTATGCACAGACTCAATGCTTAGAAATTTGCTGTTGTAGAATTTGTAAATCAGGAAACGGATTCAATAATTGTGGCTTGAAGACTTGTTTAGTATAATATTCGGGTTCCTTCAGTTATATTCTACATCAGTGTGTTTTCTGGTATGCCACTTGCTTTCTTTTATGCCACAAACATCTGTTGCTGCTTATTGTAGATGTTAGATTTTGAGCCAGGGTATACCAGGACTTACTAAAGTTAATTTTGGTAAAATTGCCTGCAGTAAGTATCATCATTTTTCTTAAATTTTTTTCTTTTGTGTTTTGTTTTTCCCTTTTTCTCTGATCAGAAGTTACCTTATGAATGTTATACATATGTGTAGATTAGAAAATTCTTATAATGAGTCAGAAGTTGACTATAGGAGGATTGTGGAAATATTGATGCCTTGGAAAGGCTGAAGTTGCAGGGAAAGTATTAAGCAAGAGAGGCGTGGTTTGAGAATAGGGATTGAGGTGATTGACAGCACGGGTTGGAAGAACAATGATGAAGGAGAAGTAGTGAGGATATTGATTTAGTAAGTGAAAGGGCACTGAAAGAACGAAGTCTTAGAATATTAGAGAAAGAATTGATGGAAACATGACTTTTAATTTTTTTTTGAATCAATCTTGATGTTTATTTTGGATCTAAAATAAGGAACCAAGTATAAGACTGCTTTGAAATCATAATCTGAACATTATTTTAAACATTTCACTAGCAAATCATCTGCTTTCTGTTTCACTATGCCGTTTTCTAACTTTGCTAAGAAATTGATTCTGTTACGTATTAGGACCTAAATTTTTTCCATAATTTTTAATTTTTTAAAATTAAAAGCATTGCGATATAATTCACATATAAGTCACCATTTTAAAGAATATAACTCAATAGGTTTTAGTATATTCACAGGGTTTTGCAACTATCACCACTGTCTAATTCCAGAACATGTTCGTCACTCCAGGAAGAAAACTGGCCTTTAGCAATCACTCACCATTAGCAGTCACTCCCATTCCTGCTTCTCTTCAGCCTTTGGCAGTCACCAGTCTACTTTCTGTCTCTGTAGATTTGTCTATTCTGGACATTTCATGTAAATAGAATCATACAGTATGTGGCCTTTCTGACTAGCTTCTTTCATTTAGCATAATGTTTTCAAGGTTCATCCATGTTATAGCATGGCAGTACCTAATTTCTTTTTATTGCTTAATCATGAGACAGGAGAATTCCCTTGACCCCCTCATGGGACTTGTGATGGGGGTGTGGCCCACTTACTGGGCTGCTGCTGAGCTCACACCTCTTGTGGAATGGGGAACACACAGGCAAACGGGTGCCAGGGCTGGGACAAACGCTTTTGGGCTCCAGCCCCATGGCAGTGTCTAGGGGTGTGTTAAAATTAATGCTCTTTTAGCAGTTGCCATCTCTGGACAGCCTCTTACACCCTGCCCTCTTGGTACCTGAGTTTTTGTCTAGCATCCAGGAAGAATCAGGTCACATGGACTTGAAGGATGTGGAGATTTTATTGAGTGATGGAAGTGGCTGTCAGCGGGATGGGGAGCTGGAAAGGAGATGGAGTGGAAAGAGGATCTTCCCTCATCTCCAACCGTCCCCAGCTGAACTCCTTTCGACATTCAGTTGCTTCTTCTCTTTTCTCCTTCTCTGCTGCAATGCTCTGTTCCTCTGCCAATGGAGTTTGGGGTTTTTGTGGGTACAAGATGTGGGGCATGGCGGGCCAGGGTGGTTTTGGAAAAAGCAACATTTGAGCGGGAAAACGGGATAACTCTTCTCATTTAGGGCTGTGGTTTCCAGGCTTGCGGGTGGGGCCTTTGCTGGGGAACTGCCCTCTTCTATCTAATATTTCCCTGCTTCTGGTCCATATCAATAATATTCCATTATATGGACATTTTGTTTATCCATTCATCAGTTGGTGGACATCTGGGTTGATTCCATATTTTGGTTCTTATTAATAATGCTGCTATAAAAATTTGTATGCAAGTCTTTCTGTGAATATTTGTTTACAATTTTACTATACCTAGGAATGGAATTGTTGGATCATATAGTAACTTTGTGTTTAACTTTTTGAGGAACTGCCAAACTGTTTTCCAAATTAGCTGTACCATTTTATATTCCACCACGCATATTGGGCATATTATTTGAAATGTAACTGATTTACTAAGAAAAAATAGTTTTACCCTTTCTATCTTGCCTTTTGGACATCATCTATACTGGAATGAGTTACTGTCTGATACTTTGAAAGGCCATAAAATTGTAGAGCTTGAGAGGTTCTAATGAATCCATCTTTCTACTGGAATGGAAAATCCCTGAAGTTTAGGCACCTTGTCCATTTTGTTCACTTCTGTATCCACTCCACCTGTGTCAGCACTGTAAATACTAGGTGCTTAGCAAATTTTACTGAATAATGAATCTAATCCAACCCGTTTGTTTCGTAATGAGAAAAGTGATGCCCAGAGATGTCAGGTAACTTTCTAAAGGTCACTAAGGGATTTAATGGTAGAACAAGGACTAGAATTCTGGTCCTGATTTCCTTGCCAAATTCTTGCCTTCAAAGTCATCTTGAATTCACTGTTCTTCCTGAACTTCATGGTCCATTGCTGACCTGATACAGAATTTTCTGACAGTTTTATAGCTGTGCTTTGGGGGTTTATTGACATTTAATGAGTGTTTTTGTTCTTGTGAAGTCATTTACATGTTTACTGCTGAGGCTAGCATTCATAACAAGAAAAAAACATTTAAATAACTGCATTTTACCCAGGGAAGATAAATTACAGTTGCCTATCAATAAGTAGATAACTTTCATTGCTGCCAAGATTATTAGATTGTGGAAGGCAATAAATTTGTACCCTCCCTTGTGAGTCACTTGCCTTAAAAAATTCACAACTAATTATCTGAAAGTGAGACAGGTTAGTACAGGTTTGCTATCTACTAGTATTCCTTTCTTTCCTAATCACTCTTGCAGATGGAGGAATCCATTTTATCAGCCTTTCCTCCTTATTCTGCTCTTCCAGAGTAATATATGTGTAAATTAAATGTAGCATAGCTTAAGTAAGCATAGATTACCCTGTATCTGAGGCGTTGTTTTTAGAGCCACATTTGCATGTTAAGTGGAGTTGTGTGCCATGAGGGATAGGTTTATAGACCGGACCCGTAATGAAGTTGAGAATCATTGTGCAAAAGCTGCAGACTACAGGTAGACATTGAGAGCCTTTGAATGTGGAGAGCGTATATTTCACTTCCTTTTGACAAAGACTTTATTTTATAAGGCTTTATGGGAAACAGTGTGTTCAATTACCTCAGTTAAAACTCATTCCAGGGAGCAGACTATTAAAATACTACTTGAAAGTACTGAGATTTCCCCCTTTTTGTAACTTTTGATCAACTGATTGATACCTGGTATTTAAAATAACATGTTTAAAAAAGATTCCTGAATTTTGTTGTATCTGTGAGAGATACCCTAGGGAGGATCATAAGTCTACTATGATCATAATTGTGTTCCTGGTCTAGTCTATCCCTTTAATGTTGGGAGTTGAGAATGGGAGAATATAAAAGAATTCTTTTGGTTCAGGTAAAAAAGACATTTTTAGAAAGTTAGCATGGGATAGTGAGGAAAAAAAAACAAAACAGGCTTTTATTTAGAAGATTTGTGTTCAAATTCTGGCTCTACATCTAATTAGTTATATAACTTTATTAACTTTACCAAGGCTCACTTTACTCATTTGTAAAATGTGGATGATAATAATAAATTCCTACCTTACAACACAGCTTTGTATTTGGTGAGCTAATGTATGGGACATATAGTAGGCATTTAATAGCTGATAGTGAAATCTGAACCTGGGGTTCATTGGACCTTCTTAAGAAAATTTTGGTAGATAGATATATAAATATAAGTATCATGTTTATGTAATATATGTATTCCTCTCCCCCCTTTATATCTGCATCCCATGTCTTGTTTCCAGTAGGATTTAACTGGTATGTGGTTGATAAGTTAACTTTTAAATGTATGTAATAGCCAGAGCCTTTTAAAGTTATCTTAAAATGTTCACTGTAAAGCTTCGTTAATAGCTGCTGTAAATCTGTTTGTCAAGTGCTTTCCACTCTCTTCCAGTTTCTGCTAATGCTACTACTATTGCTTACTACATTATCCAAGTTGGAAACCTTGGTATGATCTTTCCTGCTTTCTCTTTTCTTTGTAATTCTGCTGTCTAGCAGGCTATTTCTATGCAAAACTAATACTGCATAAAATATTGTCAATGCCAATGTAAGGTAGACAGCTTAGCAAGTACATGGACTTGAAACACCAGAGTATGCTAAGCAGCACTCTATAGCTGTAATGTATTACCCTTTGTCAACAGATTTCTGAGACATCAATGAAACTCCTAATCATGTCCGTTTATACGATATAATACCAATTTTACAGTTTTTTTCTGCTTAATTCTCATTCTTATTTTCGAATGGTAGTAGTATCAATGGCAGACTTCTGTAAAACTAGGACTGACATACTTAGATGATGAGATCTTGTTATTCCATAAGCGGTAGGATACCAGATGTGGTAAACAAATAACCTCTAGCAGCCTGAATGGAAGGATGTGGTAGGTTGGATTATTGTTCAGCAAATATTCATTCCCTAACCTACCCCACTCCCAATAGCCCCCCACCCAACCTATGAGAGCAGTCTGTTTCGTCATCCAATTGCTATTGGACTTGGTCGTGTGACTTGATATAACCAATGGAATGTTAGCAAATATGCCACTAGCAAAGGCTTGAAATATGCTTGTGCAGTTGGACTTGGTCTTTGCACTTCTATTGTTTGCCGTGAGAAGAACATGCTTCTAGTAGCTGCTAATTCAAGAAGGATGAAAAGCACTGGCTCTGGACCTGATCTGCAGCTTGGTACCAAGCCCAGTGTAGTCCAGCCTACAGCCAAGTCCCAGATAATGAGCATATATGTGAGCAAGGAAGATATACTTGTTGTATGCTGCTGAATTTTGAGGTGGTTTGTTACTCAGTATTGTGGCGGTAGCTGACAAATACAGAAGGATACTCATTTCTTTTAAAGACCTTCTTTAGGCACTGTTTTGGAAGCTGCAGCTTTCCATGTAGCATCAAGAACTTTATTGTTCAATGGCACCTATTTTAATGCCAGTTTTGTCTCTGGTTACTGGCAAAACTGTTCAGGATTGAAAGCTCACTTTAAAGAAATGCTTACAATTCAGATGGGAAGAAGAGTGCTGGTTGACCCTGGCTATCTCCACAAACCTGTCTGTACTTGGAAGTTGTTTCTAGGAAAATATAATGGCCAGTGGCTCCTTTTTTTGTTGTTGGATCAGCTAGTTGTATGTCCTTAGTGGTACAAAGGGCAGTGAATACACAAAGATAGTATCTTTAATTATGGAAGGAGCCTATTAAAATTCCATTTTATCTTAAGAAATAAACATGTAAAGGAATCTGGAGGAGGCCAAACACCTCTTTAAAATAATGATTGTCTTGGGCTAATTCCTTTACTGTGCCTTCAGCATCATTAGATGCCAATCCTACTGTGTAGGTTCATTTGCAAACAAAACTGATTAGAGACTGGAGGCTGTGTGCATGAGACCTCCCTAAAGCAGAGGTTTCAGAAACCTGCACATTGTTTAAACTGGTTACCCTCAGCACTACTTTTATTTATTTTCTCTCTACATGGGGGGGAAAAAGAAGGTTGTTTATTTCAAAGGGTATTAGAACCCATTCTTCAAAAGAGAATACCGAAAAAGAGAAAAAAAGATATTGTGTAAAAGCTCAGAAGGTTTTCAGAATTTCCCTTTTTTGCCCATTGTAAACATGATCTTTCCCTTTGCTCTGAGCTCCCCCCTCTGGCATTAATGGTATATTTCTCTTTCTGTTACTACAAACTTCAAAGCTCCCCTCCAAGTCATTTTGCAAACTGTAAAGTAATGGTGGGGGCTGCTTTTATTTCCCAGAGTTTGTGGTGGGGGTGGACTGAGAAATGTAGAGGAACTGTTGGCAACATTTATTAACTTTTAATTTGGTGCAGAAAAAATCGGAAACCAAGTACCATACACCATTGATGTTGCTTCAAAGATACTTTGAGCTTGTTTAACCAATTTTTTAAAGCTTGTGTGCCGGACTGAAATGAGGTGCCTTTTATACAGACCTCAGGATTGTGCTGTCATAATAGATAAATCCATATGTCTCTTTGTTTTTGTAATTAAAGCTTTATCCTTCCTCTTTTTTGTCTTCAATGGCTATCTTTGTTCTGATAGAGACCGATTGCTTTATTGTAAGTAAACTCCTAACTATTGTGTGATATTCTCTTTAAAAAGAAGACTGGTGATGCCTAATTTATTTAGCACCATCTAGGAATCTGATTTTCAGTGTGGCTTAATTTTCCAGAAAATAGTCTCTCCCCTTTTAGCATTAAAGATTGTATTTTAACATCTTTAATGGAAATTTTATAAAATACATTTCTCAGATTTGGTCCTTTTGTCACAATATACTGAGCACATTCAGACTTTTTCTGGTGACTGAAGGACTGTCATTTTGAACCTGGTTAATCGATGCTTTGGTTGCACTTTTGCACACTACCCTTTATTGAATGTATTGTGATACGTCAGAGGTCATCTTGTCACATGTGAAGGCACGGACAACGTTCCATCGTGCTGAACCAGTCCCAGACTTCCATTAAAAAAAAAATCATACTTGTTCACTCTTCATACCCTCTGTCTTTTTTTTCCTTGCTTTTTGGGGGTAGGTTATCATGTCTAGCTATTGATCGTGTCTGTTTCAGACAAGCTCCTCTTGCTAAGTTGCTCAACTATTGTGGTATAAGCTGCAAAGGCAGAGAACCAAGGTGGTTAGAATTGTGTGTAGAATAAGCGACCAGAAAGCACTCTGTGGCATCATGCACATGAATTCTCAGCTATGGATTGTATAACATAAGGACATTTTGCCCCTGGAAATGTCCCTTTTTTCTTAATTCTCTCTTCCTTAGTTTCTGCTATTCTTAGTGGTCCAGGCTGCCAGGTAAATTAGGTATTCTTCTGTTAACAATGGCAGTCAAATGATACCTAAAACACCTTTATTGTAGAATTCTCTATCCTAGTCCCATCCATCTGTATTTGTGTTACTTAAGTTTTAGCTATTCCATGAAGATCCATTTCTGGGAAAAATGCTCCGTTATCTAGTGATCTGTTAATTTCTAGAAGTATCTAGGTTGAGGGTAAAGTTTTTGCCGTTTATTTTGCCACCTAGATTGTGCTGAATGGATAAGTGAATGAATATGTTTCTTTTGATACTGAAGCAAGTGGGTTTTTTCTTTTATTTTTTGTGATTAAATATTTGGTTAGTTTCTTTTTTCCTCTTAATTTGTTCTTACTTGTCCTTTATTCCTTAGAGCCACATAAGGAAGGGCAGGGGGAAAGAATTTGAATTATCTCAGTGTTTTTTTTTTTTTGTTTTTTTAAAGGAGATAGAATTTGCTCTTGCTATTCATTTCAAGAAATTGGTGATCTTGCATCAGCCGGCTTGTTTTTGAAAGATGTTTTTCTTGGCATCCATGCAAACTAACGATATGAACTGTATCAAACCCAGAGTGGCGTGGGCCTTCCTTGTACTGCCTTCTGACTTCTTCAGCTGCTATGTCTGTACTTGCCCTCCTATGTGCCCTGAGCTCTGCCCTCTGACTGAGAAGATCTAGAATTTGACTGTCCTCTTTAGGCCAGAGCTATCATTACTCATATAAATGATATTCTTTTTGAGATAGCTTTCTCCTTTCCTCTTCATTTGGCATCAAAACTAATAAATGATGAAACTAACTTCCTTTCCAGTAATTAGAACCTTTCTCTTTTTCTCTTTTTTGTCTCTCTTTTCCTGAGTGAAGGCAGTGTGGTGTTAAAAAAAAAAAAAACCCTAATATTATCCATATCTTATGGGATACTCTACTGGCATAATACTTCTTTACTAAAGCCTAGAACCATAGACTTCAGTTTTGGGGACCTGATCAAAGAAATAAGACAGACCTATGAAATAATCAGCCTCTTTAAGTATCATCACATACCCTTCGTGTGTACGAGCCAGTGGCTTTCAATTTGATTTAATCAGTGTATGGTTATTAATGTGCACTATATGGAATGCACTGTGTTCTATGCAAAAAAACTCCAAAAATGAAATCTTCATACCCTCCCCCTTTATTTTAGCTTGTAGGAAATGCATTTCTTCTGTTTTGCTTGTGTGGATAATTACTTTAGAGTAACTTATGATCTTTTCCCATGAGCTTAGTGTCAATTTCCTGGAGGCATATAATTTTATATAAATTTACCTGTTTGCCCTGTCTATAAATTGAGGATGAACTGATAAAAAAAAAATACATCTGAGTGACTATGGATGGGTTTGTGTGGGAGTGTGTGAGGATGGGAGAAACTTCCATGATTCATTAAGATATATTATGGTCATAGTAAAGGCTCATTTTAAAATTTTTTGATTTCTTTTTAAATTTTGCGTGTTATCCAAACATGTTAGAGGATTTCATTTTAAAGAAAGTACTGAAAATATTTGCCCAAATTAATATTTGTGTTCTACTTTTTTTCTCTTATAGTTTCTCAAATTTACTATATTTGTGTTACTAGAGTTTTTAGATTTTTATTCTGATTATGGCTTATGATTATCCACCAGATGTTTAAGTATTTTACCTTTTGCTATTATTTATGAGAGAAAAAAATGGACTGTAAGCTCCCTGTGGTACAATTTTCTGTTCAGAAGAAATGGAAAAGTTTGGTGGCATTCATTTTCTAGCTCATGGTCTTTTCCCATTTTCGATTATCTGGTGATCACTTACTATTTGCTCTAAACTTCAGACTAATGCTGGACAATGAAGAAGAATGCCTGTGACCTCATGGAGCTCACATCTGGATGGGAAAACAGTGCTATTGGTTTCACCACTAAAATTTTCCGTAATATTTCTTTGTTACCATTTTAAGATCGATAGGATATTTTATTATCTAATCTTTTTTCCACTTCACATCTTTTATTTCCCCGTTTTTCTGTGATGTTTCCATACTGATTGTAAATGACTCCACAAGTGTGTGCATGAATTCCCTTAAGCTCCTCTGCTTCCCATCATCCAGGCCTGCTGATTGGTATGAGTTCAGTATTGTCAAGTGTTCCCCATCTGCTTTTTGTCAGTCGCTATTTTTGCAAAGTCTTCCTTCTCTCTAATTATACAAATATGTCTTTTTCATTTTTCTTGTCAAAGACAAATTAAAAAGAATTAGTTCAGTTTCTTAGCTAGTTTAGTCTTCATTAATTCCAAACCCCACTCCATTTTTAGCACCATTTTTCTTTTCCTAGTCTTTGTCCCGCTTTTTGGTAATTTTAAAAGCTCCTCTTCTCTTGTCTGACTTATTTAAGTAGCATGAATTAATTTGCTACCTCTGACTCTTTTCTATAAGTTTTAGCTAACTCTAACAAGATACTTTTTCACTCTTCTCCATATTTAGTTCAGATCTGTCTTTGTCTGTAGATCTTTGAAGAGTCATTTGTGAAACTACATTAGGTGTTTCTTGTTCATTATCATTTTCCCCAAGAGGAATTTTAATCCTATGTGTGTTAATTATTTAATTATCCTAATGATGTCTCATATGGTACCCCTGGCCTCTTGCACACTGATGGAATTAATCCCTTATCCCAGGGCTCCTCAGAGTTCCTGATTCTTTAATGTTTGTACATTTATATTTAAATAGTTCTTATATTAGTTTTTAAGTAACTTTCCCCTGGTTTTTCCTTGCCATCTTGATTTTGTCTCTTATTTCTCTAATGCCCTATGTTCTTTCGATTTAAATATTATGACATTAGTTTCTTCCTTTCTGTTGCCTCCAATGGGGGTTGTTATTATCTAATATACTCTGGTTTCAAGCTTTAATAGCCATGAGAATCGTCTGGAATGCTTGTTAAAAGTCCAGATTTCTGAGTCTTAGCCCAGAAATTCTAATTCATTTGGTTTGTGAAGAGCCTAGATATGAAGAGCCAAACATCCCAAGTTTTAATGAGGTGGTCTACTGAGGCAGTCCACTATGACTACCACCTGCTAACTGCCATCCTTTATCTTAAACGCAGCAGCCAGATTTTTCATCTCAGAACATTTATAAAATGCCTGCTCTCTGTAAGGCACTGTGTTGGGCACTCAGAATATCACAGTGAGCAAACTGGACATTGTTCCTGATCTTGCAGTGCTTATAGTATGTTGAATTGTTTTCCTTATCTCAAAAACTTGATTACCTGTTGCTTACAGATGACAGTAGGTCAGTTCATTAGTATATTTTGCTGAGGTGCTGATAGAACATAAGAACAATGACTGGGAATCAGGAAATTTGACTTACAGGTTTGGTTTTACTTCTGCCTCTGTACACGTGTGTGTTTGCCTATGTATGTATATGTATGTGTGTGTTTCACTTGTAAAATGAAGGAGATTGGGTTGGATTACCACTGTTCCTTTCAGTCAGTATTTGAACCTCGGTTTTGGTTTCCATCTTCAAGATGTTATAGTTGTTTAAAGGAAATATACCATATTTCATCAGTTCTTTTTTTTTTTTTTTTTTTTTGAGATGGAGTCTCGCTGTCTCGCCAGGCTGGAGTGCAGTGGGGCGATCTCGGCTTACTGCAACCTCCGCCTCCTGGGTTCAAGTAATTCTCCTGCCTCAGCCTCCCAAGTAGCTGGGATTACAGGCCCCCGCCACCACGCCCAGCTAATTTTTGTATTTTTAGTAGAGACGGGGTTTCATCATGTTGGCCAGGATGGTCTGGATCTCTTGACTTCATGATCTGCCTGTCTCAGCCTCCCAAAGTGCTGGGGCTACAGGTGTGAGCCACCGCACCCAGCCCATATTTCATCAGTTCTAATGTATCATCACTTATCAGACCCCTCCCAACTTCAGAGATGTTAAAATGTGAAATAATATGTATCATATATCCATGAAGTATAGTGTACGTATTTATGTGTGAGTGTGTTTGTATTTGTGAGGATAATGATACCACACAAAGCTACCTTCTGACTACTGACACATGGTTACTTGGGACCAAAAAAGCTGTATCACTGGTCTGACACTCCTGAAAGACTCAGGATTTATTAAGAAACATAAAGCCTGTAACACAAAAGAAGCAAAGATGTAGGAGGAGATTATCAGTCTCTCAGCCCAGATGACCCTTCCCATGTTTTCCCTGGACCTGCCTCACTGTTGAATTGTGTAATGTGTAGAGATTCCTAACAATGAAGCCATCAGGGAGACTATAACTCATTGGGTAACTCTTCCATCTATCACTCAGCTCTGACATCTCCAAGAAACCAAACTCAGATGAGCACATTGCTTATTGTGAGTTATAGCTTCTTTATTTTTTACTTTTTAATTCAATATATTCATTTAAAGGCATTAAAAAAATAAATTTAGTGATTACATTGAATAATCACTTACTGGCAACCCTCTCCCACCCCCACAGGGACACACAGTTTAACCATTTCTGAGTCAAGGCCTTGCATAGGTAACATTAACTACTGTTTACACTCTTCAGGAAGTTGTCATAGTTCTTGAACACTACAATGGCTTTCTTATTTCTCTTCATGTTTTCACTGGATCTGAGTCTTCCTGGGAGGGACAGTGACTTATTCAGGGATTCAGAGGAAAGTAAGGTACTGGAATCAATTCTGCATTTTTGTAAAAGCTCTCATTCTGTTATTTTTCCCACCTTTATCTCCACCCCCACCCCCCCATTACCTATTCAATTCTGTCTTCCTTCCAAGTACTTTTAGCCTTAGAATTAACTTCTCATGCTACAGTTGGTCATCAGTGTTCATGATGTGACTGGAAATGTCAGAGACATTTGAACCAGAGCAACTCCATCTTGGGTAAGGGCTGGGTAAAATAAGGCTCAGACTTACTGGGCTGCATTTCCAGGTGGTTTTAAGTCACAGGATGTGATCAGAGGTCAGCACAAGATACAGGTCATAAAGACCTTGTTGATAAAATAGGTTGCAGTAAAGAAGCTGGGCAAACCCACTAAAACCAAGATGGCAATGGGAGTGACCTCTGGTGGTCCTCACTGCTACACTCCCACCAGCAATGTGACAGTTTACAAATGCCATGGCAATGCATTCTAACTTCCATAGAGGAAGTTACCCTATGTGGAAGTTACCCTAAAAAGGGGAGAGATGAATAATCTACCCCTTGTTTAGCATATAATCAAGAAATAACCATGGAAGTGGGTAGCTATCAGCCCTTGGGGCAGCTCTGTGGAGTAGCCATTCTTTTTATTCCTTTACTTTCTTAATAAAACTTGCTTTCACTTTACTCTGTGGACTCACCCTGAATTATTTCTTGTGTGAGATCCAAGAACCCTCTCTTGGATGTGGATCAGGACCCCTTTCTGGTAACAGAAATATTTTAGTACTATTGGGAGATTTTGGCTGAGGTCTTCTATTTCAGAAGTTTTAACATCAATAGCCAGTGGCAAATGCTAAATAAATGATACAGACTGTAAGTACCAGGGGAGTTACAGGAAAGTAGAGATCACTGAGTTGTTGGAAAATGCTTCAAGACGGGAGAGATATTTACAGCAAGTAAGATTTGGAGAAGTAGTACCAGAAAGAGAGTTAGGAAGGTACACGGAATATGTGGAAGGAAGGAATGTAATGAAGGGACTAGCAGAAGGTAGGTTGGGACTGGCTCATAGAGGGCCTAGAAATTCCATCTGAAGATTTTCAGTTGCATATTTTATGGAGCAAGGGTTTCTAATTGTCTTTTTGCCTTGTTTTTGAGACATAGTCTCACTCTGTCACCCAGTCTGGAGAGCAGTGGTGCAGTCTCGGCTTACTGCAGTCTCTGTCTCCCAGGTTCAAGTGATTCTCATGCCTCAGCCTCCCGAGTACCTGGGATTACAGATGTGTGCCACCATGCCTGGCTAATTTTTGTATTTTTTTCTGTAGAGATGTGGTTTCACCATGTGGCCAGGCTGGTCTTGAGCTCCTGGCATCAAGCAATTCACCCACCTCGGCCTCCCAAAGTGCTGGGATTACAGGCATGAGCCAATGTGTGCCACCGTGCTCCGCCTCTAGTTATCTTGAAGAGGCATTTATCACTTCCTCTAAGGTTCCAGTCATCTTCTAAGATATATGGCTTGCAAATGATACAGTGGGGCTAATTTTGACTCACACTGTTAAGCCTGTGTGTTTGTGTGTGGGGGGTGTGTGTGTGTATGTGTGCATGCACATACACGCACACATACCTATGTAAATACAACATCCCTGCTGGTGCTTATTCCTGAGATGGGATTCCTTGAGCAGAGTTGGGGACAGTGCATTGCTGCTGGCTGGGTTCTCCTCCAGTGAACAATCCTGGAAGACTGTGAAATGAAATTCTGACCACTTGGTCATTCAGATCTACCAGTAACTAATGATTGACCCACTTACAAGGCTTGCCATAAACAATGGCAAACCATTAGAGGTTTTTTGGTTAGCTTATTTTTTTGTGTATTATGTTTGTTTTCATGTATGTTTTTTAATACCTGCCATTGATGGTTTGAAATTATTGTTTTAGAAAGGATATACTGGGCATAGCTGGTGAATTGGAGGTGATAAAAACTTAAGTCAAATTAAAAAGACCCTTTTGAAAGCCTAGCGTGAAGTGAGGGGAACAGAATAAGGACAATGAGAATAGAAAGAGGTGGTTATTAGACAGTAGAAAGGATGAATTACAGAATGATTGGTGGGATAATTTATTCATTTATTAAACATTTATTGAAATTTATTACACTGTGGAGATTTAAAGCTGAAAAAGTTGGACTCCACTTCAGAGAGCCCCCAAGAGCGGGCAGTCTGACAAGTTAAGTAGTGATGGTATGCTGTGCTTAAGGATGAAGCAGGCTGAAACACCCTCGAGGCATGAAGTGATGCCTCAGGCTAGTGGGGATGGGGAATGGACAAGAGAAGAGCTTGTGGGGTGGTATTTGAGCCTATTTATAAGCAAAAAGAAAGAACCTAGTAGAGAAAAAGAGATTTACATATGATCTGGGAGAGAGAAGGGATGATTAATAAAGTGAGTTATGGAGGAGGTGGGAGTAGATGGATTTTGACCACAAGGAGAAGGGATTTGAAGGAATCGAAGATTTGCTGGATACTGAAGAAAGGAATGAATCAAAGATGACCAAGGAATCAGTTTTGTGTGTTTTGTGTGACTGAAAGAATGGTGGTCCCATTTGTAATAAAGAGAAGATGAATCTGTTTTTAAATACATTTGAGTTTGAGATAATGGGAGTCCAATAGGAGGCTTGTACTGAAGGTTGATAAGGTTGACCTGTGAAAGATGAGGGTGAACACCATTGATTACAGAGGAGTGTAATGACAATGTAATCTACAATACAAAGTGCCTCTCTGCAGGACTTGGGTGTTTGTGAAGTAGTGGAGTGAGAAGCCCCAGTTGCTGTGACGGGAGCCAGGGAGTGAGATTTACAACAGTTTATTTCCCTGTAGGGGTGGTGTTATAGCTGCTTTTTCTTCACATCTTCTTCCGTAGTCGCATTTGTCCAGGATCTCAGGCACAGGCATGGTTGTGGAGGCTAGACCTCACATGGGTAATAGAAGCACTATCAGACACAGAAATGTCCTTTTCAAGGCTGGGGTTGGGTTCCGAGGAGACCCTAGCAGGAGAGGCCCAGGGCAAGGGGAAAGATGAACAGTTGACACACCTGCCTCTTGGTAAAGTCTCTTGCGCAGTACAGAATGTGGGCCCATCTCTGCTTTCTCCACCAGAGAGCAACTGGATAGCCTTGGATGGAGTCAGAAATCAGCCTGTAGATCTGTGAAATGCCTAATAGTTGTCCCTGAGTCTATTGTCACTTCAGTCTGGTGGTAGAAACTCAAATACCAAAAACTCCTCAGTGACCTTCCCCATGGTCAAGCACCAGGGTGTAGAATCCAGCAGATGCTTTGGGTGAGTGTTTGTCTCTGCAGCTCTACAGATTCACTTCCATGCAGGTTGTCTTGACCTCCTGGGGGCATCAGTGGGTGGTGTGAGTGGCCTTTATCAAAGGTTCTCCCATTTTCCTGGCTGTGATGAGGAGTCAGAATTAGTTACAGTATCTAAGGACCCCAGAGCTCCATCTTTCTCTCTCAAAGTTATATTCCCAGAAAGGTCATTTGGGAAACACCCCCTCTCAAAGGGGCATGTAGTGCTTAAGTGTTGGCTTCTATACACAAAAAGCTCAAACTGTATAAGAAGCACCTGTGTTGGAAGATGATGCCCAGATGAGGAAAGCTTGGAGTGTGGCCTTTATTTTGGCCATTATGCCAGGCAGGACCAGGGACAACTGACAGACCGCAGGAACTATGTAGTTCAGGGAATTAGGAGCATTTCCTATTCTCTTGGGTCAGGAGACCTGTGTGTACTGATATCCTGGCCCAAAAGGTATGCTGAAAACCAGGTCCTCATAAGAGTGGAGTGTAGCTCACTTTCTGATTGTGCATAGCCATGGGTTCAGTCTGAGTGTTTCTTCAGGAGAAGCCAAATTATAAAGTCAGCCTAGCTGACCAGAGGAATTTCAGTCCAAAGGGGCAAGAGAGATTCTGAATGAGAGCCAGCAGAATGGACCAAGGAGACCAGCAAATGAAGAATCAGAGCACAGGGTAGCAAGTGGGGCTTGGCGTTTTCTCCAGGCTCTTTATTCTTCCTGAATCTCCCTCCTTCCATATGCATCAATTTGGACATATACTTAGCTAGGTGGAGACTAACATTTATTGAGGATTGACTTTGTAACAGGTAACGTTTTATGTGTTGGGGCCACAGCAGTGAACAAGATAGAACAAGATAGACAGTCTTACAACCCCCTGCTTCCTGCCCCACGGAGCTTATGTCTTAGTGGGCATGTGGAGACGGTAAACTACACACATAGGGTAATTCCTTACTGATGACTTCCTATGAAAAAGATACAATTAGAGAAACAGCACTGTAGGGTGTGATTTGTTCTGGAGGTGTTAAAGCTAGGGTGGTCAGCAAGCCTTCTTTGAAGAGATGGCATTTGGGTTGAGTCCTGAGTGAGGAGAAGAAGAGTGCCACATTAAGATTGAGGGAACGGAGAAGAAAATTGGGTCTTGTATTTTGGCTATGTTAAATGTGGGATGCCTGTGGGACATGAGATCATGAGCAGGTTGGTCGGTGGTGTCAGCTTGTCGGTGTTCAGGTCAGAGGTCTGGGATGACAGATTGCAGGGCCTTACCAGATAGATTGTATTTTAAAGTCACAGGACTGGATGAGATGGCGTTTTCACACTTTTTTGGAGCTCTTTTTAATCATGTATATTTGCCTAGAGATTAACAACACGTAAGATTCTTATTTTAAATAGAACAGATTTTTTGTTGAATGAGGCAGAACTTTGGGGGCATGAATATGATTTTGTGTGTGTATGTTTTTTTCATGTTTCTGGACCGTATGTGTACTGATTGACAAGTTCCTCCTGTCATGTACTTGATGGCTAAAAGACAGCAATTCTCAAAGTTTTCAGCTTCTATCCTGACAAATTGAAAATTTTCTGAACTCATTATAGAATCTACTCAAGTGTACATATGCAGTCATAGGTTTCTGATCTTCAGATTTATTAAGAGTCCCTGAAATCTTTCTTAGTAAATATTGTATTTGAAAGAGATGGCTGGAACGTGTGTCAAGTGCTTTATAGTTAACACACATCTGAGGTTCCAAAACCTGTGTGAGGTAGGAAGATGTTGTACTCTTTCCTTTGCAGTTGTGTAGGGTAGGACTTTGGAATATAAAATGACTCTGACGGGAAAACACAACTCAAAATTGTTAGGACCAATCTTAGAATCCAAGGCTTTGATTCATATGCCAGCGTCTTTCCACTACTTCAGTGGTTCTCAGCCTTGGCCCCATGTTAGATTCATCTTGGGAAGTTACAAAATAAAATAAAACAAAAAGCCCAGCAATTGTGCTTCCACCTCAGAGGCCTGGACAGTTACTACAAACAAACAAACAAACAAACAAACAAATAAATCAACCTCTCCTGGTAATTCTAATGTGCAGCAGTAGCTGTGAGTCTCTGCCCTATTCCACATTGCCTTACCAGGAGCTGCGTTATCTGGTGTGTTGTTACCCTGTAATCCCAGCAGTTTGGAAGGCGGAGGTGGGAGGATTGCTTGAGCCCAGGAGTTTAAGAACAGCCTGGGCAACATAGCAAGACCCCATCTCTACAAAAAATACACAGAAAAATTAGCCAGGCATGGTGGCGCATGCCTGCAGTCCCAGCTACTCAAAAGTCTGAGGTGGGAGACTCAACTGAGCCCAGAAGGTCGAGATTGTAGTGAGCCGAGATTATAATACTGCACTTCAGCCTGGGTGACAGAACGGAACCCTGTCTTAAAAAAAAAAAAAAAAGATGACTGAGCCAACCAGGATACTTCTAATGACCTTGTTAAGGAAGATCTCTTTTCTTTCTTTAAGTCTCAAGCAGAGTCCTTCCTCTTTCTTGTGACTGTTTCTCTTTCTGGTTGTGAGTTTGCAGGTATCCCACATTCTTTCTCTGGTATCAGTATTCTCTGTGCTTGTACATGAGACCAGTGAAGCTGGACTAACCCCTTTATTTCCACAGCCTAATTTAATTACAACCAAAACCTCTCAATAAAACTGTTTTCTTATTTACGAGGGAGACTTTATTCCATTTTTTGGATTGAGAGAGATGCTTTTTATTTTTCGCCCTACTCTGTGCTGTAAAATTATCTCTGGAGATTTAATTGTGTTTTTGAATGGTTATTCCTAGTTTTTAACGCAGGGCTGTCTGTAAAATGAAGATAGCTTCTTCTCTAGTTTGCTCACTGTTAGCTAGTGAAAACATGCCAGCTTATAACTTGGCAAGATTACTCTGAGCTACTCAGGGCACGGTCCTCAGTCCAGCGACCTGTCTGCTCACTATTACCCGTCCTTGATGAAATAAGTACAGAAATCGAGATGAAGCCATTAGAAACTCCTAGTGATTTGGAAAACGTAACTTTAGATTTTGTTCATCTTTGTCTTTTTAAAAAATATACTTTTAATGTTTTATAAAGTATCAAAAACTGATAATCCTCATAGGTAATTTCAGAAGCCATGGACTGGATCTCTGAATCCAGTAGTCACTGAGAGGACTAATAACTACCGCTGCTTTTTTCACGAGTAGAAATAATATTCTTGATTTGCAACTATTTTGAGGATGTAGGGTAACACAGTGTAAGTGGTAAATTTCAAGTTCTGGCACTGGGCATTAGCCTAGAGCTTAGCTTTAATCTACAATATGCATTTCTCAACCTGCTTCTGATACTTTGCCACCTGTCCTCTCTAGGCTGCAGTTTACATTTACAGATGTTTCTATAAACCTTTGAAGACTCAGGAACATTTTGGTTGGTTTTTAACCATAAGTGAAATAATAAAGGGGATAGATTTCAGTTTGCTTTGGCAGCTTTAGTTTTCAGTTTTGAGTGATTCTGACCAAGTCAACTCCACAGTTCATCATTTTATAGTCACTTGTATTTTGGCTGTACACCAGTATGTTCTATAAAATACATCATTTTCTAAAGTACATTGAGGCATGAAAACATCAGTGTTAATCCTTTTCTGTTACACATTGTTTTAGGCAATCAAAGACTTCTGCTTGCTTTTTCCTAACTAGGATATATAGATCTTCTTACATATGAGAAATGAACATTGCTTCACTCTCTTGTCTTCTGTAGAGTCTACCAGGCAAGTGCTCCACTCTGTTTTTGTATATTATTATTCTTACTGTAAGAATAATGCATGCTTATTATAGAAAATTTGGAAAATACAGAAAAATGAAAGAGGAGATTTAACTTTTTTATATTCCTAGTACTTAGAGAGTTCACATTTTTATGTATTTCCTTCTTCAAATTTTGCTTCATTAAAAATTATAAAATTTTCAACATATTGGGAGTACAAAATTCTATGTGCTTATTTAAATAAGCTTTTTTCTGTTTATCAATAAATGTAGATATGTATATTATAAAAATATTAAGAAAATAGAGAAAACTTATAAAGAAGATTTAAAAATCACCCAGAATCCTTTATCCCAGGGATAATTTTTAACCTTCATTTATATTTACTTACTTTTTTTATTGGATTCATATCATAATTATTTTTAAGTGTACCTAATACAGGCATTGTCACAGGTTATGGATGAGAGAAGAGTTAATAAAAAAACTAATGACTCAAGTCATTCAGTTTGAGTTTCAAAGATGTGAAAAATTATTTCTGAAGTTCCTAAGCAAAAAATGTCTATTATGTTGTGATATGTAATTCTTCCCTTTAGAGAGAAAGATGTACTTTTTATTTAGTAGTTGTCATGGAATATTGTCCCAAATGTGTTTAAAATAGTTGAGCCACTATTAGTAAAGAAAGAACAACACTGCTGTTGTCTTGGGTGTTCAACTAAAATATTGTGACTGTGGGTTAAAAAGTGGCTCTAGGTGAGGGACAGAGCAGGAAAAAGCACAGTGTAGTGAAGCATTTCTGGGTCTCCTTTTGCCCTTGGGCTGTGGAGTGTGCCCCACTGCACTCAGTCTAGTTAGATAACTAATACTGGAGCTGGGAAACCCCACCAGTCCTATATATTGTGACTTCCTTATGCTTTGAATTCTAATTTTTACTCATTCTTCATATGTCTTTTTTTTTTGAGACATGGTCTTGCTCTGTCACCCAGACTGGAATACAGTGGTGCGATCATGGCTTACTGCAGCCTTGACCTCCTGGGCTTAAGCAATCCTCTCACCTCAGCTACCTTAGCAGCTAGGACCACAGACACACACCACCATGCCTGTCTAATTTTTAATTAATTTATTTATTTTTGTAGAGACAGGGTCTCACTATGTTGCCCAGGCTGGTCTCAAACTCCTGGCCTCAAGTGATCTTGCCACTTCACCCATCCCCAAGTGCTGTGGTTATAGGCATGAGGCACCATGCCCAACCTAGAGCAGGTCTTAAGCCTCTTTCCTCCGCTTATGGTGGATAGAGTTGTATCACCCCAAAAGTTATGTTCAAATCCTGGCGTCTGGTATATGTGAATGTGACCTCATTTAGAGATAGGGTCTTTGCAGATGCAGTCAAATTAAGGTGAGGTCATACTGAATTAAATTGGGTCCCAATCTAATGATTAGTGACCTTATAGGAAGATGGAAATTTAGGCCAGGCGTGGTGGCTCACACCTGTAATCCCAGCTCTTTGGGAGGCCGAGGTGGGTGGATCACTTGAGGTCAAGAGTTCGAGACCAGCCTGGCCAACATGGTGAAACCCCATCTCTACTAAAAATACAAAAATTATCTGGGTGTGGTGGCACATGCCTGTAATCCCAGCTATTCAGTAGGAGGCTGAGGCATTAGAATCGCTTGAATCTGGGAGGTGGAGTTTGCAGTGAGCTGAGATCACACCAGTGCACTCCAGCCTGGGTGACAGTGAGACTCTGTCTCAAAAATAAATAAATAAATAAAAAGAATATGGGAATTTGGTTACAGAGAAGACACACAAGGAATGCCATGTAATGATGGAGGCAGAGATTAGAGTAAAACTTGTACATGCCGTAGAACGCCAAGGATTGCTGGCTACCACCAGAAGCTAGGAAAAGGCAAGGAAGACTCCTCCCCTAGAGACCCCAGAGGGAGGGTGACTCTGCCAACACCTTGATTTAAGATCTGCAGCTTCTAGAACTGCAAGAGAATACATTTCTATTGTTTTAAGCCACCCAGTATGTGGTCATTTGTTACTGTAGCCCTGGGAAACTAACACACCTCTCAAGAACACCTATGTTCTGAACTGTCTCAAGTTTTTTTCTGAGCTTTCTTAAATGCAAGGATAATTTCTTTTAATACACTGTTTTTTCTTTAAAAATCTATCAACATTGCTCCTTAGTCTTCTCACATTTAGTGTTACAGGAAGTATATAGCTATCGTGATTTTTGTTCTTTTTGTAAGTTCCTTATTCTATCTGTATCTAGATAAGTGTTATTTCATTGTTTTCCCTGGAAAATGCGGTAAACTCTTTTGTCTTACTCATGGTGTTTTTTTCTGTAAAGCAAGAAAATACATTTGTGTGTGTGTGTGTGTGTGTGTGTGTACATCTCTTTTTACAAACATTATTTCTGTAATACTTGGATTGAATCCCTGTTCTGAAATTTTTATGTCTATCATCTCTCCTCCAGCTTTTCAATCTTTATTATTGCTGTTTTTCCCATCTATATTTGGGAGTATTTCTCAATTTGTTTTTTGCATCTCTGATTTTATTTTATGGAATATCAATTGTTAGTATCCTAGTTCCTTTATTATGGCTTTCTCTTCTGAAGTTGCAGCATTTTAACCTTCCTTACAATTCTTCTCTTTCCCTTGTCCCCTCTTTAAAAAAAATCTTATCCTGGTATCTTTTCCTTCCAGCCTGTTTTCTCTTTAAAGATTTCTTTTACTGTTGCAAGAAGCTATGTGTTCTTGTGTGCTACTGAGGATGCCAGGATTTACTGAAAATTTTTTGTTTCTAGTTTTTGGGTTATTATTATTTTTTTTTTGAGACAGAGTCTTGCCCTGTTGCCCAGGCTGGAGCACAGTGCAGCTCACTGCAGTCTCAAACTCTTCGGCTCAAGCAATCCTCCTGCCTCAGGCTCCTTGAGTAGTTGGGACTACAGGGGTGTGTCACCACACCCATTTAATTTTTATTTTTTGTAGAGATGGGGTTTTGCTTTCTTGCCCAGTCTGATCTTGAACTCCTGTCCTCAAGTGATCCTCCTGTTTTGGCCTCCCAAAGTACTGGGATTACAGGCATGAGCCACCGTGCCAGGCCTCTAATTTCTTGAAATGTATCTTTTCCTCACTTTTTCTTTTCCCTGTTTACTCATTCTCAAATGAGAGGAAATCTACCTAGACCTTGTGTCTGCTGACTGTTGGAATATGAAGACTGCCTTTTAGCCTATTATTTAAACATATGTGCTAATGAAATCATTTTCTGAGTTTTACTGCTAGTAATCAATTTCATGTACACATATGCCAGCTCAACTCCTTGTTACCATATAATGCAAATCTGTTTTTCTGAGATGGAACTTCAACCTGTATCACTATCTGGCTTCCTGAAACACATAAAATAATAAATGAATTACTAAGGTAAACATAAATCGTTTTCCATGATTATTTTTGTATTTACAGTATTTTACAAAAGATGATTCTCTTTGTCAGAATTCCATTGTTAGTCCTCTCCACTTCTTAGTAGATTGTGTAATTTTAAGTACTATTTCTAATGGATGCAGGACAAGAAGTGTTCAGGTGGGATGGTGAGTTCGGGAGGGCCAGCTGCCTCTCAGGCCAGCAACTATGTGGTCGTGAACGGTTGCTCACTTTGGTTTGGAGAATACAGACAGTGCAAGAGTGGGAAAGGCTTTTTGTACCTACTTCCAAGTAAGCAGATTACTTTCCTTCCACTGATGCAACACAAACCATTCAGTATACGTGTTAACTCTCTTCCGTTGACCTTGTATTTAGTGGAGATTGTTTAAAGATTCTGGCTGTATTGTGTGTGGGTCCAGATTTTTTTTTGGCATTGTGAAGCTTTTTTTTTTTTAAATCTTTTGCATTCATAGATATTTGAGTGGGTACGTGGGAGAGATCGTGTTGGGTATTACCAGACAAATATCATTTTAATTTGGAAGTCTGACATTTGTTCCTCATTTCTACTTGTAGGTTTCCTGTTGACTTGTAATTTAGGGCAGTATCCTCTTTTGATCTTATTTTCTTTAGCTCTAAATGGGATTTCAAATTTAAATGTGCTTTGGTTAGCAGATTAACATAAACGTTTATTAATTCAGATAATTTACTAATATTTTATTTGTTAATATGAGAAAATTATTTCTCTTGTATTCCTGAATGAATTTTTTTCTTTCATTTGTTTGATGGACTCAGTACTTAAAATTTTTTACTTTCTCTTCTATTTGTATATTTTCCTCTCTCATCCCCAGGCATATTTTATTTAAAAACCTTGAGTCAGAGAAAGAGTTACACGGACTTATTTGGGGATTTGAGCTGATAGCCACCCATAGTTCACCCAGCTGAACTGCCTTCCTAGGAACACGATGAAATGGATTCTCAATTCTGATGTTTCTTCACTAAGGTCTCCAGCATGATACTAGTTTCCAGTGTGTTGGTAGGGTAGACCTGCTCAGCCCATAGCTAATTGATATGATGGAAAGAGGTCAATGATTTTGAGTTGGAAACACAGCTGTATGTCAGGATAATTACAGAGAAACCTGTTGCCTTGCTATTACCTTTTTAAAAAAAATATTTTAATTGTAGTAAAAAACATAAAATTTACCATCTTAACCATTTTTAATTGTACGGTTCAGTAGTGTTAACTATATTCACATTAGTGTTACCTTTTATTGCCTTTACCTTTGAAAGCTTTTTGTCCTACTCAGAAGAGCTGAGGCTTTGATAATTAGCCTGATGCACTGTGAATTGCTAAGAGTCCAACTTTTTTCATGGAAGGAACCGAAGACAAAATGAGAGAATAAAAGCAGAGAGGAGGGAAGAGGAATACAGCTTAGATTAGAAATGGTCCCTACAGCAGCATTATTAGTAAATATCTCATTTTCTGGATTCCAAGACCCTAAGAAGTATAAGATTAGGAAAAAAAAGTAAAACTACCTTAAATGTACACATCTATCATAAGATAACTGTTGATTTTTGGATATGTGAAAAAATGTGAGCAAATGTGTACCTTAGAATCTGAGAAATACCAGGAAGTCTCCCACATGGTGATGAGAAGCAGCAAATGTTGTGTCTGAGGAGGAAGTTGGTGACCAGAGTAGAACAGTGCCACAGCACAGGCATCAAGAAGGGTCACAAGCCATCTACCCCCAATAGCCTCTGCCATCCTCATGCTCCAGTCAACCTTTAGCTCTCTGTGCATCTCGTATGTCCAGAATAGCTAATGCTCATCCATTCTAGATAGCAGTTTTATTTTTTCTATAAATGTTATTTTTAACTAAGTTGTTTGATTCTCTACTATTATGGATTGTTGAGAGCCCCTGACAGCCTGACAAATGTACCCTGTGGAACATGTGCTTAGCAGTGATGACAGAATAGCCAACAGAATGTTACATATGTAAACTACTCAGCTTTGTGTTCACTCTGGGCAAATGAACAACATATGGACATTTGAAATATATGTGTGTTCAAAATTCTGTCATGTGAGGTTAGTTGTGGAATTCGATAGTCCATTTTGTATTTGTTCCATGTGAAAAGGGCCTTATAATGGCATCACCAGTTGTTCATTAATCTCCTTTCCCTTATGTAAAGTCTCCTTTTGTCCTCCCTCTGCCAGTCTGTAAGTTTTATCATGACATTTATACATGGAATGGATTGTTACCTTTTCTGGGAGGAGAATAAACCATAAATATGAACGAGGCATTAAAAGAGCTTAACATAAATCACTAAGAAAAATCTGTAGACTGTGAGAATATAAAAATCGCTGTGAATTATAAATAATACAGCAAGGTTATATAAATCATTTTATGTAAAGGCAGACATATATTTCTACTTCTCACAGTAAGGCCCAGTGATTTTAATATCATTGGTTGGCCAGCGTCTATAGTAGGAATATAGGCATGGAATATAGTAGAAAGTTCCATAGTGAAAATTCTGGGAGATCATTGGTAGCATGGAACAGTGATACTTACTTTCTGTTGGAGATTGCATTTGCTTTATATTGTTATCAAAGTATCAAAAGAAATCTTACATTTTCTCTCTATATTTGCTCTTGGATAATAGCACGCAGATCTGTAATCATTTAAAGAATGAAAATGTGTATTGAAAAATTTAAACATTTTGTTTTAACTTAATTAAACTGTCATTTCTCTTTAATTAGTAATTAACTTTCAGACTACTTTTCTAGAAAGTATCCAGAGAATCTCCTTAATTGTTTTTTTTCCTATTGTATCTACTTTAACAATATTTTCTAGAGAAAATTAATCATAAACATATAACTTTATGTAAGTTTGCATAAGCTTATGCATACCTTTTAAGCATGTATTAAAGAGAGTATTCTTTTTACTAAAGTTATCGTCTCTTGGTTAATTACTTCTGTTTTAATAAACAGATTATTCTTTGCTGAAGAAAGTTTTCCTTATAATATGTAACTCTTACACAGTTCAGAATTATATGTTATATGTTAAGTGCATAACTTTATTGTGACAGCTAGATGATTTTCTTTGTATATAAAAAATGCTTCATTCATGTCACTGGAATTAAGTCACCTCTATACATAATACAAGAGATAAAGAAGAAGTGTAAGACACAATATTGTTCTTAGATTGCTTCCTAGTTGAGATCAAACTAATATAATTTTAACAGCACTGGCATTTCAAGACAATTTATGATTAAGTTTTAAATTCTGTGATTCAGATTGCTTTTAATTGTCAATCTTAAAGAAAATTAAAGACATGCTACTATTACAGTTTCACCCCTACTCACACATAACTAGACTGAAAACGTTATAAATATTCAGTTTCCAGTAGATAAGGAAATCTTTTCCTTAATTCATTTCTGAAAGGACATCTTTTTCATACTAAAAGAACCTTTTGTTTAGTATTATATTTTAAATAATTTCTCCAACACTGCTTTCATTTATTTTATTTATTTTATTTTATTGAGACAAAGTCTTACTGTGTTGCCCAGGTTGGGGTGCAATGGTGTGATCTTGGCTCACTGCAGCCATTGCCTCCTGGCGAAGCGATTCTTGTGCCTCAGCCTCCCAAGTAGCTGGGATTACAGTTGTGCGCCACCATGCCTGGCTGGTTTTTGTATTTTTAATAGAGATGGGGTTTCGCCATGTTGTCCATGCAGGTCTCATACTCCTGGCCTCAAGTGATCTGCCCTCCTTGGCTTCCCAAAGTGCTGGGATTATAGGCGTGAGCCACCACGCCTGACCACTGCCTTCATTTCTTCTGAGGAGTAGCTTTGTTTCTTGTTAGGCCAAAGTTTATGAAACAAAATTTCTTCCTTGCTAATAATAGAACTTATTTCTAAGATGGCAATATGTGATTACAGTAGTCCTCCCTTATCCGTGTGGGATATGTGCCAGGACCCCCAGTGGAGGCCTGAAACTAAAGATAGTACAGAACCACTCTATATACTATGATTAAGTTATAGGCCAGACACAGTGGCACCTGTCTGTAATCCCAGCACTTTGGGATGCCGAGGCAGGTGGATCACTTGAGCTCTGGAGTTCAAGACAAGCCTGAGCAACGTGGTGAAAACCTATCTCTACAAAAAATATAAAAATTAGCCATGTATCGTGGTCACAGCTACTTGGGAGGCTGAGGCGGGAGGATTGCTTGAGCTGGGGAGGTTGAGGCTGCAGTGAGTCAAGATTTTGCCATTGCACTCCAGCTGGGCAACAGAGTGAGACCCTGTCTCCAAAAAATATATATAAAATAAATAAAAAGTTTAAGTTATAAATTAGAGTGAGAAATTAACAACAATAACTAATAATAGAACAATGATAGCAATATACTGTAGTGAAAGTTATGTGAGTTATACTCTTTCTTAAGATATTTGAGGAAGGGGTGAAGTGGGCCAGTACAAGATTTCATCACATTACTCAGAGCAGCATGCAATTAAAAACTTATTAATTATTTCTGTAATTTTTCATTTAATTTTTTTGAACTGTGGTTGACTATGGGTGACTAAAACCGTGGAAAGCAAAACCATGGGCCCAGGGGTTAGGGGAGGTGGGGATGGGACTGCTGTATTATTTAGTAGTATTATTTTCTTATCAAATTTTATCTGACAAAGTTTAGGAATACCACCATCTAGATTTTAATCGTAGATTTTCAGTTAAAATGTCATGGTTGATATATGAGACAAAATAAGTTTATTTTCTAGATTTGTTACTTGTAGAACCTGTTTATTATAGAGAGTTCTAGGCTTCTTTGAAAGCTGTTCTAGAGTTGATAAATCTGAAAATTCAAGTGGTAGGATGAACCAATATCATGGATAAAGCTGAGCTAATGGTTGTCCAATGAATAAGTGCTGACTAGAGCTTTAAAACTGCATATATAATATGCATAATTGGCAGTCCATAGATTTATGGGTTTTAAGTTACTGCTATTTTGACTTAAAGATTGAACGATCTATCTGTAGTGCTAGTGATGTTTCAAACATCAAAAGTAACAGAACTTCTTGCAACATAAGCAGTGCAACTCTTGCCATGTCTATTGTATCCCAAATCATACACCTTTATTATTTATTAACTGAGAATTATTGCAATAGGTTTACCCTCTGAGAAAATAAATTATAAGGAATAAATTATGTGAGCTGTTTGTCTCCTTCCACCTTGGAATAAGCCAGAATGTCTTTGGTTGATATGCTTCATTCTGTAATCAATATACGTGTATTCTGCTTTTATTCATGGAGGCTATTTTGTAAAGATAAGTACATTTTTATCAGTTGAAGGTAAATGCAAAGGAGGTGAAAGCACCTCTATTCCAGCCATTATCATTATCCATTATCATTAATGATCCTAATTTCTTCTTGCAAGTTACTGTGACTGAATCCTAGAATCACTGTATTTATAGGGATCACCAGATTCTAGAGAGGTCACCATGTGGCTGGAAAATATTTGGGTTTTAGTTTTATGTGCCCAGAAGAAAGAATGGCTGCACCAAGGTCAACAAAATGGGCAATAATTATATCTCCACTGTGTGAAAGTGCCACAGTATCAGGAATCGTAAACTTTGTTGCCTTTATGGAGCACACTACCATAATTCACATTCATGCGATCATATCATTGAATTGGCTTAGGAGGGAGAAAACTTGAGATGGAACTCCCCTGGTATTTTGGTAAATAACAGTAAGCCACATTCTGTACTATCTAATCAATGTCTGATATGAGAAAACTTAGGAAACATCATGAATTGAACTCTGCAAACTCCCCTGAATGGTGTGGATAATCATCTTGAACTTGAAGGCAGGTGTACCTTCCCAAGTTCTCTGAGCTCATTTTTGGGCTGCAGCTCCTGCCAGTATGGAATCAGGTATCACAGAGCCCAGGATGAAGGACATGATAGGTGGTTTGGAGAATTGAGTCACTCCACAGATCACCTAGGTGACGAAGATACTTGTGGTGTGTAGCACACAGAAAGCACTCATAAATGCTGTTTAAGCTAATAAAGGAAATTACAGGAATAGGCCATAGAATTTGAAGAACACAGATAACACTTCAGGATAATTTTATTTGCAGGATTATTTGTATAAGCCAGCAGAGAAACTAAATGTAGTTCAATGGAATGGAAGACCACTGAAGAACACTGAGAGCTCCTTCAGAGCATAAACTATCTTAATCATCTTTTCGTGGGCAATACCTAACATAGTGCCCTGCATTCAATAAATGCTCGTCGAATGAACAGAAACTTTAGTGAAACGTTAATATTTGTGTTGGGCCTTGAAAGGTGGTTGAATTTGATTTAGTGAAGGGAAATGACATGGCTTTTCAGAATAGTAGGACTCAATGAATAAAGGCACAGATGTTGGAATGAGCTTACTTAATTTTGTGAGACACAGGAGAGGTCAGTCTGATGAGAGGCCCGTGGTGTATGTTGTGGTGGTAATGGTTGATAAGAGGTTGTTATTGATTGAACACACACAAAAAGACTCAGTGCAAGCTTCTTTGGGGAAATACAAAGGGATGAGACATTTTTGTACTGAGAAATTCTGTCTCACAGACTAGTCTCATAACTCCTGATCAATAGCCTTACTATAGGCTGTTGATCTTGAAAGGGCACCAGCAAGAAGCAAGTGCAGTATATAGCTCAGCACACCCATCTTCCTTAGGTAGCTCGCCATATTGAGTGGGATCATTTTCTCAATTAGGTTGCGTATCAAAATTTAATACTTGTTGGATTGAATCAGATTTAAAACTCTGAAATGCTATTCTTAGGAAGAGGGAACCTTTCTCCTTAGAGTTGGTGTATCCCATTATCCTTGAGAGGCAACCAGGGACTCTGCCGGAAGGACTTCACAATCTGGCAGAGACATTTTCTGAAAATAATGATTTAAAAATTCTTCCCTTCTCTGCTTCCTCTTCTTTTTTCACCTTTAATTGAATAACCATTATATTGTATTACTTTTTCACTTATGGATTTCTTTAAACCTTAGGTATTTTGGTTAGTTCTGTGGCCAAATTTAATCATCATAGTACAGTAGTAGGTATAGCTTCAGTAATAATGCTAACAATGTATGCTTTTCTTCTAAAGTGTGCTGTTGGTACTTGAATTTAGCAGACACCGAATTTTTCTCAGACTTTTAGAAGAAATAAAAGAAGGAAGAATTAGAAGTATAATCAGAGACCAATAGTGGGGTTGACAGAAGGGGTGTTTTTCTTAATAAATGTATACCTAAAGAAAAGTTATTTTTACTGGCTAGATATCACACTACAAATATTTTCTGACTTTGAGTTCTGTAGTTATTTTGTCTAGACCACTACGCAGCTATTCATCTCATTCATTATTGCACTTATTGGTTGTTTTACCTAGCTCCTCTGAAGCTGGAGAATCTGAGATTAAGTATTAGAGCTGGAATAAGGACCTGACTCTGGGGGTTGGGATTGTCATTTATCCTATTGCAGGATGCAAGCCCTCGCAAATTTTGTGAAGTGCACTCCAAAGACATGGTTTTGCTTTCAACTGTGATGACACTATAATTGATCAAGTATATTCTTTCAAAGAATCATAAATTCTTATTGGAGTTTGAGGAGATGTCATATTCATTTGTCAACATGTCACTCCAGGGACACAGGTGCAGCAAATTTATGGAGGAAGCACCTTGTGTTTCTCCTGAGTCACATAAATATGAAGCAGAATTGATTGAAAACGTGTGGTTTTAGATTACTCCTCAGGTGGAGAGCAATTAAGATCTCTCTGTAAAGGCATTTCACTCTGCTTCTCAGGTTTTCTTGTAGCATAGGCAGAGATCAGGTCTGAGGGGACACCAGAGAAATTTTTGAAGACCTGATGGTGTCTTCTCAGAAAAGAATACTAAGACATTTCTCTGGCAGAGAGAATATTGCACATTTTTAGTCAAGTGCATGATTAACTTTGACATTTGGAAATGGAACTTCACGTAAAAATAAGCATGGTACTTCTGCATGTTTAATTAAGATGTTTAGTTCTTGTCAAGGCTGATAGCCCTCCCTCCCACCCCCACACCCCCGCCCTGTGAAGGGCAATATATTCTCAACTTCTGAAATTTCAGAAACCTGTACTTAACCTTTAATTGTCACTCCATTTACATGGAAATCTGATTAACAACTTTTAAAGTTCATGAGCTCCTGGTAAATGCAATTAAGACCTTTTTGGAGTTTGTTATTAAGAGCTGGCATTTAAAGAAGACTAGGCCCTGGCTACTGTTGCTGTCTTCTCTGTAGCAGGATGTCTTAAGCAATTAGCAGAGAACATGAGGTACATGAATTGTATGGTATTGCTTCTGCGTTAACATGGTTGGTATTTAAATAGCATGCTGTCTTTTTTCTTTTCTGTGGCTTGCTTTATGGTGTGAGCTTGTTACTGAATGGTAGGGTAGAGCTGAGAATAATTAGGTAGAGCTGTGGTGGTTTTCATAAGTACCGAGTTAGGCACAGTTCCTCATCCCATTGGATGTTCTCTAGTTATGTTTACAAATGCTCACTCTCATGTCATATGGAGTCAAGGCTAATCCTACTGTGATGAATTTATTGTATCCATCTCCTGGCTGTGGTTGTCTTTTTGAGAGTTAAAATTAAAAGATGTAGTTATTGGAGAGAAATGATCCAGGTATACAATTAATTTCTGATATCAGGCATGTGAGCTGTTCAGCCATTGCCCTTGCCTCATGGGGGCAGAAGTGGGGGTGAAGTTTGTTGGGGCAGACATGCGTAGTATAATTTACAAACTGAGATGTGCTGTGATAAATGGAAAATGGGGAGTAAATAGTTGAAAGACAGGATCTTATCGGATCATATGCTGCCAATCATACAGTGTGATTTTCATTTACTGATAGAATTGGGCTGTTTGATGGATGTATATAATGCATTTCTTCGGTACTTTATGTATGCAGGACACTGTGCTTATTAGAAATTGAGGAATGATGAGAAAAATAATGAAATGATAAATCAACAGACATATCATTTAAATACATTGCATATGATTGTGCTATTAAAGTATACTTGAATCTACATATTTCTGTCCTCTTTGAAATTTTTATGAGTATATATTGCTTTTAAATAAAAGATCAAAATAAAGAATTATTTGGGAAAAAAGAAATAGGAAAGCCAATGCAAAAGAATTAAATTGGATGCCAGAAATACCAGTGAAATAGTTCTCCATTTTTGTACACTAGAGCAGTGGTCCCCAACCTTTTTTGGCATCAGGGACCAGTTTCATGGAAGAGAGTTTTTCCATGTATGGAGGGTGGCTGGTGATGGTTTTGGAATGAAACTGTTCCACCTCACATCATCAGATATTAGTTAGATTCTCGTAAGGAGCACACGACCTAGATCCCTCGCATGTGCAGTTCACAGTAGGGTTCACACTCCTGTGAAAATCTAATGCTGCTGACGGGAGGTGGAGCTCAGGTGATAATGCTTGCTCCCCTGCCGCTCACCTGCTGTGTGGCCTGGTTCCTAACAGGCCATGGGCTGGTGCTGGTAACAGGCCACAGACCAGTAACTCTAGTGCACAGGAACCCTTGCGCTAGAATTTTCATATTTACTGTAAACTTACTTAAACCAGCAGTGCAGTTCATTTGATTAACCTTTTAAATTTTAGGCTATCCTCAAGTGTAGTGCGTAAATAAAATAGTTTAATTCCATGTTTTGAATTAACACATAACATTCAGTATAAGTAATGTATAATAATCAAATACCTATTGTAGATGTGGAAATTTTTTTTTGGCAACAAAACTGATAAAATAGTATTACTTTTTGTTTAACCAAGCTGTCGACAGGTATTTTTCATTAGTTTAGTAGCTTGCTCAAGGGACACACACACCCACCCACACACACACCATCACCTTCAGACAGAAGAATTTTCCTTATTTCATAGACAGAATCTTGTAGATGCAAGAGTTGGCGAAGTCAAGAAATTGGTGATATTAAGTTGTTCTTTCAGTCATAAAGCATTTTAATAAGATACTTCAGTGGAAATATCATTAGACATGAATTTTGTCTAATACATGCTGGTATTAGATAAAATGCCTTCTGCTCAAGTCGTGTTGGGAGGTGAAGAGAGAAATACAGGAAAAGTTAAATATCCAGCAGTGTATGATTAATTGCCAAGTCCAAATAATCATCTGTGGGTCCTCTAGGAATTTAAAAGATAACTTTAGATAGATTGGTCAGAGAAGGTTTTGCGCATGGGTTAGAGGCTGAACTGGTCCTTGAAAGAAGGCTAGAATTTAGGTATTTTGGAAAGATCATTTTAGATAGGGATAATATGCATATATTCAGAACAGTGAGCACCTTACTGAATTTAACCACATTCTGAGGAGGCTGCGATGAATTCGGTTGAGATGTTCTTTGTGGACTCCTTAAAGAACAGAACCACTGTATTTGTCTCTGCATTCTGGTGCCTTGTACTCTCAGTGCTTCCAAACCCCCTTATCTCCTGGTCTTTACAATGTTCCCCTTAAATTCCAATGAGAAGGTATGTAACACAGTTCCTGGCACTTAGTAATTACAAAGTAAATGCTGGTTGAATCTGAATTTGCAATTGTTATCTCTAAAAATTCTATTTTGAATGAACTATAGGCAAATATTTTTTTATAAGTGTGACAATATTTACATATTACAGATAAACAATATAAAATCATCTTTAGTAACTGAACTGCTAATTGAAAATGCTGGGTCTTAGCCACTTAATTGAGTAAACTGTCTCCAGAGAGTAATTTGGGTCTTTTCCAAGATGCATTAACTCTTTCAGGTCGTTAGGGTGGCACTTATCTCATTGGAGCAGAAATGTAATAAATGGTATTCCTATAATGTAAGTAAATTAATGTACCTCAAAAAGCCTGAAGTTTCACCATGGGTGTTGTAGTTGTACTCCAAGGAGCTCATCTGTGAATGTGAAACAGCAATAAGTAGCTGCTGTTTGGAGCATCTTACTTTCAATTTAGGTAACTTAAGACATTGTGCCTAGATGTTGACAGAGATACAAAGAAAAGACCTGGCTGACAGGCGGCAGAGAAGGCAAATAACTGCTAAATGAAATCCTTGAGAGATACAAACTGCTGTATGGGTTTTAATTAGAGTGAGATATCATAGTTGACAGTCGAGATAGATGGTAATCTCCCAGAAGACAGGCATCATGGCTTTTTTACACAATATGCTTATTCATGTTTATTCTCAGTATATAGACATGTATAAGTATAAATATTAATATGAACAAATATATTTGTAAATATGAGTTGAATAAATTGTAAACATATTTTACAATTTTCATATGTGTGCTTTTTTTCCTTGTGAGAATATGAAATATTAATGTCTGGCATTGATCTAAAGTGACTATAGTAAGTAGGTGGAAACCAGAAAAAACACACGGCATCTTTTAGAGATATATGCTACTCACAGGTTCCCTGTAACCTCAACTTGAGTGTCAGCCTACTGGTGGGGGATATTGACCTTTAGCTAGAAAAGAATATAAGAATGATTTATTCTACCCACCAGCATGTTACAGATTTACATCTGATGGGAAGATAGAGGCACATAGTTGTCATCGTAAGACCAAGGGGAAGTGACATAAAAAGACCAATGCAAAAAGAACTTTCAAAAGAAGAAGGTAGAGATAACAGCTCCATGAGAAGATAAAACTTCAAAGCTATAAGCCCCTCCCTCTGTTTCCTCATGCATGGGGTTGGCTTCATCTCCATGCATGTAACTCTGATTAGTAACATCTGAATGGAGGAAAAGTAGTTTGCTAAGATCCATTAAAGTCTACTTAGATTCACTTTCTTGATCTCATACCCCAAGCTTTAAAAAAATTTTTTATATTTTTCCCTGGTACCTGATGTACAGCTAACATTCCCCATACTTGATAAATGGAAGAGTAGTTAATGGCAGGAAAAAAAATTAGATAAATTTAGACATGATGGAAAGCCTTTGGGAGTTATTTAAGAAACAGGAAATAAAACTTTAGTTTAATCAACTGGTAATGATATAAAAAGAACCAATAGGAACTCATCCTATAGAGGTTGATTGGGGCTGTGTTGTGAGAGGCGCTGAATAATAATAAGATAGAGGTTTATTTATTTTGAAGGCATGGAGGAAGCCATTGAAGGACTTGTCAGAGGAATGAAAACATTGGGTTTAATCTGGTAGCAGGTTGTGGGATAGACTGTCATGAGATGCATGTGGCAGGATATGGCCGGTGGGAGACTGTTTTAATAACCTGCATGAAAGATAATGAGGACCTGATTTAGAAAGATGAGTATGGGAATGAAAATATTTAGAAGAGGGACTGGACATGAAGTGTGTAGTATTAAATCTATAGGATTTGGCAGGTGATTTGGAGAACAAGACTGAGAAGAGCCACAACTAACTACACATTTTGATCCCAGGTGATCAGAAGAATGATGACATTAAGGAGCTCCCCCGCTTTGGTGCCCTTCCTCCCTTTGAGGAGAGGTGGTAATAGAGAGTTTACCTGGTCAGTCTGAGTTTGTTGGACCCATGTTTTAGCATTTCCTAAACATCTGCTGCATTGTTTTGACCTGCTTACTGTGATATGGATGTGAGAACCCAGACATTCTTACAAGCAATGGCAGTGTATCTTTGGAGCTTGAGAGAAAGTATGATGTAAGAGGGATAATTGGGAATCATTCAAAATGTAGAAATAATAAAAATGGAAGAGAGCAGGAGCAAGGGTTAGGATATTTTACTTCCTAATTGCATTTTACAGCCTAACTACTAATACTTAAGTAATAGTCTTAAGTATTAGTGTTAGTTCTTACAGCCTAACTACTAATACTCAAGTAGTTAGGTTGTAAAATACAGTAATCAAACTCATTGAAGTGAAAGAAAACATTCCAAAAGTTTAGAGAATGAGTATTAGCAGAAGCCTGGATTTAGTAATTGAGATCTTTATTGTAGCGCAAAGGGGAAGAAGGAAGAAGGAGAAGAATGATAACTTTGAGGAGATGATGAAGATATACAGATAATTTCATTTACCCATTCATTCACTCACTTACACTTATAAAGTGATTGCTGTGCTTCAGGCAGTGTTCTAAGTGGAATACTCATTTGACCCTGATGATAGTACTAGCAAATAGATAATATTATTTCTGTTTTACAGATGAAGGAACTGAGGTTCTGAGGCACAGAGAGGTAATATCATAGATATATACTTACTGGAATATATTAGAAAAGAAACAGATTTCTGAGCCTTATCCTGATAGATAATAATAGTCTGTTATGTACTAAGCATTTTGTATGCGTTATTAAAAAAATTCTCATTTAATTCTATGAAGTAGTTCTTTTTCTGTTTCCAACTTTTAAGTTCAAGGGTACATTTGCAGGATGTGCAGGTTTGTTACATAGGTAAACGTGTGCTTCTATGAAGTAGTTCTATTATTATCTTTTATTATTATTTTTGTTTCACAGATGAGGGAAGTGAGGCTTAGAAAGATTAAGTAACTTGACCAAGGTCACATAACTAGTAAGTAGTAGAGTTGATTTCAAGCACAGACTTTCTGCGTTTTTATATGACTCTCTCATTTTGTAGTTCTAAGGCAGGCACATGAATTTCTATTTTAAAGGAGTTCTCCAAGTGATTCCTATGTGCAGACCAGTCTTCCCAGAATCTTAGCACAAACTGAGAAGGAAGAGGTCTGTATTTTTTTGGAGGAGATAAAACATTGTGGACAGAGAGAACTCAGAGTTGGTGACCTTATAGATGGAGTATTTCCTAAGGACACAGAATCCTAAAGAATAGTAGAGTGGAGGTTATCGGAATCAAGGAGACTGAGAAAGACTCTGTGATGATAGAAGGAGTCAGTATATTATGATGAAACATACTAGTCTTAAAACAGAGTAAAATTGTGTTAGTTAATTAGTTAATTACAGAATTAATTAACACAACCAGTAGCTGAAGTTTTTTTTTTTTGTTGGTTGGGTTGGTTTTTTTTTTTTTTTTTTTTTTTTTGGAGTTAGGGTCTCACTCTGTCACCCAGACTGGAGTGCAGTAGTGCAGTCATAGCTCACTGTAGTCTCGAACTCCTGGGCTCAAGGGATCTTCCTAGGTCAGCCTCCCAAGAGGCTGGGACTACAGGCACATGCATGCCTGGCTAATTTTTAATTTTTTTTTGGTAGAGACACGGCCTCACTGCTGTTACCCAGGCTGGTCTTGAATTCCTGGCCTCAAGCAATCCTCCCACCTTGGCCTCACAAAGTGTTAGGATTATAGGCATGTGCCACTGCACCCAGCCTGAAGTTTTTGTAATGGTGTAAGATAATTCTAGAGTTTGGTAGTCAAAGTTGAAAAGAAAAGGGGAGAAAGCAATGTAAATAGGTAGAATGAACTTTAAAATATGTTTAAATGAAATGGACAGAGAATATATTGAAGCTATAGTTAGGAATATACTTTTGGATGTTGAGACCATTTTTGTGCCATCCCCTAGCATTGTCTCTTTTATTTGTCTTTGTTTTTTAAGAGTGAAAGTAGAAATAACAAACTATCAGAATACCATGAGATCCAAAATACATGGAGGAAAAATTGACTGAAAGGAGTAGTGGAAAATTCAGTGATTATGGTTGGTGATTTTTTAAATAATGAATACCCTTTTTTGATAATTAATAGAACAACTAGAAGAAAATACAGAGAAGACTTGAGCAACACTATTAACCACCCTGATTTAAACTGACATGTATGGTACACTCAACACCATCAGAATTCAGATGATCTCAAGGTCATATAGAATATTCTCCATGTGAGTCTATATGCTAGATCATCAAGTAAGTCTCAATACATTTAAAAGAATTGAAATCACATAAAGTATATCCTCTGACCGCAACAGAATTAAACAAAAAAAGGGAAGAAATTTGGAGGTCCCCAAATATTTGGAAATAAGACAACAAACTTCTGAATATACCATGGGTAACAGAAGAAAGACCTAAATAATCATATGTTTTCATCCCAAGAGCTAGAAAAAGGAGAAAACTCGGCCGGGGGCAGTGGCTCACACCTGTAATCCCAGCACTTTGGGAGGCTGAGGTGGGTGGATCACCAGAGGTCAGGAGTTGAAGATCAGCCTGGCCACCATGGTGAAACCCTGTCCCTACTAAAAATACAAAAAATTAGCTGGGCTTGGTGGTGGGCGTCTGTAATCCCAACTACTCAGGAGGTTGAGGCAGGAGAATCACTTGAACCCAGGAAGTGGAGGTTGCAGTGAGCTGAGATCATGCCATTGTACTCCAGCCTGGGCAACAAGAGTGAAATTCTGTCTAAAAAAAAAAAATGGAGAAAACTCAAAGCCAAAGCAAGCAGAGGTTAGGAAATAATAAAGGTAAAGTGATAATCAATGAAATAAAAATCAGGATAACTGTAGGAAAAAAAAGTGGAACCAAATAGAGGTCTTTTGAAAAGATCAAAAATTGATATATCTTTAAGTAGACCAACCAATTAAAAAAGAGAAGTCTAAAGAATACCAAAAGAGAGAAGTCTAAAGAATACCAAAATCAGGAAATGAAAGAGGAGATATAACTACAGGCTCTACAGAAATTAAAAGGATTCTGAGACTACTATGATATGCCAATCAGACGATGTAGATGAAACAGACCAATTTCTACAAAGACACAAAGTACCAAAACTGACTCAAGAAGAAACAGAAAATCTGAATTGTCCTATAACAAATAAATTAGTAATTAAAAATTTTCCTGCACATACATAATTCACACAAATATTCTGTCAAACATTTAAAGATGAAATAATACCAGTCCTTTGCAAACTCTTTCAGAAAATAGAGAAACAGTTTCCAATGCATCCTACTAGGCCAGTATTACCCTGATAACAAAGCCAAAGTATTATAGAAAACTGTAGAGCAGCCTTACAAACATAAGTGTAATAATGTTGAACAAAATATTAGCAAATTGAATGTATCGACATATAAACTGTATTATACCATGATTCATTGGGATTTATTTTAAAAGTCAATGTATTACCATAAAATAAAGAACCAAAGTCACATAATCATCTCAATAGATATAGAAAAGCACTTGACCTCCATTGATTATTTATCAAAAAAGGAAACATACTCAACCTAATAAAAGGCACTTGTGAGAAACCCGCAACTAGCATCATCAAGGAACTTTTTGACCTAATGCAAATTTATTAATTTATAGATCATGGAAATACCATCAATCTTAACCTATTCACATTATGTATTTCAAGTTCACGGGCGTATATTCCAAACAAAATTTATTGTCGCCATGTGCTATGAAACCCATTTTTCATGCATTCTTAATTATTGTTTATAGAACCATAATTTTTAAAATCCCTCAAATGAGCAATCTTTTAGCCATTGCTTTTATTTCTCCTTTTTTTTTTTTTGCAGAATGACTGATTAAATTTTGTTCATTTTATCTTCTCTGCATTGACTCTTAAATTTGTCCTAATTGTATAATCTTATTGCCACTGCTTTAGTTTAAAACCTTTTAATTTTTTAAATTGAGCTGTCTTGGTCGGTTGTCTCTTCTTGCTCTCCTTCCTTTATAGGATTTTCCTGATCATTCATTTTTGCCCCTAATCCCATTTCCTTCCAGTCAATAATTTTGTATACTGTCAGATCAATTTACATACAGCATATTTATCACCATTTCATTTGCCTGTTTAAAACTCTTTTTCATTGCCTCATTTTGTATTTGGCTTCAGTTCGTAATTTGTCATTACAGATTCTTTTTTTTTTTTTTTTTTAAGATTCTTGGAAGTTTGTCAGTGTACTCCCTTTCCAGGCTTACCTCTTGTTGGTCATTTTAATGTCGCCTGAAATATTCGTTATTTACTGAAGATGCCCTAAATTTTCCCATCACTATGTATTTGCTTGTTCTGTTCTGTGCCTTCATTTTTTTTTGTTTGTTTGTTTGTTTTCACACATTCTAAGATTCAATTTATGTCCTTCTATAGTTCCATGATCTTGAAGGCTTTTTTTGTTGCCCTAGTTAGGAGCCATCTTGTCCTCCTATAAATGCTCTTAGCCATATTTTTGTCCTGATGTTTTACCACTTTCTCCTTTGTATTGTACTCATTCATGTGTGTCTCAATTAATAGATAAATACACTGAGGGAAGGACTTATTTTTGAGTCCTGGTTTTATATCTAGCACAATACTTTGCATATTTTCTGTGTTAAATAAATATATAATTTAAAATGAATGAAAACATTTGGAAGCTATTAAACTGGGCTTTCTTTGCTAAGAGCTATTCTCTTGAGAAAAAGAAAAAAAATCATGAGTAGTTTGATCAGATGTTCGATACAGGACCAAAAATACATGTGTACTCTTGGAAGTTTTTGATTTGTTTTATTCTGAACAATAATGAACCATTCACAAGACCATAGCGTTAGTGGTTTTAATTGTGCAACTGCCATTGACAATGAGTATAATTGAGCAGGCATCTGCTTTATTTTCAAAATGAAGAATTTTTCCTTTCCTTTCCTTACTGCAGAATATTTTAGGTTATACAACGGGGAAATTAGACTGCTCTATTGAAAAAAATAACTTTTTCTGTTATTTTTTCTGTTATTAACATTCTATTCATAGTAGCTCTATGAGGAAAACTCGATAAGTTTTTGTAATTTAAAATGGACATTCTAATTTAAAAATATCATTATATTATTTCAGTCTCTTGGCTGTAATGTTTTCAGGAATCAAGGTTATAATTTGGTGGGTATATTACCCTGATTTTGTCTCCTGCGCTTTTCAAATTCCTTTGAGACATCCTCCATTGGGTAAGACTATACTTTCTGCTTGGGCTCTTCCCTTGCTCCATGAAAACCGGGAGGCGCCTTCTGGGAGAAAGCCAGAGGAATTCGCCTACTGTGCTCCGTTGTTTCTTCCAGGGATCATAGCTGTCAGTTTCTGCTGAATTTGATTCCCCTCTAGGGTCTTCAAATTCTTATTTTTTAGTATTTTTTTTGGCTTTTACAGTTATCAGCATAAGGACCAGTTAAATGAGAACTGATTTGCTGTACCCAGAATACAAACTCTTGGGCACTTGCATTTTAAAAGAGCAAGTTATTGAAAATTCCATTATTTAATATAGGCACATTTAAAATATTGCCCAAGAGAAGTTGAGTCTTAGTTCATGTTGAGAGCTTGAGACAATTTTTTCATGTTACTATTTCTCATGTCATGAGAAGCAGTCTATTATCAGACTCATCAAAGAGGACCAATATACTATGGCTTAATGTAAATCACTGAATACGTGAAGTTAGTAGTCAAGAAAATTGGGGCAGGACGCAGTGGCTCACGCCTGTAATCCCAGCACTTTGGGAGGCTGAGGCAGGTGGATCACGAGGTCAGGAGATCGAGACCATCCTGGCTAACACGGTGAAACCCCATCTCTACTAAAAATACAAAAATTAGCCTGGTGTGGTGGCATGCACCTGTAATCCCTGCCACTCGGGAGAGTGAGGCAGGAGAATCGCTTGAACCTGGGAGGTGGCGGATGCAGTGAGCCGAGATCGTGCCACTGCACTCCAGCCTGGATGACAGAGTGAGACTCCATCTTAAAAATAAATAAATAAATGAAAGAAAGAAAAAAACAAAAAGGAAAATTGGGTTCATAGTTGTACAGAATGAAATTTGTGCAAACCACTACTCCTGTTTTTATGAGATGCCAGTATTTTGCAAAGACAGTAATTTTGGTATAAATGTCAATAGATTCATATTAGTATATACTCATCAATCCATAGGTATCTTAGTGAAGGAACAAATACTCATTTAAGCTATTATAAGGAAGATATATTAGATACTATAAAGACATACTGCAAACTCATAGGGTAGAAAATCTTTGACCCTATCAGCAACTGGATGTGAGACCTATAACACTATGGAAAACATTTAAAGTTTGCAGTGTTCAAGTCTGTCTCCTCTGGGTTTCCTATTTCTCTCTCTGGCCAGCTAGTTCATTCTTTATTCTCCCTCTGCGGATTGACTTCTTTGATTTTTCTATCTGTAAAAGGTGGTTGCCCCAAAGAATTTACATCTCCTCCTTTACATGGCCAGTAGAGAATGTATTCCCCAACACATTCCTGAGAAAGATAATTAACTGGCTAATTAGGGGTTGGTTGTCTCCCTGGTGAACATTTTGGCTGTGGCTGAGAGGGTGGAATCACAGGTTATAAGCATGGCTACCAGAGTCCACTATGTGGTTGGGGAATAGTTCTTAGATGAGGAGAGGGTTTTGTAAGCTGAAAAGTTGCCTGAAAGGGATCTACCACATCAAATACCTCAGAGATCTGAGTGTTTAATTGAGTAGCTGGGATAAATGGAGAAGCTAAAGACAGAAGATGTGTTAATTCTAAGCCTATGACTCTCATATTTATTTAAAAAAAACCTCTGCATGTATAACCACAAACAGTTATAGGCAAAAGGTTAAAGGAGATTAAATGGTAAATGAGGAATTAATTCAGAATGATGTTACCAATGTTAGCAAGTTATAAATCTCAAAATTTTTGTCCTGCTTTAATACCGTGAGATTGCTAAGTAACATCTTAGGAACTACTAATCAAATATAGCAGAAGAGATGCCTAACCAACCTAGTTTATATGTTCTTTAAAACACTCTGTATCTTTATTTTGACCACAGAGCCATTCAACGTAATAGGTCCTCAGAAAAAAACAGTGAATGATGATATCACTGGAATATGTAGACTTCCAAGTGCTTTCCAACTGTTTTGTTGTTGTTGTTGTTTCTTGCCTTTAGTTTTTACAGATTATACCTTTTAAGTTGACACACCCATCAATTTTGACTATTATTTTTGGGGCTCTTGATGAACAACAAATAGAAATTCATGGTACTTAAAAATAGTAAAGAGATTAGTATCTAAGATATGAAGGAATTGAGAGCCAACAAGAATGTGGGATCCTGCACATTTTCTGTAGACAGAATGTATTTGATATTGTAAGTAATGCTCTTTGTTCCAGAATTTCAATCTTGGGTGATTTTCTTCACGCAAATGTTAATCAGAATAGCTTGTTTACTTTTATGAAAATTAAAATTTGAACCCATAGGTGTGTGCTTAGAATATATACAATTTGGAAGGTGCAGTACATTATCCACCATGATGTGGAATCATCAATAAATTATATAGTTATATTTTAATACTAGGCATCTGATGTTTGTGTCAAGACTGTGTAGTAGAAGATTTAGCCCAATTCAAATAAATTTCAGGTATCCTAGAAATAAAGGCTTTTTTGTTCTTTGAGATACTAAAAAATTCTGGCCGGGTGTGCTGGCTCACACCTGTAATTCTAGCACATTGGGAGGCTGAGGCAGGCAGATAACCTGAGATCAGGAGTTCAAGACCAGCCTGGCCAACATGGTGAAACCCAGTCTCTACTACAAATACAAAAATTAGCTGGGCGTGGTGGCAGGTGCCTGTAATCCCTGCTACTCGGGAGGCTGAGGCAGGAGAATCGCTTGAACCTGGGAGGTGGAGGTTGCAGTGAGCCAAGATCGTGCCATTGCACTCCAGCCTGGGTTACAAGAGCAAGACTTCATCTCAAAAAAAAAAAAAAAATCCCTTTACTAATTTGAATATCAAAATAAAACTTTACCTAAATTTAAAATAGTATTTTCCAGCTGGTGATGAATGGTATTAGACAAGAGAGGCAAACAATGAAGCAAACAAACACAAATTGCAAACATTTAGCCTGTGGTTAAAAATTACACCCATCCTTTTTCTTTTAAATTTTATTTGTATTGTAGATTTTTGTACTGAGGATTAATTTACAGAGTTCATTCTACTTTGAAGACTTTTTAATTTGCATATAACAACATATTCATTAAAGCTTCTTTATGCTTTTTTTAAAAAGTTCAGCAATTTGTTGTATTTTTTTGATTTGCTGGTCTGTTGCATGGCCCTATGGTGGAAGTAAAGAAATGTAATGCTTTAAGGAACATATAAATTGGGGGTAGTAAGATGTCTTTATTATTAAATAAGGACTAATAATATCAGGCAGTTTTTGATGAATACTTATTGAATGATGTAGAAAATGGGTGTTTTAGGAGTTCAGGAAAGGGTATAGCCAACTAGAGTGGCCTGGCAAGGGCTCCTTGAAGAAAAAACACTGGAATTATTCTTGGAAGTATTTGTTGGTATTTATTTAGGAGAGAAGGTAATCCAGATTAGGCCTTCTAGAAATGAGAATGCCCACATATATTCAGGGAAGAGTTAAGTAATTTTGATTGCAGTGTTGGGTTTACGTTTGAGAGAATAAGATACGCTTGGAAATATGTACTAAAGTCAGAATGTTGTAGATGATGAAAGGAGTAGCCTTCTGATGATAGCAGCAGTGTTTTAGGACTGTCAGTCTGTTGATATTACGTGAGAAGGACTGGAAGGGAAAGAGATGAGAGGCAGAAAATTAAATGAAAACTACATGAATTGAACTAAGTTGGTGGCTGTCAAAATGGACAGGAGTGGGCAAACTAATAGGGAGTTGAGGAACAGTCATTAATGATCTTGAGGACTAATTCCCTTATGGACACAAAGGATGTGGAAATGTATCAAAAGATGGTTCTGAAGTTTTAAACCTGGAAAGTAGTGAAAATAAGAAACTACCAACAAACAAAAAGGAGACAGAAGGAATTAATGTTTTTATGGGAAGATGATTTAGGTTTCAGAGGAGTTGGTTTTCTTAGTGAAATATGTGAATATATATCAAGCATGCAGTCACAGATGTGGGACTGGAGCTCAGGAGAGAAATGAGGAATAAATCACATTGTGATAAAGGGAACAGTAGATGTAAAGGCTACTTTTTAAAGTTTGGGACTCAAAGACAGAAGGAAAATAAGATTACAGATAAAGCATAAGGACCAATGCAAGATTTTTGTTGAGAAAGTAGGAAAAGTGTGTGTTTGCAGATTGAAAGGAGAAGTGGGTGGATAGGAATAGACTAACAATGCTGAGAGGTAACAATTAAGGGGACTTTACTGATGATAAGGGGACTTTACTGATGATGAGAAAAAGAAAAATGATCTTAAAATACCTGTGTTTTGAGGTCAGTATTTTATTATACAAGGCCCCAGTCATTGGATTCTAGAACAGCAAGTGCCTCAAAAGAGTTACTTGGATTAGTGTATTTTCATGCTTTGGTAGAAACATCACTCTGTCATGTTGATGTTAACCATCTGAAATATGAGTGAAACAATGCATTTATATACATCTTTCTGTGTTATATTAATTTGAAATTCTTTTCTGGTTTACCAGTCTTTTTTTGATCACAAATTGCTGAAAATCTTATTAGCAGCAGTGCCAAATATACAGTATAATTTAGTCCCTGAGTTGAGTTGTTACTAGAGACCCAACTCAATATTCTCCCTGATCATTGGGTAGTTTGGGTGATGTATTAACAGAGCTAGTACTTATCATTATATTATTTCATCCACATACCGAATAATACTCTAGTGGCTTCATAAATAAATAAAAAATATTTACCAGTCTGTTGACATGTTTTGTATTTTCCAAGTGCAATCCTTATTGGACAGAAAATTAAATAAAGTACATTTACTGCCACCTATAGACCTGTGCTTATTTGGGTGCTCTGGTGTCAGGTGCATATATATTTACTATTGTTGTATTCTCTTGCAGTATTGACCCCTTTATTAATGACCTTTTTTGTCTTTTTGTACAGTTTTTGACTTAAAGTCTATTTTGTCTGGTATTGGTATAGCAAATCCTACTCTGTTGTGTTTTCCATTTGTATGGAATATCTTTTTCCATATCTTTACTTTTAGTCAGTGTGTCTTTATAGGCGAAGTGAGTTTCTTGAATGCACCAATATTACTGGGTCTTGTTTTTTTTTTTTAAAACGGAGCCTCACTCTGTCGCCCAGGCTGGAGTGCAGAGGCGCGATCTCTGCTCACTGCAAGCTCCGCCTCCTGGGTTCACACCATCCTCCTGCCTCAGCCTCCTGAGTAGCTGGGACTACAGGCACCAACCACCATGCCCGGCTAATTTTTTGTATTTTTAGTAGAGACAGGGTTTCACTGTGTTAGCCAGGATGCTCTCGATCTCCTGACCTCGTGATCTGCCTGCCTCGGCCTCCTAAAGTCCCAAAGTGCTGGGATTACAGGTGTGAGCCACTGCGCCTGGCCTGGGTCTTGTTTTTTAATTCATTCAGCTACTGTGTGTGTTTAATCAGGGAATTTAGTTCACTTACATTGTGTTATTATTGATAGGTAAGGACTTACTGCTGGCATTTTGTTACTTGTTTTCTAGTTGTTTTATAACTCTTCCTTCTTATTATCTTTCTTTGTGGTTACATGATCTCTCTGGTAGCATGTTTTAATTTGCTGCCTTTTGTTTTTAGTGTATCTATTATGGGTTTTTGCCTTGTGATAATTCTTAGATTTTAAATTGGATTGATTTTATAAGTAGAACCTATTGGCAGTAGTAGATTTTTTAACTTTTTAATTTTTTTGAGACGGAGTCTCACCCTGTTGCCCAGGCTGGAGTGCAGTGGCATGATCTCGGCTCACTGCAACCTCTGGTTCAAGTGATTCTTGTGCCTCAGCCTCTCAAGTAGCTGGGACTACAGGTGTGCACCATCATGCCCAGCCAATTTTTTTTTTTTTTTTAAAGTAGAGATGAGCTTTCACTATGTTGGTCAGGCTGGTCTTGAACTTCTGGCCTCAAGTGATCCTCCTACCTCAGCCTCCCAAAGTGCTGGGATTACAGGCATGAGCCACTGTGCCTAGCTAGTAGTTGATTTTTTAAAAAGCAGCTGCTTTTCTTGTGTTGAAGCTCTCAATATGAGTAGTGGCTATGGAAATTCTTTGTAGGTCAGGACTTCGTAGCTTCCTGTGGCCTTTCTATATCTCTTTTTGCAGGTTTGTTTTAGTATTTATCCACTATGTGTAATAGTGAGTGGTAACAGCATGCACTCCCTAGTACACTAGGGATCACTTTACAGGTCTTGAACCTCTGTAAGCCCCATTTCTTTATCTATAATCTGTGAATTTATCTGATAAAATTTTGTGCTTTAAAAGAGATAATACATTTTACATGGATTAGCATGTTGCCTGCATCATAGTAAGCCCTCAGTAAATGTTATGGCATTGCTGCTAATGCTGCTGTAGTTTGGAATATGAGGATTAAATTGTGATTAAAGAGGAATGTTGATTAACTCACTCAGCACAATATCTAGCACATAGTAGATACCCAATAAAAACGTTCCTTTTACTCCCATGTTCAAATGCCCACCCCGCCTCTTCCCCATGAATAGGAACAAGTAGATGACTTACTAGCTATAATGAATCTTTTCTTAGATCCCCAACTTGGAAAATGAATGACCAGGTTAATATACTCCTGAATGTTGGTTTTAGAATTAGATTTGCATGGTTTTAAAATAGTTTTTCTTAATTGCACATTAAAAATGTGTATATTAACATTAACTGATTTATCTGGTTGTACAGATGCTATTAACTGAGTACTTGGATATGAAAAATACTCGTACGGCCTCTGAACCATCAGCTCAACTAAGCTATGCCAGCACTGGACGAGAGTTTGCAGCCTTTTTTGCCAAGAAGAAACCTCAAAGGCCAAAAAATTCTCTTTTCAAGTAAGTATTATTCTGCTGTTAATAGGTTTTAAGAATTGTTAGACTGAAGTAAGATGACTTCCTACTTTATTAATAGCCATAACTTTGTCTAGCTTAAGTTGATTGAAGTAATTTAGAGGAAGTGAATATATGTTGAGTTTTATTTATTTTTGTTTTCTGTCAGGTGAAGTGGTTGTTTTGGGTACAGTTACTGGACTACCTGGAACTCCTAATAAAAATTTCTTGAACTTGTTTCAGGGGAGTTTTATTTAAAATTAAGAGAAATGAAACTCCCCAATTGTTTCTGGGGAATTTTATATGAAATGAAAGGAAATGAAATATATTAGCCTTGAAAAGGCCCCAAGAGCCAAGAAACAACCTTTGTTAATAAAGTTATGCAAATGTTTCTAGCTAAGCAGTATTGGGCCTTATGTGGTTACTTGTTTAATAAAAGAACAATCTGGGTTTTTTTTTATCTAATTATAACCTTAGTTAACTCCATGAACCCATGTGCCCAAAGTGTATATCTCTTGGCAACAGCTAATAGTTAATAATATTGATAATAACTTCAATAGTAACAACAGGTACCACTGATTAAGTGTTTCCTAGGTATCAGGCACTGTACTGGGTGAGTTTCCCAAAATAATCTCAGTTAAACATACTTTAAATTTGAGTATACTAAATTTTAGCAGCAGCAGTAGTAGCTAACGTTTATTGAGTTCTTACTAAGTGCTAATCAAGGCATTAAATTATTCTCATAGCTTATTTTATTTACTAATTACAACAACCTTATAGGCAAGGGTTGTATTTTTAATACTTTTGTACATATAAAAAAATAGAGACATGAAAGGTTAAGTAATTTACAGAAGGTCTCATAGCTAGCATGTGGTAGAAGGAGGATTTAAATCCTGGCAGTCTTACTTTAGATCTGTTTTCTTTTGAGGATTTAGTAGATATTTAAGAAGTTGTGTCTGTAAATATAAGCATGTAAAGTGACCACCACTGAAGTATCCCAGTATATTGAATTTATTCTTTTTCAGCAGTTGGAGATCTAATATCTTCTGTTGATTCACATTTGAGGCTTGTTTTTATCTTAGATTTTTAGTGTTTTTAATAATTAAAGCTTCAACAGTTTATTTATTTTGTGATCTAGCAGAGAGGAGATTTATTTAGTATATCCCTGCCAGAAATGAAATCTATTCTGTTTATTGAATGCATTCCTTTTTAAACAGTTTTATTCAGAGAGTGGATGCAATATCAGTTACAATGCTTTAGGCTGCAAGTAACATAAAACTTTAAATACAATAGATTGAACTATAGGAAAGTTACTATCTCACGTAACAAGGATGAATGTGGAGGTTTCCTTAATTCAACTGTACAATATCATAAAGGACTCAGCCCTTTCCATCTCTCTGCATTGCCATCCTCAACACATTAGTAATGTTTTCTATTGCGATCACGAGGTGTATCCATCAGTTCCAGTCCAGTAAAGACAGTGTGGGCAAGAAAATTGCATGTGATTCTCCCTGTGAATCTCTCTCTTTAAAAAACATATAGACTTTATTTTTTAGAACAGTTTTAGGTTTATAGAAAAGTAGAGCAGGAAGTACAGAGAGTTCCTTTATATTCCCCGCTTCTCTGCATTTTACCCTATTTAACATCTTGTATTAGCGTCTGTTTGTTAGAATTGATGAACCAGTATTGAGATGTCATTATTAACTAAATTCCATAGTTTACATTAGAGTTCACTCTTTGTGTTGTACAGTTCTAATGGGTTTTGACAAGGCATAAGTTCCCACCATTACAGTGTCATACAGAACAGTTTCACTGCTCTAAACATCTTCCATTCACCACATATTCATCCCTCCACCCTCCCTAACCCCTGGCAACCTCTGATCTTTTGACTATCTCCATAAGTTTTGCTTTTTCCAGAATGTTGTATAGTCAGAATCAGTGTGTAGCCTTTTCAGAATGGCTTCTTTCACTTAGCAATATGCATTTATCTTTCTTCCACATCTTTTTGTGGCTTGATAGGTGTCTCTTTGTATTGCTGAGTAACATTCCTTTGTGTGGATATGCCATAGCTTGCTTATTTACCTATTGAAGGACATCTTGCTTGCTTCCAGCTTCTGGCAATCACGAATAAAGCTGCTTTAAACACTCATATGCAGGTTTTGGTGTGGACATAAATTTTCAACTCATTTTTGTAAATACCTGGGAGCAACATTACTGGATCATTCAGTGATACTATGTTTAGCTTCATAAGACACTGTCAAACTGTCTTCTAAAGTGGCTGCACCATTTTAAATCTTTTTAAATTAGTACTTACGAATTATCAGTTTATTAATCATTTCTGCTAATGACAAAACTCTTCAGCAAGTTCCTATTAAGCTCTAGGATTGGGTCGTAAGCCCATTCCTAAACTAGTCACTGGCAAGGGGAAGCAGATCTCAGTGGTTGTCTTAAACTAGGCAGGTTTCTCTCTGGTGCTAGGTTTCCAGCTGGAGAGGAAGCCACTTTTTCTGAGCACATGGCTGAGTAAAGAGCAAGGAAGCAGAATGCCCAGATGGAATCAGGGCTATGCCAGCAAGCACAAAGATAGTAGAAGGAAAAGGTAGTTGGTAGAGGCAACTGACACTGTCTCAGATGCGCCTAAGCAGGCCCTTTTCTTTTCTTTTTTTTTTTTTCTTTTCTCTATTTCTAGCTCAATTTAACCTTCTAAATATGGAATCATTGCAGAAAACAGGCTTTAGGGTTTAAAGTTCATGCTCTCAACCATCACCGCTGACTTTCAACCTCAGTCAGACCACATACACATTTTCAAACATTTAGCCAGTGCTTCTGAAGTTGTGGTATTGGGAAAAAAAAAAAAAGAAATTGTTGGAAATGAACAAATTGGCTTAAATAATTATTACACATTTTTTATTATTGGGCAGTAATGAAACTTATCACAGACACAGAATTAGGCCGTTATTACAGATTTGTCTGTTTCCAGTCTTGGTGCTATCATTGAGCCCATGTGTGTCTGAGCAGGTCTCAGTATCTCTGGATATAAACTAAGGAGGTGAGACTCAATCTCTAGTGCCTCTTTTACTGCAAAATTATATCAGTCTGTGACTTGTTGCAGACATAAAAAGAATTCCTGAGTACCAAAAATACATCAAGTCATAAAGGATTAAGATTTTGACTGTTTTTATCACATCTGTGGAGGACTTTATTACCCTCTTTAATTACCCTTAGCTAAGGTTAATTAAGTCTGTTTAAGTCCTGCCTTATTGTGCTATGTGTGCCTCTCTATTCTTTGCTTAAGAGTTTATTTATTTTTTTTCTTTGCCGTATCTGATCAATAGCTGTCAGCATGCTTTTTGGAGGTCAGTGGCTTCTTTTCTGCACTTGACTGGCAGGTGGCATGTTTGAAGTACTGCACACTTTGCCTTCTTTCTGGCTGTTAGTACCCTCTTAGTTCTTGGCAGGGTGCAGAGAGGGGATCACGTAACCCAAGTGTTTCCCTCACAGACTGACATTCATCTCAGTATTCATGTTCCTTGTCAAGGAAAGGATAAAGAAGGCATAATTAAGAAAATGATGGTGTGCCTGCCTTGTTGCCAGAAACCTATCCCATTAGCACTGTTGCTCGTACTATGTTGCTGCTTTTACCCCTTAGTGGCAGTCATTCTTAGAAGGATTCCTCCATCTGGCAGGTTGTTATCCTGCCTTTGAAATCTCAGTTTGAAATGGGATCTCTTATCACATCAAAGGATTTACTGTTTGATATGTCATAATTTTATCTGTTTTTTTTCTTACTTGCACGTTTATCTTAAGACTGATTTGTTTTTGTTATTTCTTTTTGTAGTTATTATTTTAGGTTTTAGAAACCTGTTCTTTATCATGAGTCTCTCCCTCCTTCTCCCTCCTTCACCAGTGTTTCTAACCTCTGAAATAGTTCCTGGGTAGGTGTGAACAAATATTGCGTAGCTTGGTATTTTTGAGAGTATTTTATATTGTAGGCAGCACGTCAAAAAACTAGCAGCCATTTAGAAAAGAAACTGTTTTTTAGGCCATTTAGGGAGAGATTATAGCTGCCTTGCTTTTCTGGTGCTGTTATTCAGCCACATTTCTAGTATGTCCTTTGTCTAGTCCTCTACCTGTGGAAGTTAGGCATGAGTTCTGCTCTGAGGAGCCAGTGTGTCTGTGTTGGTAGCTGGCAGTCACTGGTGACTTCTGAGCTGGATGGTAACGTAATTAGAATGACTTCATAGGATGCTTTCGTTGCTGCATGTATAAGGATCCTGGCTAAAGGCTGATGGGGGTCTGAAAGCAAAAGGAAGTTGGGACAGATCACAGTTGTACCAGTTGAAATGCAGAATAAGCAAAAGATCCAAATACGGTTGTAAAGGAGCCTTAGCCAGGAATATCGCTCATAAATCAAGGTCTGCGGCAGCTGGCCCTGGCCCTGTCATGGTATAGCCAAAGTGTCTTCATCACGGAACATCGGGGAGCACCACACAGACCAGAGTAGAATAATGTGGAATACAGAGCTGGTCAGCACTTAATTGGTTTACACCTGCTTGTCTGTTTCCCCTGTGTTTCTCTGCAGGTTCGAATCGTCCTCCCATGCCATCAGTATGAGCGCCTATCTGCGAGAACAGAGAAGGGAGCTCTATAGTCGGAGTGGAGAACTGCAAGGTGAGTGATTGAGCTTCTCTGGAAAAATTAATTTTCTGGAGGAGTATTTCCTTTATTACACATGAGTTTGTGTCCTGCATTCACACGATCCTTTCAAGGTAACAAACACTTAGTGACTTAATAATTTGTTTCTTCTGTAATTTCCCAGCATCTGCTGCCAAGCAGGTAAAACTATTACTGTGGCCATAGGACTTGTAGACCTGCTACTGTTCAAGTGGGAATTCAAAGCAAAAAGAGATGAGGCCAGGCTCGTCTTGCTTAAACAGAAGACCTGAGTCCAGTCACAATCTAGGAGAATGTTGGTCTTCTGCGACTGCCACTGTTACTTCTAATTGTTGTTTTTGACACCTTCTAGAATATGACAGGAGTACCTGAGATTTGGGAAAGGGAAAATGCAACCACTGTCATTATTTAAAGGGAAAAAGATGCCTCTAAATAGTATGTTATAATCAATATAACTGTGATGAACAGGCTATTTGATACCCATGTATAGTTACCAAAGAGTTGTAAGCTGAAGAAGAAAATATTTAGAAAATAAATTAAATATAAATAAATATATTAGACTGATAACATTTCCTTCTGTGACAAAAAGATGCTGATCATGTAAATGTAATGAGTTAAGAAAGGTTTGGAGGTCAGGTGTGGTGACTAACACCTGTAATCTCAGCACTTTGGGAGACTGAGGCAGGCAGATCACTTGAGTCCAGGAGTTCAAGACCAGCCTGGGCGACATGGCGAAGCCCTGTCTCTATAAAAAAATACAAAAATTAGTTGGACATGGTGGCACGTGCGTATTCCCAGCTACTCAGGAGGCTGAGGTGAGATTGCTTGAGCCTGAGAGGCAGAGGTTGCAGTGAGCTGAGATCATGCCACTGCACTTCAGCCTGTGTGACAAAGTGAGACCATGTCTCAAAAAAAGAAAAAAAAAAAAACAACAAAACCACATTGGTGAGGGCCTGCTAAGTGTAAGACATCTTAGGTGTTGGAAGTAGTGGAAGTTGGGTACAAAGAAATATAAAGCTTAAAGATCTAGTTATGAAAGTAAAGTATACATATGTGTGTGTGCATATATACATACACACACAGAGATACACACACACACACACGTCAATAACAATATCAGGAAGTAAATACTAACAACTGAGTGGGTGGTATGGATAAATTGCTAGAGAAATTACAAGAAAGGAGTGATTACATAAATTGTTTTAGAACTCTGGGCTTTTCTCCATGAGGGATGGGAACGAATACTTTTACTGTCTTGATGCGTTGGGCTCACGTAGCATTTTGCAGTGACTGGCCTGTGTAATTAAATATTTAGTCTTTAAGACTCATAATTCTGTACCAAAACACTATGAAGTAACCACTCAACCTTTCTTGATTTAAAGACTATTGCCTTGTCATTCCTAACTTCACCTTTGTTATTAATAGAATAACCTGTAAGTTTTTCCAAAGATGCTGCTGTACTCTCTCATATTTATATCACAGTAATAGTTCTACAGCCCATAAATGTGGTCACCAGAAGTAAAAGCCTAGAAGTATGTTTAGGGTATTAGGAAGAGGAGATTAGCCTACCAACATTTTATTTAATATGAAAGGGTTGTCATGCATTCTGGAAGACATGCAATGTGCATGTCGAGAGTCTTGATGTAGAGGAGTACAGACTGTCATTAGACCTGGAACAAGTGAAAGGACAGAAAGGAGTGAAGGAGGAGGGTGACTCATGCTCTAGCAGGCTTTCTCTGCCTCCCAGGAGAAGAGGCTAGGCTGCCAAGAGTGAAAGGAAATGATGATAACAGAACATACATTATTGCAGGAGGTAGGATTGTGCTCGAACTGCCCTTAGCAGGCTATCTAAGGCTAGTGTATCTTCCACACTCACGGTATCCTAATTTTAATTTCTCTTCAGATTTGCCTTAAGGAATAGTTTAAATTTGCCTCCATATTTTCTCTACACCTGTCTTCTAATACACATAAATTTATTTGATGGTGACAAAGCATCTCCTTTCTTCTTTTTAGGTTGAGTCCTAATTATTTTCTTTCTTAAAAATTAATAAACACTATCTGTTAGAGCAGTTATAAGGTCCCAGCTAAATTGAGTGGAAAGAACAGAGTTCCTGTGTGCCCTTGTCCCCACACATGCCCACCTTCCTCCAGTGTCGACATCCGTCAGCACAGTGCAGCCTTCCATTTGACCCTTCTAGTGAACAGGCAGAGCATGTCCCTATGGTTACATAGGGACCGAGGACCTCTCATCGCTCACTCACACTCAAGCATAAATAGTCAACAAGGGCACAGGACTAGTGGCAGATTCTTTATGCTTGTATGAGTGAGAATGGAGAGCACTCTGCAGCAGCCGTGGGAAGGCTTTTCAGTCCTGCCCCAGTGGTCCACGCTCTCTTGAGAGACAGTATAGGGTGGCAGTGCAGAGTAGGTGGCTCTGGGCCCAAGTCACCTCCATTTAGATACCTAGCTCCCCAGCACTTGCTTTGTAACCTCCAGCAAGTTCCATGGTCTCTGTGCCTCTTTTTCCTTTTCTCTAAATGGGAATAAAAGTAACACTCCCTACTCCATGAGGTGGTTATGAAAATTAGGTGAGTTAAGCTAGGAAGTGTTTCAAAAAGTGTCTGACATATAGTGAATGCTATGCCTTTCTTCTTCTCCTCTATTTCTAGTACTGTGGTGTGACTTCAGAGTATTCACACACATTCTGTTTGTCCTTTCTGTCATCTTTATATGGCTAAGCCCTCCTGAGCTTTCCAAGTTAAATTTAGGTATCGCTCATTTGGATGGGCTTCCCTGTTGGTCCCTCCTCTCTCAGCCTGTCACAAATACACACACATTCTGGGGTTGTGGCCCCTGCTGTGTGTTACTGCCACATCTTTAATGATGTTCTTCTGAGTACTTTCCATACTGCATTGTGGAACAATGCTCTCTTGTTTGAGTTTGCCACGAAACTATAAGCTGCAAGAGCAAAATACTATTTTATTTCCTGTGCTTCTCACAGCACCTGGTACAATAAATGTTTGATAAATACTGGTTGACTTAGTGACAGAATGAATGAGGACAGTTAGGATCTAAAATAGGATAGAGAGCACCATGGAGAGGCAGGAAGGGCCTGAAAGGAACCACTTTCAGCTTTATAGTTTTCCATTAGTCTTTAAGTTGAAGGCAAAGTAGAGGGTATACATATATGGTTTTGTCCTCTGCAGTTATAAGCTTTATTAAATAGAAATATTGCCCTTGAGCTCTCTGGCCCAGGACAAAACTACTGTATGTAATTGAAAAACATTTTAAAATCTAAGTGACAGAGGAATTTTACTCTGTGAGGATGGTTAATGGAGAAATCACTACAATCTAACTAGGAATTTTCCCATCCTTCAAAAAGTTAATTGAAATATGGGCTTTCAAGCACAAGTCGATTGAACTTACCAGTTTTCAGCAAGGAATATTTCTGGTTACAACAGAAGAAAAGTAATAGTTAGCAACCACATTATGTTCCTAATAATCATTAAAAATACTTTAGGTGAGCTGACATATTACACACTTGGTGAGAGAATAAATCAGTGGACCAGTTTTTGTAAAAGTCTGATGGTGTTTCATTCAGGAGGAAAAGTTTCTCTGATGAATGCTTTTAACATTTCAACAGGAAAAAAGAGAAGAAAATCATACCTGTCTTCCATTAAAAACGGCTGTCCTTTTTCAGTTATTCCATTAATGACTGGTCCAAGGACCACAATGAGATCTGCATTTCAGCTTGTCCCTGAAAAGGCATAATTGAATAGTTCAGTCAAACCGTAAGAGACTAAGGGAAGATTTTTGTTTCTTCTGTTAACACCATATAGCGGCAGGCTTTGCTTCCCAGTAATTTCGGTTCATACGTCAACTTTTCCTTCCGTTGCAGGGTAGCGGCGAAGAAATCCACCAGAAAGACAATCAAAGTAACATTAAAAAGCTCAAATTTTACAAAAGTTAAGTTCCTGCCAACATTTTCAATTTATCATACAATTAGAAATGTGACTCAGTCTAACAACACCCAAGAGGATAAAAGGATTAAAAAAATGAGATTTCTTTGGTGTTATCAATGCATCTCAATAGGCTCTAACTGTTATGGTACAGATGGTTCATTATATAGTCTGCTGTTGGCAGTTGGGCTGCGGAGATGTGGGTGCTGCTTCAAAATGTGTGAGATACCAGGTGGAGATCTAACTTGTGGGTGTGTCAGTGTTAATCATAGGCTTCCTGTGGTTTTAGTCTCTGCCGCTTCATTGTACTTAGCAGTGCTGGGAGTGAAGAAAGATACAAGTTTTAATGAACATTTTATTTGAATATAGCTTCTCAGGTTTAATGTATAATTCTTCAGGGGAATAGATAATTGATGAACACATTATCTGGTGAGGGTTAAAAAAAAACAAAAACAAAAAACAATCTAAAGACTACCACTCATGACCAAAATAAGCTCACAGGTTTATCAATGACATTCTGCCTCAGATTTCTCATAGGAAAAAATTAGAACTGTTTTCAGTCCTGACTACTTTAGGGGAATGTTGTGACTATTAACTTAAATATTAAATTATTAGTATTAGAAATTTCTAAATTAGAAACATTAGATTAGCAATGTTGATTTAAATGATAAAGTGATGTTTTAAAAAATCATTTTGGGCCAGACACAGTGGCTTATGCCTGTAATCCCAGCACTTTGGGAGGCCTGAGGTGCACAGATCACTTGAGGTCAGGAGTTTGAGACCAGCCTGGCCAATATGGTGAAACCCCCTCTCTACTAAAAATACAAAAATTAGCCTGGCGTGGTGGCGGACACCTGTAATCCCAGCTACTTGGGAGGCTGAGGCAGGAGAATCGCTTGAACCTGGAAGGTGGAGGTTGCAGTGAGCCGAGATCGCGCCACTGTACTCCAACCTGGGAGACACAGCGAGACTCCGTCTCAAAAAATAAATAAATAAATAAATAAATAAATAAATAAATAATTAAATAAATGAGTCAGTAATAAATAAATAAAAATTTAAAAAGTATCATCATGGAGTTAAGGGTGCTGCATCTACTTCGTTACTTCCCATTTTCTCTTCAACTCCAGTCCACTGAGTTAGCTCTCCTCCAAGTCACCAGTGACCTCTGCTTGGTAGACTTAATATTAGCTTTTTCTGACATTCATTTCACTTGATCTTTCCGCTGTTTTTCTTTTCTTATCCTCATGTTCTTTCTGAGTCTTGTCAAAAGCCTGTTGGAGTATCTCATGATTTGGTCCTGGGATTTCTTCTGTGCTGACTTTGTAGACTCTCCCCAGATGATCTCAGCCAAGACCAAGCTTCACTCAGTGCCCGAGCACAGCTGACCTCCATGTCTGTGTCTCCTGCCCTTTTCTCATTGTTGTCTAACCTTTTCTAGCATCCCGTCTCCCTACAATATAATTCTTTATCACAATATTTAAAAAAATTTTCTCATTGTACTTTTCTTAATATGTACATGTCTTTTTTAACTTTGTTAACTTCCTTCACTTCCCTTGACCCAGAGTGCAAGCCTTATTCACGGGTACATTTCAGTACCTAGGATAATGCTTGGCTTGAATTAGGCGCTTTAAGACATATATGATGAACACATATGATTCTATCTTTAATATCTCCTTATTTGTAGGTACAAGCCTACTTATTTGAGAAACCCTAGTGGTTGTTTAAATAAACAGACTGGGAGTCCTGTGATTTGTCTTTTCTCATTTTTAAGGATAATAAAACTCATGAATGAGTAAGAGTATATTAATTGCCATTGATTCAAATAGAAATGTATACTCAATTTCCATTATGTTTTCTTTTCTATCTCGGGGCTACTTAATACTTTTGTTTTTATTCAATGATATTACCTTTAGAGTGCCATTTTTATTTCCATTAGTTTAATGAGTGGCCTTTCTATAGCCCTGACATTAAAATGTTCTGTAAATCTCCAACCACTTGAGACCTCACTTCTTTAAGATGATTTGCATTACATAGTAAATATGGACATACTGGCATAGGTAAAAAAGCTCTTATACTGGCCTAACCTGAATTTTCTGAGTTTTTCTCTCTAATGGGTTGTCGGTGACTGGGATTGTGAATACTTGTATGTAATTAATCTCTTCGGGGGTGTCTTGCCTTAAGAAAAGACAGTATTTGAGATAGATTCACTCTGAGTTGATTATCCATTTCTACTAAAAGGATTTATAATAGGAGTCTCTTATATAGCAAGCTGTTCTATAATGGAGCATTTAAGGCAATATTTCACTTTTGCACACATTTTCAGGGTCACTTTGATTGAAGTGAGGTGCATTATTTTGTATAGCAATATTATGCTTATGACATATATTTGTTCTGCAGCCTTAAATATAAGAAGCACTTTCAAAACTTTATACCCTGAAGTTTGATTAGAAAATTCTTTGTTGCCTTCTAGAATTTGCTTAATGACTTCATTAATAACTATGCAACAATATGCAGGGAACATGAAAAAAAGTACATTTTTCTTCTGAAAATTGCATATAATTATTACAAAATAACTTTTAATCTTTCATAGTCATCTTTTCTGTTTTAGCCTCTAAAATAGTGTTTAAAAATTGATTCCCCTTTTCTTCATGGATTTATATTCTTGCTTTTTTTTAAAAGAATGACCTTAACTTACTTATATGTAAGATTTGTCTTATAATAAAGTTATAATAGAATTTTTACAAATGCTCATTTCTTTGTCTATCCCTAAGACATTGTAACTAATAAATATACTTTCCTCAAGTCATGAACAGATTGCATTATTTCAAATCATTTAGGAAATAAAAATATTCTTATGCCAAGATTGTTATCAAGTGTACTACTTTTTAGCCTTAATTGATGTAGACATTTATTTAAAAATATTCTTTAGTTATGGATTTACTTTATATAAGTTGGATTTGTTTTCTGAATAAATCTGATCCATGCAGTATTTTGTCTAGCCAGTAGACAAACCATGCATAGCTGAACCATATGGAAGAGCCTGGAATTTATGGTAAAATGGATCTTGAGAATACAAAATAACCATCACAAAGCCGATTACTCAGTGAAGCCTAAGAACCTCGCTCTTGAGATATGATACTTGGTCATCACACAGAACCAGTTGATGACATCTAACCTTATTTCTAAAAATATTCTATTCATTCATACAGATGTGAGAAAAGAAGGAATGCTGGTAAATGAAACGTAATGTATTTGAGTTTTAAAAGTTGAACAAATGCATTTCTCTACATTTATATTATATGGTTTTTTAAAAAAGCCAAATTTATGGCTGCGCATGGTGGCTCACTCCTGTAATCCCCTCTCTTTGGGAGGCCAAGGTGGGTGGATCACCTGAGGTCAGTAGTTCGTGACCAGCCTGACCAATATGGTGAAACTCTGTCTCTACTAAAAATACAAAAATCAGCTGGGTGTGGTGGTATGTACCTGTAGTCCTAGCTAGTCAGGAGGCTGAGACAGGAGAATTGCTTGAACCTAGGAGGTGGAGGTTGCAGTGAGTCAAGATCGTACCACTGTGCTCCAGCCTGGGCGACAGAGTGAGACTCCATCTCAAAAAACAAACAAACAAACAAAAAAAACGAAATTTGTGTAAAAAGTTTTTGTTTTCAGAACAAAAACTTCTGAAATGATGCAACAGGGAAATTTAAAAGTTAACTTATATCTCATATTTTCAATTATTTGGTTCACATTGGTTTTTTAATAAGGTAAAAATAACAGCTTTGCTCATCTTATTAGACATTTTTTAGGCCCACAAGAAAGTATATTTTTGGCTATTCTAATAGTTTATATAATACCACTCATTATGAGTTAAGCCTTGTTAAAATATGGAGAAGACCACAAACATTTATGGCATATGGTAAAGAAAGTAATTATTAGAAACAGATGAAAATACTAAATAATGAATTTATTATTGTCCCAATAAACACAATTCATAAGATAATTTTATATTTGAAAATGAAGTTTGGATCCTTTTAGGAATACTAATAGTATCAATAGAAATTTTCCTTTATGAAGGGAGCTATTAATTAACAAAATTCAGAAGAAATTTATGTAAACATGCAGGTAATGTGATATCTGGAAAATAAAACAGTAGATTTTAGTGCTAGAAAGTGCTTTAGAACTCATAGTCTAGTGCTTTTTAAATTCATTTTTAGTTATAGAACTCTTCTTCTATTTAATCTTATTTCACAGTTCAAGGTAGACAACAGGTAAAAGTGGAGATAGTTTAACAAAGTGGGGGTGAGGATTCAACCTCACTTCATCTTTTTCTTTTTCCTTCCTCTGTGTGGGCACCCAGGGTACTATTTAAAACACTAAAGACTCAGAGGCAGACATATGGAAATATTATATGAGGGAGAAATGACTTTACAAAGTTTAGGAAGAGGACAGACCAGTCAATAAAGAATGGTGAGACAATTGATCATGCATATAGGAAAAAAACAAAGAAATTGGATTTGTACCTCATATCATTTAGGGAAATAAATTTCCAATAGGTTGATAACTCAAATGTGAAAGGCAAACCTATTCAGAATGTTCATAGCAACATTGTTTTAGTAGCAAAAACCGAGAAACAGCTCAAATGCCCATAGAAAGAAGGATGGATATGTAAGTTGTTGTAGAGTCACAAAGTAGAATACTATGTAGCAATGAAAATGAATGAACTATGCTATACATTGAGTTGGTTGAATCTCAAAGGTAGTCATATAAGAAAATATTAGATAATATATTAGAAATTAGATTATATATAGAAATGTAAACATTTATAATGTAATATATATAAAATCTCTATATAAAGTCTAATATAAATCTAATATCTTACACATGTAAACTTAATATGTAATATATATGAATCTAATATATAATATCTAATATATTTAATATATATAAAATCTAATGTCATTTGTATGAAGGTCAGAAGCAGGCAGAACTGAATAGCCTATTTCATAGGAATATATCCTGTGTGATAAAAAAATGAAGAAGGTAAGGGCATAAATATAAAAGTCAAGGAAAACATCACCTCTGGAGAGGATGGAGGAGGGTTGTAACCAAAGAGAGGATCTCGTGGGGATTCAAAGATCCTAGTAATGTTCTCTTTCTTAAGCTGTTACAGAAATACTGTTGTTTTATTCTTTTAAAAACTGTACAAATGTCATATGCACTCATACATTTCATAAAATGTACAGATATAAACAATTTTTTAAGAAGCCTCTTAAAGCTTTAGAGACAAAACCATGTATGTAGTTTAATGTTCCTGTTTAGAAATCGAGAACAAATGTGGAGTTTTCTGGACAGCAGCACTTTTGTTGCAACTCCTGGTATGTGCCAAAGCTGTGAACTACCCCTGAACGAGTACTGTACCTTAAGTCGTCCATGAGAAGGCATCTTTGTGGTTAGAAGAGTTTCCTCCCAACTTACCTGCTCCCTCCATCATCCTCCATCTGGGATGTCAGACACCTAACATTAATTGGAGTCAGCAGCGATTATACTTTTGTTTCCTGTGTTAAGGGACTTTCTGTTTATTTGTTAATCCTGTATAGGTTTATTGTATGTTTACTTGTGCTGGATACTTCACTAGGCCCTCAGGATAAAATAATGAACAGGACTGCCTTTGAAGGCCAAAAGAAAAGAAAGGGACCATAAATGTGTCACTTATATGGTCACCTGCCTCCCAGCATTTGTTCTCCCTTTCCTCCAAATTCATAGAGTCCCTGATATTTCGCTAGTCACAGGGCCACCCAAAATAGGAACATTTCTAACTTGCCTTGCAGCCAACATGGACGTGTAATTTAATTCTGGCTAATAGGATGTGATTGAAAGTAATGTGTGTAACTTTGGGTCATTCTCTTATTGGGAAGAAAGAGGCTGTCTTTCTCTCCCAGCCCAGCCTGTGTGTGAAGGTGTGGATATGAATGGAATGTGGTAAGTCCTCCTAGACCATGCAGGTGAGGCAGCACTGAAGGAAAGCTACAACAACAAGACAGAGGGGGCCTGGGTTTCTGATACTGTGTAGTGCCATACCTCAGTAACTTCCTGGACCAGAGTCACCGCATCATCCCGGACTTCTGCATGAGAGATGAGTAAACTCTGACTTGTTAATTCACTAGTGTTTTGATTCATGTTACATGCAGCCCTACTTATATCCCAGTTAATTCAGCAGGAACACAAGTGATCACAGCTCTGTGATACACACTATCACGGAGTTGTGTGTATGTATATAGACAACTGGGATGCATATACAAGTTCTGGGAAAGGCAGGGAGGCATCTATAAGTATTTAAAGCTTAAACTCGGTTATAACAGATGAAGAGAAGTTTTCCAGGTAAAGAAATTGAGGCAAGCATTTCAGGCATCAGGCACAGTATGGGTAAATGTATGAAAGTATGAGAGTATAGGCTCTTCTCTCATCAGAGTTTCACAACATGAATCGGATATTTTTCTACTAATTAAGGAACTCAGTTTATATATACAGATTTTTACTGATTATAATTTGTTACTTTCAGGAGTCAGATGAAAGTACATCAAAGCTATTATGAATGGCTTTGGCCATTGTTCATCCTAGTAAGAGATTAAGAATTGATAAGAACCAATGGTGTACTGGTGATATGGGAAAATAAAGGTCATTATTATACCTGAGCAAAGAATAAATGTAATCACATACAGGATTTTCCGAGTATTGTTCAAGTGTTGTAGCTATGCAGCTTTATTATTAAAAATTCTATAGGAAAAAATAACTTTGTTTTAAATGCACTTATTATAGCATATTATATTAGACTCTGCATGGTAGCTGAGGCTGGAAATATTGGTAGGGCCCACGGCACAACCTATTTCTAAAGTACCTTGCGTTAAAAATAGAATGTTCAGCTTGAACTGCAAGTGATCATGATGGCAGCCTGGTTCTATATGGAGATTGCAGAGCTCTGTGTGCTCACATCTGATTTCCAGCTTGTAATTTTGGTGTGGATGAAAATATGCATTAAGTTACTTTTGGCTTCTCCACAATTTTAAACTGGAAAAGCCCATATTACAGTAATATATGATAGTATGTATGAATGCGACATGAATATTGTAATAGTCATAATATAGGATGTTCATTCCTAGAATTGTGATGACATCTACTGAATTGCAGCCAGTAATTTGCATATTCATGCCCACTTAGCTCAAATAAGTCCCTGTTTGTTTGCACATTAATGTCTGATTTCAGCACCAGCTAACTCATTTACATATCCTGTTCAGTTGGTTAGTGATGTTCATATGTGGAATATTGGTGCAGCTCTGTTTGGGCTTTGAGTAGCTTGGGGTTTAGTAGAAGGATCACCTGTTACTCATCCTAGCTTTTCTAGGCAAGGCACTTTACTTTTCTGAGCTCTAGGTTATTCATCTGTGTAATGAAGTTAATGCTGGTTAGTTCTTAGGGCTGTCATATCAGTTGACACACTGGAGGTTATGGTGTACAGTCAACATTTCTAGGCCAACTATATTCTGGGGCCTGTTCCTGGAACATTTTCTGCGTGCAGAGGGGTTCTAGATGCTGTAGAAGATAAGACATGCAAACAGTCACAGTTTCAGTGAATATTAGAAGTACTTTGGGGAGTACAGAAGAGAAAACACTTAACATTTTCAAGGGAAGTCATAGGAGGTATTACAAAGGTGGAATTCTTACGCCGAACTGGTAAGATGAGTTGACCACACTGAACAAAGGAAGGGAACTCGCGGCAAGTAGGGAGAAGATGTGGATGAACACACAGATGTTTGAGAATCTCATGGAACTGGAAATATTTTATTGTGGTTAAGCATAAAGTGTATGGGGAAGATTGAACATAGACATGGAAGACTGGTAGGCAGATCTCAAAAGACCTGGTATGCCATAGCAAGAAGGTTCGGTTTTTGTCCTGCGGGTGATAAGGAGTCCTCCAAAGGTTTAAAGTAGGAGAGTCGCATAATGAAATGTGCATTTTAGAAAATGTTTTCTGATGACTGTGTGGAGAATGAATTGAGTGGAATGAGAGTGTAGACAAAGAGGCAAGTTTTGTTATTTCAGGTGAGAGCTCATAGAAGAATTCTTAGGTGAGGTGGGAAGTGACCCAGAACCTATTTTGGAGGTACAATCAGTTGGACATGGTGACTCATTCTGTGTGGTGTTTCAGCAAGAAGAGATGTATTTTGGTGTCTTGGGTAGGTAATGATGTCATTTGTTAAGACAGGAAATATAAAAAGAGGAGTAGTTTTTATGGAGTGTTAGATAGGGGTAAAGATAGCATTTCATTATGTATGCTTTTATGGTTCTCTTTTGGTTGTGTTTAGTTCTGTCTAATCTAATCTAGCCCAATATAATTTTACTACATAGTCTAATCTTTTATCTTTCCCTCAAGTGTAAGGCTTTCAGCAGTTTGTGATTACTCATAACCATTCCTCTTCTCAAGTTCAGAGTAATGGAGTTACGGTTTTCTTCCATCCCTTTTCCTCTTTTTATTTTTTAATTGCAAATACTACTTTCTTTTTTTTCTAGGCTTTCGTTGATGTATTAGTTTTAGTGCCCACTTTAGTCTCTTAAGAATATGAATTCTTTAATTTTTATTCCTTGATGTACCCTGTATTTTTATTATTAAAATCAAACTATTAGCGATGTCTCTTGATAACTTGCTCTGACTTTGTGCAAGTCACTTAACCAGTTTTCTCAGTTGTAAAAGGAAGAAGGTAAGTGATTTTTTTTTTTGGAATCTCATTTATCTCCAAAGCTCTAGGTTCTTGGATTATCAGTCACTGGCCCACTATATGTTCCTCACAGCAGAGTCTGGGGACTAGTTAGAGGTTCGGAGTGGTGGGTCTCTGGAATTGGGCTTACTACCTAGGTGACTTTGGGCACAGTAACTCCTTCTATGTGTCACATTCATTTTCTTAAACTGTGAATATAATATACCTAACCTCATAGGGCCATAGTGATGACGAAATGAGTTAACACATGTAAAATGTTTAAAACTGTGCCTTGGGCCTGGCACGGTGACTCATGCCTGTAATCCCAGCACTTTGGGAGGCCGAGGTGGGTGGATCACCTGAGGTCAGCAGTTTGAGACCAACCTGGCCAACATGGTGAAGTCCTGTCTCTACTAAAAATACTGAACTCTACTAAAAAATTAGCTGGACATGGTGGCACACGCCTCTAGTCCCAGCTACTCAGGAGGCTGAGGCAGGAGAATTACGTGAACCCAGGAGGCAGAGGTTGCAGTGAGCCAAGATTGCACCATTGCACTCCGGCCTGGGCGACAAAGCGATACTCTGTCTCAAAGCAAAACAAAACAAAAAACTGTGCCTGGCACATATTAAGTACAGATAAATGTTAACAACTATTATTTTACCCGTAACCTGTAGCACCTGGCATCATTCGTCACACATAGGAGGCACTCAGTAAATGTTTTTTTAAATTAATGAACCAATAAGCCTGTTAGTGAACAAGTAAGTTCTAGTAGTATCTCTTAGAATGGTCCCTAGAAACTCCTCCCCCCACCCCCATTTTTCCTGTTTTCTTCTCTGACAGAAGTCTTTCTAGACTGTTGAGAAAATGTGTTTACCTCAGAGATTGTCCCAATCTTGTAATGTTAAGTGACATCCATTTTGAGAATGTAGTTGTGATTCACATATACCTCTAACTAAGAGGGCCACACTTGGTGACCTTTAGTGAATTTGTCTTTCTGGCCTATATTCACCCCAGAGATAAATATTAATGGCCATGATGAACGTGGCCATTTTTCTTCAAAACCATTTGGTCTGCAGTGGCACGAACTCTAAATTTTACTACACAAATAATTTAGGACGGTTGGAATATGGCTAGTAAAGAGGTTAAAAGGGAAAGGACAGCCCTTCTATTTATGAATTAATGGCAGCTGAAAATTTGGCATTGTTTTATGTACATTATTGTTTTGCCTTCCTCTTGCCTCCAGTTTGACATCACTTTCTTGCTGCTTGTGAAAACAAAAATAAAAATGCAGTTGTAATCCTTTAACGGATTGGGTAATACGTTGGTGAGGGAGAGCTTCTTTCTTCAAGTCTATCTACAGATTGGAAAGCTGACCTCTTCAGAAGTACCCTTATAGACACACTCAGAAATAATGCTTTACTAGCTCTGTGAGCGTCCCTAGCACAGTCAAGTTGACATATAAAGGTAACCATCACAGAAACAAAGTTTGAAAAAAAAAGGTTACAGCTGATCTGAAAGGGAAATTTTTGACTTGGCTTAGAAAGCAAGCAATAAATTGTTTATGGATATCATTCCCCACAGCATGTCTGCTGAAAGAGGACTGATAAAAGCAAGGCAATTGATGGGATGAATCATTCGCTCATTTATGATTATCTACCATTTCTAGATTATAGGAATGTTATTGAGGACCATTAACTCCATATCCACTTAAATATGTCATGAATCATTTTTTAAAATTTCTCAAGACAAGAACTTTTTCCATAAGAATTCTTTAACATGTAAATTGAGTGGTTGACTATCATTTCTAAATTATGGTATTCACCCTAACACAATAGATGTAGTTGCCCTAAAATAGATACAGAATTTGGTCTAACTTATTCTAACCAATTGAAATCCTTTGTCATCCCCAAATTATAATCAGTATGATCTTCTTTTTACTGTCACTTCCAGGACATTTTTTAGGCAAGTATAATGCCCAAGAGGAATAATTAGCTCTTTTTAAGTAACGTCTACTTTTCTATCTGTTTTAGATGGTTTCTGTTTAGTTATTAGCCATATTTGTTGCATTTTACACTTTGAAATTTGTAGTTCCTATAATACTTTTAGAAGTAATAATAATATACATTATATTAAAAAAATTGGGCGTGGCATGGTGGCTCACGCCTGTAATCCCAGCACAGTGGGAGGCCGAGCTGGGCAGATCACGTGAGATCAGGAGTTCGAGACCAACCTGGCCAACATGGTGAATATAAAATTAGTTGAGTATAGTGGCACATATCTGTAATCCCAGCTACTAGGGAGGCTGAGGCAGGAGAATCGCTTGAGGCTGGGAAACGGAGATTGCAGTGAGCTGAGATCACGCCATTGCACTCCAGCCTGGGTGACAAGAGCGAAACTGTCTCCAATAAAAAAAAAAAAATTGTGCGTAACACTGGAGTTTTAGATGCCTGTACACTGAATCTTTTCTGTTCTTTCTCCCCTTTTTTAACCTTAGTTTATTTATTAATATTATTATTACACTTTAATTAGATTTCACTTATTATTGAGGTGAATGTACCTGCAGTGAAGTGTGTAATGTGCACTCATCTTAAATGTACAGCTAAATTCTTGCACATATGTATTCCCATATAACTACCACCCAGAAGATTTCCTATGCTTCTTAACACTCCCTGAGGGTCAACACTATTCTGATTTCTAACTCTATCTCTTAGTTTTACCTATTCTTTAAATAAATAGAATCATACTCTGTTTTGTGTTTCTGGCTTCTGTAACTCAACAAAATGTCTGGCACATTCATTCTTGTGGATTTGCATATCAGTTTTTATTATTGCATAGTATTTTATTCTATGACTATAGGACAATTCATTCATTCACCTTTTAATGGACTTTCATCGTTTCCACTTTGGGGCTACTATAGATAATTCTCCTATGAACAGTTGTATTACAAATGCACTAATTTCTCGTGGGAATATACCTAGGAATGGAATTGTTGGTTCATAACATAGGCATGTGTTTGGCTTTAGGAGATACAAGGATTTTACCATTATAGAAATTGATAAGAAATTGTATGACAATATCAGTTGCTTTACATTCTCACTAATGTATTTTTATGGGCTCAAATTTTTACCATTCTCTTGAGTGTGTAGTATACCTTCTTTTTTTTTAAAGAAAAAGAGTCTAAGCTTTCCTTACTTCTGCTACTCTTCCCCTGCCCCCATACTGGCAGGAATTTCTGGATATGATTATTTGCTATACAGACTATCTGCCAATTTACTGATTTACAGTACAGCATTTTTTGTTGTTGTTGTTGGTTTTTTTTGAGATGCGGTCTTGCTCTGTCCCCCAGGCTGGAGTGCAGTGCACCGGTGTGATCATAACTCACTGCAGCCTTGATCTCCTGGACATCAGGTGATCTTCCTGCCTTAGCCTCCCAAGTAGCTAGGAACACAGGTGTGCACCACCGCATGCACCATCACACCTGGCCAATTTTAGCTTTTTTATTGAGACAAGGTCTCACTTTTTTGCTGAGGCTGGTCTCAAGCTCCTGGCCTCAAACAGTCCTCCTGCCTCAGCTTCCCAAAGCACTGGGGTTATAGGCTTGAGCCACTGCACCCAGCCAATATAGTTTTTCATAGTTCAGTGATCTTGTATTCCTTCTAGAAGAAGTCCTGATCATGTTCATACAGTTTCTACCCAGAATTCTTTAGCGGCTTTTCTTACTAGAAATCACCTACCATATTTCTTCGCACCTTCGAGGTGGAAGATAAAGGTATCTCCTCTCTTTCAACTTTTTGTAATTTTTTGGCCAGTGGTTTTCTATTTTGAATGATCTTTTTATTGCATGTTTCTTACTGATATTCCCACTGGTAGTAGGCAGAATTCTAGAATGACCCCAATGACCAGACCCATGCCCATGTATTTATAATTTTTCCCCTTTGGGTGGTATCCATGATTCTGACAGACTGTCACTCTCGGGGTTAGTTTTTTATATGGCAACACTGAATGGATTTTGCAAGTGTGATTAAAATCCCTAATAATTTAAATTTGAGTCAATCAAAAGGGAGATTACCCTGGTTGGGCCTCACATGACATTTGAACCCTTAAAAGAGACAAAAAGCAGCAGAAGGTGCTCTTCTGTTAGCCTCAAAGTAGTAATTCTTGTGAATAGATTAGGCCATGTTGTAAGGACCTGGGGTCATCTCTGTCTAACAGCCAACAGAAAAATAGGACCTCCATCCTACAACCAAAAGGAACAGAATTCTCCCAACAATCAGAATGAGCTAGGAGCAGGTCCCTATGCCTTAGATAAGATTGTGACCTTGCCTGACACCTTGATTTCAGCATAGTAAAACCCTAAACATAGGACTCAGCTAATCCATGTCTGGACTTCTGACCCACAGAAATTGTGAGATCATCAATTTTTGTTTTTCTGAGCTGTTAAATTTGTGAAATTGTCCCTTTGAGACTCCCATGTAGTTCCTAAGACTGATGGATGGAAGTTGCTAGGCTAGCTCTCTTGTTGTAAGAAAGGCAAACAACTCTTTTCCCTACCTTAAATTTATTCCAACTCTCTGTCAGTGTTTTTTTTTTTTTTTTGAGACGGAGTCTTGCTGTGTTGCCCAGGCTGGAGTGCGGTGGCATGATTGCGGCTCACTCACTACAACCTCCACCTCCTGGGTTCAAGCGATTCTTCTGCCTCAGCCTCCTGAGTAGCTGGGACTGCAGGTGCCTGCCAACAAGCCCAGCTAACTTTTGTATTTTTAGTAGAGATGGTGTTTCACCATGCTGGCCAGGCTGGTCTCAAACCCCTGACCTCGTGTTCCGCCCACCTCAGCCTCCCAAAGTGTTGGGATTACAGGGGTGAGCCACCACGCCCTGGCCAAAGTAACACTTTGCCTCCTTGTCTGGGAATCGAACCCTGGTCTCCCGCGTGACAGGCAGGGATATCACTATACTAATGAGGAAGACATGTCTATCAGTCTTAAAATATCTCCTTGCCCCTCCAGTTCTCTATGGCTTTTATTTAATTTGGAAGCTGAAAGGGGCTTTGGGAAAGAATGGAGGTCTAATAGGTTTTCTGTGTTACTGTGGGCTTTATAGTATGAGATACCCATTTTGAAAACGTTTGTAGTTATAGGTATAGTAAAGACATCGTTGTGATGATAGCCCCCTGAGGAAAGCAGCACAGATTATCATGTTACCTTTCTGGGCTGTCTCATGAGAACCAGGCACTGAACATGCCCAAATCAGACTCATGATTCCTCCTCCCTACCACTCCCAAGCCCGCTTTTCTTTCGGTGCACCTGATTTTGTTAAATGGCACTATTGATAAACCTGAAAGGCATCCTTGACTCCTCCTTCTTTGCCATAGACAATCTGTCACCAGATCCTACTGATGCTGCCTCCTAAGTGCCTTACAAACCCATTTACTGTTTCTTTTTAAAATGTCCCTTGCGGCTGGGCACGGTGGCTCACGCCTGTAATCCCAGCACTTTGGGAGGCTGAGATGGGTGGATCACGAGGTGAGGAGATTGAGACCATCCTGGCTAACACGGTGAAACCCCGTCTCTACTAAAAATACAAAAAGTTAGCTGGGTGTGGTGGCAGGCACCTGTAGTCCCAGCTACTCGGGAGGCTGAGGCAGGAGAGTGGTGTGAATCTGGGAGGTGGAGCTTGCAGTGAGCCGAGATCATGCTACTGCACTCCAGCCTAGGCGACAGAGCGAGACTCCGTCTCAAAAACAAACAAACAAACAAACAAAAATAAAATGTCCCTTGCTTCTACCCAGGTTCTAACTGCCATCATCTCTTGGTTGTTCCTGCTTCTATCTCTAATCCCTCCAAACCATTCTTTATACCAGAACTAGAGTGAGTTAAAGGTATTTAATAATTTCGTATGTACTAGTACTAAACCCCATGTCCTCAATATGCCTAATAAAGTTCTGCATGATTTAGCCACCACTACGTGCAGCAGCTTCTTGGCCTCTTTTGAAAATCATAACCTTGTGGGCTTCTCAGAACATGCTGTGCTTGTTCAGGCCTTGGAGGCTCCTTGCATGCTGCTGTCTATACATGGAATTGGCTTCCTTTCATATTCTTGATAATTAATGCCATCTTTAAGATAACGTTCTCTGTATAATAAGAATTTTATATCGTGCTTATTAAGTACTTACCATGTGTCAATCAGTATTCTAAAACATTTTACCGGTAGTATGTCTTCTTCTTTTATTCTCTTAACCATTATTTTCTTGGGGGAGCTTTTTGAAAAAAAAAAAAAAAATTACCCCAGACCAGGTCAACTTCCTTCTTTGTAGCACATGGCATACTTACAATTATTCAGTTGGCATACTTAGTAATTTAATTATTTGCTGTTGTTTAAAATGTGTGTTTATCATTCATTTTAAGTTCCTTGCAGTCAGGGACCAAGTCAGTATATACCAATCACTGGTATAGTAAGCACCTAATAAATAATCATGCTTATTAAAAGTAAAAGAAGTTCAATATTATTAAACAAATGCCTGATTTAGACAGTAGCTTAGGTATTTTCCCTTCAAGTTTAGAGCTTTTTTCCATAAGCGGATAATATTTGGGGATATTTAGGAATGTATCATAGATTAAATTATATTAAGAAGGAAGCTAAGAGAAACTAATGTTACTTGAGAGAAGAGGATGCAGTGACTGAGATGGAATTATTTAGGGTATGTATATAATTATTTTGTTTTCATAATCATTTTGTCAAGTAGGCCTTATGATATGGTTTAGATATGTGTCCCTGCCCAAATCTCATGTCAAATTGTCATCTCCAGTGTGGGAGGTGGGGCCTGATGGGGGTGGTTGGATCACGGGGCGGAGTTCTCGTGTAAGCTTTAGCACCATCCCCTCTGTGCTGCTCTTGTGATAGGGTTCTCCTGAGATTTTTCTCTTGCTCATGCCATGTAAGAAGCGCCTGCCTCCTCTTTACCCTCTGCCATAATTATACATTTCCTGGGGCCTTCCCAGAAGCAGAAGCCGCTATGCTTCCTGCACAGCCTCCAGAACTGTGAGCCAGTTAAACCTCTTTTCTTTGTAAATTACCCAGTCTCGGGTATTTCTTGATAGCGGTGTGAGAACAGACTAATATGCCTTATTATTTCATTTCTATTATAGCTAAGGAAAAAAAAAACATGGCTCATGGAGGTTAAGTTACTTGATTATAGTCACAAAACCAATAAAGGACAAAGATGTTACATAATAGTTTTATTATATAGGGTTTGCAAAATAACTTGCATTTGAAATGGCTTGTGTATTTTCCACTTTATTGAGATAATTTCTATATAATCCACATTTATTTAAAATGAACAGTTTGATGAGTTTTGGAGGATATATACACCTGTGAAAATAATGTCACTATTAAGATACAGAACATTTTCATTACCTAGAAGTTTCTTTGTATCCTTTTCAGTCTGTTTCTCCCTCAATTTCAAGCCCTTGGTCACTGGTAAAATGCTTTATGTCATAATAGATGAGCTTACAACTTCTATAATTTGATATAACTGGAATCATACAATAGACAATTTTGTGATCAGCTTCTTTCACTCCACATAATGATGTTGACATTCATCCGCAGTGTTGCATTCTTCAGTAGTTGTTCCTTTCACTGCTGAGTAGGACTCTGTTGTATGGAGATACTGCTTATTGCTTATCCCTGCAGTTGTTGATATACATTTGGGTTGTTTCCAGTTTTTACTTATTGTGAATAATGCTGCCCTGAACATTTGTGTGCAGGTCTCTGTGTGGGACAGTATTCCCTGAGGAACACATACGAGTGGGATTCTTAGGTTATATGGTTAGTGTATGTTTAACTTTTAAAGAAATTCCCAGTTTTGTAAAATAAATGTATTATTTTATATTCCCAGCAACAATGTGTGTCAGCACTTGGTATTGTCAGTTCTTTTAATTTTAGACATTACTCTGGGTGTGTAGTGGTATCTCATTATGGTGGTTTATATTTAATATAACATCTTATTGATGTAGGAGGCCACACAAATGTGGATTCAGGCCTTGGAAGTTAGAATCAACCTCAAATCCTTTTTCTCTTGTGAGAATTCATCTAGACCTCTTATTATATGTCATGTCTTTTAGAATAACTTGTGTCTACCTCCATGAAGTTTTTAAATACAGAGAAAATACATGTAACTATTTTACAAGTCAACTGGAAAGCCATACATGTATGTATATGTTCGTGTGTGTATGGCATATATGTATATATAATTATTCATTAAAAATAATGCTTACTAAAACTACTCATACTCATTATTGTATATATCTATATTTCCAGCATCTTCTGAAAGTTTGTAAGTTCTGAATAAATCCTGCTTTGAAGCTAAAAATTCTAAATTGTTGCTTTATTAGTAATCACAGGGCTAATGCAAAGCTCTGATAATTAAGACTTTATGTTTTTCTTTGAGTGCCACCATGGCAGCAAATGGTATCTGAAACTGACAGACTGTAGATTAAAACTTTCAGAATGTAAGGCCTAGTCTAGGGAAAATGAAGTTATGTATAGGTGACTTGTTCCATTTGAATTAATCAAAGGGCTGCTGGTGTAGACCAGCTGTGTTCTCTGATGACAAAAACGAATCTTGACATTTTAGATAATGAAATTCAGTTCAGCACCTCTTAGAGATATGTGTGATAATATATGTCAGTCAGAAACAGAGAGAAGGGGAGAAGCTCAAACCTTGTCTTATTAAAATAGACATTGTGACAAGTGGACATTGCTGAATCTCTGGTTTCTAGGGGAAAAAATGTCAAGGGAAACCTCTTTAAAAAAATGATGGGAATGGCTGTTTTATGGAAGCTGGGTGAAAAGATTTGACTTCTGATGCATGACCTCTTTGACAGTTGCCTTTGTTCATGATTCCTAGTTTCCTGGTTTATTTTATTGGGGTACAGGGTGAGGTCTGGAAGACCTGGAAAGGAAACTCACTTTTTTGGTTTGACAGTATTAATGCAATCATCTAGTTCATACCTTGTAAGCCCACTTATTATTTCCTCTGCGTGTGTTTTTTCTGGTTTAGCGGATTAGCTGCACTGTCTCTTCAAAGGCTATCCAATCAAGGAGGGGTTATTAAAACCAGGGCGATTTATGACTGAGAATTAATTAGAGAAGCATTTTCATGCACAACATCCAATTTTTTGATTAGCAATGGAGCAGGGCCGCAATTAACACTCGAGGAAGCTTAAATTTCCAGCTTTTTGATTCTCAGGAAATGAGATTATCAAACCAGGGTCAGACACTTGACAGCAAAGTGGGAGTGGGGGAGTGTGAAATTATATGTAAAAAAAAAGAAAAAAGAGTCGTTTGATTTTGATTCTGAGATTGCTATTAAGACAATGGGAAATTCAGAGGAGGGAAAGAACAAAAAATCTGAAATGGAAGAACCTGAAAGGACTGATTCTTTGGTGGCCTATTTGCTATGCACAATATCTGTTGTAAATGTTTGCTGGAAGTATGTTTTAGAAGCACAGCAATATTGTTGTGTTCCTTCATTGTTACTTATTATTCAGTTTTTCTCTCATAAATTTTTCTTGGATATTCAGTGGCTGAACAAATATTTAAAATGTTTATATATGTTGGAGAGAGGCCAAAATTTTTCTTGTTAGAAAAGAGAGCTTCTTTTCTAAATGCTAATTTGCTTTTTTGTGTGTGGGGGGAGTCTGCTTCTTTTCATTGGTGTTTTTAATTTTTTCAAGTCACTCAAGACACAGTTTAGGTAGTGAGTTATGTCAAGCCATAGATGACCACTTATTGCTAAGTGGCCTTGTCAAGCTTAGGTGCCTGAGATAAGAAGTAAGGCAACCGCAGGTTTGCTGTAAAACAAAGTGTATTCTGTCATCAGTGTAATTGGTGCTCCCCAAGGAATGCAACATAATGAAAATTCATTTGTTCTGGAAAATATTTTTCATCTTGTCTCCTCTTAATTTGGACATCTAATTTTCATGGAGAAATAGCAGAGCAGCAAATCTTTTAATTCATTCTGCCAAGTTAAAACTCATATGCATCTCTTCTTTATTCAGTAGATTCTAAGATTTTTAAGAGACCTTGTCAGTATTTTTGAATCATCCAACCCTCTCTTCATTGCCCTGTTTTCATATTTGCATGTATGATGAATTGCCTATCTATAAATAGTGTAAGACTAGTACAATCTAAATATTAAAATAGTAATATGTACTATTTATAGATTGCTTGCCTATTGGTCTTAGGGAAATTGTTGGCATCCAGTTCTAAGAGGAAACACAAGTGATCAATGTGTCTTTGGCCCAGGGTGGGAGAGGGACTGAGAATTGGTTGATAGTCTTGTGTGACTCTGGTTTCTCTCATATTCTCCTAGCATTGGTTTCTCTATTTAAATAAGGGTGGGGCTTTTTGTTACAATCTGGGGAGTTATTTTAAAAAACATCTTCATAAGCAGATTCCAGAATACACCAAAAATGAATGGAAGAGACCATACGTCATTTATATAATCAGAGATTGTTGCTATGGCATTTTTCTCTCTAAAGCCCCTCTGGTTTAGGAACATGATCCATTGATCTAGCCTATCATTCTTGCAATCCTACTATGGATTCTCAGCTTTATTTGTCAGTCTTGCTTAATCCTCCTTCCTTTGTTGATGAAGAGTATCTATCACTGGCTGGATGAAAATTGGCTGCAGTTTAATCTTGGGGAAAAAGGAAGAAAACTGCCAGTCAGAGGCTGAAGAGTTGATCTTGTCAGATTTATAGTCATCAGTTATCAGTGCTGATCTTCATGTTCTTAGATGTTGATGATTACATGCTTTTCGGCATCCAATAAACATTTGCGGAAATAATTTATAGTTATATTTATGGATATTTCCTTTGTTGGGAAATGTTCCTGCATTTCCAGGTCCATAGCAAAGGGAGCCTAAGCGTATGAATTAGGGATTCTTAACCTATGTGTGTTATGTGTTGGGTGGTTTGGGGGAGGGTACGTGGGTAGCCTTCAGGGAATCTGTGACACCCAGCAGTGTCTTCAGATTAGAGGGGTGGGGAGCAGGAAGAAGTTACCAAGTTTTCATTAGGTTTACAAAATGCTATTGTTACATGTGTGTGTGTATACATAGACACACGTATGTATATGTGTGTATATATATATATGTATACATACACACACGTATACACACACACACACTCACAAATACGTGTACAAATACAGTTCCCGACTTGGAGAGCCTTATTATCAACAGAGGAAAACAATGTAACAACTTTAGTAAAAGCATATGAAATGATATCCTTTTGTAATAAATGTGAATGAAATACATCTAACCTATATTTAAATGCTTAGTAACATTTAATATTAATTATATTAACATCACAGGTAGGCAGAAAAGTTGAATTTATAAAAATTGAGAAAATTAATCAAGAGAGGCATAGTAATTAAGTGTGAATCATTTTAAAGAAAGCAAGGATTATTTAGTGGAGTAGAAAAACAGAAAAGCAAAGCTATTCTAGGTTGGTTTGTTTGTTTTTTCTCCTTTAATGTGAAGATTTTTAAAAGTACAGTTTGATATAGCTCAATTGATCGTTTAATTAAGGAACTTGATTTGCTTTAAGAGGCTCGCAATTGATAATAATCATATTATCATGTTGAATTCCCAGTGGTGAGGTGAGGGTGTCAGCTGTTCTACTGGCGCATTTTTGCTTTGCTTGATTTGCTGTATGCTCAGTTTATATCGTGGTAGATGACAGATGTGCAAGAAGGCTATTTAAAAATCATTGCTGGTGATGGGTGGAAAAGAATGCCTTTAGTTTTTAGTATGATATAATTAATCTTTAATAGTGATCGACTAATGTATGTTTATATGATTATATCTGAATAGATATTTATTAAATATATATTATTGATATTTCTGCCGGGGTAACTGTGTTATTATTGAGTCTCTGGGACTCTTTTCCACTTCCCATCTGAATACTTGCTTTAATAAGAATATCCTACTCTAGCAGAAGTAGTGTAGGTACAAAGAACCCCGTTTTCTTAGGTTAGTGGTCAATCTATGAAATTAGATTTTTGTGAGCATGAAAGTAGAGTGTAGCCCAGTGAAATGAAATATGGAAACCTCAGGGTTCAAAGCAATGGGTTGGCAGAGTCAGGTCGGAGATTGAAATGTTGTGAGTCATCTATGAGATAGATGGAAACACTGGAGTTGTTGAGCTTTTAAAACAGTAATAGATGGAAAGAAAAACTCTAGACTCTGCATAAGGAAAAGGCTACTAGTTTGTTGAAGAAGAGTAGCTTGTGAGACTCGAGGAGTGTCTTGAATAAGTTAGGGGAAGGGCAGGCAAATGGACACTTAAGGTTTATAGTGTGAATATCTTCTATCTGCTTTTTGAAAAACACATTTAAATGAGTTCTTAATGATTCCCAGGAACCACAGTCCGATTTTGGCTTTTGTTTCCTGTGCCCTCCTGTCAGTTTTGATAACTGTACCTTTGTCTCTGAGCCCATTTTTTTCAAAATTATGGTTTCATTTTAATTGTTTAATAGTCTGCTCTTGTCTGTAATTTCCAGAGTTTGAATTGTATGATTTTTGCAGCCTCTATGAAAATGGTCAGTGAAAAAGAATTTTTGGTTAACTATGACATCCTGTATTTAATGGAAATATTTTGTTTTAATGACATGAAACCATAGCCATGAAAATTTTTCTAATGTAACATCAAGAACTTCTCTTTGTATATTATATGAACCTTCTGTGAGGTCCAGCTAATTGCAAGACGTCCTAAGTTAGATATCTCGTGCCCATTCTGATTCTTCTAAGAATTTACTACTATTTTAGATCACATTAAGGTTTTCAGATTTTTCTCTAATTGCTTGATAATGTAACACAAGCTTAATAGTGTAATAACAAAAGCTTGATGTTCTGTAGTTAGATTCTTTTAAATAATGTAAAAAAAAGTTATAAATGATTTGTAGCTTGGATGACTTTTTACATTTCTCTCTGGGAGTTTCAGTTGCTATGATTTTGTTGTTGTGTTCAGCTTAATTGCCATTAGCTACTGCTGAAGTCTCCTCCTTACTCACCGTGCAGGCAGTGTCCATCAGCAGCATTTAGTACAGGATGAATGAACGATTCCTTTTTGTTATGTTCAATGGAATATGTAAATACTTTCAAATGGCCTTCTTCAACTAGAGTTTTTTAAAAATGAGAGATACGCTGGAAAAATACTTTGAAAAATATTCATATTCTATAGTGGTTAGCTTATTTGTTAGTTGTATTATATTTGGCAGTTGGATGACAGGATATGTTTTAGAATACCTGAATAAATTAGGGAGGATATATTTCTTTAATATGATTGTTTTAAGTTGTAGATGGCACTCATGGTAATGTTTTAGTAATCTAAATGTACTCGTGTATGTAATTAAAGTTTGGATAATCATTAGTGATATTAAACCCCTCAAAAAATTACATTCTTCCCTGGGTCTAGGAAGCATCTTCTGAGTTAATCTACACTAGCAGTTTTAAAACTGTGTATGTTCCCTAGAACAGTTAGAGGTCTGGAAAGGTATAAGAAATTGGGTGATCAGAATTCTCAGTTCCCTCTTGAAAGCTTCATCCAGGGATGCTTAATTTTTTTGGTTTTGTATGTTGGGATTTCACACAGACATATTTTCTAATTTTGCTATTTCAAAAAATGTTGCAGTACAGACTTTTATGAACATCTGTGATACTCCTTTAATATAGAAGATGAATCATTGGGTAAAAAGATAGTCTTATCTAAAATTTGATAGACTACCAAATTACTTCCCGAACAGTGTTTCCTAGTTTATACTTCTTTCAAAATCTATGGAAACATCATTTCTTTTCATCCTTGACATCATTTAATATTACCATTTTTTTAATTTAAATTTTAGATCTTAAAAATTTGAAAATTTACCAACTTGATTAGAGTGTGTACCTGATTACTAGCCAGGTTTAGCATATTTTTTGCATTTATTTGACATTTGTAGTTTTTCACTGAATTATTATCGAGTCTAAAAATAATCCCTAACACCTCTTTCCTATTTTTATTGGACTTTTTTTTATTACTGATTTTTAGATACTCTATATATTCTAGATACAAATGTGTTCTAAATACTTTTCCTCCTAGTCAGACATTTAGATAAGATTTAATTTGGGGACAAAGATGATTTTTCTAAAAATAATTTCAAAGCTATTAGAGTAGTATTTTTTGATACTATGATTTCTTTTAGATGGATGTTTTTAAAAGACCATAAAGTAAGTAGATATTACAGTTTTCCTTGGGTAATCTGTTCTAGTGTCTCACAGTCCTTATTAACTTTCTCAACTTAAAAAAAATAAATGTGTTAATTAACATCCTACATTAGTCGATATACCTATCTTGCTTATTTGGTACTCTAAAAAAATTTCCTATTAACATGAAGTTACAAGATTTCATTAAGTTTTTAAATTAAATCTCAAATCTTTTGTTACTAAGTAGCAACATGACTGCTTTTCTTCTTAAAATTCATCTGTTTTATAAACTGTCAGCATCATAGTATCCTTCTGGATAATTTGTGAGTGGGCAGCATCTGTACTTTTCAGAAGGGAAGAATAGATATTTAATAATTTACTCAAGGTTGTACCGTTGCAGAATCAGAAATTAGAATCTCAGTCTGTTGAGATGTGCTCTCAAGATAAAATACATGTGCCATGCAAATAGGGCATAGCTTTCTTGTCTAGCAATGGTTGGCCCAGTATGTGGCCCAACATATATTTCCTGTAGAAGGAATGAGAATCACTCCTATGTTGATGACCATAGCTGAACATGACTGGAAGAATTTTAGCATGACCAGTTGACTTTTTTTCCTATCACCACTGGCTAGTTCTGAAGTATAAAGTGTTAAGTTATAAACTGCAGCGTTATAATTCCTCTTCTGGTAAAATGAAAAATCAGTACTGTAATCCCAGCACTTTGGGAGGCCGAGGCAGGTGGACCACCTAAGGTCAGGAGTTCAAAACCAGCTGTGCCAGCATGGTGAAACCTTGTGTCTACTAAAAATACAAAATTAACTGGGCATGGTAGTGCATGCCTGTAATCCAGCTACTCAGGAGGCCAAGGCAGGAGAATCACTTGAACCTGGAAGGCAGAGGTTGCAGTGAACCAAGATCGCGCCATTGCACTCTCAGCCTGGGCAACAAGAGCAAAACTCCGTCTCAAAAAAAAGAAAAGAAAAGAAAAGAAAAATCAGTAACAAATACACAGATTTTTTTTTTATCCATGACTACAAAGGTACCTAACTGAATAATACATCATGATATTTCTTATATCATTGTCCTTGAGAACTTAAGTCTTTTCAATGAAAGAAATGAAATATGAAGTATTTCCCGAGACAGTGTTCTCTAACTTTGGGGTGCATCAAATGCCTGGAGGTCTTGTGAACACAGCTTGCAGGACCCCATTACTTGAATTTCTGACTCAGTAGGTCTGAGATGGGGTCTGAAAATTTGCATTTCTAACAAGTCCTTTTATGATGCTGATGGAGGGACCACACTTTGAGAACCACTACTCTAAACCTTGTGATAAAAATGATGAAAGGTGATGCTAATCAGGATAGCCTTGTTGCCTGTGACCAACTACTTCTGTTTCCTCTTTAACACTGTAGCACTTAGGAATTATCTTATTTCCCCTGGAGAAGATCAAACCTAATAGAATTATGCATGCGCTGTAAGAGATCATCAACCTTACACCTTTTCCCTTGGACCTAGAGCAATTTGAAAAGAGACATTTCCATCAAAGGACATAAAACCTGTAGCTACAGTCACAAGTTAACAATTATCAGGGTGTTTGTACCTGTCTCCTCCATTTGGGTTTTATGCATGAATTATAAAACTAGAGATGGGAAAGTAGGAAGAGGATGAAGGAGTAGCTTCCAAACTGTTACTCCAATAGAGATTTCATACTAATTTTGAATTGAAAATGATTAGTCAGTTTAGATTCTTATAAGGCATACCACACTATTGAAAAATAATAAAATGCTATAGAGAGATATTATCATTGTGCTACATGTTTTGTTGTACGTTACTGTTGAGTTTTTATTCCAGACTTTCTTTTGATTATTTTTGGTCCTGAGCAATTTTAAAAGGCACATAGTAGAAACTGCTGGTTGCTTAGTATCCAATTACCCACCTTTTCTCCTCCTTTTTTACCCCTTCTTATTGTATTTAAGGTGGCAGTGTTTCCAGTGATACATTTCTCAGTGTTTTCTGCAGTTGGGTGCAACCATTGAAATATAAGCAGAGGGGCCGGGCACTGTGGCTCACGCCTGTAATCCCAGCACTTTGGGAGGCCGAGGTGGGAGGATCATGAGGTCAGGAGATCGAGACCATCCTGGCTAACGTGGTGAAACCCCATTTCTACTAAAAATACAAAAAATTAGCCGGGCGTGGTGGCGGGTGCCTGTAGTCCCAGCTACTCAGGAGGCTGAGGCAGGAGAATGGCTTGAACCCATGAGGTGGAGCTTGCAGTGAGCCGAGATCACACCACTGCACTCCAGCCTGGGCAACAGAGCAAGACTCCGTCTAAAAAAAAAAAAAGAAATATAAGCAGAGGTAGTTGGGTAGGGCTTCTGATAAAATTCCTTAAAGAAGGCTCAGCTGGAAGGTTCTCTTTTATAACCCTTCCTCTTCCTCTCTCCCTGGCATTTGGATGTCTTAGTGGGCCATCCCGGACTCTAAGGCCACTTTGAAATTGGAAGCCAAGCACTAGTAGAGCAGGAAGGAGCCTTGATGCCAAATGACCACAGACGAACATTTCCAGCCCTGGACTATGTACTGTCAAATTGGAGAGAGAAATAAATGTCTCTCTTGTTTAACCAGTTTATTTGGATTTTCTGTTATTTGTAAGCAAACCTTGCCATTTATGTTGAAGATGGCATTGTCTGTCTTTGTTAATGAGGGGTGTCTCTTTAAAACCTACGAGGTGTTTTCACAGGTGACTTTGTAAGTTCATTGTAAATTATTCCACATGTATCACTGGATCCCCGTCATCTTACATCTTTTCTTTCTTCTTCTTTTCACCTAGTGAAATAGTGTGTCTTTTGGAGTCAGGTACACCTGTTTTATTTTTAACAAGTTTATTGAGGCGTAATTACAGAACATAAAATTCACTGCTTTTAAATTTACAATTCAGCAGTTTTTAGTGAATTTACTGGTTTACAAACATTACCGTGATTCAGTTTTAGAACATGTCAACCCATTTACGTTATCCCTTGTGCCTGTTTGCAGTAAATCCCCACCTCAGCCTCAGAAGACCACCAATCTAATTTCCTTCTCTATATATTTAACTTTTGGGACATTTCTTATAAATAGAATCGTGATGTGGTCTTTTGTATTACCTTGTTTTAGTGAGCATAATGTTTTGAGGTTTATTTATAATTTAGCACACATCCATAGTTCATTCCTTTTTATTATTGAACAGTATTTTATTGAATGAGTATACTGTATTTTGTTTATCCATTCATCAGTTAATGGACATTGGGTTGCATCCACTTTTCAGCTATTGTGAATATGCTGCTGTGAACATTGCTCTTCAAGTCCTTAACACACCTGGCTTTGAATCTTAGCTCTGCTCAATAGGCTGGTGACCTTTGGCAAATTGCCTAACTACTGGTCTCTAAAACCTGTGATTTTCTTATCTCTAAAAGGTGATCATACAGACTTCCTCATGGAGTTGCTGTGAGGATTAAATGAAATACCTTACGAGATCCTTTGTTTAGCAATCTAAACACTGGAAACATACGAGCAATAGAATTGTCTCAAAAGCATGTATTAAAACAACCCTCACTGTTATAGTGATTTTCAGTAATGCACTGTGGGTGGTGATAGTGGGACCCACAGGGCCTCAAATAACTACTTAGTATTGTCTTGATAGTTTATTCATTCACTAAGGACAGAGTGGTACATATCACACCAGAAGCTGTAGTGACTGTATTGTGATAGTCCTGGTATTGCACAAGTTGTGACTTTTTCATTGCTCATATGGTTTGGCAAGTAAGAACCATCTTAAAGTTCAGAATTGTAGTGTGCCGGTACATAATATGCTCTTATAACTTATTTATAAAAGAAGGAAAAGCCGAAAGAGTATATCCACAAGATCTGCATCATTTTTTTTTTCTCTTTTCTTTACTGGTAGGTAAAATACCTAAAGTTTGGACATATTATTAATCCAGAACATTTAGGCTCCAGGCGTCCTGGCTACATAATTTTCTATTATACCCTCTTAGGTGTGTGCCTGAGGTCTGTGAATTAAACAATAAAAAAGACAAATTCACAAGATTAAAAAAGAAGAAGCACACCAGTTTTATTTTAAATTTTACATGTGTGGAATCAGAAAGGAAGTGAAATCTCAAGTAGTTAGATTGGGGGGCTTATATACAATTTTAACAAAGGGTACTAAATTGTTGAGAATTGACTAGACAAAGAGGGTTTGGGTTTCTAGGGGCAAAAAAAATATTGTGGGAAGATGAGATATATGGGGGAAACTAATGACAGGTAAGGGTTATTTCGTAAGGGTTGATTATGCAAACTCATTTCAGTGTTCTCTCTGTCTCTGGTGATAAGGATTGTTCTTCATTTGCTGGCACGGGAGTAGGAGCGGGCCTTCACAAGAGAGAATTAATGCCCACTTTTAGGCAGATGGGGGAGGGCAGAGAGCTATTCCTGTTTCTGTTTTTTCTCAGTTGCCTTCAGCTCAAAATCATCCTTATTCCAATGTGGCATATTTTGGGGTGACATATTCTGGTTCCCTTAAGTATAATCATTGTAGAGCAAATGCAGACACAGTACCTGTGATGTAAATATTTAGTGAATGAATTTAGTCCTGTGTGAAATCCTCCCTCCCCTCCCTTCCCATTCCTTCCCACCACTTCACGCTTAACCACAGTGCAGCATTCTTACTTTTTGGGGTGACATATTCTGGTTCCCTTAAGTATAATCATTGTAGAGCAAATGCAGGCACAGTACCTGTGATGTAAATATTTAGTGAATGTTAGTCCTGTGTGAAATGCTCCTCTCCCCGCCCTTCTCATTCCTTCCCACCACTTCACGCTTAGCCACAGCGCAGCATTCTTACTTTTCTCCTCCTGCTCAGCTTGGAGAATTCAGATGTCGATGAGACAAAATGGATCCTACTCTCCTGGAGATTACAGTCTAGCAGGGGAAATGTATATTAAGCAAATATCACACAAATAGTTGTTAAGTTGTGATAACTGCTGTGAAAGGAACGTATAGAGTGCTTTGAAAATGCCCTGGCATGGTGGCTCACGCCTGTAATCCCAGCACTTTGGGAGGCTGTGGCAGGTGGATCACCTGAGGGCAGGAGTTCAAGACCAGCCTGGCCAACATGGGGAAACCCCGTCTCTACAAAGAATACAAAAATTAGCCAGGCGTGGTGGCTCGTGCCTATAATCCCAGCTGCTCGGGAACTAAGGCAGTAGAATCACTAGAACCCAGGAGGCAGAGGTTGCAGTGAGCCGAGATTGCGCCACTGCACTCCAGCCTGGGCGATAGAGTGAGACTCCATCTTAAAAAAAAAAAAGAAAATACATAGTACAGGATCTAGCCTAGTCTACAGAGTCAGAAATCTTCTCTGGGGAGGATCTCTGAAGGATCCTAGCATCAGGGAGATGGAGCAGAGGCAAGAAAGGGCATGCCAAACATAGGGAAGATAGTTGTGAAGGCTCCCAGTGAAGAAGAAGATCAATGCGCACAAGAAATTGAAAGAAGGTAGCGTAGTGAGGGAGAGCTTAGCTCAAAACCAAACCAAACCAAACAAAAACAAACTGGAGAGTTAACTGAGCTTAGGTCATTCTGCGCTGTGGTTAAGCGTGGTATTAGTCATCTGATTTTTGGCAAGTTACTCCTTCTACGCCTCAGTCTGTTACATTAAGGTTGATCATTCTCATCTTCAGGGAGGCAGTTAAAATGGAAAATAAATCATATGAAACTGGCCAGGTGCGGTGGCTCACGCCTGCGGGCGGATCAGTTGAGGCCAGAAATTCGAGACCAGTCTGGCCAGTGTGGCAGAACCCCGTCTCTACTAAAATACAAAAACTAGCCGGGCCTGGTGGCACACACCTGTAGTTTCAGCTACTTGGGAGACTGAGGCAGGAGAATCACTTGAACCTGGGAAATGGAGGCTGCAGTGAGCCGAGATCGCGCCACTGCACTCCATCTTGGGTGACAGAGCAAGACTTCATCTCAAAAAAATATATAAATAAATAAAGTATGTGAAACTTTTAACTGTATGTCTGGTATTTTTAAAAATTTTTATTTTTAAATTTTTATATATTTACTTATTTTTGAGACTTAACTGGGTTATGAGACTGGCTAATTTTTGTATTTTTGGTAGAAACAGGGTTTCACCATGTTGTCCAGGCTGGTCTCAAACTCCTGAGCTCAAGCGATCCATCGCCTTGGCCTCCCAAAGTGCTGGGATTACAGGCACAAGCCACCACACCCGGCTTGATATTATTTTTATCATTAAAAGTTTTACCTGTTTTCTAGGAAAAGCATTCTAAGATATTTTACACATTTTTCTGTCTTTTTGAACATAATATTTTAAACATGATACACCTTTTATTGATAACTTCAGGTTGTCATTATCAGCTTCAAACAGCATACTATACTAAAGTTTAGGTCTGATTGTCCTTGATTTAAATGATCCAGTATCCTGTCTTTTTGTGTTCTTGGGTCTGATTTGTATTTAATTTGTTATTTGTTTCCTTATTGTCAGGCATTTTCTTCCTGCTCATAGCTTACTGTCTTCTAGTAGTCTTTGTTTCCTTCTTTCTTTTGGAGTTAGAAATTGGATATAAGAATGTGTTGCTCTTTGTAAAGTTAAAGTAAATAGACCTGAGGTGAGTAATAAGGCTTGTGAAATTTTAACATCTGTCTTGTCCCTTGAGAGGCCATTTTTGTTTACTTTCAATTCTTGGTTATTATGAAGATTCATGAAATTGCTGGATATGTGAGCTGTATCTGCTCTCCAATTTGCCGGACAGTAATTGGACAGAGGAGAAAATTGGCTGTTCCATTGGGTAGTGTTTTCCTAGCACATTGTGGCTGGCTGGCTCAGGGCGCTATATCATGCTTATTAATTTATGTATGTAATGTGATACTTAGCATTTATTGTTTGTTATACTCAGACATTGTTCTAGGTGCTTTACATGTATTAATGGTATTGATAATATTTTATTTCTATTGTGTAATCAATTTGATTAATTTAGTTCTAATATCCATCTTATTGGAACATCGTTTTTTGTTTTTTTTTTTCTTTTGAGACAGGAGTCTCGCTCTGTCGCCCAGGCTGGAGTGCATTGGCGCGATCTCAGCTCACTGCAGCCTCCACCTCCCCGGTTTAAGCGATTCTCTTCCCTCAGCCTCCTGAGTAGCTGGGACTACAGGCGCATGCCACCGCGCCCAGCTAATTTTATATTTTTAGTAGAGACGGAGTTTCACTGTGTTAGCCAGCATTGTCTCAATCTGCTGACCTCATGATCCGCCTTTCTCAGCCTTCCAAAGTGCTGGGATTACAGGCGTGAGCCACTGTGCACGGCCTGGAACATCTTTATACTTAAAACAAGTAACTTTCTTTTTCTCCATGTAATTTCTGATAAATCCACTCCTGGAATGAATGTTTTAGAAAATTTGACCAAGAGGTGCTTTTGAGCAGCATTAGATAACCCCTTCAGTATCTAAATGATTGATGAGAGGAGAGACTCCTTAATCTAGATTTAGAGACTTTCCATACTGGCAGCAAGATGTACCAGAGTTCTTAAGAGGAGACTAATGAAAATATAAACATTTGTACAGAAGAATAGGTTAACATTTTTTGAGTTGATTACATAGCAAGGAAAACTTGAGGTTTTATACTTAGGAGTGCTAGGAACTAGGCATTGTAATGAGAAAAATCTGGGCCCTGCAGGAGAATGTGAATTATTTTTGATCCAGTACTTTATGCTCATTGTACTATGATAAATGATATCATTTCATATAAGGGCATTTTAATCTGATGCATTAGACTAAGGATAGTCTGAACTTTTTTGTTGCTACCACCACTTCAGTCTTTATCATTAATGAGAAGCTCAGATTGATAAAGTAATATTAAACTATTATTCTTAATATATTAATGTCAAAATAACAATTTTTTAGAGCACTTTTTTGTATACATCTCTACAAGATAGTTTATTTTGCTTACTAGCTGCTCAGCTTTTTTATATGTGGAATATGGATTTACTTGATTGTTTTAGATTATTATACTGAGAGGAGGATAAAGAACTGGACCAATATTGTTTGTGCAATTAGTTAATGCTGATGCACAGTGCAGTATATTGCAAGAACTTCAGGACATACTTTTTTAGGTGGGTTTGTAAAACCTGTATATCTTCCAACCATGGAGATTACTCCAATCAGTAGCCCAAGTGTGCATACACACACACACACACACACACGTATACATATATGTGTAATTATGTATAAATATATGCACATATATACATATATATACACGTGTATATATGTACACACATTTATACGTGTGTATTTTACATATACATATACATATAGTGAGAGAGAAAGAGAGAGAGAGACTGTTTCATTCTGTTACCTTGGCTGGATTACAGTGACAAGGTCATAGATTACTGCAGGGTAGAACTCCTGGGCTCAAGTGATCCTCCCACCTCAGCCTCCCCATTAGCTGGGTCTGTAGGCAAGAGCCAACATGTCTGGCTAATTTTCAAATTTTTTGTAGTGACAAGGTCTTGCTACATTGCCCAGGCTGGTCTCAAACTCCTGGCCTCAAGCGATTCTCCTGCCTTGGCCTCCCAAAGTGCTGGGATTCCAGGGGTGAGCCAGAGTTCCTGACCGGCACTGATTTTTTTAATCAAATCAAGTTTTTACAGAAGTAAAAACAGATGCTTCACTATAGCCAGTTTCTAAAGAATTCACCAACAACATCTCTTCTTATATAGTCATTCTTTATAGTCATTATCAAAATTGTGTACAAATGTATTGAAGAGCTTTATTGTAATTGTGGTTTCATCAATCTGAATAGAAAATTTGTCACCTAGTTGCTCTTCAGTGTTAATTGACTTATTATCTGTGTATCTGCGAATTGAACCATTGCTCAATGGCAGTGCTTTAAAATACTGGAAGACTATCGATGCATCACTATTGAAATTACAGTCTCTAAGGTGGATAATATGACAGTCTTAGCAACTGTGTCACCACTACAAGGTTTTGGGGACTTTTTTGTTTTGTTATTTTGTTTTCACGTTTTAAAAAGCAGCTGTATGGAAATACAATTCACATACCATACTGTTCACCCATTTCATATGTATAATTTAGTGGTTTTTAGGGTGTTCACAAAGTATATAACCACACCACAGTCAATTTAAGGACATTTTCGTCATCCTCAAGAGAATTTCTGTACCTGTCAACAGTCACTCCCTCTTCTTTCTTTTCTCCTCTAGTCTTAGGCAGACAAAATTATTCTGTCTCTAAAAAATTGTCTTTTCTGGACATTTCATGTAATGGAATCTTATAAGATGTGGTCTTTCGTGACTGGCTTTTTTCACTTAGGTCTTCAAGTTCATGCATGTTGTAGCATTGGTCTCTATTTCATTGCTGAATAATATTCTGTTGTATGGACATTTTATATATCTCTTCATGAACTGTTGATGGGCATTTGTGTTTTTTCCAATTTTTGGGTACTATGAATAACATTCATGTGCAGGTGCAGGATTTTATATGCACATGTTTTCATTCTGCTTGGGTAAACACCTAGAAGTGGAAAGTCTGGATCATATGGTCATTCGGGGTTTATTCTTTTGGGAAACTGCCAAACTAGCTGCTCATTTTTTTTTTTTTTACAGAATTTATACCACTTATTTACAGTCGAAAACATTTAGTTAAGATATTTTTACTTTAGGCCATTGTCTTCAAGGTGAGTTGTTTATTCTTCCCTCTTTGATGTGTGAACTTGTCCATTTGTGATGTAGATTAGTCATCACATCACAAATAGTAAATGTAAATATACCATTTATACACATCCACCTAAATCTATTCTTTCTAAAATGCATATATCTATTTATCTTTCTGATGAACCAAGGGACATAAGTATGCCATAACCATAATGAGATTGATACTAATTTGGACAATGAGAGTAAATGAGTCCTTCACAGAGCAAAAGGAATTCTATACATTTATTTAAAAGACAAATATTTGATTTGTAAAAATAATATTAAGACAGTTGGAAGACATGTTTGAAACTGCATGGGAGGGAGTGTGATTAATAGAAAGTGTAGGGTTGGGAAGGAGGATTAGTTATGGCAGTTCCACAATGAGTCTGGAAGTTTAATAAAGGAAGTGTGCAGGGAATAACAGAAAAATCAAGGAAAAGGTAGTACCTGCTACTATCAATTGTCTGTTGAGATGGGAAAATGAAGCCTACAAATCTATTAATCATTTGAAGATATTAACAAAGATAATATATAATTTTTGTTCTCTGAGTTCCTTCCCCCGCTCCATGTGTATTAGCTCATTTTCATGCCGCTGATAAAGGCATACCTGTGACTGGGCAATTTACAAAACAAAGAGGTTTAATGGAGTCATAGTTCCACATGGCTGGGGAGGCCTCACAATCATGGCTGAAGGTGAAAGGCACATCTCACATGGCCACAGATGAGAGAAGAGAGCTTGTGCAGGGAAACTACCCTTTATAAAACCATCAGATCTTGCGAGACTTATTCACTATCATAAGAATAGCATGGGGAAGACCCGCCTCCATGATTCAATTACCCCCCACTGGATTCCTCCCACAATACGTGGTAATTAAGGGAGCTACAAGTCAAGGTGAGATTTGGATGGTGACACAGCCAAACCATATCACCATGTAAGAGTTTTGAATCTTGTCTCTAACTTATTTTGGACTCAAATTAGAAATTAGTCTTTCACTGGGCATATGCATATATCAGTTAGCTTTTACTACGTGATGAATCACCCCATACTTAGTGGATTAAAACATCAAACATTTTTATTGTTCATTGGTCTGGGACTCGACTATGTAGTTCTTATGATTTGGACTGGCTCGATTAGGGTTGGATGATCTAGGATGGTGCCAGATGGGATGCTTAGGGGCTGAGGTCTTCTTCTCTGCATTGGTTTTCATCCTTGAAGAGGTCAGCTGGGGCTTATTCACATGGGAGCAAGCCTGCTGTGCTCAAGCAGTCTTCACGTTTGGGCTTGCATCATATTTGCTAGTATCCTGTAGTTTAACCCAGATTTGATGGGTGGAGAAATCGGCCGTATTTTTTGATGGGAGGTCCTGCAAAGTCAAAGTCCAAAAGCGGTGTGCACGCAGAGATGGTAAGAAATTTTGCCCCCCACCCCCTTTTTTTTTTCGTTACAGTCTTCTATACTGTCTAAAGAATTAAGATTATTCATTCATGCCCTCTCCTATTTTTTTTTTTCATTCTCCTAAGGTAGTTTTATGTTGAGATTATTCATTCATGGCCTCTCCTATTTTTTTTTTCTTTCTCCTAAGGTAGCTTTAGGTTTCTTTCCTGAGGAAATTGTGTGAGATATAGAAGAAATAACTTAAAAGAATTGAAAACAGGGACTCAAACAGATATTTTATACCCATGTTCATAGCAGCATCATTCACATTAGTTAAAAGACAGAAGCAACCCAAATATCCATCAGTGGATAAATGGAAAAATAAAATGTAGTGTATACATAGCATAGAATGTTACTCAGCCTTTAAAAGGGTGGACATTCTAACACATGCTACAACATGGATGAACCTTGGGGACATTATAATAATACAGTCGCGAAAGGACAAATATTGTATGACTCCACTTATAGATGGTATCTAAAGTAGTCACATTCATAGAAACAGAAAGAATGATGGCTGTAAGGGGTGGGATGGAGGGGAATAAGGGAATGGAGAGTTATTTAATGGGTAGTTTCAGCTTGGGAAGATGAAAAAAGTTCTGGAAATGGATGATGGTGATGATTGCACAACACCATGAATGTACTTAATACTACTGAACTGTATACTTAAAAATAGTAAAAATGGTAATTTTTATGTTATGTATATTTTTCCTCAATTAAAAAAGTATATTCACTGCAACAGTGAAAAATTGGCAACTTCTAAATATCTAACAAGAGAGAAAAGGTAGCTAAGTAAATATTTCATTTAAGTTTTAGTAAATATTGGTTATTAATTTAGGTTGGGTGTGATGGCTCATGCTTGTAATCCCAGCAATTTGGGAGGCTGAGGTGGGTCAATTGCTTGATTCCAGGAGTTTGAGACCAGCCTAGGCAACATAGCAAACCCTTGTCTCTATAAAAAATACAAAAATTAGCTTGGCGTGGTGGCATACACCTGAAGTTCCTACTCAGGAGCTACTCAGGTGGCTGAGGTGGGATAATCGCTTGAGCCCAGGAGGTCGAGGCTGCAGTAAGCTGAGATTATGCCAGTGCGCTCCAGCCCGGGCAACAGAGTGAGACCCTATCTTAAAAAAAAGGAAGTATTAGTTACTCATTTAAATGTTTGTGAAGACTATTTAATAAGAGAAAATACATCATAAATAAAATCAAGGCATAAATTTAAACACTACAGCCTCAAACATGTAAATAAAATGCATAAAAACAGGTATGTACTGCCTTTCAAACCATGAGATACAGTTATTTAAAAATAGGAGAAAAAAAGCCAAAGAGGAATCAATCCATAGCCTTTTTAATAGAAAAGAAAAATATGATAGAAGTTGAGTACAACCTAATTAGCCTCCAAATGAGAATTCAAAATAGTTTAGAGAAGTTGAGCATTTGTCGGAAGTCAAGTTGTCCAGCCAGTACCGTTAGGAAGTTTTCAGATGAACTTCCCAGTGTAAAGCAGACCATCAGATCAATGGAAATGAATACACATCTCAGTTTCTATAAGAACAGTAGGTTCTTACTGGAAAGGATGTAGTCAGTAAATGGTACTACAGAAATTTGGAAAAATCTCACAGATAATGTGTGGTTTAATTCACCTCACATTAGCTGATAAAATTAATTACAGATAGCTAAGTAGTAAAATATAACAAATGAAACAAAAAAATTAGAAGGTAAAAGTAAATATTTATTAAATGCTTGGATATACAAATACTTCTTGCGTAATGAAAGAACTCTAAGAGGAAATGATAGCTTAATATTACCACAAAAATGTAAAACTTTTAATAATCCAAACATATAAAATTAAAAGCCAAAAAATTTAATTGAATAATGTTGCCACAAATATGACAGAAAGGCTAAAGTTCTTACCAGATAAAATCCTCTTTTGGGTGAAAACCTGAGCATGTATCTTATTCCTGTTCTTGCCACAATATTTTATAGTTACTGTTTTTGTATCAGTCTCACTTGGGGTGGGGTGTGTGTGTGTGTACCTTTTAGATCTTGGTATTTTCAGGGACAAACACAAAGTCTAGTCCAGAAGGCATTTTGTAAATGTCTGAGTATGAACAAATTGGATTCTGGGGCTATTATTTTACTGAGGTCTGAAATGCTGACAAATGCATTTGTTAATCGATGAAGCAGATTTGAGAAGGGGATAGAAAAATGTTCAGTTAAGTTACTGTGCAAATGCAGCATACATTAACTTTCTTGGTGGAAAATATTTTAAAAGATGAAATATATATTCCAATAAAATATTTGGTGGCTATTGAAGTCACATTACAAAATGCAGCTACCACACATTGTTAGTTTATATGAATCAATTACAGGGGAGATCTTTCTGGTGCCATTTTTAATTTTTCCTCCTTCCAGTTGCTGAAGCCCTACCTTCATTCCTCTTGTCTTAATTTTCCCGCTCCCTTCTCTTTACCTCCTTTTTTCTCTATTCTCCCTTCCTTTCTTTTCCTTTCTCTATCGCCTTCTCCACAACAGCTCAGTAAAAGAGTGAAGTTTTTGAGTTTCATTTATGCCTTTCCCTGTTTTGCTATAAAAATCAACCAAGGATGCTTTTAGATAGCACCAGTATGATGAGGGAAATAAGCTTTCATTGCAGGATGATTACTGTTGGTGATGATGTATAAAATAAAGGGAGGGATGTTATGTGGAATGTTGACCCTTCAGGGCTTGTAAATGCACATTACGTGGTCTGGATGGTAAACTAAGTGAATTTAATATTAGCTACTGGAAATGACAGTGTTTATAAATTTTCAAAATGACGTTTGTATCTGTCAGGCTTTAGCTTTTATTGTATCGAATACACTTACTTTATTTTAATATTTTTCTAGAGCTGCTTTATGCTATGGGAAACACTAGTTGGAAATTGAAAACCCTAGACATTAGATGATTTTTATTTAACATTATCTTTTGTATTAGTTGTAATTATAATTTTCTGTTTGTAAGTCACTCTCCCAAAGCACAGGAGAAAAAAACAAATTTTTCTTCCATGATTTTCTCACTGAGAATAATTCGTCTTATCTACTTAAAAATACGTTCTTTTAAACAATAAAAGTGGCTCTATCTAAGGCTGTTACTTTATAAAATTGGAAAGTATTTATTTGTTAACACTTATTTATTTCTGTAGTCTTTGAAATTTGTATTCTCCCCCAATGTATTTTAGCAAAATGGGAGAAATGAAGGATAACCTAGAATTACATTCCCAGAGCAAAATATACTGTATTTATTATTTGTGATTCATTTCAGTTCCGTGTTTTTTTTTTGTTCGTTTGTTTGCTTGTTTTTTGAGACGGGGTCTCACTCTGTCAGCAGGCTGGAGTGCAGTGGTGCAGTCTTGGCTCACTGCAACCTCTGCCTCCTGGGCTCAAGCAATTCTCCTGCCTCAGCCTCCCGAGTAGCTGGGACTACAGGCACGTGCCACCACGCCCGGCTAATTTTTTGTATTTTTAGTAGAGACGTGATTTCACCATGTTAGCCAGGATGGTCTCGATCTGCTGACCTCGTGATCCGCCTGCCTCGGTCTCCCAAAGTGCTGGGATTACAGGTGTGAGCCACCATGCCCGGCCCCATTTCAGTTCTGTTTTATGTATGTGTTTGTAACTTTAACAATATAATAATAATGGTGTGGATTCAGTTTTTTTTTTTAAACTGGATTTGAGTAGTTTATGACTCCTGTTTATTAAATCAAAATCAGCAAAAGTATTTCATCAATATTTGTCCTCTTCAAACATTTTAGTAAATTTTAGAAAGTTAAAGTGGAGTTGAATACCAGTCGTAAAGCTAGTAATACCTCTTCCAAAACAAACATACAAACAAACCCCTGAACTACAGTTGTGGACCTTCATTATCTTTCTGAGTGTTGTGCCTTAATGTGTTTGAGTCTCTCTGAGATGCATAATACGTGTTATTTGTTTGAGTTTCAGCCATAACTTAGTAGTGATTTTTCTCCATTATAGACTTTGCACATAATGAATTTCAGGAAATACACAACAACAGCTTCTTCCGCTTGTAGATAAAGACAGTAATATGATGGAGTGATCAAATACAAATGCTCCTTTAATTTATTTTACCAAGACATTTATCCATGTTTTATTTATAAGGCAATTGAAGTCATTCATTTTGTATGGAACTCTTCCTCTTCTGAATAACAAATAATATATTATCATATATAGCGCATTGGGGGAGGGAGTGATGAAAGCCAAACTTGAAAATAAAAGTTTAATATTTTGGGCTCATTGGGCACAATTATAGTGTTACTATCTTTGTTTTCAACTGAATCATAATTGTGTGTGCAGATTTTGAAAAAACCAGGATGGCATACGGCACAGAGTAGTATGGAAAAGAGAAAATTCTTTGTTGGAAGAGAGGGTTTTTTTTCCCTCCAGTTGAAGAGCATTTTAAATGCACAAAATCTGTCTCAGAAATATCCCTTTGAAAGATCTTTGCATACACAAGATTTAAAATGCTTTCATTCTGTGGGTGACTAGAATGAAATGGGAGCCTACATTCCCAAGAATCTCTGATATGACCATATAAAAACCATGACCAACTGGTTTGTTTTTAACTCTTACCATGTACGAGCCCATTTGAAGGGCATGGGCAATACTTCGTTTCTGAACCAAGTCAAGTTGACTGCTGGCATTTAACTCACCACCTTGTGTTTGCTGTTGCCTGATGCCAGTAAGAAATACATCGAAAGCTGTAATATAATGATAACCATTATTTGCCCTCAGTTAAAAATCTAGCTAATGGGTCTGATGTGCCCACAGCTTCATATTGCTTGAGACTGCCCCCTTCTAGGATATTTTAGAATAAAAGATCAGACCAGAAAGAAAAGTTTAAAGCTCAGGATATCATAGAATAAATGGAAGATAACCAGCTAGTTCTGTTAAAGCAGACTCTATATTTTAAATTCAGTAAGGATTTAAGTATATTAATGGTTACTAGTTTCCTATAAATTAGTTTGGGGAGGTCCATGTAACATTGAAGTCATAGTTCACTGCCATGTTTTTCCAAAGTATGTTCACAGGTGTTTGGAATACGTATGATCTAATCTGAAAATTAAGAGTATATATACCTTTCAGTTCTTTTTTTTTTTTTTAATTATACTTTAAGTTTTAGGGTACATGTGCACATTGTGCAGGTTAGTTACATACGTATACATGTGCCATGCTGGTGCGCTGCACCCACTAACTCGTCATCTAGCATTAGGTATATCTCCCAATGCTATCCCTCCCCCCTTCCCCCACCCCACAACAGTCCCCAGAGTGTGATGTTCCCCTTCCTGTGTACGTGTGATCTCATTGTTCAGTTCCCACCTATGAGTGAGAATATGTGGTATTTGGTTTTTTGTTCTTGCGATAGTTTACTGAGAATGATGATTTCCAATTTCATCCATGTCCCTACAAAGGACATGAACTCATCATTTTTTTATGGCTGCATAGTATTCCATGGTGTATATGTGACACATTTTCTTAATCCAGTCTATCACTGTTGGACATTTGGGTTGGTTCCAAGTCTTTGCTATTGTGAATAGTGCCGCAATAAACATACGTGTGCATGTGTCTTTATAGCAGCATGATTTATAGTCATTTGGGTATATACCCAGTAATGGGATGGCTGGGTCAAATGGTATTTCTAGTTCTAGATCCCTGAGGAATCGCCACACCGACTTCCACAATGGTTGAACTAGTTTACAGTCCCACCAACAGTGTAAAAGTGTTCCTATTTCTCCACATCCTCTCCAGCACCTGTTGTTTCCTGACTTTTTAATGATTGCCATTCTAACTGGTATGAGATGGTATCTCATTGTGGTTTTGATTTGCATTTCTCTGATGGCCAGTGATGATGAGCATTTTTTCATGTGTTTTTTGGCTGCATAAATGTCTTCTTTTGAGAAGTGTCTGTTCATATCCTTTGCCCACTTTTTGATGGGGTTGTTTTTTTCTTGTAAATTTGTTTGAGTTCATTGTAGATTCTGGATATTAGCCCTTTGTCAGATGAGTAGGTGGTGAAAATTTTCTCCCATGTTGTAGGTTGCCTGTTCACTCTGATGGTAGTTTCTTTTGCTGTGCAGAAGCTCTTTAGTTTAATTAGATCCCATTTGTCAATTTTGGCTTTTGTTGCCATTGCTTTTGGTGTTTTAGACATGAAGTCCTTGCCCATGCCTATGTCCTGAATGGTAATGCCTAGGTTTTCTTCTAGGGTTTTTATGGTTTTAGGTCTAACATTTAAGTCTTTAATCCATCTTGAATTGATTTTTGTATAAGGTGTAAGGAAGGGATCCAGTTTCAGCTTTCTACATATGGCTAGCCATTTTCCCAGCACCATTTATTAAATAGGGAATCCTTTCCTCATTGCTTGTTTTTCTCAGGTTTGTCAAAGATCAGATAGTTGTAGATATGTGGTGTTATTTCTGAGGGCTCTGTTCTGTTCCATTGATCTATATCTCTGTTTTGGTACCAGCACCATACCTTTCAGTTCTTACTATATCTTTCAACAGTGAGCTCTTCCTTAGTACTTTGAGTGTATCTGGCTTATAAACTACTATTTCAAGAATATCTCTTATATAGAGATCCAAGCATACCTGATTATTATAAAGACTCTAGGTTGTGATTGTTTTAATATCCAGTTTGTCTTTCACAAAGTTACTCTATTGTCAGTGCATTTGAAATCCTTTCTTTACGAAGAGTCTGTGACATCTTGTAAGTGTAACATATAGCTTTCTTGAATTGTCTACCATACTGTAAGAGCTATGGTTCTTGGAGTGCTTCATAGTGTCCCTTCTGGGGTACGTTAGGATGGAGGACGCAGGATTTTGGATGGAGGAAAATGTGACTCCTGATATTGTGTTTGCTGAATTATTAATATCACTGAGCTGCCTTTTTCTTAGAATAGCCACTGCTGGTAGGCTAATATTTCTAAGGTCAAACTGATTGCTAGAAATTATTCCTGTTGAGATCAGCTAGGCCATTTCAACCTTTACTTAGGTTTTATTGTAATTTTCAAGTGAGAATAATAAGCTAGTGTTGCTTCCTAACTTTTCTGTGTGTGTATTTCAGAACAGAACAATTGCATATGTTTCTTGGCAGATTCTTTTTCATGATGTGGTTTATGCTGGAGTTGGTGAGACTGCTTCAGAGCATTTCCTCTTCCCCATCTTATGCCTTTCTGAAATAGAGTTTTTAATACTTTTTAAGTCATGGACCCCTTTTGACCTGTCAGGATAATGCTGTTTACTGTGTTAATGAATGCAAAGAGTACAAAAGGAAACCCACTATATTGAAATACAGGTACAATAAATAAGAAGATCTAGTGTCAAGTCTAATAATACTATAATTTCAAAGTAGTTATGAGTATAGGTGTAATTTTGAGATACCTGCAACACCTGTAATATAGTATGAAAGTATTTGTTATTTCTGTTGGTGACAGAATTGCAGGTATGTTAATACTGTTGTAGTTGTCTGTAATCATAGTTGAAGGAAATGCTAAATTTCAGTAGAGGTTAGTGAAATAAAAGATACGTGTTTTCCCCCTCTAAGGTCATGCCCTTTTTGAATTCTTTCCATGGATTCCAGATTAAGAAGTATTTTTCTAATGGGATTCCTGGTTTTCTGATTACTATTTCTCCTGAGCCAATATTCCAGAGAGAGAGACTGCGATTTGCCTTTCTTTCCTAAAGGGCTGAGTTCCCCAAACATTAGTGACAAGGCCTATAGTGCTGCTGAGGCTCCAGTATCTTTCACTTATTCTGCCAGAAGAGACACTTGGTTGGTACATTATTTTCTTTTTCCCAGATAATTGGCTCTTTCTGTTTTGAGAGACCAATACAATATTGTTACCAGGCTGTTGAGAAATTCTTATTTCTTTGGAATGGTATAAACCAAAGGATAAATCAGTTTTTCAGAAATCCCTAGTCTTTTTCTTTCTAATATGCTCAAATGTTAATCTTATTTATAAATCTTGATGACTCTTTCTTTATTCAAGTTGATATCAGGTTAGGAATTTGCGATATGGGATTGCTAATTTAAAATACACCAGTTATTCACTGGACTAAGAAGAAAGATCAAATTGGCTTGCAGAGAATTCTTTAAAAACAATGAAAACAAGAACAAACAAAGATTTTATAAAATTTTATCCATTGATCCTACATTCTGTTGCTCAAGAGAGAAGCTTACCAGGATGTGACTTTCTGAAGCCAGTGAATTTATCATGACTACCTGGTTTAGCACATAGATTCGCAAAGGCATTTCATGTCCCTGGGCCCAGTAGAGAGAATCAGCAGTAAGAATACAATTACTTTAATTTTACTGTAGAAACGTAATCAAAAGTAGATATAGCCGGGCGTAGTGGCTTTCGCCTATAGTCCCAGCACTTTGGGAGGCTGAGATGGGCAGATCACGAGGTCAAGAGATCGAGACCATCCTGGCCAACATGGTGAAACCTCGCCTCCACTAAAAATACAAAAAAATTAGCTGGGCATGGTGGCATGTGTCTGTAGTCCCAGCTACTCGGGAGGCTGAGGCAGGAGAATCACTTGAACCCAGGAGGTGGAGGTTGCAGTGAGCCGAGATTGCGCTACTGCACTCCAGCCTGGCAACAGAGCGAGACTCCGTCTCAAAAACAAAAACAAAAACAAAAACAAGAAGTAGATATAGATGATAATGGAAAAGGGGGCAAAGTTACAAAGGGACAATAACCATAATACCACCCCTGTTAACTGGATTTTTCTTACATCAAACTGTAGTTGTTTTAAAATAATATGTATTTAGCTGGGCCCAGTGGTTCACGCCTGTAATCCCAGCATTTTGGGAGGCTGAGGTGGGTGGATCACCTGAGGTCAGGAGTTCGAGTCCAGCCTGGCCAACATGGTGAAACCCTGTCTCTACTAAAAATACAAAAATTAGCCGAGCATGGTGATGGGTGCCTGTAATCCCAGCTACTTGGGAGGCTGAGGCAGGAGAATCGCATGAACCTGGGACGTGGAGGTTGCAGTGAGCTGAGATTGCGCCCCTGCACTCTAGCCTGGGCTACAGGAATGAAATTCCATCTCCAAAAAAAATAAAATAAAATAAATAAAAATATGTATTTCAGTCATCCAGTTGATGGGCCCTCTATGTTGGTTAACTAAAGACTAGAGCATACAGTTAGAAACTTTTATCTGATTTATCCAAACATGGGATCTTCCTATGGTAAGTCTGCTGTTACTACACTCTGAGCAATAGGTAAAGGAATAATAATTTAAAAATTTTGGTTAAAAACTAGTTAGAATAAATTTCAAGTTGTGTAGAAGAGAAAAATTGTGTTTAATTATAACAGTAGGTTTCGGTTCATTTTGTGATGCATAGAAAATGTGAATTACATTAAAAAAATGGCTGTAGTTGAAAGAGTTGTGTTCAGTAGGCCACTTTATGAAGCCCTACAAAACAGTCATCAGTATTCCCAAATAAAATACAACACTGATAATCAAGAATCATTCTTGTTTTTAGCCAAAACAGTTTGTGTGTGAGAGTGTGATATAGTGGGGAGATATTTACTGTTCATGCTTACTTCCTTTTTGTACTTGATCAGACATCTTTGAATGTATCAGTCATTCTCGAACTTTATTTGCATCAGAATCACCTGTAAGGCTTGTTAAAACACAGACTGTTGGGTACCATCCTCAGATTTCTGATTCATTAGGTCAAGAGTTGGACCCAATAATTTGCATTTCTAATTGCCACACTTTGATAACCACTATATTGTCCATTTAATTTTTCCTAGCAGTAGTGAAGACTCACCTGATAATCTTTGGCTTAATGACAGGTGGTATCTATGTGACATGATAGAACACCTCATTGTATTAAAAACAAGAGGAAGCAGTTTCACAGTTGAAAGAAGCTGTATAATAAACCTAAATGGAACTCTGAGCCTTGATCTCAGGAACATTCAAAGTCCTCTAGATTCGAGAGAAATTTCCTTATAGTCTTAGGAAATATGGGGGTCAATGAGATGTTAATATTTTTAATTGTGAAAGTTCTGATTTTACAAATAAACTTAAGTGCGACATCAGTGATTGTGATTTTTGAATTTGGAATTAGTGATTCCTTGATAGGAGCTATAGAGATCTACAGCTATATATATTTTTTCTGGTGGCTGATCATTGTATTCTCTTCAGATTGTTGTCACTGTCAGTTGGTTTTCGGGAAGAGGCTTTCAAATTATCTCCTATGGCCTTTTATATGTTGATTCATTCAAATACTGAGTGACCATATAATATTTTAAGTCAACCAGGACATGTGAAAGTGCTCAGAGTGAGAGAATATATGAGTACTCCGTGTATCACCAGCTTAATTTTCTATAAACCTAAAACTGCTCTAAAATTTTAAGTCAATTAAAAAAAAAGTACTCAGAGCCAACACATTTGTCTGAACAAAAGGAGAAGAGGTGAGAAAATGTACGTAAGTTTGGAGAAGAAAGATCCTGAATGTGCAAGGGTTTTTTTCTTCTTCTTAAATCTCTGTTCATTTATACATCCCAACATCAACAGATGTATGATTTAGCATTTGCCCTGCACCTCTGGCTCTAGGGACCCTGGAGTTTTGTATATGGATACCCTGCTGCAGTGAACTCTGTCATTGTTCTCAACAGCTGGGAATGGAATATAGCTCATTAAGACAGGAGATGTTATCCAAGCCTCCCCTGGCATCCTGAAGAGTAGTGAATATGTTTTGCTTCCTGAGATCTAAAGTATCCCTTTCGTTACCACCTAGTGTTCTCTTCCTTTTATTGAAAAACTCTATTGGCCCCATTGCCACTTTGAATGATGTGTACAGTTTATGCCAGCTGTTCCTTTTCTTAATCCTTTCTCCTTCTTCTTTGCCTTTTTATTATGTTTATGGTGTGTGCTGTGCCTTGTATTTAAAAAATAAAACCCTAGTGTAATTAGTACATATCACTTGGTTATGTAATTAAAAGAATATTAAGGACAGATTTTCACAATAAACCCCTATCATTCAGACATCCCTGCTCCCTTTTGTATAAAAAGCAACTTTGCTGGAGAGAGGGTTGCAAGTTTAAGTTTCTCATACTTATCAGGCGAGGGAACTTATATTTGAGTTTTTATTTTATATCAGATGCTTAGTCCTATTACTCCATTTGATTGTAGCAATAAATCTGTGAGACATAAAGATATAAGAATTATTATCTCATTTTGTAGATGGGGCCCTAAGCATCAGAAAGATCTAAAACCCAATTAGTAAATTGTGAAGCAGGTATTCATATCTTTGTCTTTCTGGCTCCGTCATCTCTCTGTACTATTTATGCAACCTGTTGCTGAGTTATGTATAAATTTAGATGTCTGTATTCATTTTTTATGTGGCATCGTTGTCTGCTTATGTGGCATGATTATTTAGGGCAAAAAGAAAGATAAGAGGAACCATGTTAAAAATATCACTTTTATCTGGAGATTCAGATTTATATCTAGGTCATCATTTTTCTATTCGGAGAGTTATTCAGGCTTTACAAATGAAATAGGCAGGGATGTTCAGGAATAGCAACCAGGTGCTTTCTTTGCAACTGGAGAGAAGAAAATACCAACCTCTCCACTAATGTATATTGGGAGTTTACTATGTGCCAGCCACATACATGCGTTATTTTATTTAATCCTGTAGGTGGTGTGAGAGTAGATGTGGAAAATGAGGTCCAATGCATTTAAATAATATGCCCAAGGTCACATAGCCTGCAAGTGTACAGCTGGGGCTAGAGCTGCCATCTGATTCCAGAGCTCAGGCTCTCAATCACTACGCTACACTGCCGAGGAATGGCAGTTTAAGAGGTGGAAGTCGTGTGACATAGTAACCTAGAAAAAGAGAGGTAAGTTATTTGAACACCTGGACATTTTGTTTTTCCATCAACCAGGAAGAAATATTGAGATAATGGATATACAATCATGCATCACTTAATGATGGAGACACACTCCCAGAAGTGTGTTGCTAGTTGATTTCATAGTTGTGCAAACATCATAGAGTGCACTTACACAAACCCAGATGGCATAGCCTACTACACACCTAGGCTACATGGTTTGGCCTTTTGCTCCTAGAGCACACACCTGTACAGCATGTTATTGTACTGAATAGGGTATTTGTAACATAGTGATATTTGTGTATATAAACATAGAAAAGGCATAGTAAAAATACCATAGTATAATCCCATGGAACCATCACTGTATGTACAGTGTGATGTTGATGGAAATGTTGTTATGCCGCACACAACTATACATTTATCCATCCTCAAACGCTAATCTCCTAAAGAGAAATGAAAGCACATGTAGAGTTACTTGGTAACTTTTTATTAATCCAAGAAAGTTAGTTACATGATTTCTAAATCACTCCTGTTCGGTATAAGTGGAACCTAGGGGTTTTGAGAGTAAAAAAAGGAAAGTTAAAGCAGTGGCAGAGAAAGGCTAAATGGGTTTGGCACGTATTCAACTTTGTCAAAGGGAATGTGAAGGATTGCAGTTCACTTTTCATGCCAAGGCATCTGTGATGATGGAGAGAGTGATGTCATATGGTTTGGCAAATTAACTGCATAACCTTGAATGTAGTCAAGGGGCTTATCCTACTCTTTTTTTTCTAGTTAAAGTGTCTCTAAGGTTGGCCTTTCTGACATCGTGGCCAGACTCATACAGGCAGGACTTAACGGAGGCTAAAATCATTAGTATACATATACATACAAATACTTCTTCAGATATGTATTTTCTGTAAGGAATCCAAACTGTAGGAAAAGGATAAAATAAAGTTTTTAGTAAGGAATATATTTTAATGGAAATAATAATATAGTACCCATTAGTATTCATTTCCTTTAAAATATAGATGATATTATCTTTATAAGACATGGTATCTTTATTTTATTGACTATAAATGTACTAGTGAAATGTTTCCTAAGTTAACTCTTGAAACACAGATTCTAACACTGGTATTGTACAGAACCCAACCATCCATGTTGGAGAGTGTCTGTGCTGCTTTAATTAGTTCTGATGTAATAAACCGTTTCATGTTTAGCATTTTAGATTTATAATATGGTCTAGTTGGCTTCTGACTACAGATCATTGAGTGAATTTATATCCAATTTTAAAATTTTGACAAGTAGGTGAAAACTGGAGGAACGACAAAGGAACATTTTAGTAAAACCAAGAAAGACTTGTCTTTAGTCATGGACTGTGGCACTACCACTTATTTGAGACCCAGGCGAGACTTGCAAGCAGATTTACCACAGTCAGGGTCCAAAGTTAGGAAGAAAAAAAGACATGAGAAAAGTTCTTCTTATGTGAAAAGTATAGTAGTCCTTAGGTACATAAATCCTCCTTGGATTTGTGATTGAGAATTCAGTTGTACTGCTTCTTTGCAGTAAACCTTACTTTTAATAATGTGATAGCTTTTTTATTTTCAAAAAATCTTCCTTTTGAATTGTTTTTAGAAATTAGTTTTGGGGACTAGAGGCCTGGTAGACCTACAAGCACAGATTGAATATCCCGTATCCAAAATGCTTTGGACCAGAAGCGTTTGGGATTTTGGACTTTTTCAAGTTCTGGAATATTTGCACATACATATTGAGGTATCTTGGGAGTGGAACCCAAGTCTAAACACGAAATTCATTTGTTTTTTATATACATAGCCTGAAGAAATTTTATACAATATTTTAAATAATTTTATACATGAAACGGGTTTATGTTAAGTACTTGTGTAGAATTCTCTACTTGTAGTGTCGTAACGATGCTCAAAAAGTTTTGGATTTTGGAGCACTTTAGATTTTGAATTTTTAGATAAGGAATGCTCAGTCTGTACCCAATACTTACTATTTCTAATGTTGGGGAAGCCAGTAATTCCAAAAATATTCTAAACTTTTTCTTTCTTCATTACCTTGAACTTAACTCTTATATTGTCATTCATCAATATATGACCCATCATTTAGTAATATTTTAGAAACGTAAAAGGAGGGATGGGCTCAAAAAGACAAGATTTATGATAAATTTCTTCAGTGAAACTCCTCTTAGGAAATGAGTATTAGTTCCACTCTCCCACTGTAAACAGGAGCAGAGTAACCACACTGATCAAGAGTTGGTGCTTCGTTTTGTAGGTAATTTATTTTCCTGGGTGCCAAGTGGTTTTTATATATGGAGCTATGGTCATAACTTAATGGCAAAAAATGAAGCATAATGCTAAAAGAAAACATAGTTCTAGGAGAAAGCTTGCTTTTAATACCTGTTTCTTCTAGAAGTGAATAGGACTTTGGTGTGGGCAGTTTAAAAGTTGGCCACATCAGGTTTTAAGCTTGGAAGCCATGTTTGATTTTGAATCTTAGCCCAAGAAAAATAAATAAATTATTTATTCCAATATAAAGATGTTTGGAGGTGTCAGTAATTGACTTATTTAGCAGCAATAAAGCAATTCAGATAATTTTAGAAAATTTACTTTTGAGGAGGAATTCTAATAAAGGATAATTTAAACAATTACGTGTGAGAAATAACTATTTACTGAACAGGAAATAGGGTTGCTATAGGTGGTTTGAGTTTAAAACTAGAGATTTGCTTTGAATGTAGTTTTTTCTTTGAGATTTCAGGGTGAAAATTGCATGGCTGGAGCATGACCCAGAAACAGCCCTGCCATTGATTGCCACTGGGAATACAGTAATTGAAGATTTGCCTGTGTTGATTGACTTTCAGTATCTGATTACAGAAGCTCTGAGCAATGTATCTTGGTCTTTTATCTCCTTTGTTGCCTCCTTTCAGAAATGCTTCTAAAATGTGTCTGGTTTATCTATAGATTTTTGGATTCTTAGAAGGCCACTTAACCATTTCTGTTTAGTATTTACCAGTTCAATCAATATGAATAGTAACAAAGAAAACCTGAATTAAAATGTACTAGGATTCTGAGACTGTTATGTCTGGTATATAATATACTTCTCTAATTTATTCTTTGTAGAACCTCATCTCTATAAACGCTTGTGTTGAAATGCTTTTTGGTCTTAAGTGATGGAATGACAGCCTGTGCCAGGACATTGTAGCTTGTGGATGCCTACTCTTTTCAAGTGACTCATCGGTACAGGTTAATATTTTGAGTAAATCTTTCGGAATTAAATTCAGTACTGTCAACAATGAGAATCTGGCTAGTTTATGTAGAGCTTAACAGAGGCAGAATATATTAATGGACTTTAGTGTTTTTAAAAAAGGGACATTGGTATTGTACGCTATTCTATACCTAGCTCTAGGGGTAGCATGTGCAGTATGGATTATTTATGGTCCACTCCTTGCCACAGGTCTTCTGTGTTACCTTTAAAAAGCTAGGGTAGTGCTCGGCTGACTGTGCCATCTCTGTATGGATTTTCTGTTTATTTGTTTTATAATTTTGTTTTATAGAAACTATAGTATGATGTCAGAAACATTGGTGGCTGGATTAGGTACAGTATGTTGGAAAAGAGAAATGTGTTACCTGCTTAACAGGAGTACAGTTTGACTCTTCTGTTTCCCCGATGTGTTAATCTAATGATTTGTCCTTGATGGTATGGGAGTAGCTGGTGAGAAAAAGGAAGGGAAGGAAGATGAGGTAATTGTCCTGAATTGTCCTTGGATAAAGGATCTAACTTCAAGTCTTTGCAAATGACAAAATGAGAAAAGTCCACAAGGCATTTGAGAATACCTCTTCTGAATAACTCAGTTTAGGTCAGAGAATTTTATTTCAGCTCACGTAAGAACTTCGTTTGTTTCCAGTGTTCCCTGTATTTTCATAATCAAACCGTAGCCTCTGCCTTTTGATGTTTTGTTTTGGTCAGCACTTTGGTTCTATGTATTCATGTTTTTGTTGCCATTTTTGATTTAGTGTAGGATTTGATTAATGACTGCATACATTTTAAATGATGTCACATTGAAATGTACATTTGCACAAATTTATGTATAATCAGTAAACATATGTTTTTGTTCTGTTTCCAAGATGCCTGTTTGGTTGTAGTTGTTTCCATTTTGTCCTAGGTTAAAGAACCTTAGCTAATTTCAATCAGCCCTGAGTTGTCATTCCTGTTCATCACTGTCACATTAACATCATTCCTCTTCATCAATGTCACATTAGCAGCAAATCTGAACTTGCTGATTAGTAAAGAGGATGGAAATCACAGCTCTGTGTGTGTCCAAATAGCTACTCATCAGCAAAGCTTGTGATGGGGCCTGATGGTTTAATGCAGGCCTTAATCAAGGGCTAGGAAATGTTTTCTCTGCAGTTTAACCTAGTAGTATTGAATTACATTAACATGTATATACACTCGCATACACATACATAGTAGTGTTACATCAATGTTCAAAGTCAATCAGGCCAAATCAAACAAAAGAAGGAAATAAATCTTGAAGATGACTTTTTTTGTGATTTTAGTCAGCAAACATAAACAGCATATTTTCCTTTGGTCTCATTGATATCCTCATATCCAGCTGAAGAACTGCTTGATTAAAAGTATGCTGTCTTTGGTGACGTGGACTGAAAAAGTATGGGGTAAGCGGGGTGAATTTTATGCTTGGAGCTGTTATTATCCCATGTGGTATCTGTTGCTTACTTCTCAGTGATACTTGTATAGATGTGTCAACAGATTTGATGTTTTGTGCCTATGAGGCAGAATACTTAAAAGGGCATGAGAGTCATTACTTGGAGACGAGATGGGCCCTCATTTGTGCTCACAATATCTGTGTGAGCACGTGGAAGAACCGTATTTTATTTTTTGAAAACAATCTTTTTGAGTGTCAAATGCTTATCTGTTGAGAGCCCACTGTAAAACTGAATGTCTTTGTGGTAGTTGACATTTGAGATGATGTTTTTTAATGCCTCATTGTGGGAGGTTAAGTGTCATTATCCCGATTTTACTCATGAAGTTCTGAGCAGGTAAGTGACTTGTCCAAAGTTACCCTCCCGGTAAGTAAAAGCCAGACCTTGAATGCAGGCCTTCTGACTTCAGCTACAGTAATTTTGTCTTTCAGCCGTGTAACAGCTGCCTTGTTTATGTGGCTAACATGATGCTAGATAATTATGAGAAGAATTTCATTTAAAAGAATTCCTCATACCTGGAAGTTTACAATCCTATCTGAATGACCACAGCTGTGTGAATCCTAACTTCAGTCAAGATAAGCAGTAATACTGGAAACACTGTAGAAAGCAAGGATGGCATCACAGTGTCTACCAGCATTCTGTGGGAGGATTAGAGGATTTGCATGCAGACCAAGAGCAGCCTGAGTAATCAGGACTCTGGTACTGTTTTATGGAAAGCAATTTAATGCATATTTTTAAAGCAATATCAACTCTTTTATATGATTAAAAATGATTTCTACCTTATACGTTTTAATTTTCTTTTATAGATTTCAGCCCTGGAATCATACATATCTATCCTCCACACATGTCATTTTCTTCCTCTCAAGGCTAGTGGTACACGTTTAAATATTTCCAGCATACATTTTGTTGCTGTTAGAAACTATGAATAAGCATCATCATTTTCTTCCAAGATTTCTGTCACTGTCAACATCATCTCTTTCTTTTCTGATGGCTCACATTAATGCAGGCAGTGCTAACACATTTGTTTCTTTTGTCTTTTATGACAGTCTGAGTTTTAAAACTTTGCTTCTATTCTGAGTTTAGTAGTTTTTGTTCAGAAATGAAACTTTGAGGCAGCAGCATCAGGTAATGGGAAGAGTGTAGGCTTTTGAGACAAAGACCTGAATTTGGATTCTTGCTGCTCCACTTACTAGCTTTATTGAGTTACTCAAATACTCCTAGTCACACTGTCCTGTTCATAAAATAGGGGTTGGTTGTGCTATTGTGAGGATTTGATAGGGCAACCTAAGAGAAATGCCTGCCATGGTCCCTTACTCAGAATAAATGTTCAACAAATTACAATTCTCCTTTATTTGCAGTACTGTTTCTCATGCTTTTTAATTAGATATTTTACTCCCTCTGTTTGCCCCTCCCTCCTCCTCTTTTTCTTCTTCTCTCTCTGTTTACAGCCCCGAAGTCCTAGTAATTCTTGAGATCACGTACATCCACTTTGAAGTTTACTTTGACCATGCTCTGATCATACAAATAGTATGTTTCCAGCCAGCCTTCTTCAAAATGTTGCTGGTAGCAATTTTTATCACACTACTTTTTCCAGTCATACCCATTGTCTACCCCGTTACCTATTTTATCTGTTCTTGTTTCTTTCTTTCTTGTCAGTCCATTTTAAAGGCCTCCTTATCTAGTTGACAGGCTTCCTTTATCCTGGCTATGGGAGTAGGTTTGGCTGTGAATAACAGAGACTCAGCATAATAGTGATGTAACAAGACAGAATTTTATTTCTCACATAGAAGTGTGGGAGTCAAGTGCTGGTGTGGGGACTTTGATCTGTCTTAATGCTTCGTCACATGTGTGCTCCATTCCTAAGGTCCCCTCCTGGTCCAAGGTGGGTACTTGAACTCTTACTATTGTATCTACATATTAGGCAGCAGGAAGTAGATGGGGCAGGCAGCAGGAAGTAGACGGGGCAAAAGTAAGACATATGCTTCTCTTTGGAAGTTGCCCACACTGACTAACTCTTAGATTTGATTCGCCAGAACTGTATTACATGACTATGTCTAGATACAGTGAAGACTCAGAAATGTATCCTGTTTCAATTATCTACATGCCTAAAAGGAGAGAATGGCTATTTGAGGACAACTGGCATTGTCTGCCTTGTTGGTAATATGTGAGATGTGCTATATCCTTAGCCAAGGTTTCAGGAAACCAAATCCTTTAAATTCACACTGTTTATATATCTTGATTTTTTTTTTTCTTTGAGATGGAGTCTCACTCTGTCGCCCAAGCTGGAGTTCAGTGGCGTGATCTCGACTCACTGCAGCCTCCGCCTCCCAGGTTCAAGTGATTCTTGTGCCTCAGCCTCCTGGGTAGTTGGGATTACAGGCACCCCCCCCCCCACCACACCTGACTAATTTTTTTGTATTTTTAGTAGACATGGGGTTTCCCCATATTGGGCCAACCTGGTCTTGAACTCCTGACCTCAAGTCATCTGCCTGCCTCGGCCTCCCAAATTGCTGGGATTACAGGCACGAGCCACCACGCCCGGCCTAATTTCATACTATATAGTTATCTATTGTTGTCCCATACTTTATCTTTCTAAGTCCACACTATCTATGGACATAGAATACCACCTGTACTCTATTTTGTTCATTTTCTTGCCGAGAGAAAAGTGTTTCTTCTAGTCAGATTCTTTGTTTTCTCCTGAACTACCCACCATGGTCAGTGACTGTAGTCTTAAGACTCAGACAAATCTAGCAGAATGCCATATTGGATTTTTTTCCCCCACATTCCTCTGAAAGTAGTCCAACATGGATTTTACTGTTGTTTTAAACCAAAATAATGGTAGTATAACACTCTTTCATTTATTTTTATCAAAGCATCTGTGGAAATATATTCCATTTTTCAAATATATCAGTGCTCAAGTGTCATCGTGAAAGAACAACTAACCAAACTGTATTGAAGATGGGGTTGTAAAGAGTTTTACATGTTGATCACAATAATACATATTTTTGGTTCATTTTGTTTTCTTTTATAAATAAATGTTTCCTTTCTTTAGTAGGAACAACTACAAGAGCTTTCCCTGTTTTTTTTGGTATACTTTCTTGTGACTGACAGGTATCTGAGGCCATAAGAGTATTTTTATTTTAAAGATGAGGCAATTGAGTTCAGAGGTTGGATAACTTGCCCAAGACCCTATAACAGGCAAGCAGCAGATCCCAGAATCAAACCCAGGCCGTTTGAATTCAAATTCACTTCCTTTTTCACTATGGTACAAGAATTGGAAAATAAGAGCATTCTTTTGCATATTAGAGACTGAATTATCAAAATTCTTTATTGCTGTTCTTTCATTATCGGTCATCCTTCATGGGAGAGCCCTCATCTCTATACAGTATGATTCAGCTGGGATAGAATTGTTTCCCTTTATTTGCTGTTAAATGGTTTCCTTTCCATCCGTAGCTTGACAAACATCTCCTTTCTGGTTCTTAAAATATTTTACTCTTAGACCTTTTCCCCTTTCTTCTCTGATTGAATGCATAATATTCTTTAACAGTTGTATATATGCTCTCAAGGAATTTTAAATCTCTTCAGGGACACATAATACATGTATGAAAAAGGATTTGTAGGAAAGGAGTGGCAGCTCATGCCTGTAATCTCAGTACTATGGGAGGCTGAGGCTGGAGCATCACTTGAGGCTGGGAATTTGAGACCAGCCTGGGCAACAAAGTAAGACCTTTGTTTCTACAAAAAATAAAAATAAAAAAATAAAAAACTCAATCAGGTGAGGTAGCATGTGTCTGTACCCCTAGATAGCCGGGAGGCTGAGGGAGGAGAATTATTTGACCCCAGGAGTTAGAGGCTGCAGTGAGCTGTGATCCTGCCACTGCACTGCAGCTTGGGCTACAGAGCAAGACCCTGTGTCTTGAAAGAAAAAGAAAGAAAGAAAGAAAGAGAGAGAGAGAGAGAGAGAGAGAGGGAGGGAGGGAGGGAGGGAAGGAAGGAAGGAGGGAAGGAAGGAAGGATTACACTTAGCTCTGTGAAATAGCTTGGGTTTTTTTTTTCTTAGTCTTCTTTATTGGTACATTTTTAATATAAACTGCTGCTGATCTGTCATTCTCTATTCTGGAAATGTTTACTTCATTGTCTGTCTTTATCTTTTACCCAGGTGTCTTGTACCTGTGGTATGCTTAAGCCTCTGCTCTACCTCATTACTTCTAGAAAGAACAATTTTATACCTAGACACACACATACATGTCTTATATTACAGAGAGTGAGACAGAGGGCAGTGACAGAGTGTCCTGCCCTCCCTGGGAATGGACAGAGCAGCATTCTTTCTGTCCTACTTAAGCAATGTGATGCTTCGATTTGGTATGAGACTTTTTTTTTTCTTGTATTGTCTTCTTTTTATTGTTTTATTATTTTATTGTCTGACAAAAATGGCCGTCTCTCCTGTATCTCTTTTTACCCTTAACCTTTTCTGCTGGGTTGTATTTTTTTCCTATTGCATAACTGCAATGTCTGAACCTTAAATTCAACTCAAATTATTAACTCTGAAATGAACTTCCTTTGGCAAGACTGATTGTTAACAGAGTTCTAGATCTCAGTTGCATTCTCTTCCATGTTGATTTAAGTAAAGACAGGCTGTCTTAGTACCTGTTAATCAAGAATAGGAAAGTCTGTGGGGTGGGGGGGTATATATATTCTCTCTAAAAGCTAACTATAAAATCAATGTAGTAGCTTGCATGATTTAATAACTTGGAGGTTTTTTTTCCTTTTTTTGTGTGACTTAGCAGTTTTTAAGTATAGGAAAGGAAATTATAATATGGTTTTATAAAAATGAAACCTGTTTGAAGATCCCATCATTGATGGGGCCTGAATTTTTTAGTTGGTCTTTGCGAAGGAGATCATTGCTCTGTGAAGTTTATGAATCCCTAGACCTGAGAATTTCTACCATTATCTTACTAAGGAAATGTCTATATGCTCTCCCAGAAGATTCTAAGGAGGCATGCCCTAGGGGCACATGTGCTGTAGAGGTAATGAGTTCACTGGAGGAAATCTCACAATCCCTTCTTGCTTGATGATTTTTTGATAATTCTGTAATTCAGGTGTGAAAAAAAAATCACCACCAGCAACCTCTAAAACCTGGGAGGAGCAGTTCGCTATTTGCTGGTAGTAGTTTTGAGGACTTTAGAAGGAAGGCACTAGATAAACATAAGGCATTTTTTGTTATTACTATTGCCATTACTTGTTATCATTTATGTAGCACCTGCTTCACTAATGCAATTGCTTATAGGAGCTGCAATTTTACTCCTGATGGCTACTTTCTGTCATTATGTAATCTGTGGTAAACCACATACCATCTAAATGTTGCCACTGGATTTCTTTTTTCTTCAAACTCCAGCCCTGGAATACTGTTGCTGTCCTATTTGTCAACGAACCACTAATAGAAATTTCTTAGGAACATACTGTACTAGATGCCTAGGAAAAGAAAATATATTAAAAACCAGTGTAACTCCAACTGATTACCCCATCATAGTTCTTATTACTTCAGAAAACTATTAAAAGAACACTAATAAGTTTTCCATGCATGGGTTCATTTTTATAACCAATTGCTAAATTGCTAAGTTGCCTTTTTATTCACTTTCAAATTTACAAACAATTTCCAAGTCTGTGCTTTCATTTACTAATGCAAAGCTCTTTGCATATATATATGTATGTGTGTGTGTCCTGGTAAATTGTTATGCCTTCCTTATTCAATAGCTTTGGGTCTCTTATTCTGAAAAATTCCTGCCAGCAGTTATCAATTTGCATGTTATGGAACAATGTATTGACCTGATAGACTTTGCCAGTTTTACTTGCAAAGCTAATAGCTTCCCATTATATAGTAGAGAAAGGCTTTGTTACATAGACACAGTTATTAATTCTCTATTTACTGCTCATCAGAAAACTAAAAAAAATTTTGTTTTGAAATTTGGAATCTTGATGTTTGGAATATTTTTACACAATGAATCGAAGCACTTCTTGCTATTTCCCCTTTTTTGACGTTATTAACAATTTTGTTTTTTTTAATTCTAGGAAAAGGAAAGGTTTTACATTAAGATATGCAATAATAAGGAAAACCGTGGCACATCTGAATATTTATGTCTACATGAAATAATCTTTGAGAAAATACATTTTTGAGTTATTTGTAATATAGTGTCCTTAGGTTTAATTAAGCTAATTATAGTCATTATTTACCTTTTTCATATTGAAAATGGTTCTCCATATTTTTTCAAACAATTTGAGAAATTGTGCACTATGCAGGAAGTATCAGCTAGAAGTATAGTTAGGAAGTATCAGTTGCCGTTTCTGAGAACCTATGCCCAAATGGCCTTCAGCTTAATTTTTCACGTTTGAATATTGGTCACTGTTACCTCTCCATTCTGGGGCACTGTGGTTAGAATCTCCCTGATAGCTATAGAAACTGTTGGCTGTAAACACTTGGGAATAACGATGCATGATTTCTCCTTAAATAGTTGCCTCATAAATAACTACTTTCAGGCATGAATCATCCACCAAGGTATATTTGTTTTTATGTTATGTTACGTTACATTACGTTATTTATTTTTTGAGAGAGCATCTCACTTTGTTGCCCAGGCTGGAGTACACTGGTGTGATCATGGCTCACTGCAGCCTCAACCTCCTGGGCACAAATGATCCTCCCATCTCAGCCTCACAAGTAGCTGAGACTACAGGCAGGCACCACCATGCGTGGCTAATTTTTTGTATTTTTTTTTTGTAGACATGGGGGTCTTACTATGTTGCCTAGACTGGTCTTCAACTCCTGGGCTCAAGTATATTTGCATATTAAAGGAAAATTCTTAGTGGATGTTGGCCTCTATTTGGTGAATGAATAAGCAGAATGATAGATTTAAAAATTCGGGGTAATATTGGGACTAATTTTTTGGGAAAGAAGTTTTCCCCAGGCACTGTACCCTGTGTCATGAGTGAGGGGTGGGTGTCCAGTGAGGAATTCCAGCAGAGGCTGAAGTCCCATTTGTGGTGGTCATACACTTTTGCTTTCCGGTAGATTCAAGGTTCCAGGGCTCTTGTTAGGAATCTTTTTTTAGGACACAGTGTAAGTGCATTTTAAGAACTTATTTTAAAAATTATTTTGAAGCAATGTGTGTACAGGCCAAGACCCTTGGCCTTCTGAAGATTCACTGAAAATTCAACTGGCAAAAGGCAGATTAATTGGAGAAAAGGCAGACAAATTTTATCTTGTGTGTGTGTGTGTGTGTGTGTGTGTGTGCCTTCAGAATGAAGACCCAAAGAAATGGAGGAAATTGTCCATTTTTATGTTTAGGTTCAACAAAGTATAGACAATCATGTATAATTATGATTGGACAAAAGAGTATGATCCTAATTCTCATAGAAGGAGTGGGGAAATCCAGCAAGGCCTGTGTGTCTCTAGATTCTTCCTATCCTCTCTGAGCATGCATGCCTTCCTTCTGGGTGTAGGGCAGGACCCTTTCTGGAATTGGGCAGGGGAAGGTTTTATGACCTATAGTGAAACAAGATTGGTCAGATAAGTTACTTTTGGCCAGTTTTTACACAGAAATGTGGAGAGAAAGTTAGGGTAATATTTTTAGGTTTTATGACTGGCCTTGGGGTAAAGGTTCTGGCTTCTGTGACCAGCCTTGGGCAAGAGGGATTCTAGTTTCTGTGGGTAGCCTTGGGGGAGAATAGGACTGAGGAGGGGAGAAGATCAGAGAAAAAGCAGCTTCTGAGGCCACTTCTGAACCCTTCATTTTGGGGGTATTGTCTTCTGAGCCCTAATACATGTCACTTGGAGAGGGCCCACTTAAAGGTGTTCAGAAAATGATTTGAAATGGTTTGAAACTGATCTAATGAATGGCATTTAATTCTATGTTTGATTGTCAGTACCATTTTAGTTTTTCTTCTATGTATTCAGAAAAATTTTATTTTTTTTTTGAATTGTTGGATGCAGAATAAAAACTTACAGGTTATAAATGTTAATAATATTAAGTGTGTTTAGACTAGAAATATGCTAATTGACTGCCTGAAGACGACCATAGCTATCAAAAGAATGTTTTGCTTATTTTCAGTTATCCCACAAACATAACAGCTTGAATATATTGAGAAACTTGAGCTTTTTAGATTTGTCCTTGAACTCTTGATTGGCTTTGCAAGTTGTTTTCTGGATGGTGTGGTAAAGGATTTAATACCCTTTGGTATTGATTTTAAAAGGTAATGAGAATTTTTTTTTTGATATAATCCTCACAAAATATACTTTGTGTATAAGTTGAGTGTCCTGACATAATCTCAATAGCCTAAGGTTTTCCCCTAAGGCAAATTTTTAGGTTTCTGTTCAATATTTATTTAAGCTAATTCAAGCATCGATGATATAATTTAATTAATTCTGTTTATTCCACCCAAGCTCTTATCAGTTGATATTCCCTAGTGTTGAGTCTCAGAGGAGTATTTTTATATTTTCATCTCTATATTTTATATTTATACTGTGGGCATTTTTTCCCCTCATTTTACCTGGTCTCTTAATTCCATTTCTCCTGAGTTGCTGCCCCCTTGAACAGCCTCATCCATCCTTCATACAACAAGCTTTCATATATTTAATAACTATTATTAGGTTATCCTTATGCTGTCATTTCTTCAGCCACAATAATCCCAGTTCCTTTAAGCTTTATTTTTATCCTGCTTTTATCTAGCCTTTAATATTTTAGTGGCTTCTTCTAGATCTTCTTTAGAAAAGAGTGGTGTGAGATTATAAAACGAACCTGCTGCTAGAAGTGTGCTTGTCACTTCTCCTCTATAGCCGTCAAATTCTTTGAGATCCTCAAACTGAAGCATCCATGGGAACATTTATTATTTGTTCAAATATGGCCATAAAAATCGACTTTGCAATCATATTGAGTCATCTTGACAGTGCTGTGAGTGACAGAAACTAATCTTATCTGCTGGCTAGCATTTTAAAAATGATAAATGGACCCTCAGTCTTTAGTTTGCCTGTAAATGAAATTAGGTTTATCTTATTTCTCCCAGAAATAGCATTACTTAGAAAATTTTGAATTATTTCTTTCTGAACAAAGTTAAATGGCCAAGGCTAGGGGCTAAATTTTGATTATTATTACATACATATATTTTTTGCCTTTTATCAGCAAATAATGGTGCATTGGGAAAATTCAAGTATTAAGAAATCAGCATATATTTTCTAAACAGAACAAAGATTCCTCACCATCTATACTTGCAGCCTGAGAAATATATGTTCAAAGTAAATTTTACTGAATATTTGTTCTTTGAATTTTTTTTTCAGATCTAAAATAAAGTTCCAAATCTTGATAATCACAGCACGTTTAGGACTAATGTCTTCATTGTTTTATCTGTCTTCCTTTTAGTTGCCTAATCATTTAAAGATCAAATTAAATTGAAATCTAATATAATTCCTGCTGGTAAAGTGACTTTTATAGTAACTTCCACCATTTATTTGTTTTCTTAGTAGGAAACTGATTTACCTTACTTCTACATGTGTTTTTGGTATCTTTATTCTGAAATTGTCTTTTCTTTGTCAATCAGGATCTAGGACTTCAGAACCCATTTGTATCAACTCCTATAAGAAACTAAATTAGGTCACCTAACAGTGTCAAATGCCTTTTTCTTCTGCGTTTTCACTGACATTTTAGAACTCCAATACTGTCATACTGTCATTTTTTTCTTTCCTCTATTCTTAATCTCTAGGACCATGTTAGTAAGTTTGTTAGATATTTTGTCAAATGTGATTTTTAACCAAATCGAGGGAATTAAAGCAATAACCTTTTTATGTTCTGTTTCTAAAGCAAGAGGACATTGCTGTGCAGGGTTGATTTTTTGAAAAACCTTGTTGTCTTCCACTTGTAGGTTTCCTTCCCTTTTTTTTTTTTTTTCCCCTGGTCACTGTTTTTCAGGGCTCTTTGTATCTTGTACATGAAATAATATGAAAAGAAGATTTGAATGAATGGGAGGATAACTCTTCACTTTTTGTCTCGATTATTATGTTTTTAAATTTCATTTCACTTTGGGCCTTTAAAAGCATATGTGTGTGTACGTATGTATGTGTGTATGTATTTATGTGTTTAGTATTTGGAAATTTGTGAGGGATGAAAAGGTTACTTCAACAATTCCCTTGTCTATGTGGTCGCTATTTCTCTGCCAAATACTCATAAATGAGTTATTCTTTTCCTCCCCCACTCTTGCATTATAGAAGAAAAAAGTAATGCCTCATTTGTTAGTATCATTAAGAAATGAAATGTCTCTCAAAAGTTAATTTTCCAGATAACTAAATCCTACCTCTGGGAATCATACTAGCTCCTCCATTTTTAGATGTTGAACAAGTTATAAATTTCACTGACCCTCCATTTCTTCTTTTCTAAAGATGTGCATGTAATACCTATTTTAATGATTTGTTCAGGGGATTAAATAAGTGTAAAATGCCTAGAACCGCAGAAAACTTAGTATTTTTGAGATATCAAGAAAACTGGATACCTTATAGCTGATCAATAAATACTAGGTTCTTTCCCTTTTCCCATTAAATGCCATATCTTGATTTAAATTATCTTTTTCTTATTTCTTCCTACACTCATAGTCATAAAATCAGTTAGATTTTACATTCAAATTTTAAAAAATTTTCCTTTCTGTATTTATTACAGATTCTCCAGTTCACATTCTCTTTATCATTCACTTGAACCATTTTCAATATTAAAGAGTCTTAGAAGCAATCTAGTTTGACTACTGTCCCAATAGTTGAATTCTGTCTGCATCCTTTCTTCAAGTTACTTTGCAGTCTATATCTATTGCTTAAATGTGCTGGTGCTAGTTTGACCCTATATAACCACAAAGAATGTCAGATCTCAGTTTCATGTGGCACCCTTCCAATACATGAGGATGGTTGGCATGTTCTCACTGAGCCTCCCTTTTTCCAAATGAAAATCCCTGATTACCAATTTATATTTTGGGGTTTCCAGTGCCTTGACATTCGGGTTACTATTTCCTGCTGCTTCAGTTGGTTTAACTTGCTCTTGGATTGGAATGGATTCTAGTCTAGATATGATTTAACCAATCCAGAGGAGAGTGAGATGATTACTTCTCTTCTAGATACTTCTGTTAATGTAGCCTGATATCACTCTAGATAATGTTTTATAGCCAGTCACTCTGTTGATTCATAGTAACTTTTAAGAATTCTTTCTTATGGGTACTGTTTTTAAACTATATCTATTTTATTTTTTAAGATCAGATTTATTGATATATAGTTTACATACAGCAAAATTTCACCCTTTTTATAATAGCTGGAAAACTTTTTTTTTTTTTTTTTTTCCGAGATGGAGTCTTGCTCTGTCACCCAGGCTGGAGTGCAGTGGCACGATCTTGGTCACTGCAGCCTCTGCCTCCTGGGTTCAAGTGATTCTCCTGCCTCAGCCCCCCGAGTAGCTGGGATTACAGGCATGTGCCACCATACCCAGCTAATTTTTGTATTTTTTGTTTGAGATGAGGTTTACCATGTTGGCCAGGCTGGTCTCAAACTTCTCACCTCAAGCGATCTGCCTGCCTCAGCCTCCCAGTGTGCTGGGATTGCAGGAGTGAGCCACTTTACCCGGCCTTAGCTGGAAAACTTGAAGAGTTTTGACAAATGTATACAGTCATATAACTATCACCACAATTGAGATATAAATTGTTTCCTTCCTTTTCAAAAGTTCCCTAGTATCCCTTTGCAGCCGGTCCATTTCCCCACCCCCAGCCTCTGGCAACCTGATTCCTGTCCATATAATTTTGTATTTTGTAGATACCATTCTATTCTTATATGGTTGGCTTCTCTGCTCTGGTATAAAACTTTATTTATTTAAAATTTCTACATCTTAGTTTGGATACATAGCTCTAGACTGTCATGATATTTTTAATCCCAATTCTGTTTTTATTTTCTTCCCTATCTCATAACATGCATAAATTTGATATGCATTTTAGCTGATCCTCCATGTTATTGGGGATAAAAGGCCAAAGATAAGAGCCAACGAGGAAAAACCCACAAAAATTCCTTATTTGACACTAGACAACATTATCGAAGGTGACATTTATTCATTAATCATTCTCTTTTGATATTGTGCTTTAATCCACTAAACTTTATTATTGTTCAGTTCATACTTATATAGGCATATGTTGGAGGTATTCCAGGTTCAGTTCCAGACCACCAGAATAAAGTGAAAATCACTATATAGCAAGCCACATGAATTTTTTAGTTTCTCAGTGCATATAAAAGTTATGTTTACACTATAGTGTAGTTTGTAAAGTGTGTGATAGCATTACGTCTGAAAAACAAAATATATATCTTAATTTATTGATCAGCTTTATTGATAAAAAATACTGATGATCATCTGAGCCTTCAGCAAATTGTCATCTTTTTGCTGGTGGCGGGTCTTGCCTTGATGTTTGTGGCTGCTAACTGATCGGGATGGTGGTTGTTGAATGTTGGGGTAACTGTGCCAATTTCTGGAAATAAGGTAACAATGAAGCTTGCCCTATGGATTGACTCTTCCTCTTATGAAAAATTTCTCTGTAGCATGCCATGCTGTTTGATAGCATTTTACTCCCGGTAGAACGTCTTTCAACATTGGAGTCAATCCCCTCAAACGCTGTCACTGCTTTATCAATTAAGTTTATATAATTCTAAATCCTTTGTTGTCATTTCAACAGTGTCCACAGCATCTTCAAGAGTAGATTACATCTCAAGAAATCACTTTCTTTGCTTGACTATAAAAACTCCTTGTTTGTTCAAGTTTTATCATGAGATTGTAGCAATTTCATCTTTAGGCTCCACTTCTAATTCGCTTGCTGTTTCTACCATATTTGCAATTACTTCCTCCACTGGAGTCTTGAACCCCTCTGAATCATCGATGAGGTTTGGAACCAACTTCCAAACTCCTGTTAATGTTGATATTTTGACCTCTTTCCATAAACCAGAAATGTTTGTAATGGCATCTAGCATGGTGAATCCTTTCCAAAAGGTTTTCAATTTACTTTGCCCGGATCCATCAGAAGAATCACTATTTATAGCAGCTATAGTCTTATGAAATGTGTTTTTTAAAATAATAGGACTTAAGAATCCAAATGACTCCTTGATGCACGGGCTGTAGAACAGATGCTGTATTAGCAGACATGAAAACAATCTCGTTTTTATGTCAACAGTGTTGACATTTCACTAGTGTTTACAGCATCTTCACCAGAGTAGATTCCATCTCAAGAAACCACTTTCTTTGCTTGACTATAAGGACTCTTTGTCCGTTCAAATTTTGTCATGAGATTGCAGCAATTTAGTCCATCTTTCGGCTCCACTTCTATTTATAGAGAACAAGCAGAGTAGATTTAGCATAATTCTTGGGGGCCCTAGGATTTTTAGAATGGTAAATGAGCATTAGCTTCAACTTTAAGTCACCAGCTGCATTAGCCTCTAACAAGAGAATCAGCCTGTCCTTTGAAGCTTTGAAGCCAGCCATTGACTTCTCTCTAGCTCTGAAAAGTTCTAGATGGCATCTTCTTCCAATAGAAGGCTGTTTCATCTACACTGAAAATCTGTTATGTAGTGTAGCCACCATCAATGATCTTGGCTAGATCTTCTGAATAACTTGCTGTAGCTTCTACATTAGCACTTGCTGCTTCACCTTGCCCTTTTATGTTATATAGATGGCTTCTTTCCTTAAACCTAATGAACCAGCCTCTGTTAGCTTCAAGCTTTTCTTCTGCAGCTTTCTCACCTCTCTCAGCCTTCAAAGAACTGAAGAGAGTAGAGCCTTGTTCTGGATTAGGCGTTTGCTTAAGAGAATGTTTTGGTTGGTTTGATCTTCTATCCAGACCACTAAAACTTTCGCCATGTAAGAAATGAGGCTGTTTTACTTTCTTATCCTTTTTTCTTGGTTCACTAGAGTAGCACTTGTAATTTCCTTCAAGAACTTTTCTTTGCATTCGCAACGTGGCTGTTTGGTGCAAGAGGCCTGTCTTGGCTTTCTACGTGCCTTCCTCACTAAGCTTAATTATTTCTAGCTTTTCATTAGTTAATTAGTTAATATGTTTTCTTGAGACAGAGTCTTGCTTTGTCACCCAGGCCAGAGTGCAGTGGCACGATCTTGGCTCACCGTAACCTCCACCTCCCAGGTTCAATTGATTCTCATGCGTCAGCCTCCTGAGTAGCTGAGATTACAGGCATGCATCACCAGTTTGGTTTTTTTTAGTAGAGACGGGTTTCACTGTGTTGTTAGGCTGGTCTTGAACCCCTGCCCTCAAGTGATCTGCCCGCCTTGGCCTCCCAAAGTGCTGGGATTACAGGCATGAGCAACCACGCCCGTCCTCTAGCTTTTACAGTGAGAGACGTGTGACTTTTCCTTTCACTTGAACACTTAGAGGCCATTGTAGGGTTATTAATTGGTATATTTTCAAAATTGTTATGTCTCTGTGAATTGGGAAGCCGGAGGAGAGAGAGAGAGATGAGGGAATGATGGCCAGTGAGTGGGGCAGTCAGAAGGCACACATGCATTGATTAAGTTTGCAGTCTTGTATGAGTGTGGTTCGTGGTGCCCCAAACCATTACAATAGTAACATCAAAGATCACCAGGATAGATATAATAATAATGAAAAAGTTTGAAATGTTGCAAGAATTATCAAAATGTGATACAGAGACATAAAGTGAACACAGGCTGTTGGAAAAATGGCACCTATAAACGTTCTGGGTACAGGGTTGCCACAAACCTTCAATTTGTAAAAAATGCAATAAAGCAAAGCATACTTCAAAAAACATGTGCTGGTACATGTATTTTAACCAAGGACAGCACAAGAAATCTTGGCAGATGTCATGTTGAAATCTGGAACATGACTTTAAGCCTAGATTTCCATTACATAAAAGTCTAGTAACCTTTTCTGCCTACTAATGTGACTTTGAAAGTATCATCTGGCACACTGTTTATTGAAATTCACATTTTTCTTTGTCATTTTTGTTCTTTCACATTTTTAAGTTTGAAATTTATGTGCCTGATACTTTCCATAGCCATAAGTTGTACAAAACCAGTGGATTTTGTTTCTCAGTTGGCTATTTCTTATGAATGAAATCTTCTCTAAAGTATATTTTTGTATTTGAATTGAAGCCATGCTTTTTGTTACAAAGCCCTTGTTGCCTTCATTAGGTATTAAACAGCCCTACACTGGCAGGGAGAGGTGTTACGTAGGAAATCATTTATATTAATCATTTATATTTACTAAATGAGCCCTCTGAGAGCAGGCACCGTGTCTCCTTTGTGTACTAATGTGACCCCAGAATCAAGCACAATGCCAAGTACATAGTAGGTACCTTCAAATCAGAATCTCTGACTCTAGCCTAAACCTCTTTCATACCCGAATGTACTGTATTCTGTTGTATTAAATATCAGGCCCTGTTTAGACTTGTTTTATTATACATTTGTGGCTATTACTCACAATAGCAGAGTTATTCTTCCTGCAGGAATTTAAATAATAAAGATTTTCTTGAAAAATGTAACTCTAAGTTTGAGACTATAAAATCTATATCTCAGAGCAAATCTAGCATTTAATGACATCTAGCTTTTGCTCAAAAGTAATGGCCTTACTGTGTTTTATTACCACCAACAGTATTATAAGTATAAGGCTTTTTATACTTTCCTTTATCACTCATTTTTATTAATATCAGAAAATAAGAGATAAGCGTAAGCACCAACCTTAACTGAGATGCAGTTGCAAGAATACTGTCCAGAGTTCCCTAACTTCACAAATGAGGGCATGTTCCTAGCTTCCACATTAGAACCTGTAATAGCCTTTTTGATTTAACATTGCTGGACTACCACCCCCATTTATTCAGCAAAACACTAATTTAAGTGCTGCTGCAAAGGTATTTTATAGATATGATTAAAATCCATAATCAGTTGACTTCATGTATGGGAGATTATACTAGATACTCTAGGTGGGCCCAATTCAGTCAGCAAAAAGTTCTTACACGAAGAGTTGTGGCTTTCCCTGAAAAAGAAATTTCATTTGTGGACAGCATCTTCAGCTGATTTCCGAGACTTAGGCCCCACCTTCCTGACAGCCTGTCCTAATGATTTCGTACTTGCCTACATAGCTCCCACACTATTCTAAGCCAGTACCCTGCCGTGTATTTCTTAATCTGGATCTCCATTGGTTCTCCTCCTCTAGTTGAACCCTGACTGATATATTACCCAATCAGAATGATGGCTCCTGATAATTTTATAAGAAATAGTGTGATGCTAAGCATGATTCCTAGTTAATCATTCTATTCCTATGCAACATATCAAAAAAGACCCTTGTTGCATGCTGAATTCTTGGACTAAACGTACTTTTTAGTTGCACAGCTGCCACAAACCTTACTATTGTATACTTGCTGATTTTGTCATTTGATTTTTTTTTTAATTTCTAGGTTTTTCTAAGGATAGATTCATCATGTTATTTTTCTTGTCTAGAGTACAGAGAAATAATATTTTGATTATTTTAGTTGTTTCAAAATTGCTCTCTTTTTTGGAAGGAGAAACGTAACTGCCGTGCATTTTACTGTAGTCAGTAGTTAAATGTATAACATGTTAGCTCAAAGATTAAAATGTGAATATTCTAGAGCACGAGTACAGAGAGTTGATACAAAGGGGGATGTCAGTTGCTCTGAAGTTAAATTCCAGGATTCTGTCACATGCTGATATAGTGCCAAAGCATATGGATCTCCATATGGTGCTGCTTTTGGGGTTTATACCACCTGTAATCTAGCTGATTTTCATTCACTTAAATTTGTCCAAGAGGTAAGCAAACTAAATAAGGAAATGAAAATAATATGCCTGTGTTAAAATGCCGAAGTTTGGGATGAGTTACTGTTATTACAGTGATTACCAAGAAAAAAAAAGATTGATTAGAGGAGTGCATTAGTAATATAGCAGTAGTGTTTCTATCACCTCATTAACAGCAGGGAACAGTGTATCCATTTCTGACTCGTGGAGAGGGAAATTAATTTTTTTATTTTATTGAGTCTTCGTGAGAAGATGGAGTTAGATCATTTTGGACATTTTTAAAAGTAATAGTAATGAATATAAATATGTTTTCATGGTTCAGGAATAATGATATTGTGAATGGCACTTGGCATTTTGATTGAATATAAAAAGTAATAAAACTGGTTGCATTCTGACTACATGATATTGCAGTTGTTTTATATCATTAAGAACCTTTGATTTCAGAAACAGAGAAAGAAAAACATGGCTCAATTGAACCATGGTATTCAGACCTCATAAAAATGCTTCTCTAAGCTTGAGGCAGAGTTATTGGTTTATGTGTCAGCTAGCATTGTTTTACATTGCATCTTAAATATTTTAGGCTCTCTTCAAAGCAGCTGTTTTAATAGACAGGGCAGAAATCATTGAAGATGTCTTTGTGTTACTGCTGTCACGCAAAAACAAAAAGGTGCTACTTGTCTACAGTCTAGCAGACATTTGACATTTTTAACTGCAGGTGTTTTATTAATATCCAACATGTGAGAGAAATTGAGCCATAATTATTGATATTTGAAATTACTTCAAAAGCCATCTATATTAGGCATTACCTCCTTTCAACCACAGCCACCTCTAGGGAGAGATGGCAGATTGGACTGTTTCTGCAGACTCTGTTTGCTGAAACTCAGTAGTGACTTAGAATGGGAGTAATGAGGAGGGATAGTTTCCTTAACTAGTGATAGAAATGATCATACATGTATGATCAGCACAGTCCAGCTACATGGAAGTATCTGCCACTGTATTCATAGCATCTGGCACAGTATCTGGTGCAAAGTACAAAACACTGTATTTTCCTGATAATAACAAATCATATTTTTTCACACTTAAATGTTTGCCATTAAGGTGTATTTTACCCATTAATGTGTATTTTTACTGTTGTTTTTGGCCTCCTCTTAAATTTTTATTAAATATTTGAATAAAATGAGTTTGGTGCATTAATAAAGGAAGGAGGAGGACTTACCTTTGTAAGGTCTGATCCATTTGCTTTTGGTATAATTGAAGGATCATTGACTGGGTTAACATGCACTGAGCTCCAGTACTATCCTTGCCATTTACTAGTGGGTATGTGACACTGGGCAACTTACAATATCTCAGGCACTGATTGATTCTTTATTGATAAGGTAGGGGTAGTATTATATATCCCAGTTTATAGGATGATTATGAGAATCAAATAAGATAATGGATATGAAGTGTTTTATAAAGTGTGATATACATATAAAGGGTATTACTAATCACAGTGTGTCTGTAATTTACGTCTTATTTTATTCTGACTGCCCCAACTAATTCAGGCCTTTTGCCATCTCACACTTGGATTGTTCCTATCTTCTGCTAAATCAATTCCGTCTCTTGCTTTTATAGGATGTGTTGAGTAGCCCTGAAATAATGTTCTAAATATGTTACTTTCCTTTTCAAGGCTTTTTGCTGTACCACCTGTCTACTCTTGTAGCCATTATCTTCTCTTTATACTCCTTCCTCCGATTTCATTCCCTGAACTCCTTGCTATTCCTGAGCTCTTTATGCTTGCCACCTACGTGCCTGTGCATGTGCTGTTATTTCTACCTAAAATCCTTTCTCCCTTCTAACCTCATAATGTTTCTACTCAACAAAATCTGATTTGTCTCTCAAGACTCATCTCAGATATGACTTTGTCCCTTAATTTTTTTTCCTCTTTTGCCAGGCCTGATGTTTCTTTTATGGAAATGGAATAGATAATGGTAGGAATGGGGATGGCAGCCGGGGAGAGAAAGTATTACCGAATTTGATTTTCTGTTGTTCCCAACAAAGTGAGAGGTGATCCTAGGTTTTATTTTGCTGTTGGAGAATTTAAAATTGTGGTAAGTTTTTATCGCTCACGTAACATGTCACCAGTTTCTCCCGCCTCCACCCATGTCTATTCTTTGGTGCTTACATTTGTACTTTACCGATCAGGGGATTTTATGTAGATCTATTCTTATTTTATGTAATATAGATAATAAATTTTTAATACATCATATAATATAAATTCCATAGGAAATAGCTGTTTAGGGGAATGAAGAGGTGAGCTATCTAGAAAGCAAAGAACCAGTTTTTACATTGAAAAACCTCACAGTTTATCTGTTATGTAGACTCCTTTATATTAGCTTTTCTTAAGTCGTGCTTTATCTCAGGTGGATCTTTAGGAAAATAGTAACTTTACAGCCCAGGCCTATTCCTGAGACTATTAAAATCTTTGTAGACTGTACTACTATAGATTGATGAAATGTTTTATTTTATTTCTCAGTAATTTAATACTATTCCCTAGAAATCATTCTTAATATTATTTGAGTATCAAAAATAATGTAAATGTCAACAGAACAGCCATCTATGTTTAAATTCTAAGTTCCTAAGCTCTTTACACTAAAAATAGAATTGTTGTTATACATTTTCTCAATTTAAAAATAAATTGAGGTCTGAAAGAGTTGTTTATTGCTCTGCTCGCCAACCTTAATCTAGTGCTGGGGCAGTATCTGTACCTATCTGCCTGATCTGTGTTTCAAAATGCTACTAAATTGATGCCTTTTCTTTGACAAAATCACCATGAATCAGAATGGCAATCACAGGGCCCCCTTGAGTTTTAGGTTTTGTGGCCATTGTCATTTCCTCCTCATTATTTGAAACCTGTCCTTTCCTAGGCCTGCTGCTTCAGGCATCTTGTAGCCTCCTGCACGTCACTTTTCATCCATGGAGCCCCACCTGACCTTTCCTATCCCAGTAGCTCCTTAGATGTAACAATTGGCACATTGTATTATAATTTCGCATTTATACATTTATGTCTCCAACTAGACTGTGAGATCCTTATGGGTAAGGGATTATGATTTATTAATTTTCTTTAATCCTATGCCTTGCACATTACATGTAGTAAATGTTTGTGGAATTAAAAGATGGATTAACGATTGTAAGATACCTCATCTTGTTGTTTCCCTTAGGTATAGCAGCATGTCATGATTTCTATGGATAGAAAATATTGGGGAAAGCAGTGAATTAGAAATGATTGGAAAAATTGAATCTAGCCTGTGGGGTGTGGATTAATTCCTGTGACAGAGAATGGCCTGGGCAAGTTATTTATCTAAATAATAGTGAACAAATATTGAGTCCCCCTCAGCCTAAGGGACTGTGCTGCACTTGACTATTCTTTGTATAGACCAAGACATCTAAATAGATGGAAAAACTAGTAATATTAAAATACCTTTTTTTCTTGGTCACTGAGCATGTAATGGTTAAGAAGATGGTAATATGTTAGCGATGTGTTAACTATTTTCACAGGTAAGACATTTTATGTTTCAACTTCAAAGATTACCTATAACTTTATTCTTGTTAGCTATATTTTTCTTTATAGTAGTTTTTGAGTAATATGTATATGTTCCTGTTTTTATTTCTTTAATAAAATTGAAAGTCATTTAAGTTATTCCTCTAAGAACCTAGGTTTATATTCAGAAGCCCTAGGGACTATTTGAAAGACACACAGACAGAAAGAGCACAGACTTGATAATCAAATTGCATGGGTTTAAATTTTGGCTTTGCTACTCCAGCTATATGATTTTAGAAATACTTACTTTAGCATCTTTTTGCTATTTTGGCATCTACAAAATAATGGCAGTAGTGGTACTCACCTCATTCTGGGGTAATTCTGAGGGTTAAATGAGATAATGCCCATAAGATTGTTAGCTATTATAACATATGCTCGATAGACAAGTATTTTTAAAATAAAAATTCCAGTTTGGCATACTGCTACATAGCATGCCAAATGCAATTTTGAATTTTCAAAATTTTGAATTTTTGTACCTTGTATATGTAAGGTAGTTCTGCTTTTGTGAGAAGATTGGCCAGATACATTAGGTTGTTTCTGATAGAAATAGGATGTGTGCATCACTTAGAAAATTATAACCACTTGACGTGATTTTTCATAAACTTCATTTTACCTGTTAGTTGTTGCCTTTAGTTAAGTTGTTGCAGTGCAGCTTGGTACCTACACCCTTTAACTTGTCACCAGCTATGTTCTTCGTGGATTGTTTGTTGTAACTTTAATGAAATCTAGTCTTGCTGAATCACTAAACCTGTTCTCTCCTAGAAGGCTCTTTATTGGGACCTGACAGATCACCTCTCCAGAGCCTTCAGACGTCCTAGCTCTCTAATTCTTCTCCATAATGAGTTTTGTGCTGCATGATAAAATATTCATGTTCAAATAGGTTCTAAACTAATTATCTGTGGCCAGCAGTCGCCACTGCAGTCATTTGCTGTTAGCTTGGCTCAAGTTAATGGCTTGTATTTCAGTACAAATAGTCCCTTCTGGCTGTTTCCTGTCCTGATTCTTATCCTAAATGGAATTTCCATACATATCTAGAGTTAAGTCTTCTTCTTTTGAAAGGAGATTTTTTGCCCTACCTTTTTTCATCTCATTTTATTAAGATTAGCTTATTTTAGTGTTCAGTTCCTTATTGTTTCTTATCCATCTTCAAATCCTACATCCCTGCCAAATTCATGACTCCCACACTGTCCAAAAAGAAATAGTAAAGCACCAACTTTAATCAAATATACCATGTCAGATTTTGGAAGAAACCAAAATGGGGTACCGCGGTAAGGATGGGATCTAGTTTCAGTGTGTATGATAAACATTTCTGCTTAGTTGCTAGAGACCTACACAGGGAATGTTACGATAGGAATTAACCACTTTGGGAAGAATTATGGGGCTGGACATGAGGGAGATAAGGCACTAATGGAATATTTTTCTGTGGGTGTTGTTGAAAATGATGGATGACTTGCTGAAGGAGTGGGAGAGTTCAATATCAGAGGACTAAGGGCTTGATCTTCGGGGAATCTGTACTTAGATGTAGGTATGAAAAGAGCTGGAGCCCAGCTAGCAAGGAGACCTTCCTGATACCCTGGGACAGGTCCGTGCCTGGGGCCTTCTTGAATCCTTTCTGCGTCCCTCTGTTTCAGTGAGTGAGTGAGTGACTGGATATGAAAGGATAAGTCAGAGAAAGAAGATGTTATTAGGCAGATAGAGGGTGGACCACCTTTAGAAATTCTAAGTGCCTCTCACCTCAGCATCATTGTGGTCACTGAGCTCTTCAGAAAACAGCAGCTAACCTAAAGTGCTTAACTGGAATGTTGGACCAAGGAGACAGGTACCCTTTTCTTTAACTAGCTATTAGAGCTTTTGTTCCACCTGACTTTTTCAGAATGTTGTAGTCATTAAACTCTCAAATACCACCCTGGTTTCTCCTCCCTCCCCCACAACCCCTCCCTTCCTACCTTCCCCTTCAAATAAACCAAACACAAAAGTCTTAGGTTGCATTTTTTTTCATTCACTATACTCTATATTTCAGTTTTATTTTGTTTTTAATTGACATATAATTGACACATAATAATTGTTAAGTTGTGTATTGATTCTCTGCCAGTTAAATGGTATATGCCATATGCATTCTGTTAATGGCCTAGGGATTTCATGGGCCCAAGGTTAGTGCTTTGATTTTGAAATCAAAACGTTCAATTTCTCATGAACTTCAAATTATTTTATTTTGAATAAATAGAGTCAATAGATTCATAGTGTTAGGGCTTGTCAGCATGCTGGAATCACAGATGTGTGGTGAATAAAACATAAATGATTTTTATGGCATTCTGAATAGTAAAAGTCTTTCTGATCCTAAATGCACAAATCCAACATTTTATTCTCTATTGTACTTAAAACAGCACAAATGGCCGGGCGCGGTGGCTCACACCTGTAATCCCAGCACTTTGGGAGGCCTAGACAGACAGATCACTTGAGGTCAGGAGTTCAAGACCAGCCTAACCAACATGGCGAAATCCCATCTCTACTTAAAATACAAAAATTGGCCAGGCATGATGGCAGGTGCCTGTAATCGCAGCTACTCAAGAGGCTGAGGCAGGAGAATCATTTGAACCCGGGAGGCGGAGGTTGCAGTGAGCCAAGATCAGCACTGCACTCCAGCCTGGGTAACAGAGCAAGACTTCTTCTCAAAAACAAAAACAAAAAACCCCAGCAAATATGGGAAATTAGTATGATAAGTGTTTTCCCCTCATGCATTGTTTCTGACCTGTGTCATATGTGTCTTAATTTATCTGCTTTTTTATTCCTTGATCAAAGAAACATGCCTATTAAAACACCCACGGTGAAATACTTCCTGAAAGGAAATGCTAGCTGGTATTTTGGTTCCTTCTCTTTTCTTTTCTTTTCTTTTCTTTTCTTTTCTTTTCTTTTCTTTTCTTTTCTTTTCTTTTCTTTTCAAATAAAAGCACTTTTTGCCCTGTAATCTGTTATAAATGTAAATCCTGTGAAATATGTAAGAGGGAAATCTAATAAAGTATCAGAATTATGGCTTCTTTGAATTCAGCTATAACTTGGAATTTAAAGAGTTACATATGTTGCTTTATATTCATTCTGTATGTATAACACCACAATAATCTATTTCTTTAATTAAATGCACAAATAATAGTTTAAGTTGATGAAGTACCTGAGGCACCGGGGAGAGGGGTGTGTTAAACATTGACTAATTTAATGAGAAACGTGTTTAATCTACTCCCTCCTTTAATGTAGAGCGATAATTTTGGAAATTACAAACAAATGTACGTATTCTTCAAATGTCTTTTTATTTTTTTTAATTTTAAACATATAGATTTTATTTTTCTTTTGTTAGTTTTTTTCCGTAGGCTGTGACTATGCTTACTGAAAGGATATGACATAGATATAAACTGTTTTCCATGGAGTCCCGATCATCTTAAGATATCAGAGTTAACACTTCAAATCATTTAATACACTTTCATTTGCTCAGAAGAGAAATGCTACTGATGACTGCTTCCAAGAGAAGCCTAAGGGGCAGAAGGAGGAAACCCTGTGCCCACCTATCCTCCAGGGTAATCATATGACCAACCATATTAGCCTTCCTTACTTTTAAGACATAGGAGGAGAAATTTCCTGCCTTTTAAGGCATAGGAGGAGAAATTCTTGATAATATATGGGGGCTATGTAAAATGCTTCTCAGGTTTATGATTTTAAGCCGTTAAACCAAATACTCCAAACTTTGAACTTCCACTTTGGTGTGCATTTGGTGTTTGTTTTTATCTTTCCAAATTACCTGTTCTTATCCCTTTACCATATTTCCATACTTCTTATTGATTTGTGTATATTTGTATATATTATGGGTATCCTTTCCAAGTGTGACAAATCATTTTCTCCCAGTTTGTTGCTTATATTTTAAACTTTTATGTTATCTGTTACTATGCAAATGTATAATGTTTGTGTCGTGAATTCTTTTTTCTTTATAGCTTCTTGGTTTTTAAATTTTCTTTGGTTAAGCTTTCTCTACACTAATACTGAAAACACACATTTTTCTAGACTTCATTGTTTAATTTTTCTGTATTACATCTAGGCCTTTAATCTATATAGAATTTATTTCTTTGTAAGATATTGATTTAATTTTTCCTGATGTAAAAAAGGGTCTCAGTATCTTTTGTTGGTCAGTTCTGTCCATTCCCAGTGATTTGAAATGCACTGTGTTTCCCAATTCCAAATGCGTAATTAGAATTTCTTGATTTCAGTTGTAAAGGACTCAGCTTAATGAGCATAAACAAAGTTGGGTAATTTTTAAGGAGAGTAGGCTTTTCCTCAGGACCACAGAGCAGGTGGCTGTGCCTTGGGAACAACTATTTACAGGAACTCAAATACCATCAGGTTTCATTCTCTTTCTTTTTTCCTTTGTCTTCATTTCTCATTTCTTTTTCATATATCGGCTTCATTGTTCTTTCTCACTGTACACTTTTTCTGAGTGGTTCCTGAGTGTTTCATCTACTCAGAAATCACTTTTTTGGTTACCAGTTGAAAAATCTCAGATTTGTGTCAGTTGACCTTCACTGTGTTCTGGAAATGAAGTCATTAAAAACATAGCCAGCCCTGACCATAACCATGTGGATGAAAGGCTAATTCTTCTTTAGAAAAATTAGATAGCTTAGGTACATATATCTCATTCTGGACTCTCTAGAAGTTATATCTGTTTATCCATGCCTATTTCAGTTCAGTGCTGTGTCAATTACGTCAATTACTGTAGTTTTATGTTTGGCTTAGAAAACTGTAGGACAAGTACTTTCTCATTTTTTTTAACTTTCAAAATATTACTGGCTGGTATTTATTCTTCACAATGAAATGTAGAATCAGCATGTCACGTTCCAGTATACATCCCATGTTTTTTGATGGGAATATATTGAATTTATAGCTTTCTAAGTGGAAATTTGCCTTCTTATTTTGAGATTTTATTTTATTTTATTTATTTATTTTTTTAGACAGAGTCTCCGTCTGTGGCCCAGGCTAGAGTGCAGTGGCGCAACCTTGGCTCACTGCAACCTCCACCTCCTGGATTCAATTGATTCTCATGCTTCAGCCACTTGAGTAGCTGGGATTACAGGTGTGTGCCACCATGCCCAGCTAATTTTTATATTTTTAGTAGAGATGGGGTTTCATCATGTTGGCTAGGCTGGTTGGAATTCCTGGCCTCAAGAGATTCTCCCGCCTTGGCCTCCCAAAGTGATGGGATTATAGGCGTGAGCCACTGTGCTGGGCCAAGATTTTTTTTCCGGAATCATGGTGTGCCTTTCCATTTAAAAAAATCTTTCTTTTATGGTAAAGTGGGCTGGTGTGGCTGTATTTCTGTCAAATGAATTCCCATTACTAATCTCTGCTTAATTAAATAAAACTTCATTGAATAATAATAATTTAGAAAGCAAAGATGAGTAAAAGAAGAAAAAGTTTTCTTATAATCTTGTCATTTAAGGATAACTGTATATACATTTAGGCATATCATGGTGCTATATCTTCCACAGAGATTAAATGTTTAGGATACAATGAATTGGCATTTGTATCAGGAATGCATTCCCATTTAAGTGAAAAGAAACCTGCTAAGAGTATGATTTTATTATTCATAATCAAAGAGGTTTAAAGATACTAGATCAGTGACTCAGTAAAGTCAAAGATGATTCTGTACAGTTCTTTTGGCCTTGCTCTGGTAGTCACAAGATGACTGCTACTAGGACAGTCATTATGTACCTGGTTGAGGCAAGAGGGTGACAGATGTTTGACGTCAGTTTGTTCCCTTGTTGTCAGTAAAACGAAAGCTGTTTTAGGGTACCTCTGTTTCTGCCTGGTCACATGAACTCTTCTCCATGCAGGTAAGGTTGACAAGCAAGCACATGGCTTTTTAATCTCTGTTGTGGGAAGTGGGATTGGATTGGCCTTTAGGTAGCCAGTCAACACCATCTGCCTTTGCAAATAAGGCCAGAATTACTCTTGATCTTAAATTTTACAAGCCAAGTTTTTAGACAGTGGATAAGTTCTTCCACGTCTTCTCAAACCAGTGTTTTTCTAAGCCCCTTAATTTATTCATTTCTTTCCCTCAGTGATTTCCAGGAAGCCATTACCCCTATTTGCCTGGCACTTATACAGTGCGGAAAAGGTCCTGAAAACCCGAAAAATCATTTATAGTGTGTTTTCCTTCATTTTTAAATGCTATTTCTTGATTGCCTAAGACTGAATTGCCTTGGGCATTCCTCACTGAGCTGGAATGCTGACTCTACAGCAGGTTCTTGAATAACATTGCTTTGCTATAACGTTGATGAGAAAAAGAAATTGATTCCTGGAGGGCCCCACTGTCTGTGTGAAGTTAACACATTCTCCCCATGTCTATGAATTTTCTCCAGATACTCCAGTTTCCTCCCACATCCCAAAGCTGTGCATGTTCTTTGAATTGTCATGTCTAAATTATCCCAGTCTGAGTGAGTGTGGGTGCGTGCGCGTGCCCCAAGATGGAATGGTGTCCTGTTCAGGGCTAGTGCCCGCTTTGCGCCCTGAACTGCCGAAATAGGCTCCTGCCACCCGCCACCCAGAGCTGGATTAAGCAGGTAAATATCTTACTTGGTGTCATTTATCTCAAATGTATGCATAGCTCACATTTATTTCAGTATTTAATATTAGTGTTTTTGTCTTCATTTAGAGGTTTGGTGATGTTTTTGCAACCAGAAATATGCCATAACAACTCAGCTCTTGTTTATGTCAGTTAGCCAGTGGGGAAATTGGTTTTGTGGTACATCATTTTGCTTAAAGTTGAAGTTTCTAAGAACCTATAGAGGACATTAAGTGAAGAACTTGTTGCATTTCTGCTTATTTATTTGCTTTTACTGTGAAGAAATAGCTGAACTTCTGTGAAGGGTGCAGTTGCTTTTAGTCCACTGTGTGCTGCTCTAGGCTATCCAAGCCCAGGGGTTGGTTTCTGCTCCTATGATATGAAGGCAGTATGAGAATTCTCACAGGGCCCTAGCCTGACCTCTGGATTAGGGTTCTCATGGTGTTGCTCTGGTTCCTGGTTTCTGCAATGCTAGGTTCCCCGGCTTGCCTGACCTTGCCGCCTTTTGCTTCCGGTTAGTGTGGTTCTCTCAATCCCATTCATCTGATACTTCCAGACTTGTCATTTTTATTAGGTCTCATTGCTTCAGCAGTTATGCCATTCTCCTGACAAATAGAGTTCTTTCTTACCTAGGAAAAATATTAGCTTTACTTTAACTAGAGCTGTTTTCACAAGTGTGTGAAGACCTGGAAATTTGCAATTAGTTTCAGATAAGCACAGCTGAAATATTCTTGTTTTGTACTAAGGCAACAAATTGAAAGAAAGATTGAGGGCACTGAGTCATTGTAGTTTCTAACGATACAACGAATACATTATTGGGTTCGTGTATCATACTGGGACCTTGTTACTTACAAAATATAAAATAAAAGGATCTTAATGTGTCTTTAGTAATCCTCATGCCTCTTAATAAGAGCTTTTAATTTTTAGTCCCTGAGTCATCACATTTTGGTATTGCTAGCCCTGCTGTGGCCAAACTGAATACTATCCTAATTAATTTTAATAATAGAAAGACTCATTAGGAATGCACTGGTCTGCTGGGATGACTGTGGTGATGCATGAAGTCACGAAAGGAGGATGAAATCATTTTGGGCATTTCAGTGACATTTTTTATTTAAAATGTATATTTCAGGCCAAGGAGCACTATTGTGGTCAGCATTTGGGAGGCTGAGTGTTATATTTTAAACTGTTAGATTTCATTTGTTTTATTTGTACTAGTGGGTTGTCACACTCTGGCATTAGTGGTCATTTTTTAATGGCCATTTCTAATGGCATATGAAATTGAAAGAGACTGAAGTGTTGGAAAGAAGGAAAGTTAGGTTTTTTTTTAATTATTAAAGTATCCCAAATAAAAATGGAATTTTAAAGAATGTCTCAAGAAATGTATGCGTTAAAGAAGTCAATCAAAATTGGGCAAATGAGCTTCTGCTCATGAACATCTGTAAAGCATTGACTTTAATTGCCCTGCAGCTGCTGTTGGCTGTGCGGTTTCTAGTTTTACTCGTTTCTCCTCCATCTTACATGTCACTTTATTTCCTCTTTCCAATGTTGCCTGGGTCACATGCATTTGCTTGTGTCGAAAAAGTAAGATGATTTAGTTATTTTTAAGATCCCAAAGACAAGGATGCTTATCTGTTAAAGCCTTTTCCTCCAAGCACCTGTTAAGAGTTGAATTTAATCTACACCAGCTGTAGCCTAGTTATGTGTAGCTCGAGTAGGAGGTGTCTGATACATTGTCTTCTCTTTTCATTGAAATGGATTGGTAAAACTAGGCGGCATAAGTTAGTGGGGAAAATTTAGATACATCTTAGATTAGATGAAGACCTTTCAAAATAGGGCTTTAAAACATACAATTCAAATATACGTGCTTATACTTTTACGTGAATTACAAATTGGGTAAAGATAGAAATTTGTTTCTACAGAACTGCCAGGAATTATATTACACATTGAGACCACTGATTTTTGACACTGGCCACTTTGTCCATTTGAATTTTGCTGCTGAGTTACTCTTTTGGGCATAATTCTGCAGAGTGGAAGTCTTTAAAGATAAAGGAAGGGCTGAGAATGTTTTATTCTTGTTGACATATGAGTATGATTCAAATTGAGTTTTATGGAAAGATCACTCACTTCATAGAAATTTTTTTATTTTACCTACTCAGTAGCAGGTTGTATTAGTCCGTTCTCACATTGTTGTAAAGTAATACATGAGACTGTGTGATTTATAAAGAAAAAGAGATTTAATTGGCTCACGGTTCTGCAGGCTGTATGGGAAGCATAGCAGCTTCTGCTTCTGGGAAGGCCTCAGGAAACCTTCAATCATGGCAGAAGGCGAAAGGAAAGCAGGCCTATCTTACATGGCCGGGGTAGAAGCAAGAGAGAGAAGGGGAAGGTGCCACACACTTTCAAACAACCAAATCTCATGAGAACTCACTCACTATCATGAGAACAGCACCACAGGAGAAATCCACCCCTACGATCCAGTCACCTCCTACCAGGCTCTACCTCCAGTACTGGGGAGTAAAATTTTTCTACATGAGAGCTGGACGGGAACACAGATCCAAACCATATCACAGGTCAAATTCAAGCTCCTATTTTTTTTGTTCTCCTTCTCCACTTATTTTAAATTGGAAATGAAAAGATGGAATATAAGTTGTTTTAGTCATTATGAAATACGTTTACCAAACCAACTACACCATACCTTAAACCTAAGTAAACCTCTTTTAGTGATCAATTTTGAAGGTAAGGCCCAGTCAAATGCTGAATTTTGATGACCAGTAGGAGGCAGACTAAGATTTTTCACTGTTCCCTTAATATTTTTTAAGATTTGTAATGTATGAAGCTTTTGATATGTAATATGAGAGACAAAAAGGAGACATCTTAATTCTACTCTTAATGAGTGGAAATATTTTCTAACCTGGGAGTTACTGCAAATTGTCGTGGAACTGAACCTTGAGGCCTGTGAGCAAAGGTTGCTAAGGTCAAGGTCAGTAGTCTGAATCACAGTGTTCCAGGGGTTCCAGGAACTCAAACCTAACCCAGCCAAGTACAGACAACCTCGGGGTCTAACATGTGAGAGTGGAATTGCGATAGAAATCGAATTTGGTGAATAGTGGTGTTGGGATGTCGAGTTTTAGTTAGAGTTAGAATTAGAATCCCAATTAGTGACCTTGGTAAATACTTCTCCCATTTTCAGAACCATGGCAAAATGGATTGAGGTTCAGGGGAACTGTAACCTAATTAGGAGCCAAGGGAGGAGCTAATTCCCAAGGATTGGACATGTGTGGTGGGCTCGATAGGGAAGACCATAGGCTTAGTTTGCTCTCCGAAGCATGCTGAATCCTGAGCTTAACCGCCTCCACTCTTAGTTTTCTCATCTGTGAAATGACAGTAGTCAATAATTATAGTCTCCTCATGGGGTTATGATCATTAAAAAGAAAATCCATAAGTAACACGTAAAATACTGCCTTGACATATTGAGTGTTCAGTAAATATGTTGGCAATTACAGATGCTACCTACTCAAAGGTATGGGTTTTTACCTGAGGCCCCAGAGTTGTTTAGAGATCACCTTGAGGACTCGTTAAAACACAGATTGCTGGAACTGACCTTCAGAGTTTTCGTGATTCAGTAGCCCTAGGGTAGAGTTGCCAGATAAAATACAGATGCCCAATTAAGTTTGAATTTCAGATATACAGTAACCAATCTTTTAAATATGTCCCATGCAATATTTGGAACATACTTATACTAAAATAATTCACTGTTTATCTGAAATTTTAATTTAACTGTGGTAAATTCATTGTTTATCTGAAGTTTGAATCTTCTGGGTTTTTGTTTTTGTTTGACTAAATCTGGAAAACTGAGTCTAGGGTGGGGCAGTTTGAATTGGCATGTCAGATGTGTTCCTTCCCAGGTGATCCTACTGGTGGTTCAGAACAACACTTTGAGAACCTCTGGATACCTGCAGCTGGATGGATCTGAGGAGTATGTTGACAATCATTTACAAATAACTGTAGCAGAAGGTGTCACATTCCCTGGGAGTTCAAAGTATACCCAAGATACAAGGCAACAATGTTAGTGTCTAAATAGTTGCACTTTATTGGGGGTTATTATATATTTGTGGTTAAGTCTTTAAAATAAGGAACATGAGTTTGAGATCATTTATAAAGGTATGTAACTAAGTGTATTGGCCTATATGAAAATATAGATTCTGTCTTTTTGTCATGATTTTAATTGAGCTACACCTTCATGAATTTCAAATTTATAGCTTTTTAATGCCAGGAATTATTTTTGGGGTTAGGAATGAGAGAGCCCAGGGTGAAACCTTAAACTCATCTGTGCTTTATCTATAATCCCTATAAGTCAGAAGCCAGTAATTAGAGTCATACAGGAGGCAGTGTAGAGAGTGATTATTTCATGGGCTTTAGAGTTATTTCTCATTTGTGTAGTGAAAATAATAATGGTACCTATCTCATAGGATTGTTGTGAGCATGATGTGCAAGAGTACACATAAAACATGGTTTAGCATACAGTGAGCACTTAAGTGCAGACTAAAATAGGATTAGGATTAATAAAACTCAAATCCTCAATTTAGTGGGTAAATTGTTAAGACATTGTTAACAAATCCTCTGAGCCAAGTTTGTGTTTGTTTGTTTTGTTTTGTTTTTGTGACTAAGAAACATCACTGATTCATGGTAGACCGGAAGGTACATATTAGAACTTGGTTACTTGGTCTACTATACACTGCAGTATTAGCTCCACAATAGCAGAGACTATTCTTGCTTTGTTGTTTGTTTTATCCTTAATGTCTAAAACAGTACCTTTCATAGAATAGATACTCAATAAATATTTGTGGAAAAAACAAAAAGTGACTACCACTGGTAAATGCTTTCAATAAACTGTTTTTAGATGATTTTATGGTTATGTGTAGACAAAGTTGTTGTATCAGAAGATTATGTTCCCATGGATATAACAATAGACTAAAGGTTCAGAATATCTCAAACAATGAACCTGGACACATAAACAGAATCATACAGAATGTCAAGAAAAATGGAAATGTTTTAGATGTCTGATGTAAGAACAGTCACTTGGTTTTTCTTCTCCTTTTTTAACCTTTTGATATACTATGCTGGCTTAAGAAAACCAGCTTTATTATTCTTAAAAGTAAATTTAAATAGGCAATACATTCCCATGCTTCAGAATTTAAAAGTATAAAAGTATACATGTTAAACATCTCCTTAAAACTCCTCTCCAATAGATACCCTGTTACCTTTCCCACAGGTTAATTTATATCATTAGTTTCTTATATATCATTCTAGAAATTTTTTGGCATATATAAGCAAATATATATATATATTCTTTTTTTTCCTGTTTTACACAGATGGTAACATTATGAACACTGTTCTGAACATCATTTTTTTTTCATTTTGTATATCATGGAGTTTTATTTCTTCTTTCTTTGTTATGGCAAGAGTATTACGTTGTATTGTTACACCATAATTTATATAACCAGTCCTGTGTTGATATGCATTCATGTTGTTTCTAGTCCTTTGTTATCACAAGCAATGCCACAGTATAACCATCCTTGCATGCATGTGCTAATATGTCTGTAAGATAAATTTCTGGCAGTGGCGTTTGCAGGCCAAACCGTTATATTCCAGGGTTTGTGCATTTGTAGTTTTGATGGATACTGCCTTAGTTCATTTTTTGCTGCTATAACAGAATATCATAGACTGGATAATTTATAAAGAACAAAAGCATATTTGGCTCATGCTTCTAGAGACTGGAAAGTCCCAGAGCATGGCACTGGCATCTGGTGAGGGTCATTCCGTAGCAGAAAGGCAAAAGGCAGAAATGAACACAGGAGACAGAAATATGGGCCTGAATTTATTCTTTTATTCTGAGCTCACTCCTGTGATAACTAATTCATTCCCGTGATAGGAATACTAGTTCATGCATGAGGACTCTGCCTCTTGAAGGTTCTACCTGTCAACCCTCTTACAATGGCAATTAAATTTCAACATGAGTTATGGTGCAGATGTTCAAGCCATAGCATTGCCATACTGCCCACCATAGTGTACCATTTTACACTTTTACCAAGTAATGTTCTTCATTCTTTACATTCTTATCAATACATTGTGTTAACAAATTCTTGACTCATTCCCATTCTGATATGTAAAAATGTTTTAGTTTGAATTTATATTTCTCTTGTGAGATTGCACGTTTTCATATATTGAAGAACTTTTTATATTTCCTTTTCTGCAACCTGTCTCCTCATATTATTTTGAGTAATTTTCAGTTGCCTCTTCTTTCCCCCTTACTGATTTCTAGGATTTTTTTTTTTAATCTGGGAATACAGCAATTTGAGATATGAGCTTCCAATTTTTTTCCCATTTATACTTTGGCTTTCCTTAGCATAATTTTTGCCATGCAGAAATATTTAATCTTTATTTTATTTAGTATAACAAACTTTTCTTCGATGGATTCTACATTTGTGACACAGTTATAAAAGACTTCCACCAGCTGAGGTTATAAATGAGGAATTTTATCATAATTTTAAAATAACTTTTATAGTTTGTTTTACATTTAAATTTTCAATTTGTTTGGCAATTATCTAGGCATAGGTTATGAGGAAATCATTCGACTTCTGCCTTGCGTTTGTTTTATTTATGACTTCACTATTTCAACCAGTTTTCATTGAGTATCATTTATGTACCAGGAAATTAGGTGGGTGTCCCTCATAGAGCATATTAAAACTTAGTTGGATGACTAGGATTTCCAAAACAAATAATGAATGAAAAAGCATAAGAAGTGTTATGGTAGAGATGTTTGGGAATGCATAGACAGGAATGATTCATCCTTTCTTTGTATGGGAAAGAACAGGACTCAGAATAAGGAAATATTTATACCACACTCATTTTTGAAATCAGGAATATCTTAAAACAGTTTAGTTTTATGAAACTGAAGGATTTATTTAGAAGAACAGATACAGTCTGAATTAGAATGTTGATGTACCGTGTGAATAGATCAACTGATATGATTCACGTTTGTTAAGACTGGCAGCTTTCTACTGATATTTTTTAGCAAAGTAAAAATAAGTAAGCAAATAAATAGGGCTAAGAAAACTAATTTGAGAGAGTCAGTTTTCAAGATGTTGGAGAGGGTAGTAATATGAGAACACAAACTTCCCAACTGTGTGATTTTGGAACTCCCTTTGAGAAAAAAAAGAATAATTAATAAAGATTTTTTTTTAAAAGGCCAGATTAATAATTAAGCAAGAAAAGCCTCAGATAACTTGAAAGGTGAGAGAATAAATTGCCAGGTGATAACAATAAAGAAATTTAATCATGTCCACGAATGTATAATACTTTGTACAGCCAATAAAAGCAAGTAAGAATTTTCAGTCCTGTAGAGGACTTTAATGCAAGGGACAACAAATACGTTAGATATGCCCAAAGGACATGACTAGTAAGAGAAGCGCTTCAGTTTTGAAAGTAAGATAAAATGTGTAAGTTGACATAATCTTTAGGAAAGTGAATACAGTTCCCATGTTAGGTACAAGCAGGCAGTTATTTTCAACTAGAAAGATATGAAAGTCTTTTAAAAACCAAGTGTAGATATGTAACTTTATTATTAAACATGCATTCATTCAGTGTTACTGAGAGAGTAAAGAATTAGGAAGATAATATTGAGGAAAGATGTGTGGATTATATTTCAAATGTATATACGTAGGTATGTGTGTGTAAGACACACACACATAATGGTGGAGTGTTGGGTTTTGTTTCCAGAGAACCAAAAGAAGTATAAAATATTTAACTATCCTTCAAATTTTGACAGTCTTTTGCCTTTCATTCATGAAGATGAATATTATTCTTTTCCTTCGTAATCAAATGCCCAGGTTTCCAGGCTGCTTCCAGTGAATGTGTGGCTTCTGCTAGAGATTCTGTATTTTACAGATTCTATATTTTACATCTCTGTCACCGTTGGAATATGTTTATGAGATCTGGGCTTATCACCAGTGTACATACTTGTCTTTCTGTTCGCCACTAATTTTTATAAGATAATGGCGGAACGCAATAAAATATCACATAGTTGCCTAGCCCCTTCTGTACCAAGATGTCAGTGCTGCCGAAATTGAATTGTGAGTTGGCAGGAGAGGCTGCTGTGGATTAGCAGGAAATATTTGACAGTTCAAATTTGGTATACAGAAGTTAGCAGTGTCAATATATAATGTATAATAGTTGGCACAGTGTCAATATATAATGTATAATAGATGACCTCATGCATTTAGAGCCTCTGTACACTTTTAATATTGTCAGGAAGAGGGGCTGCCGGGGCTTTTTAGACTGAAGATTGGGACTTGGAGGTCTTACAGTCTCACCAGTTAGTGATCATCCAGTTTAGTCACATTATTTTATAGTAGGAGAGTGAAACCTAAAGAAGTAATTTTTCTGTGTGTACAAAGCAAATTTGGTGGCAGAGATTAACAGGCAGGTTTTCTGTCTTGTTTCATTGCTTTTCTTTCAGCACATGTCGTGCTCTTTCACCATCGTGGTTTTCAGCTCTCAGTGTACCATGTGTGATTCTTGGGAAAAGTGCAGATAACCTGATCTCCAACCTCAGAGATTTTGATTTAGCTGGTCTGGGATATGAGCCCAAGAATCTCAGATGCAGATGGCTCTTGTGGCAGGCACACTTTGAGAAGGCTAGACCATGTCATGCGTGAAACTGAAATACATAGAAGTTAAATATCCAAGGTCACACATGTAGGAAATGGGGAAACCAGGACTCTTATCCACTCCTCAATATTTTTTTTTGATGTATGGTTTTTCGCATTCTAGAAATTGAAGTGACTCACTCTACCTAGAGGTTTGGAACAAGATTTAAGAAGCATCTAAAATCAACATGATGCCAGTTCTTAGGCTGATGTGTGTTTATTAATAAGAAGTAAAATTGTCCAGCATGAGCCAGCTTTAATTAGGCATTTTAAAGAAGTAAGACTGTGCTACTTAATATTTGAAAATTGATTTAATTTAGAACTGATTATCAATGGTGATTTAAGTATTGGTATCCCATCTTTACTCCTGTTGAGCAACCTGGGTGGCCTTATCTTCCGTGACAGTGGAATTTACAATTATTTCAAACTCTGCCTTTAAGTAACTTAGAATCTTCTAGAAGATACAACTTATAAACAGATTTAAAGAACGATATTTTTTAAAGTGATTATTAAATGATTACTTATGTAGCTCTAGATCATGTAATGGTTTAGAGGAGGAGAGAAAAGTTTCAGAACTGTGTTGCAATAAGCCCCTTTGATGGGGCTTAACTTGAAAGGGAGCCCTTGTCTGATCAAATGACATCAGACAGAAGGGAGCCAGTGAGTGTGGAAATTACTAATAAAAATGAAGAAACGTGTCTTCACCCTTTTGTGCCAATTTCTCAAAATACCACAGATTGAGTAATTTATAAAAAAGAGAAATTTAGGCCAGGCCCAGTGGCTTATGCCTGTAATCCCAGCATTTTGAGAGTCTGAGGCAGGCGGATCACCTGAGGTCAGGAGTTTGAGACCATCCTGGCCAACATGGTGAATCTCTACTAAATATACAAAAACTTAGCCAGGCATGGTGTCATGCGCCTGTAGTCCTAGGTACTTGGGAGGCTGAGGCCAGGCATGAGAACCACTTGAACCCAGGAGTCAGCGGTTGCAGTGAGCCAAGATGGCACCACTGCATGCCAGCCTGGATGACAGAGTGAGACTTTGCCTCAAAGCAAAAAAAAAAAAAAAAAGATTAATTTTCTCACTGTTCCAGAGGCTGGAAAGTCTGAGACCAAGGTGCTGACAGGTTTGGCTGTTTGGCTGTCTGGTAAGAGCTGCATTCTCCAGTGAGGAGGACACTCAGGGGTCCTGACGTGGTGAAAGGCAGAAGAGTAAAAGAGCTGAAAGCTGCAATAATTTTGTTTTTCTAAGTAACATAATCTCATTCATAAGTGAGGACCCTCATGGCCTAATCACTTCCGAAAGGCACTAGGTCTTAATATCGTCACATTGGCAACACCGGAATTTTAAAAGGGATACTTTGAAACCATAGCAGAAGGTTAATGAAAAATTAGTATTTGCTGGGAAGGTAGGCACAGGGATTTTCTTTGTTAGTGAGTTACTGGGTGAAAATATACAGTGGTGTATACAAAATATACAATGACTGTAATGAAAGTGTGGTAGTGTTTGTGAATAAAGAATTTAAGTGTCAATAGGTATCAAAGAAAGGAGGCAATTATTTGGATGGTCATACTTGTGCTTAGAGGTTCTTTACTGCACCACCCCAGTCTGTTTACTTTTGTTTCTACATTGTTACAGCTTATTGGAATAACTCAGATTCTTGTCTGAAATGCTTTGTCAATTCCTCCAAATTTGCACCAAGGCAAACAGTAAATCTGAATCATAGTAGTGAATAATTGAACAGGCTAAAACATGAACTGGAAAAGATGACTGGAACTGAAAAATCAATAAGCTTAGGGAAAAAAACTTGTAAAAGCTTATTCAATATAAAAAAAATAAATCAAGAATAATAAATATCCAAGTTGCTTCTATAATCGTTTTACTTTGAACAATATAATTTTTTTTTAAAAAAATTGATAGTCTTCCTGTGTGTACAGGAAAGATTTCTAGCATTTGAAAGGTTACAGCAGAATAAAGGAAGTACAAGCAAAAAAATACATAAAAATAATTCCTTCCAGCATAACAAAAATCGCTTTCATGAAATGATAAACTTTAGTGTAGATACATTATTGAATTGAAGAGCCGTTGGCATTCCAGGGAAGCTTTTGGGGTCCTTAAATGTCATTCCACTGAAACAGCATGATTGTGATTGCTGATTAATAGTCCAAGAATAGTGATATCTGAATATGGTCTATAGTGATTTAAAAAGGCTTATGACCAGCTTCTCATTTGAAACTTCTAGACAGTTTTCAATTTAATAATCTTAGTTTCCCACTATGAAAATGAGGATTGCTTGGGGAAAAGAGTCTGTTATTTTTGAATTTTTGAGTTAGACGTCTTCCATTCACCAGAAAGCACTATCCAGATTCTAAGATTATGTTTCAGGATATAACCATATGGCAAAGCACTTACTATATATAGGTAATTTGAAACTATACCAGTTCTAAAACAAACAAATAAAAGGATGTGGTCATGTATAGCAGTGGTAATACATGAATAGTTAGATCTTGTGTATAGTTAATATGTTTCTGTGGAGTTGTCTGATTAATACAAACAAAAAAATACTAATCTGTGATATATAGGATACTTACCACTTTATGTATATTGTTAGAGATGGAAGCAACCGCATTTTTACAGAATGGCAAAACTTAGTTCTGGAGAGGTGAATTGACTAGCTATTGACAGAGATAAATAGGCACCAGATCTTTTGGGCACCAGTGCAGATAAACCATGATGCTACTTAGAAGAATAGAGGAAGAACCAGTTTCAGCGCCAGATAGTATGCTTAGGATAGCCCTTCACTCACCTCATTGCCTTCTCTGATAAGTCATCATCTCTGGTCCTCTACTTAGGCCCATTTAGTTGAGGTATCACCAGAGGCAGCTTCTGTAATGGGGAGTCAGGTACCTGGAAAGCTGTGGTAATACGCCCCAAAGTATACAGTCCTGTGGAACTTGGTGCATTTACAGTCACGTCTTCTTTCTTTCCTCCTTTCCTTCCTTCCCCTCTCTCCCCTCCCCTCCTCTCTTTTCTTCTTTTGAGGCAAGGTTTCTCTCTGTTGTCCAGGCTCTGTTGTGCAGTGGCATGGTCATAGCTCACTCACTACAACCTTCCACCCCCGGCCTCTAGTGATCCTCCCACCTTGGCCTCACAAAGTGCTGGGATTAGAGGCATGAGCCATTGCACCTTGCCAAGCCAGGTCTTTAACTGCCAGCCTACGGTTTGATTCATTGCTGTCAGCATTGTAGGTTCCTGTGTTAAGTACAAATTAACAATGTTGGGGACTTCATGTATTTCTACTGTGTAGAGAGATTCTTCAGCTTTGTGAAATCTTAAAATACCTTTGGTTACATGTTATTTTTTCCAGTTATTATTTAGTATATCTAAAACATTTTGTATTCTCACAGTGCTTCTTAATATCATGAGTTATTAAGTAAGACTGCTAATAAGTTGCTGTGCTTATTAATAGTTTGTAATTATTAATTATTTATGACTGATATCTGATGTAAGTAGAAAGTGTGTAATATATATAAGAAGTAGCTCTGGCTCTTGAAAAGAGAGTGTGTGTGTATGTTTGTGCACACGTATGTGTGTACATGCATGTATATGTATACATGCATAATCATATACTCATGTATAATTATATATGATTTATATAAATATGAACTCTATATACATACATGTTTACACATACACCAAAATGCACACACTTACTTGCTTTCTTAGATATTTAGGGAATGAATTAGATTGAATCTAGATTATAAGCTTCTTCACTAAGGGGTTTGCTTCTTGAGGGTAGACATTTTCTCTTGTTCTTTTTACTTAATAGACACTGAATAAAACATTTGTTACTTGCCCTGATTTTGGGACTGGGTAAATTGTTATATTTCTCTAAAGGATAATTCAGGTCAGCGTACTTTGTGTGTGTATAAGCCAGTCACTTTGTCTAGAGGATTGCTGAGCTGCAACCACTGATAGCTGCCTTGACCCTGAAGTATCTGTTCTTTACACGAATGAAGAATGAAGCTCGTGGTCAGCATGACCATTGCTTCTCAGAAATGTAAATTTTCTCACTCTTGTGAATATCATACTTACACCTCATGCTGGCTACTCTCCTCTTCTTCTCTTCATGATCTTTCTCATTATAACTTTGTCCGTTGCACCCAGATACATCCGAAAAGTTGTCACCTGCAGAGATGCTATTTGGTGAAGATTTGAAACCTCTTAACGGTTAAGAGTGTCCTTTATCTTCAGCGTTGATGACAAACCTGTTACAAACAAATTTTTGGATGGGATATTGTAATACAAATGAAACTGTTTGTGAAACAGATGACCTGATTGTTTCATATGCGTTTATATTATCTGTATTGGTGATGTGCTCCACAGGATCAGATAATTATGATAATACACACGTGTTGAAAAGAGATGCATTCAATTCACAGCTATGGAAGTTTTAAATTGATTTTTTTTTCCCCAAAAGAAGTCAGAATGTATTCATTTTTTCTCGTCATTTCCTTCTTAGCTTAGAGTTACCCCTTGTGGCTTCCTAATTTCATTGCTACCACATTGTCCGAGTCTTCATCACCTGAAACCTGAGTTACTGTACACTTAATGCTTGTCTCTCCTGTTTCTGGTTCATTCTATATACTGTATACTTCAGCACACATTTATTTACCATGGTGGTGATAGTGGTGATAAGATTTTAGTTCTAGACTAGAAGGCATAATCCATCAAAAAGTGCACAAGAGAGGTATTGGTTTGTAATTTTTAGAACACTAACTTTAAAATAGTCCCCCACCCAGTTAAAAAATAATTGTGGACCTATAACGTATACAATACTGCTTTAGATGGTGAAAACATTTAATATATTTATTGAATTGAAATAGTTTGTTGATTTAAAAATTCTGCTATGATGGTAGGATAGGGTAATGGGACAATTCTAGAGAGGAGCACATCTGGTATGTGGCATGTTCATTGTCCGAAGAGAACCAGTTCTGGTAATGAGTAGAGCATTTCTTGAAATTAACATTGTAATAAGCACAGCAAAGCAAAGAGGGTTTAAATCATAGTGGTGCCTCTCTCCTCCCTGGCTTCCCTGATGCCCAGTGGTATACAATTCAGAAATATCTGATGAGTGGTTATAACATTTCTCTGATTTTCCCCTTTCTTTTCTTCATCTCCAGGTTCATCTTAAATGAACCTCTCCTTGGTCCCATAAGGCCAGTCTGTTTTTGCATTCCTCAGTTCTGATTTCTTTTGGCAGGAGGACTACATGTGGTTGACAGATTATATCTGAAAAGGGCTTTGGTAATTGCTCGTTCTCTTCAGTGACTGTGTTGCTGACAGATGGGCACAGTGAATATTGAAAGTGTTCTGGACCTCCGCTTACTCCTTCAGCTCATGAGTGCTGAGCACTGCCAGCACTTTTCTTATTATCTATTAGCAAATTTAAAAAGAATTGCTTGGATCTTTACATCTTTTTGGACCTATAACTAAATCACATGTATGGCTAGGTTCTTTCCCACCTCTTCTACCCCCAACCCCCGTTATGTATTTTTTGGAATAGAGAAAATTCTCAAGATGTTAATGCAGGCTGGCATGAATGGGTGCCAATAGTTCTTACAGACTTGTTAAAAGATTTATTTTTTGCCTGAGAATTACACATATGGCCTAGAATGATAATATTAGGATCTGTGTTGGTTGAGATAATTGGCAGATCACACCTTAAGAAAAGTGATTGGTTGGCTTGTTTCTTTCATTTTAATCTGTTGTCTCCGTCACAGTCAAATTAGCATTATGTAGTATATTACTACACTTAAAAAATTATTTAACCCATTTATAGAGGGCATCTGTCGGTTGCATTTGATTTATTTAAAACGTTTTCTTACATGGCCAATTTAGTAACAGCAAGCAAAACCAAAATGAGCAAAGGAGAGGATCCCAATAATCCCAGATCTATAAAGCGGATTTCTCAAGGGGGTAGAGATAACCACCTAGCTATTGCTAAATGTGATCTCACTCAGTTGAAAAAGAAACAATCAGAAGTGAGCAATGGGAGCCGTGAAACCATCTCAATGAAGACTTGTTGCCAACATGGAGATAGAGGATATTGGTCTACAGGGTACTATTGGAGAGGTAACTGTGAGGCTTTTACACCCAGACAGCCCTTCTGTGCATGGCAAGTTTTACTGAACTCCTCGAGATTTAGGGCCAATTAATTCATCTGTTTTAAGATGAATTCATCGGGTAATGTGTTTTAAGATTAAATTAACTTGTTTGTTCTTGCTTTCCAGATCTCTTATTCACTGCATGTGTGTATGTGGGTAGGTGAGTGAGAGTGAGAAAGATAATATGCCCGGGGTTGGATGTCTGTTTTCATTTATTATTAAGTAGAAGAAGATGCTCACATACTTGTAGGTACAGAAGCTTCAACATAGCAGTCTTTCACAGTGTGAGTTATGATAGACGCAATCTAAGAGTGAATTATAAAAGTGATAGGGCCGGAACAGACTTTTATTAAATTTTGGGTAATATTGTAGATTAGAAAAGTAAAATGTGTTACCTCTACTTATCTTTAAACATTCACTCTATTTAATGTATTCATCAGACCTCAGGAAGCTTGCAAGTATATTCTGAAGTTACAAATTTGTATTTTCTTTGTAAGTAATATTTAGTAATATTTTCCTTTATAAAAAACTTTTAAAGTCTAAAAATGCCACTGTGTGTCAATGTCCTGTATCACCTCTCTCTCAATTTTCGTTCTCTTTCTTCTAATAACTATTTCTAAGGAAACTATTTTTACAAATTATTCCAATGATTACTATCAAATTAGAAGATCTCTTAAATAGCATCTAATGTGATTTATAGCAGAGATAACTAAGGTCCCCAAAAGTTAAGTTACATGTTTAAGATTACACAACAAGTTAAGTCAGAGTATGGAGAGGAACCTAGATCCTCTCATCCTTGTTCAGTCCTTTTGGCTCTAATGTTGCCTCCTATCACATTCTCAGTCTGGATGAGTTGGCTGTAAAATATCAAGGGTATGCTCTTTGCAGTCTAATTTAGCAATTATGATCAATGTTGTCATCCATGTTTTAATAATAGAATTGTAGAGATAAAATTTGTTTTCCGTAGGTCATATATGTAAAAAATGCTCAATACATATTTATTAACTGAGTGAATGAAGCTGGTAGTTTTGTTTGACATATGCACTTTTTCTGACTTTCAAAAAAAAAGTTAAAATCAGAAAAGAAACCAAAATGGATCCATCTGGCTTATTTGGAAGGACATTATTGTGTAATGAAATACCAACGCAGTCACATTATATAAGTCAGTGTTCATTATCACAGACAAATCAGCATGGTAAAGATGATAGATTTTCAGAATAGCATAGGGATTCTTTTAATAACCCCCTAATAAATAGATGCAAATAGTTTTCCAATTGAACATACCTTTGAATTATTACCCATATTATTGTCTTAATTTGTTGAAATTGTTGTATTTTTGTAATGTGATTGCAACATTGCTTTTCAGGAAGAGGAGATTATGATTCTGTATCCCCTTTTGGTCCTATTTATCCCTTTTAAATCAGTTTCACCTCTCATCTTAGACTTATCGGGATTTTTATGAATGTACCTGACTATCCTTGGTACATAAAAAGAAGACTCTTTTCACTTTACTTAATGCTACAAAATTTTGAGTGTAGTTCCCAGATGGCTAATTATTTATTTGGTGACTAAAAATATAGCTTCTTGTTCTCCAGTCACATATGTGATTTTGGGATCTTAAGATAAATTTTTATATCTCATATGAGTGATCGTAGAATTTCCAGCCATTATATTTCTTATCACTATGGCTAGCTTGAATATAATAACATGATTTTAAAATATATATAACCCTGACATGGTGATGTACTTTTGAAAGCTCCTTGTATTAGCAGGTTATTTGTACAGCTGTATCAAAAAGACTTGCCTCACTTCAGAGGATTATCGATTAATTTGCATAAATGTATTTATGCTTGAGAGTTAAAGTAATGCACTATTAGTTTTATAAAACAGTTGGCATAGCTGTCAAAGTTCTTAATGTTCTTTGCAGTGTTACAGCTAGAATTTCCCAGGGCATTGAAAGAAAAAGCAAAGAAACAAATCTTTAATAGTGTTACATTCTGCTTGTTCTCCTGGGCTTGTATTGAAGCACAGGTGTTAAGGTGGTGTTGAAATTAGTCTGGAATCATGAAAAAATAAAATACAACTCTTTGAGGTAGCTAGGGCAAAATGACTTTGCAGTGCCACGACTGCTCTGCCCCTATCTGAGAAAATGCTTCTTGTGCTCGGTAGCTCTTGTTAACTTGAAAAACTCTAGAATTACATAAATAATGAATGGATGCAAAAATTCATTGGTTTTTGTAATGTAGATGAAGGTAAGATGTCCTGTCAGAACTGAAATTTGCATAGTAGAAAAATTTAGTTATCCTATCTTGTTCTTTAAAGCAATAAATGACTATGAATATTCATGGTCAATTAAAATATTAATGGTATACTGATACTTTAGTTTTAGGTCTCTAGCCATCCATAAAGAGTTTCATTTAAACTTGACTAACAGTGAAGGGATACTTTAGCATAGTGTATAATATATTGGCATTTTGTCTCTGAAATGAAAATGTAGTACCTGACATGAGTAAATAATTTGCTTACTCTTATAATTCATCATTTCTTTTGATAAGAAAATATTCTCTTCTTGTATAGACTAAAACAGGGACACAGTATGTATATCTTTTGGTGTTGAAATACTCTAATGTTTTTAAGCACTAGTATTTATCTTTATCATGTAGTTAGAGTTTCATTTAGTTGCTTCAATTGACTTTTAGACTTAAAAAAATTTTTAAGTGTAAAGTGTACAGTACAGTGTTACTAACTCCATCCATATTGTAGTTCAACCATCACCACCATCTGTCTCCAGAACTCTTTTTCATCTTACAAAACTGAAGCCATATCCATTAAACAATAATTCCCCATTCTCCCCTTCCTCAAGTCCCTAATACCCTAATAATCACAACTTTACTTTTTTTTTTTTTTTTCTTGAGATGGAGTCTCACTCTGTCGCCAGGCTGGAGTACAGTGGCATGATCTCAGCTCTCTGCAACCTCCGCCTCCCGGGTTCAAGTGATCCTCCTGCTTCAGCCTCCTGAGTAGCTGGGACTACAGGCACGCGCCACCACGCCCAGCTAATTTTTTGTATTTTTAGTTGAGATGGGGTTTCACCATGTTGGCCAGGATGGCCAGGATGGTCTTGATCTCTTGACCTTGTGATCTGCCCGCCTTGGCCTCCCAAAGTGCTGAGATTACAGGTGTGAGCCACTGCGCCCGGCCCACAATATTACTTTCTATGAACTGGACTCCATTGATTCATATAAGTGAAATAATACAGTGTTTGCCTTTTCGTGACTGGCTTATTTCACTTAGCGTAATGTTCTCAAAGTTTATCCATGTGACACTATGTGTCAGAATTCCCTTACTTTTTAAGGCTGCATAATATTCCAAAGTATGTATACATCGCATTTTGTTTATTCATTCTTCTATTGATGGACATATACCTTAAATGTGTGACTTACATGGCGTGTACATTATTTGGGTTGCTTTCAGCTTTTGGCTTTTGTGAATAATGCTGCTCCACGAACATGGGTATACAAATATTTTTTTGAGACCCTGCTTTTAATTCTTTTGGATATCTACTCAGAAGTGGAATTGTTGGATCATATGGTAATTTTTATTTTTATTTTTTTGAGGGATCTCCCTACTGTTTTCCATACGACTACAGCATTTGACTTTTTCACAGTAGTGCCCATAGGTTCCAATTTCTCTACAACCTCGCCAACGCTCCTACATTTCTGTTTAATATATTGATTTTTAAGTTACAAAAGTTGCGTATTGTAGAGATTCAAACGATTCAGAGAGGTGTAAAGTAAACTTGAAAATCCTTCTTTATTTTCCCTTTGACTCTTAAAACATTGATTAACACTGATTGAATCAGATCCAAGATGAGGTTTCAAATTCCTCTAAAAATCTTCCTAAGAAAGCTTTTTAATACCTCCCGCACATATGTGTAGATAACTGTCCTTTCTTTTGAGCTTCTCTTTTAAGGTACTGCATCTTAGTGTAGTGACTTCCATTTAGTGAATGCTACTGAATGTGGATTCGTGTCAGACACTGTACTATCCATATGTTTTTCAACCTTATAGCACCAGCAGTGCCTAAGTCATTGTGCCTGGCAAGTCATAGGTGTTCAATATAGGTATGATACATGAATACACATGTCCAGTCTGGGAGGAACTTTTCAGGAAGTAACTAACATAGGCCTCTTTCCTTCCGAGTGCTGTATAAGCAGTCTCATGCTGGTGTTGCTTTGAGCATGCATTTTCCGTGTTGTATAATATATTGCTTTAGGGTACACACTGGGCCTGTGAAGACTGGGCCTATGTTTCCTGCTGCTTTTGATACAGGATCAGAAAATGTTTGGACCCCCCAACTGTTCTCTGATTTATTAACACTGGCTCAGAATTATGGAAGTTTGAAGTTGGCTGGAAGCTATGAGATGATTCACTGAGAACCTTATTTGACAGCTGAAGAGACTGACATAGTCAAAGACTTCTACTGTTGTTAGGAACAGCACTTGTTTTAAACCTTTATTTTAGGTCGCGGGTACATGTACAGGTTTGCTAGATAGGTAAATTGCTTGCCACGGGTGTACAGATAATTTCATCATTCAGATGATAAGCATAGTACCCACAGGTACTTTTTCATCCTCACCCTCTGTATTAGTTTGTTTTCACAGTGCTATAAAGAATGACCTGAGGCCGGGCGCGGTGGCTCACGCCTGTAATCCCAGCACTTTGGGAGGCCGAGGCGGGCGGATCACGAGGTCAGGAGATCGAGACCATCCTGGCTAACACGGTGAAACCCCGTCTCTACTAAAAATACAAAAAATTAGCCGGGCGTGGTGGTGGGCGCCTGTAATCCCAGCTACTCGGGAGGCTGAGGCAGGAGAATGGCATGAACCCAAGAGGCAGAGCTTGCAGTGAGCCGGGATAGCGCCACTGCAGTCCAGCTTGGGCGAAAGAGTGAGACTCCGTCTCAAAAAAAAAAAAAAAAAAAAAAGAATGACCTGAGACTGGGTAATTTATAAAGGAAAAAGGTTTAATTGACTCACAGTTCTGCATGGCTGGAGAGGCCTCAGGAAACTGAGGCCTCATGGCAGAAGGCAAAGGGCGAAGAAGGCACGTCTTTTCATGGCAGCAGGAGAGAAGGAGAGCAGGGGAAACTGCCACTTTTAAACAAACCATCAGGTCTCGTGAGAACTCCGTCACTATCATGAGAACAGCATGGAGAAATCTGCCCCCATGATTTAATCACCCCCTACCAGGCCCCTCCCCTGACATGTGGGGATTGCAGTTTGAGATGAGATATGTGTGGGGACACAGAGTCAAACCATAGTACCTTCCTCCCTCCCTCTACCCTCAAGTAGGCCCCAGTGTCTCTTGGGCCCTTCTTTTTGTCCACATGTACTCAGTGTTTAGCTCCCACTGATAAGCAAGAACATAATGTGGTATTTGGTTTTCTGTTCCTGTGTTAGTTCCACCTAGGGTAATGGCCTCCAGTTCTATCCATGTTGCTGCAGAGGACATGATCTTGTTCTTTCTTATGGCTGTGTAGTATTCAAAGGTGGATATGACCACATTTTCTTTATCCAGTCTACTGAAGAACAGCACTTTTAAACAATGCTCTTTATTTTTCAAAGCCTAATTGTTAAAGTGTCCTTATAGATGTTACTGAAACCTCCATATCCAAGATAAAAGAGACTGCTTTGCGGGGTTGTTAAAATCAGTTTTTCAAACATAATTAATCAAATAAAATTTACCTAATGACATTTCAGTAGTCCTTATGGGGTCACAATTGCTCTATTTTTTTTTTTATTTTAAATAAGGTGAAGTGTAAATGAAAGTTTTTCGTAATGTTGTTTACATGTGCAAAATGATTAGATACCTTGCCATTTTAGTATAAATATGAATAATGATCATGGGGCTAATGATTAAAAATAAAAAAATTAAGAAAAAGACATTTTAAATGGCAACCGAAACAAATCACAAGGACCAGAATTTCCCTGTTTCTCAAGCAATCAGAAATTTTCCAAACAATAATTAACATGTTAACAGAAAAAAGAAATGGAGTCTAAAGAAATACAAAAGAGTTCATGGGGGTTTTGAAAAGTTGCATTCTTTGCAGATGAATTGCATCCTTTGGGAAATAACAGTATATGTAGAAGTTAAGAAACATCAGTATTACGTATTCTTTAGTGTTGTTTAACAGCTTTTTGAGAAATAATTCACATGCCATGCATGCTTCACATTTAAAGTATACTATTTAGTGGTTTTAGTATATTCACTGAGTTGTACAGCCACTGCTCCGTTCTAATTTTACAATATTTTTCTTTTAGAGTGTGTTTTTTTTCTTTGTTTCTTCATATTCTCACCAACAGCCTCTCTTCTTCTTTATTTACATTTTATTTCTTTGAGATCTTGCCTACTTTTTTTGGCTGTTTCAACTGTTAACTTGGATTTTAAACACTAGTCCTACACTCTAGCTTGTTCTTCTCACTTCCTTAATATTACTCCGATAATCTCTTATGTGGCCTACTATTTTATGCATTCATTCAGCATTTACTGAGAGCCTGTTGTGTGCTGGGCACTGAAGAATGTTGGTCTAGCTGGAGGACAGTTACGTAAAGAAGTAATGGTGGCACCCCAGGGACTGAAATGCTGTTCAGGATGCTCTGGGAACATAGAAGGGCACTTGAGAGGTGCAGGCAAGATTTTGCAGGAGAAAGAACTCTTGAGCTGAATCTCAGAGTACTGGGTAAGAGTTAGCCAGATGTACTAGATAGAGAATGCCAAGCAAATGGATTATCATATATGAAGCTTCTAAAATTTGAAAGAACCAGTTGTATTTAGAGGAAAGCAACCAGTTCATTCAGTGGCATGTCTAGGAGAAAAAAAAGTGAGAGGTGCAGCTGAAGGGAGAGATGGGGAAAGGCCTGATTTTTGAAAGGCCTTGAATGCCATACTAAGGAATATCACCATTATCCTGAAGGCAGAGATAGACTGAAAGATTTTAAGTGGAGGAAGAAATGATAAAGCTGATGATGGATTTTAAGCAGAGGATTGGTATGATGAGATGTTAGGAGGTCTGAAGGTAAATTTGGTAAGCCAAGGCAAGGAGACAGGGTGTCTATGAGGTGATTGTGGTTGCTTTAGTTAGAGATAACGAACTGTGGCTGTGTCTGGAGGATAGTGACTGTGTGGGTCGGGGAAGAAGAAGGGTTATAAAGGACAAGGAGGAGTGCGAGATGACTATGGCTCAGAAAATTGCATGCTGGAGGTTTAACTTTGGTGGAAGAAGGGCAGGATGTAGGGAACAAGAGCTCAGATTTGGATTTGAACTTGTTGAATTTGGGATATATGGGCTGTTTAGGTGAAATCTGGAGTTTGGGAGAGAGGTCTGGGCCACACATGGCTTTGAGTATCATTAGCATTCAGGTTTTAATTGAGTTGACATCATGATTGTGTATTTGATCAGAGATACAGTAAGAATAGCAAAGACTTGAGAACAGAATCTTGGGGACCCCTGCAGGTGAGGGATTTTGAAGGTGGAGGAGATAGTCATCATTATCTGCCCAAAACCCTTTTCTTACTAAATTGTCTTATTCACTCAAGATTGCATCATTCTCAATGTAGTTGGAAGCCAGAGTTGGGAGTCTTCTCTGACAATTAACTTTGCGTCATCTCTCATCAAATTATTTTGCTTTTTTCCTGTGCAGTACCTTTTAGATCTGCCCTTTCTTATTTTTTCCCACTTGTGTCACTATTTTTCAGGCCTTTGTTTTTTACGTATTTCAGTTTTTTTTTTGTTTTTTTTTTTGAGACAGAGTCTCGCTCTGTTGCCCAGGCTGGAGTGCAGTGGTGTGATCTTAGCTTACCGAAGCCTCTGCCTCCCGGGTTCAAGTGACTCTCCTGCCTCAGCCTCCAGAGTGGCTGGGATTACAGATACGCTCTATCACACCCAGCTAATTTTTGTATTTCTAGTAGAGATGGGGTTTTGCCATGTTGGCCAGGCTGGTCTCGAACTCCTGACCTCAGGCGATCTGCCCGTCTTGGCCTCCCGTGCTGGGATTACAGGCGTGAGCCACCGTGCCTGGTCCAGACTTTTATCTCTGTAATATATCAGAGTTCCATATAAGATTTCCACTGACAAGAGTTCTGTGAAAAAAAAGTTTGAAAGTATTCGTTTATAAAAATACAGATCCTGGCATTCAAGGCTCTTTGGAGTCTCTCCCTATCTAATTTATTTTTTTGAATGTAAATCTCAGCATAAATCTTAGGCTTCTGTCATTCTGTGATATTCAATTTTCCTGAATTTTTATGTCTGCCTTTTAAAATGCTGTTTCCATTACTTTCTTTACTCCTCACACATGCAAAGGTCAAATGCAATAATTCAAGTCTCATTTCCTCTTCGAAGAGGAAGCAGTGTGGTATTTTATAAAGCTTTCTGCAAATCCTTGTGTTATCTGTGTAACTTCAAGTGACGGACTTTCCTAAACTTTAGGTTTCTTATGTGTAAACTAGACCATGTGTAGGTTAAATTAATAAAATGAAGTGTATAGCACATGGTTACTTTTTCTGATCTCGGTCCCTTTTGTGCACTCTCATTCATGTATTTATTCATTTAAGAAGTATTTACTTTGGCATTACTCTGGGCAGTGGTGATACAGCAGTGAACAAAATGAACAAGAATCACTGTCATTGGCCAGGGGTGGTGGCGCACACCTGTGGTCCCAGTTACTCGGAAGGCTGGGTGGAAGGATCACTTGAGCCTGGAAGATTGACACTGCAGTGAGCTGTGACCACACCACTGTACACCAGCCTAGGTGACAGAGTGAGACCCTGTCTTAGAAAAAAAAAAAAGTAGCTGTCAGTATGGAGCTTATGTTCTAGAAGAGGAGATAAATGATAAGAAATACATACTTTTCTTTTTCTGAGACAGATTTTTGTTCTGTCACCCAGGCTGGAGTGCAGTGGTGCGATCTCAGCTCACTGTAACCTCTGCCTCCCAGGTTCAAGTGATTCTTCTGCCTCTGCCTCCCTTTTAGCTGGGACTACAGGCATGCACCACCACACCCAGCTAATTTTTTGTATTTTTATTAGAGACAGTGTTTCACCATGTTGGCCAGGCTGGTCTCGAACTCCTGACCTCAAGTGATCTGCCTGCCTCGGCCTCCCAGAGTGCTGGGATTACACGTGTGAACCACCACAGCTGGTCTAGAAATATATACAGTTTTAATAATGGTAAGTGCTAAGGAGAAAAAGGAGGAAAGGCAGGCATGAAGTATCAAGAGGGATGGCTGAAATTTTATTTTTTTAAATTTTAGATTCAGGGGTACATATACAGGTTTGTTAGATAGGTAAATTGTGTGTCATGGGTGTTTCATGTGCAGATTATTTCTCCACCTAGGTAATAAATATAGTACCTGATAGGTGGTTTGATGATCTTCACCTTCCTCCTTTCCTCCACCCTCAAGCAGGCCCTGGTGTCTGTTGTTCCCTTCCTTGTCTCCATGTGTGCTTAGTGTTTAGCTCCCATTTACAAGTGAGGTCATGCAGTATTCGGTTTTCTGTTCCTGTGTTAGTTTACTTAGGATAATGTCCTCCATTACTAGGATAATGACCTCCAGCTCCATCCATGTTGCTACAAAGGATGTGATCTTACTTTTTTTATTTTTAATGGCTGCATAGTATTCCATGGTCGTGTATATGTACCACATCTTCTTTATCCAGTCTACCATTGATGGACATTTAGGTTGATTCCAGGAATGTCTTTGCTTTTGTGAATAGTGCTGTGATGACCATACATGTGCATGTATCTTTATGGTGGAATGATTTATATTCTTTCGGGTATATACCCAATAATGGGATTGCTGGGTTGAATAGACAGATTGAATGGGAAAGGCCTCTCAGAAGTTTTCTCTTCAGAAATTGGGAAACACATGACATACTCATAGTACACAGTCTTTGACATGCTGTTGTTTATCTAGATATACTCATTCTGTCAGCTGTGCCCTCACCTCTGTTATGGGCTCTTTGTATTCCTTATCCCATTTTTTTTGTTTGTTTTTTGAGGCAGAGTCTCACTCCGTCACCCAGGCTGGAGTGTAATGGTGCGATCTCGGCTCACTGCAACCTCTGCCTCCCGGGTTCAAGTGATTCTCCTGCCTCAGCCTCCTGAATAGCTGGGATTACAAGTGCACGCCACCATGCCTGGCTAATTTTTTTTGTATTTTTAGTAGAGACAGGATTTCATCATATTGGCCAGGCTGGTCTCAAACTCCTGACCTCGAGTGGTCCACCTGCCTCGGCCTCCAGAAGTGCTGGGATTACAGCAGTGAGCCACCATGCCTGGCCCTGATCCCATTTTTATTGCAGTAGAAGTGTAGTGACAAGGAATTGGTAAGGTATCAAAATAGAACAGGAAATAATGGAAGAGGCAAGACCTTCACATCTAGGAAGAGACTGGTGGAATTCTATGAAAGTTAAATATTTAATACTTGTTTTGTCCAGTTTTTATTAGTCCAGACACTTGCAAAATGAAAACGAGAAGAATAAAGACTACCTGCCTCTACCAGGCATTATTAATTGCCCTTTGGAGATTTTGAATGAGGATGTTAGTGTCTTTGAGTTTCATAATGAAAACTGGAACTATGGGGAGAAATTGCTTGATCTCAGAACTAACTGAAGCTCCAGTGCTCAGAGTCAAACTAAACTAGACGGGCCTTGGACAGGTGGGGAGTTAGCAGCCAATTTTATTCACATCATTTGTCTTTTATAAAAGGTGTTTGCATGTCAGATTGAGCAAAAATCATGGAAAATGCCCAAGTTTTAACATCATTGTTTGAACCTATCAGCAAAATCAGATGGCTTGAATATGTAATTAACAGTTAAATTTGTCCTCCAGATTTGTTTTAGCTTCTAGCATACCAGGCAGGAAATTGGAATTAGAAAGAAGAACTCAGGATGTGAAACTCTCATTTCTGGTTCAGTTTTTTTCCAAAGAAGTTATCCAGAGAAGAGTTAAATTTCCTGCCAATGATGACATGAAAGCTATGTTGTTGCTATTGCTTTTGTTTTGAACTTTGCAAAAAGAAAAAAAATTCACCAAACACTACACTTTGATTAGTTCTAGCAGGTTTTTTTTTCCCCTTAGGGGAGACTATAGACTGTAATTTCATCACAAAAAACATGGTGCCTGAGCTCTAAGCAAAGTTTGAGTTTGTTTTTCCCTTGAGGATTTGACATTTTCTGTTTCCTGACATTTTTACTATTGTTAGACATACTTCTTTGTATTCTTGCCCTATATTCATTCCCTAAGGGAAATTGTGTATTTTATCTACTGGAAGGCAGGAATGCCTTCTGTTTTGGACAAGCCATTTAATTGTTCAAATAAATTCAACTATAGTGTAATAGACCAATCATTAGGAACTGGGCCATGTGGCAGCATTTAGATTCATGAGACCCAGATTCTCAGTTCATTCCAAAAAAGGAATTAAATACCATGGACACAAAATGAATGATTTTCTTTCCTCCCTTCTTTCTCCCCAGGGTTTCCCATTTCACCCTTTAAAAATATTAAATGATATCCTAAATACAAACCAAATGCTTTTTGTTTCAGTATTTATGGTTTGCTTATTTGTGGTTTTCTGTTTAGTGGTTAATAATTTGCTTACCATTAAGAAAAATACTAGCAGATTTTTTTTGCCACTATTCTCTATTTGCTCTATAAAAATGTGATGTCCAAATAAAAGGGAAATGAAGACTTACCACTTTTTGGCCTTCTTTTCAGCTTTTTGGGTGTAATTCTGTTTTAACTAATAATTAAATATATGGCCGGGTGTGGTGGCTCATGCCTGTAATCGCAGCACTTTGGGAGGTGGTGGCGGGCAGATTACCTGAGGTCAGGAGTTCAAGACCAGCCTGGCCAACATGGTAAAACCCTGTCTCTACTAAAAATACAAAAATTAGCTGGGCATGGTGACTCCTACTCAGGAGGCTGAAGCACGAGAATCGCTTGAACCCAGGAGCTGGAGGTTGTAGTGAGCCAAGATCCCACCATTGCATGCCAGACTGGGCGACAAGAGTGAAACTCAGTCTCAAAAAAGTGTGTGTGTGTGTATATATGTATGTGTATATATATGTGTGTATATGTGTGTGTGTATGTATATGTGTGTGTGCACATATGTGTGTGTGTGTGTATGTGTATACACACACAAAGGGGACTTCAAAAGGTCATGGATAAAAGGAATTAAAAGATACAAAATAAAAATATAAACTTTATTTCTCAACATAAGCTCCATCAAGGTCAGGACACTTTTATAAGTGATGGTATCAGCCATTTAGTCCTTCCCTAAAGAACTGAGGGTACTGGGAACCTAACCGTGTCAGTGCCATCTTTTTTACATTACTAACTGAAGAAAAATGGGTGGCCTTTAAAGATTTTTCAAGATTACCTGGACATTTTTCTGCTAAAAGTTTGGCTAACTTTCTCAAAACTCTGTCATAATAAGCAGATGGTATCGTTCTTTGGCCCTCTAGAAAGCTGATGAGGAGAATGCCCTGAGCATCTCAAAAAACTGTTGCTATGACCTGTGCTCTTCACCTGTCCATTTTTGCTTTTACTGAACCCCTTCCACCTCTTGGGAGGCATTGCTTTGTGCTTTGTCTTCAGGATCACACTGGTAAAGCCATGTCCTGTCTCCTGCTACAGTTCTTCAGAGAAGTGCTTCAGGATCTTGATTATTCTTGTTTAAAATTTCCATTGAAAGCTCTGCTCTTGTCTGCAGCAGATCGGAGCACAACAGTTTTGCCATGCAGAGTAGAAAGTTTGCTCAACTTTAATTTTCCAGTCAGGAGTGTAGGTAAGCTGAACCAGATGGGATGTCTACGATGTTGGCTATTGTGTGTGCTGTTCATTGTCGGCCCTCTTTAATTAGGGCATGAACAAGATTGAGTTTTTCCTCACAAATGGATGGGGATGGTCTGCTGCCGTAGGCATCATCCTCAAGATTGTCTTTTCCCTTCTGAAAACAAGTCATCTATTTATAAACTGCTGATTTCTTTGGGACATTATCTCCATCATCTTTACATAAAGAATCAATAATTTTGATGCAGGATTTTTTATTCCTTAGTTCAGCTAAAATCCAAGTTATTGTCTCACGACCAGAAAAAATTAGGCATGCGAACACATTTAAAGGTGAGGAGAGCGGAATTTATTAAAAGCAATCTGTCAGCAGAAAAGAGGGGGTTCCTGCTAATAGGCTCCCACCTCACAGATTGAATACCAGGCCACCACACACAAGCTGAAGACCCCTGGCTCCTCTCCTTGTCTAAGTCTCGAATTTCCGATGTCTCCACTCCATTTTCCCAGTGCACATGCAGGCCCCTGGTCCGTTGTGGGCATGCTCAGGCAAGACCTTGTGCAGGTTCCTTTCTCTGCCTCCTGTGTCTATCAATTTCACCACTCTTCCACCCAAGCTTCACTATATTTTTTTTCTATTTTTTAAATTAATTAGTATTTTTATTTTAGAGGTAGGGTCTCACCTTGACACCTAGGATGGAGTGCAGTGTAACAATCATAGCTCCTTTTGATATGGACAGGAGGCAGGGAAATACTGGGTAGAAAACGGCAGGGTCCCTGGCAAAGGCTCCACCCTCAAGCCTGAACCTGCAGCCCAAAGTCCTGTTTTCTCATCCAAATGCTGCCCTTTCTAAAATTACCCTAGCCTGCTCTGCCCCATCCTGTACCCATAAAAACCCCAGGCTCCACTGGCAGAGGAGCAGGGCAGAGTGGCAGAGAAGGAGAGAAGAGAAGAAGCAACCATATGTCGGGGAGAAGCAGCTTGACTTCAGAGGGACGGCTTGATGGCGGGACTTCGGGGAAGAGTTTGGCTGGGGATGGCCGAACCTCTGGGGAAGACCACCTTTCCACTGCATCCTCTTTCCAGCTCTCCATCCCTCTGAGAGCCACTTTCGTCAGTAATAAAATCCCTTGCATCTACCATCTTCAATTCATTCCTGTGACTTGATTCTTCCTGGATGCCAAACGAGACCTTGGGATACAGAGGGCTGTCACACTGAGCTGTTAAACACTTAGCCATCGATGGACAGCAAAGCTAAGAGGGCACAGTATAACATTCCCTCTGGGGCATCACAGATCATGGGCAGGGACCTCCCTAGACACTGCTACATGGCTGATACAGGGCTCAGCCCTGCTGGTGCCCAAAGGCACTTGCCCCAGCCCCTGCACCTGCTGACCTGTGTGCTCCCCTTCCTGTGAGGGGTTGAGGGCTGTGGGCTGAGTAAAGAAGCCACCCTCTTCCGGAGTCCCACAAAAGGGCCAAGGGAACTATCCTATTTCAATTGCAGCATCTCCCGAGTTGCTGAGAGTATAGGCATGTACCACCACACCTGGCTAATTTTTAAAATTTTTTTTGGAGATGGAATCTCACTATTTTCCCCATGCTGGCCTCAAACTCCTGGACTCAAACTGTCTTCCCACTTCAGCCTCCCAAAGTGCTGCTGATTACAGGGTGAGCCTTGGCACCCCAGCCTTCACCATAATTTTGATGTTCGTTCTTGCCTCAATTTTAACAGAATTCATGTTGCCCTGTTAGAGGCTCTTTTCAAACTGATGTTTTATCCTTTTTAGTGCCTCAAACTAGATCCTGTTCAGGCATGCTATAGCAAGCTTATTTTGATACAAAAATGTTTGAAACCCATGCATAGTTTTTTCATATGCATTTTCTGTGAACTTTTTAAAGATCTGGTGTGTGTGTGTGTGTGTGTGCGTGTGTGTGTGTGTGTGTGTGTGTGTATTTTCTAGCAACACTGTCTCTTTTCTTTCATTTTGCACTCTGTATATTTTTTGTAAAGAATACATCTTTGGATCTAAGTGGCCGATATGAATTTGTTGAGACTAACAGTTTTTCTGCAGAAGTGAGTTTCTTCAGGTCTGTGCACTGCTGGTCAGAAGGGACCGCTCTGTAAAAGGTGACACTTGGGTTTGTGGAACGAATGCATGTAGGTTGGGGAATCAATTAAAAACACTTTCATTTTCTCTGTGCTGTGGCAACAAGGTGGATACAGGTAGATACACATGGAGCAGTGATGTGTGCTGTGATCCTGAGAGTGCCCTTTGAATCTGCTGAGCTAAACAGTTTTTGAATTTTTTTCCACTCAGTACTCTAAAATTCACCTCCTGGGATTATTCTTTGGCTAAAGAAAAGTATGCCAACATGTGACAAAATCTGCACTTGAGTTCTTTGCAGGCATTTCTTTTCTTTTTTCTTGTTTTTTTGAGACAGAGTCTTTGCTCTCTTGCCCAGACTGGAGTGCAGTGACATGATCAGAGCTTACTGTAGCTTCAAACTCCTGTGCTCAAGTGATCTTCCTGGTTCGGCCCCATGGGAAGTTGGGACTACAGGTGTGTGCCGCCACATCCAGTGAATTTTTTAAAAAAATTTCTGTATAGATGGGGTCTTGCCATGTTGCCTAGGCTGGTCTTGAATTCCTGGGCTCAAGCAATCCTCCTGCCTTGGCCTCCCACAATATGGAAAACATTTCCATTTGGCTACTTTAGTGCATAGAGAAATGTTTATACCTGGGAATATCTGGAGAGTCCTAGAAAGATCTACCCAGCAACTAAATTGGTAGTTATTAATTTTTTTAAATTTTATTTTTGAGACAAATTTCACTCTGTTACCCAGGCTGGACTGCAGTGGTGCAATCTCGGCTCACTGCCACCTCTGCCTCCTGGGTTCAAGTGATTCAAGTGCCTCAGCCTCTTGAGTAGCAGGAATTACAGGCGTGTGCCACCATACCCGGCTATTTTTTTGTTTTTGACGTGGAGTCTCACTCTGTCGCTAGGCTGGAGTGTAGTGGCATGATCTCAGCTCACTGCAACCTCCGACTCCTGGGTTCAAGCGATTCTCCTGCCTTACCCTCCCGAGTAGCTGGGATTACAGCCACGCACCACCATGCCCAGCTAATTTTTGTATTTTTATTAGAGACGGGGTTTCACCATGTTAGCCAGGATGGTCTCGATCTCCTGACCTCATGATCCACCCGCTTTGGCCTCCCAAAGTGCTGGGATTACAGGCATGAGCCACTGCGCTTGGCCCATGCCCAGCTACTTTTTGTATTTTTAGTAGAAACTGGGTTTCACCATGTTGGCCAGGCTGATCTCAAACTCCTGACCTCAAGTTATCTGCCCACCTTGGCCTCCCAACATCCTGGGATTACAGGCATGAGCCACCGTGCCTGGCCTAAATTGGTAGATATTAAAGCTTATACTTTCAAAATTAGGCAAGTCTTTTGTTTTGGTGTCAGTATTTCTTGTCATTCTTGATTTTTTTGTGAAAGATTGGAGAGCAAAAGTGGTATGAACAGTTGTCAATTCTGTACCATAGTAAGCACTGTGATGCTATTTCATTTTGTTTTTACAAGTGAAACAGGAGAATGAATCACATATCAGCAAGAAGAGGTTTGTTAAGGCAAGATTGGAGATGCTGCTTCCTTGTTTTGGTTGTGGAGTCTGACGTTTCTTCATTAGTTCTTGGTATCTCTTGTTCACTATCTGAAATTAACTCCAGTAATCCTTACCCAGCAGGCATAACCTTCAGAGTCTAGCAGAATCCAGCTAGAAATCTTTAAGCCACAGGCCATCTTGCTCCCTGAATCACTAATGTGTAATTATAACGTGTGCGATTATAAAATGGGAATCAATGTGTTTTGGGGAGTCTGGATTGACAAGAATAACTGATGAAGTTCAGTTGTCAGATCTATATGGTGAATTATCATAGGGGATGTTTATGGATGAAAGCTCTTGAATTATAGAACTCTCTCCTGATTCTAGATTCCTTTTCAGTTCCATTTCCCACACATCAAAAGGCTTTCAAAGATAATCCTTTCCTCCACTTGTCACAACTCCTGCACCTTGCTTTTCTACATTTTTGGAAGAGTGTTTCTATAATAGATGAGCAAGCATATTTTGAGCAAATATAGTAAAATAGATAACATTCTTAAGAATAATATGCAAAATTATTAAGCAAACAGAAGTAGACCAGTTTTGTGTTTTATTCTGATTAAATATTAAAACAAGAGTTTTGTATTGGAACACACATTTTATGTAGTTATGTGACAATGTGGAAAGTTTAATTATTTTTAAAGAATGAATTTATCAAAAAAATGCCTGTGCCTAGCTGTAGATTAAAGTAATGTTCTTCTAACAAGTAAAATTGAAGCAATTAAAGAGACTATCCTCAAACTGAGATAGTCATATTGACCATTCTGAGTGTTATTGAGGCAAAACTGTGTTAAGATGAACTGAGACAGTAATCTTAGAATCTAAGAATTGTCAGAACCCTTAAATGTGAACCACTTTGATGCAAAGTATCTGTTGCTTCCCATTAACCAAAAAGAGAGTTGATGTGTGAGTCTTTGTATATTAGAGAGACAGTGGCTAAAAAGTAACTGGAAGAAAATAAAATCAGATAATGAGAGATAGAGTAAAAAAAGAATGAATAATATTTTCATTTGAAGACCTTTCTCTCTTCTTTTCCTTTGGCAAATATTATTGAGATCCTACCATGTGCTAAACAGTGCTTTGGGCAAGGGGTATAGGCCCTGAATAAAACACACAAGGTCTCTGCTTTCATGGAGGTTACATTTGTTATGGAGAGTTGATGAGACAAGAAATACATAAGCTTGAGTCTTTTTTTTTTTTTTTTTTTTGAGACGGAGTCTCGCTCTTTCACCAGGCTGGAGTGCGATGGCGTGATCTTGGCTCACTGCAATCTCCGCCTCCTGGTTCAAGCGATTCTCCTGCCTCAGCCTCCCAAGTAGCTGGGACTACAGGTGCATGCCACCACGCCCAGCTAATTTTTGTATTTTTAGTAGAGATGGGGTTTCACCATGTTGGCAAGGATGGTCTCAATCTCTTGACCTCGTGATCCACCTGCCTCGGCCTCCCAGAGTGCTGGGATTACAGGCATGTACCAGTGCTCCCGGCCAAGTTTGAGTCTTTTTAAGCCTACTCTGGCTCAAGAGCCTGCCGGAATAAAAAAGTAAAAAATAAATTAATAAGCAGATCTGATTATGGGAAGTATAATGATAAAAATGAAGCAGTTGAGGGGACAGAGTAATGATGGTAGTAGGTGTCAGTTGCTATTTCAGATCCAATGGTCAGGGAATGCTTCCCTGATAAGGTGAGGTTTGAGCAGGAACTGAAGGAAGTCAAAGAACCATGCAAATATAGAGGCAGGGGTGGAGGAAGTTGTTGAGGACTAGCAAGGAAACCAGTGTGGATGGAGGAGTGTAGGTAATGGGGAGAGTAGGTGGATGAAATCAGAGAGAACTTTTTTCCCCATCGAGGAAAGGAAGAGAAGGAGGATGGAACCCAGAAGACTGTGCAGGAACATGCAGGAGAATCAGAGCAAGTGGTATCCTGGAGGCCAAGAGAAGAAGGGAGGTGATCAATAGTATGTGTCAAATGCTGATGATACTCCCAGAAGTAGTGAACAAAGTTCTTGGTCCTACAACCTAGAAAGTCTGTCTCTACCTTTCCCCTGTCTTTTGTCCCTTGCTATGAGATCTTTAGTTTCTATAAATAATTTGCTTTTATTGCATATGCTATTCTTAAGACTTTTCCCACAAATGTCTATTTTGCATACTTCATTAGATTAGCATCTGCTTTTATGGGATGAATTATTTCTGATGTGCTTATTTTGTTTTGTGTGTTTGTATGTCAGAAAAACATTTTTTAGTTCTTTCTATGTGTCAGGCATTGTGCTGAGCACTTTATGTGCATGATCTCATTTAATCCTTGTTATAGCCTTATGAGCTATAACTCCCCTTATCCCCATTTTACTGATATGGAAAATAGTGATCAGAGAGGTTTAGAAATCAGTGCAAGGTCACATAATTAGTCAGTGGCAGAATTATTTTTTTAAACTTCAGTCTTTCTCATTCTAAAATTTTCACTCCTAGCAACAAGAAGTTCCTTCCTATACCTCGCACTGTCTTCTCACCAAATATCTCTACTCTTAGAGGTTTTCTAAGAAGCTGATGGAAAGGCTCAGATTCTAGTATCTCCGCCTGTATCTACCCACCTTGCCTCTGTCTTCTCTGGATTCTCCTACAGAGCCAAATACCAGATTCTGGCACCCCTGTCTGCCTGTCTTTGTCCTGGCTAAGTGTAGCTCCCAACCAGCCCCACCTTTTCCCCACACTCCCATTTGCTTTGCTCCAACATGCTATCTTTGTATGATGCTATTCACATGTTTTCCGCTTCCGCCCTTGTCTTCATATGCATTTCATCTGTGTAATTTCTTTCTCTCATTTCACAGCCTAAATGGTGCATTTCTTTGGTGTCTCAATCCTTGACCTAATCTAGATTTCTTTGTTGCTATTTAGTGAAAACTCTATTTGGTTATTTTATTTCACATTGGAAAAAGAAAATGTTCCATGGATTTTTGAGAATTTGTGTGATTTCTGGCTGTTTCTTTATGTTTCATAATGTGCTGCCTCATTTTGGAGAAAAGACAAAAATAGGCTAACTTTGTTTTACAACTAGGGAAAATGTGCATAGAATTGTTCATATTTGCAAAATGAATTAATAGAACTACTTAAAATTAGATTTTCCTGCTTTAAACTCCCGTTCTTTATCCTCTGTTTCCATAACTCAGCTATGTATTTTTGTTTGTTTATAATCGTTTGTTTGTTGTGTTTGGAGCTTGGTAAAAGAATGAAATGTTTTTGTAGAGAAATTCACTCTTCCCCCCAATAATGTGGCTCCCCCATAAGTGCAACAAGATGTCTCTCAAATAGGGTGAGCTTTAGTTACATCATAGGTGGTGGGTTCCAGCTTCATTTCCCTGCCAATATCATGGTTTTTCCCTTTTCCAAGTACAAACTTCATCTTCAGCTTGGTTCCAGGATGGGCACTAGTGTGCCCAGCATCATAGCTCTCATAGCTATAAAATCCACTCAAGACGTTCAGAGCCAGCAAAGGCTCATCTCTTTCTCACTCTCCTTTATAAAGCAAGTGAGCCTTTACGGGAAGACCCTACGTCTCATTAGCCTGAATTGTAGACCTTGCTTGTATCTATTTATGGCCAAGGACTTCGGGTCGGCCTCCCATGAAGCATCCAGCTATCCAGAAGAATACAATCAGGGTTCTTTTTAGAGGAAGCAATCAGGGAGGATATGAATCTAGGTTGACAGCCAAATTTTTAGTTTGTCGTCTTCAGTATATGTGGAATATCCCCTCAGCCAGCCAGATTGTCCAGATCAAGTTTGGTGAATAGTGCAGAGATAATTCATGTCACTGGAGCAGCCCCCCTCCTCACCTTTATTGGTGTGGATTAGATTCTGCTGCAAGTAGCAAAGACCTAAACAACGGCCTCTACAAGATGGACCTTTCCCTTTCTTACTTACAAGTCAGGTGTAGTTCAGGGCTGATATGACAGCCTTCTTGCATAGAATCCTTGGAGGCTGGGCGTGGTGTCTCACGCCTGTAATCCCAGCACTTTGGGAGGCCGAGGCGGGTGGATCACCTAAGATTAGGAGATCCAGACCAGCCTGAACCAACATGGAGAAACCCCGTCTCTACTAAAAATACAAAATAAGCCAGGCATGGTGGCACATGCCTTTAATCCCAGCTGCTCGGCAGGCTGAGGCAGGAGAATCGCTTGAACCCAGGAGGCGGAGATTGCGGTGAGCTGAGATCGCACCATTGCACTCCAGCCTGGGCAAGAAGAGCGAAACTCTGTTTCAAAAAAAAAAAAAAAAAAAAACCCAAAAAAAAAACCCCGAATCCTTGGAAAGTTAGGCTTCTTCTAGATCATTCTTCGGCTATACAGTGGTCCAAAATGGTGGCCGTTGCAGCTACTGAATGGAGAAAGGAACACAGTATTTAGGTTAGTGCAAAACTAATTGCGGTTCTTGCCATTAAAAGTGATGTCATCACACCTGTAATCCCAGCACTTTGGGAGGCTGAGGTGGGCAGATCATCTGAGGCCAGGAGTTCGAGATCAGTCTGGCCAACATGATGAAACCCCATCTCTACTAAAAATACAAAAAATTAGCCAGGCATGTTGGCGGCGGGCACCTGTAATCAATCCCAGCTACTCTGGAGGCTGAGGCAGGAGAATTGCTTGAACCTGGGAGGCTTCCGCCTCCCAGGATCCGAGATGGCGCCATTACTCCAGCCTGGGCAATAAGAGCAACACTCTGTCTCAAATAAAGAAAAAAAAAAGTGATGACAAAAACCTCAATTACTTTTTGCACCACCCTAATGGAGACAAAAGGCTTATACCAGCTATCATGTCAGGAATATTCTAAGAAGCTACCACGTAACACTTCTGCTTATGTCTCACAGGACAAAAGCCTTACCTAACTACAAGGGAGGGCCAGAAGTGTAGTCTTAATTCTGAGAAAAAATCAGGGGAGAATAATTATTGGCCACAGCTAACAGTTTCTGCTGCACCCTCATCTAATCACCTGAGTTAATTATGTTAGTGAACAGATGATCAATTACTTAGTATTTGGACTTTGTTTATCTCCCTTTGTCCTTTTGAAAGCTGTGCCAATATCAGCAGAATGATGTCTGATGTTCTAGAGACTGCAGAACTTATTGTATGTGGCTGTCCTGTCTGGCATAGCAGCCACAAGTCACCTGAAGGTATTGAGTTCTTAAAATGTGGCTAATGCAACTGAGGAACCAAATTTTAAATGTAATTTAAATTAAAAACTGACACTTGATTCAGTTTTTGGAAACTTTTAATTGTGTCTAGAACAACTAGGGTATGTGAGTCTACTTTTGCAACTGTACATTTTATAAAATCTAAATACAGATCAGGTATTTCCGATGAACATTTAACATCTGAATTGGGTTGTACTCTAAGTATAAAATGCAAACTGGGCCGGGTGTGGTGGGTCATACCTGTAATCCCAGCACTGGGAGGCTGAAGCGGGTGGATTACCTGGGGTCAGGAGTTTGTGACCAGCCTGGCCAACATGGTGAAACCTTGTCTCTACTAAAAAATACAAAAAATTAGCTGGGCGTGGTGGCAGGCACCTGTAGTCCCAGCTACTCTGGAGGCTGAGGCAGGATAATTGCTTGAACCCACTAGGCACAGGTTGCAGTGAGCCAAGATCGCGCCACTGCATTCCAGCCTGGGCGACAGAGTGAGACTCCATCTCCAATAACTAAATTAATTAATTAATTAATTAAAATAAAATAAAATGCAAACTGGATTTCAAAGACTTTAGTATGAATAAAATATCTCAGTTTTAAAATGTGACTACCTGTTTGCATGATATTTTGGCTATATTAGGTTAAATGAAAATATTAATGCAACTAATTTCACTTGTTTCATTTTACCTTTTTAATGTGGCTACTGGAAAATAAAGAATTACATATGTGACCCACGTTATAGTTCCATTGGTTGGCACTGTTATAAAGCCTCATCTCTTAATAGAGGACATGACTCTGTGTACAAATGAAAAGGCTTCTTAGTATCTCCTGATTTCAGAAGAAACAAATTTCCAAGATGAATACAGCTGGGCATTATCTTTTTGTCATAATGTCCTTGCTGAATGCTACTGTCTTCTTCTTTCTTTATATTCCTGTATTTCTCTACTTCTTTCACTTTATCATCCTTTTCTCAGCCTTCCCCTTAACCCTGCCTCTGCCAGAAATAGGACTTCTCTAATGGCTGTTTAACAGAAGATGACCATACTGTGTAATCTTCATGTGATATACTTTGCTGAATATGATGTATCATTGCCTCTTTGATGACAGTTACCAAATTAGCCTTTCAGACAATAATTTCCATAGCTAGATGGACCTTTTCTGGACATTCGTCATTTCTGAGATGATAAATGAGCAGAGACCAAACCTTTTATTTTTTGAAATTGTGTGGAGTATATTGTGTCCAGAGCATACCTTTTATTTACTATTTCATTTCTTTTGGTATCTCTGGTGGGTAAAGTGGTGTGATTCTTATTCTATAAAGTACAAACTCATGTCCACCTTGACATTATTACTCCAAAATATCACACTACATGTTAACTATGGAGCAAGTATTAGAAATTGAACAGATCTCTGATTTTTTTTTTTTTTTTTTTTTTTTGGGAGACAGGGTCTCACTCCTGTCTCCCAGGCTGGAGTACAGTGGTACAGTCATGGCTCACTGCATCCTAAACCTCCTTGGCTCAGGTAATCCTCCCACCTCAGCCTCCCAGGTAGCTGGGACTACAGGTGGGTGCTACTGTGCCTGTGTAATTTTTTGTATTTTTAGTAGAGACAGGGTTTCACCATGTTGCCCAGGAGATTCTTGAACTCCTGGCCTCAAGAAATCTGTTGGCCTTGGCCTCCCGAAGTGCTGAGATAAGTCAGGCATAAGCCACTCTCCCGTGACTTTTGAGGTCTTTGAATGTTGCTTGCATTGCCTAGCACTTTTATTTATTTTCAACCACCAACCATCTGTGAGGATCTTGGGCAAGATGCTTCACCTTTTGGTATCTTGGTTTTCTCACTGGTTGCTTCAGTAATATTTGCTTTACCTCATAATACTTTGAGGCTCAGAGGAGAATATAATTGCAAAGGCAATTTGGACACTTAGTAGCTACGTTATTATAAGCTATTATTTACATAGACCTATTTTCTTCTTCAGTGAAATAAGAGTGGTGTAGTTTTCTACTTTCCCAATCACCTAGGTGCAGTGTACCCTCTATTACTTGCACTAATGGAGAGAATCGATGTTGCAAATTTTCCAGAACGCCAAATAATTAGAAAATCATTCAGAAAATAATTCAGCATTTACATTTACATATGGGTCTCTCTTGTGTTCCAAGAATTCATAATTCAGAAAAGAAAAGCAAAATAAATAAATAAATAAATAAAGTCTGACTCAGAAGAAAATAAGCTTTACAACTTGCCATCTTTGCCCTTTATTCCCAGCGGCCTTTTGTGGGACAGATATGTATCTATGTCTCTAACCGGTGCAGAGTTCTAGCTTACAGCATTGTTGGCTTATTTTTATTTTTATTTTTTAACATTTCAAACCTTTAGTCAGACAGGAACTGACTTGTGTGAAGTGTCTATCTTGTTTTCTCAGCTTCTATAGCAGTATCAACTATGTATAGATTATGCTAAGAAAGTATGTAATTAAATACTGTCAATGTACATTTGAAAGCAAGTTTGCAGTGAATCACCTATCCAGGGAATAATCCTGGGTTGTCCTGTAAGAGTACTTAGAAATGCAACAGATGTACACTGCGTTGCCCAGCTTCCCCTTTGTTTATATGCTGCTTTTTAAAAAATTGAGGAATAAGTTGTTTGGCATATTCTTTTCGTAGACCTCTTTGTGATCGGGTTTTTTTCAAGGGTAAAAATCTGATTGCTTTTTTAATTCATTGAAATGCTGGATTTTGTTGTTTTATTGGTGTCCTTTGGCTTGGCATACTTACTGATAGTCCTGTTATTTTTATTTGGAGACATAGCTTTCTGTTTATTAGTGGAAATATATAGTGAAAATCTTTGGAGGCCTGTATGTATGTATGTATGTGTGTGTACATGTATGTGTATATATTTATATATATATTTTTGGAGGAAGATACATATTTTTCAAAAATTAAGGATTAGTTCATTCCCTTCAATTCTAATAGGCCATAAATCACTCTGAATTGTTATGCATCTGTCCCACCATTATATTCACATTTCCTGGTGGACATGATCTTTATAAATAAATAAAACATTTCAATCCAGCCTCTCCCTCCCCATCTTCATGTTCCTTTCCCACTGCTACTTTCCCTACTTCTTTCATAGTTGGAAAAAGAGAAATCCCCTAGAAGTGGGAGTGGAGCAGACAGGATGGGCTAGCAGTTTCTGCCTTCCTTCTCTTTCCTCCATCATGACAGAGAACAGCTCCCCTGTGCTCTCACCAGCCACAGTAGCAGTGGTTGCACCTGCTGTATCTTAAGGTGTGAATTGTGGCCTTTGCCATTTCACCAGGATGTTGCCCAAAAATAGAGCTACTGGTGGAGTTAAGTCAAGCCACATGGCTTCCTGAACATCGGGGCTGTGTGTGTGTTGCCAGCTTGGCACTGAAAATGCTCTATCCCAAATTTCTGTTTTGAAGAAGGCCTCCAGAACATCTCTGGGGCATGGAGGCAATCCAATCCAGATCCTGCACCTGCCCACCCAGCTGGTCACCAATTTTACAGGTTCGTATTTTTCAGTACTTTTGTTAACTATATAACCTCAGTTGGGTGACTGCATGCCTAAATGGCAGTGTATGTGTGTGTATGTTTGTAAAAATATACAACTCCAAATAGAGAGGTTGTATGTGATATCATAAACAAATTTGTATCTATAGAAGGTGCATATATGTAAAAGGGTTTTGGAATTTTGCTAAATTGAGTCCAGCATGATACTGACACACTGGCTTTTATGAAATTGGTTTTTATTAAAATCTGCAGGTAGTTCTTGTACTGGCAATGGCTTTGATTAAGCAGTGTAGTAGGGTCATATCCTAGAATAACAGCATTTCCAAATCCCTGACTGTTTTTGAAAGAATTGTGATTAAAGTTCTGGCTCTTTTCCCATGATTACTAATGTCTGCTGAGGGTTGAGTTTCCCAGGTTGTTATTGGCGATTGAGTTGTGTGGCAGCCCGTTGTGCTTTCTTGTCAGTATCAGTGGCATTCTCTAGGGGGAAGTGATTTCACATTGAAATGCGAGAACTAAAAGCTGTAACAAAATTAACACGGGGTCTAGGGTTTCTGATGTGACTACAAAACTAGAATGGGAATGTTTCCTAAAGCCTAATTCATCTGTGATTGAATTTCAGACTAAACAAAGCTGCCATGATGAGAAGGTAGAGAAACCCTTCTAAAAGAGATTATGGATGAACAGATTGAGGAACATGATATGGCAGGGCAAAGTCTAGACAATCATATATTTCAGCTTCAGCTGGGCCTTTCTTCTTGACAGGTGTGTTCTGTGCCTTGGCATGAGCAGCTCACTTGGGAAAGCCCGTGCTGTTAGGAATGATCTCTTTGCATGCCAATGGGAAATGGAAAATGAACTCCATTCTTATATAATATGTAGGAAAAAATAAGTGTTGTGTGTGTTGGGTGGCAGGCATGGCTCCCTAGGTTTTAAGATGTATTGTGGAATTATGTTTGTCTGAAAACAATTATTTAATGTCTACTACTACCCCAGTTAATGATATGCTCTTTTCCACATTGAAAAAATATGCAGGATTTTAGAAATCAAGAATATATTAGGTGTTTTTTTGTTTTTTAGTTGCTACCAAATTTAAATTTTACATAATTTTACTCTTTCATCTGCTGGTCTTTTACCTTGGAAATTCTAGAACTTAGGTGTTGATTCTCTACCTCTGTAGGTTATGAAGTGCTTGAGGTAGAGCACTGTATTTTAGACTCTTTGTTTTCTCTCTAGGTGCCATACTCAAAATAGTTTTGTAATGCCTGTCTGGATTGATTTAGAGCTGCTTCTTTGTGCTCTACAAAAAATAATTTTTAAACTCAAATGCATCTTCATGCAGATACCTAAATACAATCATTTCTCACTCAAAGATGGGGGTATCTTTTGAGAAATGCATCATTAGGTGATTTCATCATTTTATGCACATCATAGAGTGTACTTCCACAAACATGGATGGTATAGCCTACCATACACCTAGGTTATATGGTATAGCCTGTCGCTCCTGATATAGTTTATGATATGCCTGCTGCTTTACAAACCTGTACAACATGTTACTGTACTACATGCACAACGTGTAGGCAATTGTAACAAAACGGGTATTTGTCTATCTAAACATATGTAAACATAGAAAAGCTACAGTAAAAATACAGTTTAAAGGTGAAAATGGTCCATCTGTATGGGGCCTTTACCCTTTGAATAGAGCTGGCAAGACTGGAAGTTCTCGAGTGAGTGATGAGTGAATGTGAAGGCCTAGGGCATTACTATATTCTACTGTAGATGTTATGAATATCGTGCACTTAGGCTACACTTAATTTATAGAAAATAATTTATTAATAAACAGCTTACTGTAACTTTTTTCCTTTATAAATTTTTATTTTTCAACTTTTTTACTCTTGTAATAACACAGCTTAAAACACAAACACAGTGTACAGCTGTACAAAAATATTTTCATTATATCCTTATTCTGTAAGCTTTTTTCTAATTTCAGAATTTTTTTTTTTTTCTTTTTAAACTTTTTTGTTAAAAACTAGGATATAAACACACACATGAGCCCAGGCCTACACAGGGTCAGGATCATCAGTATCACTGTCTTCTACCCCCACATCTTGTCCCACTGGAAGATCTTCAGGGACAATATCATGCATGGAGCTGTCAGCTCTTATGATAACAGTGCCTTCTTCTGGAATACCTCCTGAAGGACCTGCCTGAGGCTGCATTACAGTTATCTTTTTTTATAAGTGAAAGGAGTACAACCAAAATAATGATAAAAGTGTAGTATAGTAAATACATAAACCATATCATAGTCATTTATTATCATTAGTAAGTAATGTATAATGTTTGTAATTGTATGTGCTATACTTTTATATGACTGGTGGTTCAGTAGGTTTGTTTTTACCAGCCTCACTACAATATGTAAGTATTGCATTGCATTGTGAGATGTTAGAACAGCTATGCCATCACTAGGTGACAGGAATTTTTCTGCTCCATTAGAATGTTACAGGACCATCATGGTATATGCTGTCCATCATTGTCTGAAACATCACTGTATGTATGGAACATGACTGTAATTAAAATGATCTTTTCTTTGAGTTCTGAACTTGACACACTTGGTACTGCTCCTTCAGCTCTGGTTTCATCTTTGCTTTAACTTATAGCACTGATTTCTTTTTCTTTCCTTCCTTCCTTCCTTCTTTCTTTTTTTTTTTTTTTTTTTTTTTTTTTTTTTGAGGCAGAGTCTCTCTCTGTTGCCCAGGCTGGAGTGCAGTGGTGCAATCTTGGCTCACTGCAACCCCCACCTCCCGGATTTAAGTGTTTCTCCTGCCTCAGCCTCCTGAGTAGCTGGGATTGCAAGCATGTGCCACCACACCCAGCTAATATTTTTTATTTTTCGTGGAGATGAGATTTCACCATGCTGTCCAGGCTGGTCAAGAACTCCTGACCTCAGGTGATCCACCCACCTCGGCCTCCCAAAGTGCTGGGATTACAGGCATGAGCCACCACACCCAGCCTCTAGCTCTGATTTCAAGATGAAACAATGGACTTCTGGCCTAACCTCTTCTTGTCTTTCATAGGTTGTTAGGTATTCATGTAGGAATGAAAGAGAGCAGCGAAATAGTAGGTGTGTCTGTGTATGAACATTAGAGACTAATTCATCAATTCTTCAACAAATGTTTTCTTAGTACACACTATTGTCAGACTCTGCTTTAGGTGCTTGAGATACAAGAGCAAACAAAACAAAGTTCCTGCAATCTTTTAATTTTTTTGAATATTTCATTGAGATAAAATTTATAATATAATATTTTATAGAATTGTACAATTATCACTACTATCTATTTCTATCATTTTTATCACCCCTATAGGAAACCGCTATTCATTAATAGTCACTCTGCATCCCTTTTTCCCACAGCCGCTGGCAACCACTAATCTATTTTCTGTCTCTATGGATTTGCCTGTTTTGGACACTAAGTATAATGGAACCATGAAATGTGTGGCCTTTATTCTGGTTTCCGCCACTTAGCATAATGTTTTTAAGGCTTATCCATGGTATAGCATGAGTCAGTACTTTGTTTTTCCTGAAGTAAGGATGACCATTGAAGGAGCAAGCTGGGGATTGCAGGTGGGTCAGAGTTTGTTTTTGGACATACTAAGTTAGAGTCATGCTTAATGGAATTCTAGTGAAGATGTTGAGAAGCTAGTTGAAAACCGAAGTCTGGAGTTCAGGAGAGAGGTCTGGGCTGGAGATATGAGTTGAGGAGTCATTAGCATATAGATGGTACTTAAAGCCACCAGGTTAAATGAAATCTGCTAGGGAGTATAGGTAGAGCAGAGGGAGGTTCGGGAGTTGAGCCTGGGGGCACTCAAATGCTAAAAGGTCAGAAAAATGAGGTGGAATTAGCCAGGAGACCCCAGAAGGACTAGCTAGTGTGTCAGGAGGAGAATCAAGACAGTATAAGGTCCTGGAAGCTAAGTGAGAAGGTGTTTCTAGAAAGGAATGGTTAATTGTGTGAAGTGATGCTGCTAGATCCAATAAGAAAATAAGAAAGATAAGGACAGGGAATTGTTCATTGACTAAGACCATTTTAAGAAGGTAGTTTCCACACTAGCATTGGCAAGAGTGAAAGCGAGGGCCTGAGAGCTGTGCATATTCCTGACCATTCCCATGCTCCTAATCCCCTACAAGTCTTCTGGCCTCACCTTTACAGTCTGTTCCATCTCATCATGCCCTTTACCTCATTCCTGTAAGCTACCACAGAGAGTCCAGGGTTCACTAGTTATCTGCCATTTTCTGGCCCCTTATCCCCAATATTGCTCTGTACATCTCTGTTTCCTTCCAGTGTGCATTACTTGAACTTCCCTGTTTCATCATTGCAAATCCCTTATATCCTGAATATCTTCACTGAATACTCCTTTAACCTACTTCCTAGAGCAGTTAGAATTAAACACAATCTCCCTCTTGAGAAACTGCTTCCTTTGCTGCTGTTTATTATTATTATTATTATTATTTTTTTTTTTTTTTGAGGTGGAGTCTCACTCTCTTGCCCAGGCCGGAGTGCAGTGGTGCATTCTCGGCTCACTGAAATCTCTGCCTCCCAGGTTCAAGCAATTCTCCTTCCTCAGCCTCCTGAGTAGCTAGGATTATAGGTGTGCACCATCACACCTGGCTAATTTTTTGTATTTTTAGTAGGGGCTGGGTTTTACCATGTTGGCCAGGCTAGTCTCGAACTCCCGACCTCAGGTGATCTGCCCACCTTAGCCTCCCAAAGTGCTAGGATTATAGGTGTGAGCCACTGTGCCTGGCCCTTTGCTACTGTTTTAAATGGTGGCTCGTCTCCAGCACATTGGTGTGATAGGTGTCTTCCTTGTCTCTTACAAATCGCTTTCTTTCTCTTCTCCCTAAAAATTCCCATACTTTCGGATTATTCCATCTGTTATTATTTCTTGTACTCATTTATAGACCCTAGGATTGTCCCTAGCTGTAGATCCTTTTTCTAGCTGTAGATCCTACAATGCGTATTTGCTAATAGTAATTTATTTTCCGAGTTTTGGCAAGCATCATTGTCACAGCCTGGCTTCTATGTGGTTTACAATAGTGAGGATATGTTTCTAGAGCAGTTTTTCTGAGACACTAGTAAATATGGAAGATGACAAATGCATTAATCAGGCTCCTGCCATACGGCCCTGATTTTTAAAAAATGCATGAATTTTAAATGGTTTGTATAGTTGAAAGGAGAACTTAACACATGTGTCTGACAAGCTGATCAAATGATAAAGTGAAGGAAAATTGAGCCTCAACCTTTTGGGCAGCCAGTGAAAGTAAAGGCACATTGCAGTTTTCCGAGGCAGATGGAATGTGAACAACTAATAAATCAGGTTTTGAAACATTGAAGAACAACTTATTTCAATGCATATGGTGTTGGATCTCAGACAAGATAGTATTGGAAATAAAAATAGATTCGGCAGCATCAAAAGGACATTGTACCTAAGCATTATCTGCATAACAATATTTAAATGCATTTCCCAGCATCAAGCTCCAATATGTAGTAAATAAATAATTATAGGGCAACAAAAAGAGCCTTCAAGATCTCTACAGAGTTGTACATAAAAGAGATCAGAGTGAATTGGCACTATCACAAGCATTCTGTGATCATTCTAATTTCTCCATCTCTCTCGTGCTTTAAGAAGATCAGAAGACTGTAAATCGATTTATAGACTTCTCATAAGAAATACTAAAAGTAGAAGTGCGGGTTATTATAATGGAGAAATTTGCATTAGTGCCTGCTATATGCTATGTGATATAAAATGGACCATTGCATAAAACTACATACCCCTTAAGTATAAAAACAGATTTCAGAAAAGCAAAGAAGCACGGCTCTGAAATTTGAATTTCATCTTCACCAAGTGAAGGGGTAGTGGGGGGAGCAAGCCAAAATTGCTATCAGTAAGTCATTTTTAAGTCATCCTTTATTGACTTTTTCAGTTGTAAATAGAGTTAGAAAATTTTCTTTTGAAATTTTGTTTTGAAATCCGGCATTTGTTAGTAGAATATACTTCAACTCAAAGTTGTTCAGAATTTCATAATAGAATTTTCCTGGGGGTTTATTGTTAAGCTAGATTCTGGGATATTGGTTTAATATAGAACAATTTAATCTGAGTTTGGGACTTATTTTTTGTTAGGTAAATCGAAAACAGCAATGGAAATACATTTTCCCTTGAAAAAACAGGATGAGGAGTAAAGTGAATATTTTCTCTTATATTCCTTTAAGATATTTAGGTTAACAGTTTGTTTGATTACCCCATTTGAGTTTGTGGTAATTTCTTTCTGCCTTCTCAGAATAGATCTATATTTGTTATGATCATCAACTACTGAACACTATTAGAGATTTAGGCGTTATACTGAAATAGGATTAAAAAAAGAATGTGGTATTCAAACTTGCTGCAACAGTGTTTAGGAGTGCATTGTACTAAAGACCCTAGTGGATGTGGGGAAAATTAATAAATGGTTGTTATCTGAAGTAAATATGCTGTATTTCTTTTTTTTTTTTTTTTTTTTTTTGGAGATGGAATCTTGCTCTGTTGCCAGGCAAGAGTGCAGTGGCAATCTTGGCTTACTGCAGCCTCTTACTCCCTGGTTCAAGCGATTCTCCTGCCCCAGCTCCTGAGTAGCTGGGATTACAGGCACGTGCCACCACGCCCAGCTAATTTTTCTATTTTTAGTAGAGACAGGGTTTTACCATGTTGGCCAGGATGGTCTCGATCTCCTGACCTCATGATCTGCCTGCCTCGGCCTCTCAAACTGCTGGGATTACAGGCATGAGCCATCACCCCCAACCTTAACCGGTGTATTTCTGGTAGTTTTATTTACTTATTTTGGAAGAATTTCAAATAAACACAAAATTTGGGAAAATAGTATAAATATAACTTATATGTTCATTTCTCACATTTAAGTGTCATATTGTTATCAAGATTTTACCATATTGGGTTCATCTATTTTATTTTATTTCTTTTCTTTTTGGAGGTATTTTAAAGCAACTTCCAGTCATTTTGTCATTTTACCCCTGCTTGCCTGAATTCACATCTTTAAAACCTAAGAGCACCTTCTTAGATAGCCACAAATCCATCAATTGGGATATCTGAGTGTGGGGAACTGTAATTATACATTTTGCCTCCATTTAGGGTTTACTGATTTAAAGGAGGTAATAAAAAAGGAATAATTTTTGTTGTGTGGAATCCAGTATGACAGTACAGAACTTCTTCCTATTATTTTATGTGTGGACTGTTTCCATACTTAAATTGAACTTGTAGCTGTTCCAGGTCTTGATTCAGATGTTTATGCCAAATGAGTTTTTGGCTATTGTGAATATAGCATATTCCAATTACATGTATATTGTGACTGCAGTGAGTTGGAAAATAATTTTCTGATATTACTAATTCATAATAGCTATGTGGCAATTGCCCTCTTCTCTCGATTGTGTGATAAGCACAGGGAATACGTAGAAGTCAGCTGAGAAGAAACATTAAAGGAGGAATATTTTCCATCAACTGCAACTCTCATATTGACACATAAGTAAACATTTATATGTGTAAAGCATAGTTATAACTAAACTGGGAAAAATCTGTATTTAAACATCATTGCCTTACATGTGATTTTATCCTGGGGATGGGGGAGTGATAAAATTATAAGAATCATGAGAATAGTGATAGACACGGTGGGCCAGGTGGGGTCGAGCTGACTCGCTGGAGCCAATGGTGCACATCTCTTCCCACTGAACATTCTGCTTTCAGTGACATCATGTTGGTAGCTTAGAATTGGCCACGATGGGTGTAGTTACACAACAGAAATCAGCAAATGCTACAACAGGACTCTAGCCTCTCTCACAGAGCTGGTTATTAAACATTGACCAAGACATCAGTAGTTATAGTCCATGAACAACTTTTTACCCATAGGATGAGAGGCTCAAATGCTGCTTTATTGTTCTGTAATCTTAGTCTTCTAAAACACTATTCTTATTGTTTCATAATCACCTGTTCCTTAATGTGTGCAATATTCCTTTTTGTTCTTGATAGACATAACTAGATGTAATTAAACTTGTTATAAATTTAATTTCCTTTCCATGATCCTCCATGACTGGGACAGAGAATTCTTTAGGGAAGTTGACACCTGCTGCAGAAGCCTTGGTAATGGTTCCTGACTTAATATTTATGGATGTAATCCCAGGGTATTTTGATGAATTCCCAGAATCTCACTGTTGGAATTGATTCTTAACATTCTAATCAATGCTTTAAATCTCCTTTATGAGACCACAACAAGTGGACTTTCAGCTTTTCTTAGGAAAAACAAACAAAAGACTGAAGTTTCAGGGAAGAAACTGTCTCATAAGAAAGTCATTACTTTTTCATGCCCTTCTTAGTAAGTTTTTGCTTTTATAAAGTCAGATCTGCCTTCTTGAAAGTTCCAACCTGTTTATTTTAATACTGTCTTCTAGGACCACAGAATATAATTTTAACTCCTTTTTCATCATGTAGCTTTTCACATGTCACAAGATACTAATCATATTCCTCCCCACACCTCCATTTCTCTCACCTAAACATTCCCCATTTCTTCCACTTTTTTTTATATTCTTGAATAGAGCTCTAAATCTTAAACCTGCTTTCCTCTGAGGATTCAACTCTTGTGATTGCCTCACAGCAGGGATTAGCAAAACACACAAGTGTTTCCATGTTACAGTAACTAGCATTTATAATGTCCTTTATAAAAATTTTACTAAGAACTTAACACCAATATATTTGTTCTTTTTTACTTTTTTTTTTTTTTTAAGACAGGATCTCACTCTGTCACCCAGGTTGCCGTGCAGTGACGTGATTAGGGCTCACTGCAGCTGTGATCTCCTGGGCTCAAGTAGTCCTCCCACCTCAGCCTCCCAAGGAGCTGGGATCACAGGCATGCACCACGATTCCTGGCTGTTTTCTCTATTTTTTTTTTTTTTTTTGTAGAGATGGAGTTTCACCTGAACTCCCGGGCTCAAATGATCTGCCTGCCTCAGCCTCCCAAAGGCTGGGATTACAGGCATGAGCCCTCATGCCTGGCCTTTATTTGTTCATTTAATGAGAGAATTGTGAGAGAGATTATAGACTGGTAATTGTTAGATTGTTACTCCCCAAGAAAATAAGCCAGTGAAATAGGAATGAGAAGTGTGATGGGCTTTGGTGTAGTGGCAGAGGTTTTGTCACTTTAGCGTGGTTGATGATGGTCTCAGAAGGTATAGACCTTGTGTGCTGCTTGGCAGGGAGAATAGGAGACATTTCAGATAACTTTGCTTTGGAGCAGATAGGAAAAGCATTTTGAAGCTAGACTTTATATCAGGGTAAAAATTAAGGAAAAGATTGTGTCAGAGGTTACTCTGAGTTTTTAAAGACATGATCTTCTGACATTTTCATTGTGTCACTCGCCTGCTCTAAATCTTTAATAGCTTTTCATTGTACTTCGGATAAAAAATGTCTTTTCCTTCATAGGACCTACCACACCCTGTTGATCTGGTCTGCCTACCTCCCTTCTTCATTTATTCTCCTTCATCCCTAGTCTTCTACACTCAACTTTTTTCACTGCCTTGAATGTGTCACTGCCTTCACACATGCTCTTCCTCTGCCCAGAACACACCTTCCTCTATTCTTTACAGACTAACTCCTACCCATTCTTCAGGTCTCTGTGTGTCATTTCCATGAAATGAAGCCTGAAAGGGGTTTCCCTGGCCTTGATGTAAATTAGCCCCTAATAGATATTTTAGAGATTATTGTTAAATACTACAGAGATATTAGGGTCTCTCCTGCCATTCTCTTCTAATCTTTCATAACACAGAAGACAATTTGTAATTACATATTTATTTGCACTATTGCTGAATATCATTTACTACATGAAAATAATCTCATTTACAATATGGTCAACTCCATGAGGGCAGGGACCATGTCACACCTACCATAGTGCCTGGTATGCAGCAAGCTGTTTAATAACAACTATTGAAGGGTGAATGTTTGGTGCTTCCCTACAGTGTTTGTAATCTTTAGTATTCATGTTCTTAAGAATATTTAATGACATGGGAAAACACTTAGGATATATTATTAGGAGGAAAAAGCTGACTCAGACATTTATATATATATGGTTTCAATTTTTATGTGAGTTGTGAGCTTGTGCAAATGTTTCCTTTTAGTGGGCATTTAGTGAGCATTCCCTGGTAATCTCTCTCACAATCATATCTTCATGGGCAGATTTCTGGAACTTACTCTTACTTGCTGGTATATAGAAGTATACATTTTCTGCTGACTAGATTTAATATTTAAATGATCTTATTTATATTGGATTTTACTCTCTTTATATGCCAAGGAAGGGCTTACTCAGAAGGAGGTAGTTGCGTAAAGACCTGAGAAGGTAGGGAAGTGAGGTCTGCAGTTCTGGGGAAAGAGTGTTGACAGCAGAGGGAACAAGATGAACACAGGTCTTACAGGTCATTTTAAGGAGTTTGGCTTTTACTTCAAATGAGATGTGAAGCCTTTGGAGCATTCTGGAGAGAAGAGTAACTGGATTAGGCATGTATTTTAACAGTATCACTCTGGCATGTATGACAGTCCACCTACAGGGGACAAGGATGGCTGAAGAGAGACCAATTAGGAGGCCAGTAATGCAGGAGGCAGATGGTGGTGGCTTGGAAGGTAGTAGCAGTGAGGGTGGTGAGAGGTACTGGGATTCTTTATGTTTTGATGACAAAATGGAAAGGATTTACTGAGGGATTGGATGAGAGGTAGACAAAATACAAGAGTGAAGATGACTCCAAAGTTTTAGACATGAACAACTAAAGGTGGTTGTTCTTACCATTACCAGGACCTTGTACTGTACCTGTACATGGTTGGTACTTCATAAATACTTTTTGGATGTGTAGTTGGCCCAGAACAACATGGGTTTGAACTGTGTAGGTCCATTTATGTGTGGATTTTAAAAAATAAATATATTGAACAAATGTTTGGAGATTACCTGTAGTTTGAAAAAACTCAAGAGACAAAGTGTGTAGTCTAGAAATATCAGAAAAATTAAAAAAAGATATGTCATGAATGCACAAACTATATATTGATATTAGTCTATTTTTATCATTTATTAGAAAATATATGACTCTATTATAAAATTTAAAATATATCAGAACTTTTACACAAATGCAGACCATATATGGTGCCATTCACAGTAGAAAGAAATGTAAAGAAACATGAAGATGCAGTGTTAAATCATAACTGCATAAAATTAACTACAGTGCATACTGTACTATTGCAGCAATTTCGTAGTCACCTCCTGTTGCTGATACCGTGAGCTCAAGCGTTGCGAGTGTTTGCTTAAACTGCTGTGTGATACTAATCATCTCCCTGTGAGCAGTCCATCTCTCCAGTAAATTTCATACGGCAGTGAGAAGTGATCTTTGGCAGTTCTCATGTATTTTCCATCGTGTTTAGTGCAATACTGTAAGCTTTGAATAACTCCATGGAACCCATACAAAGCACCGTTAGTCACAGTGGAAGTGCTCCCAAGAAGCAGGGGAAAGTCATGACATTACAAAAAAAAAAAAGATGCTGAATTGCTTGATAGGTACTATACATTGAGGTCTGCAGCTGTGGTTTCTTGCCATATCAAGATAAATGAATTCAGTGTAAGGGCCATTGTAAAAGAAAAGGAAATTTGTGGAGCTGTCACTGAAGCTGCATCAGTAGGCATGAAAACCTTGTTCTTTTCACGAAATACCTTTTTATCTGGTATTGAAAAGGCAGCTTTTATGTGGGTGTAGGACTACTATAAGAAAGGCATACCTATAGACTCTAATATGATTCCAGATATAGGGAAGTCATTATATGGTAACTTAAGGCAAAAGGAAGGTGAAGGATGTAAAGCTGGAGAATTTAATGCAAATTAAAAGGATGCAAAGGGTGGTTTGATAATTTTAGAAAGAAGTTTGGCCTAAAAAATGTCAAGTTAATAGGAGAAGCAGCTTCTGCCAACCAAGAGACAGCAGATGAGTTCCCAAACATCATTAAGAAACCCATTGAGGAAAAAGGATGTCGGCCTGAACAGGTTTTTAATGCAGATGAAAGTGCCCTACACTGGGGGAAAAAATGCCACAAAGGATGTTTATTAGGAGGAGAAGCAAACACCAGGATTTAAGGCAGGAAGAGATAGGCTAACTCTACTCTTTTGTGCAAATGCAGTGAGATTTATGATTGGGACTGCCCTTATCTGTAAGTCTGGAAGGGAAAAGATGAACAGCAGTTGCCAGTCTTTTGTTTGTACAGTAAGAAGTCTTGAATAACAAGAACCTTTTTCTGGGGTGGTTCCATTGATGCTTTGTCCCTGAAGTCAGGAATCAGTAAGGGACTGCCTTTTAATTGTGCAATACTCCTGGCCACTCAGAACTCCGTAAGTTCAACACTGAAGGAGAAATATTCTACTTGCCCCCAAACAGAATGTCTCTAATCAGGGAATCATAAAGACCTTTAAGGCTCATTGCACATGGTACTCTATGAAAAGGATCGTCAGCATTATGTAAGAGAATCCTGACAGGGAGAACATCATGAAAGTCTGAAAGGATTACACCATTGAAGATGCATTGTTATAGAAAATGCCATGAAAACCACCAAACCCAAAGTGAATTCTTGTTGGAGAAAACTGTGTTCAGATATTGTGCATGGCTTTTGAGGATTTACAAGAGAGCCGATCAAACGAGTCATGAAAGAATTGTACATATGGCAAAAAAAAAAAAAAAAAAAAAAAAAAAGATGGTGGTTGTGAAGGGTTTCAAGATAGAGATCTTGGAGAAATTCAAGGGCTAGCAGACAACATACCAGAGGAATTAACAAAAGACAACTTGATGGTGTTGAGTCCTTTCAAAACAGTGCCAGATGATGAGGAAGAAGATCTAGAAGAAGCACTGCCAGAAAACAAATTGACATTAGATAATCTGGCAGAAGGGTTCAGATTATCCAAGACTGCATTTGACTTCTTTTATGACATGGACCCTTCTATGATATCGTCACTGAAACTAAAGCAAACAGTTGTAAAAGGATTGGTACCATGTAGAAACATTGTTAGAGAAATGAAAAAGCATCTGTAAAGTTGCACTGAGTATGCCTGACTCTCCGGCCTCCCCTTCTACTTTCCCCACCTCCTCCACTTCTTCTGTCTCTTCCACTCCTGAGACAGCAAGACCAACCCCTCCTCTTCTCCCTCCTCCTCCTCCCCCCTCATCTACTCAAAATGAAGAAAACGAGGGTGATTTATTTTTATAACGATTGACTTTTAGTGAATAGTAAAATTGTCTCTTCCTTATGATTTCCTTATCTGTAGCTTTATTATAACAATACAGTATAACACACATACAAAATATGTGTTTATTTTTCTGTTTATGTTATCAGTAAGGCTGCTGGTCAACAGTAGGCTATTAACAGTTAAGTTTTTAGGAAGTGAAAAGTTACATAAAGATTTTTGACTGGAATGGGAGAAGCAACCCTATCCTGCTTTGTTCAAGGATTAGCTATATTTGAATTTAATCTGTCTGCAGTCTTTTTGTTTTAATTTCTGCGTTCTCTATTGGTGGAGTGGTGCTTGGCGATTGAGATAAAAAGTGTTTATGCTGAAGTTGTGCTCCATGGACCATTAGTTTTTAGGCTTAAGTTGCTTTGTCTAGTATTATCAGAGCCTTTTCGTTGGTAACCTCTACCTGTCTCTGTTCTCTCCTCAGCTAAATCGACAAGTACATTTTAATAAAAGCTTTATCTGTATTTCAGACTTTTGAAAAACAACATTTAAAAAGCAGAATCACCAATCTTTAAAGAAATACAAAGAAAAAGTGTTTTTCCAGGAAGAGATTGTAGCAGTAATTTTATGTGATGTGTTTAGAAACTGTTGATAAGTAGCTTCTTTGTTCTGTGATTGAGTCACTGTTTTTGATCAGTCAAACGTAGTATGTATTGAATACCAATATTAGGAGTTCTGTATTATGTGTTACCATTGCCAGTCTGTTTACCTATCTTATTAATATTGGCCTATTTTGTAGAGGAACAGTGTCCTGTTTTCTCTACCAAACAATGGTAACTTATGTTTGTCCCTGGATTTTATTATGCATATATAAGTTGGTTTCCAAACTCAAGAACAATCATTTTGTCTTGTTGGAAGGCTTTTTTATTCCTTTGGTTTATCTTGTAATAGCTTTGCTTGTAATTTTGTGTGTGCTCTTTTTTATACCCTTTTTATACATCATAATGTGAACTTCATGAGGTCATGGATTATGGCTGTTGCTTATGTTTATTTCACCATGAACCCACTGCTAGTCACAAAGATGCTGATTATAGATTACTAAGTATGGGTTATTGAATGAAATGAAATAATTGTGTTTCCCTATTAAAGCAATTCTGAAGGAAATATATTTTTGAAAACCATTGATTATAGTGATTTGCTTAAAGTTCAGATACTTGTTTTGAGGTAAATAATTGAGAAAATTTTTAGACTAAAATTGCACAGACCTGTCATGAATTTTGCCCATTTTTTTCCTTTGCATTGGGTAATTTTTGTGACAATGATGGCAGGATCTAAGATGCTTCTTAGAAAACAAAGAGAGTATCAAATAATCATAACTAGATCATGTAAAACTGTCAGCTGCAAATGATACCAGCTATTTATTCCTAAAGCTTTACTAATATAGCAAAGCAAAACATACAGTTCATTCTCATTTAGAATCTGCTAGAATTATCATCGATATCAACGATTATAATTGGACTATCTACTTGAAAAAGGTGCTACTATGCCATTTTATGCAGTATCAGAAAAATGTAAATAAAACCATTGGACAGAATATATTGTAAAGGAAATTTTATAATCTAAGAAATCAAAATTCATAGATTGGAGGCTTCTCATGAGCACATCTGGTTGCCTTATTTTATTGACAAGAAATAGAAGTCCCAGATAGGTTGATAGCTTACTTAACACCGTATACTTTATGTCAAAGTTAGACAGAGAACTTTGTTTTCCTAATATCTGATTTTGTTATTTATAAATTGCATTGTATTATATATCATTATATTTCACTATATCAAGTTAACCGATAACATTTAAGGCAAAAGCTGTATTCTGCTCTATATTAATTATTTTTGGATTATTTATAGTGATTGCCTTAGTTAGGATTACAAGAAAATGGACTAAAACCATAAAAACAGTAATAGTATATCTGAGTAGAATCCAAAGACACTTGCACTGGAAAAACTGAGTGGTGAGGTGAAGTTATTTGTAGACTGTTCCATAAAGAGAGGGTTGCGTGAAGACTTCTCTGTCCAGCATAACTAGTATTTTCATTGATCATTTCATGAAAAAACTAAAAATGCCAGATAAAACATTAAAAAATGTGTTAAATTGCTTTTATGAAAGATAGGATTCACATAAGCAAAATAACACAAACGAACTGCAGAGAGATATTAGACAAAGTACTGCTAAAGCCAGTTTTCACCCTAAGGGTATTTACCAAACCCAAGTGAACTAGCATGGCACAGGAGAACAGGAACAAAGCCCAGGACCTGTGCAACCTGGGGAGTCTGACAGAAGCATCCCCATCATCTACATAAAGCATATGGATCATCTAAAAATATCATCTCTTTCCCATAATACCCCACCTCCTATAAGAGACTAAAAGGAAGTTGGTCACCTTGACACAGGCTGAGGGGAGAAAAAAATCCCTAAAGAATTCTTAACTAGATATCTTGTCAAAATATACATCCTCTGGGTAGTGTGAGGAAAGTTTAAAGTGAGAATTGAGTTCAAAATGAGTTCCAGGTTGGTAGTGCCCTTAAGTGGACTAGCAGAACTGTTGCTAATGTTTGGGATAGGACCTACTTTCAAACCGGGCCTTAAAGAATTGCTGTAGATAAAGATCTAAGGAATATGAGAGTATAAAACATGCAAACATACACACACATGATACACAGGATAAAGTTAATCAGGATTCAGTAGAGGTGAAAGGAGAAGAACCAGATCAGCAAAGACTTCCAATAATGTAATTATCAGACACATGATACAGGCTTATTTTTTAATATGATTTTAATTAATAAACTTTCACCTTAATGACTCCTGCCTTTTATACCTTTTTCTTGCTTTATTGCAGTGTTTATTTTTAATGGCTGCATAATATTCTAGTTATATATATATATTTATGTGTGTGTACATCTGTATTTATGTTTATTTAATCTAGTTTCTGTTTTGCATTTTGAGAGCTTTTTTTTTTAAAGTTCAATATACCATTCTGTGAGGAACATCTTTGTTGCCAAATCTTAATCTCACCCATGCTATTATTTTTTAATGAGGTTGGGAGTAAATTCCTAGAACTGAAATTTTGAGATCAAATAGTATTCAAAATGTTAATTAACACTTTGTGCATGTGCTTTATAACAATCAAGACTGAGCAAATGGAAAATGAAAATTTTGGGTTTACATGTAAGTGTGCTAGACAAATGTGGAGCAAATAAGATTGGAAAAATTCACTACTTTTTGCTTTGGTGGGTGGTCGACATTGAATTTACTGAATTCAGTGAAGGACGGAGGTCAGTACTTCAAACATAGAACACTTAACCTTTTTTCTATTGGTTGGTGTCATTATTTTGATTGTAGATATGTAGGAGTGCTGTATGTCCTTTTGTTATCAATATAGTACTCCATCAGAGCAAAAATTTAAAGTGTATTCTACCTTGGAGATCTGGGAAATAGTCTGAGTCTGGATAGACTATAAAATGATGATTATTTTTGTCAATTATTTATTGAACATAGTAAATGTACAACAAGTAATATTATATATCATAATATGTAACATTCTCTGTGAAAACAGGAAAAATGCCTCTAGCAATTGTAATTTTGAGTATTGATCTCGTCATGGCTCATATTTTGCTGGCTTGGAAGACTGATTTTGATTTTGTTAGAATATTACAAAAATTGCTTCCTAGAGTGTTTGGAAAGTTGACTGTTGCCAGTTAAGCCTAAACAGCAACTATAGGTTTGCTGGTAAAGTTATTTAAAGCCACCTGTGCCTCAGTAATCCAGATGCTTCTAATGAGTCATGAAATAATGCTGTTTCTGTTTAGATGCCAGCTCTGATTATCTTTATCAGTAAGCTAAATGGCACCATGTTTTGCAACCTGTATTTTGACTCTGATTTTGTATTTACAGAGCACTCGATCTCTCCGGCTTCTCTTAGTCATTTTGAGTTATGCTTGTTATGCCAATCCGTTCAAAATAATTTCTTTCCAAATTTGGGAGTACTTAGATTTAAGCACACCTCTGTGCGTGAAGACAATGACAGCATTTAAACAACACTATTTCTTCTATATGAACTAGTACTAATCATTTCCAGTGGCCTAAGCTCTTTTGTGGACCCTTTCACAGACAAAACAAGATTGATAGGCTCAACATGTTTTCAGTTTGAGGTTTATTCACATCAGAAATCTACTGCCCAACTGGCAAGCCGTCATCAGAGGATTCTCAGCTAGCCAACCATACGCTTTAGGTCAGCAATGAGATGGGCTCACCTGATTAGAGAACTTCATGGCATTCTGTTGTCCTTCATATCACTCTTGCTGTTACAGGAATTACAGAGCAAACAGTAAAGTCTTCTGCAATCTGAAACTTGAGTGAGAAGAGAAACCATATTGTCTGTTTTAATTGTGAGGGATAAAACAGAATAGACACTTAGTACAAAGAATGCAGATAGCACAGATACTTTCCTAGTTGGCCCAGTTCCCCAGTGCTTCTGCTGTAGCCATCATCTGTTATGTCTGGTAATGCCTTCTCAATGATTCTTTGACATACACAAGACCACCCCTACAAGAGCCAGGTGAGAGAGCCTAGAGAAGAAAATATTAATACTTTCTTTCTCTGCGTGCTGCCTACCTTCTCTGTCTCCCTGTTTTCTGTGTGTGTGTGTGTGTGTGTGTGTTTGTTTTTTTTTGTTGTTGTTAGTTTGTTTTGAGACAGAGTCTCCCTCTGTTACCCAGGCTGGAGTGCAGCGGCCTAATCTTGGTTTACTGCAACTTCCACTTCCCAAGTTCAAGCAATTCTCGTGCCTCAGCCTCCCATGTAGCTGGGACCACAAGCGTGCATCACCACACCTGGCTAGTTTTTTTTTGTATTTTTAATAGAGACCAGGTTTCACCATCTTGGCCAGGCTGGTTTCGAACTCCTGACCTTAAGTGATCCACCCGCCTCAGCCTCCCAAAGTGCTGGAATTACAGGTGTGAGCCACCGGGCCCAGCCATTTTCTGTTAACCAACTAGTTACTTAAAAACAAAAAACCTAGCATTAGGGTCCAGCCTCTTTGAAAAGCAATCTGGCAGTTTCTGAAGATGTTTAACACAGAGTTACCATATGACTTAGCAATTTCAGTTCTAGATATACTGAGGAGAATTGAAACATACATCCACACAAAACTTGTACCTGGATGTTTCTAGCAGCATTATTTAATCCAAACAGTAGAGATGCCCAAATGTTCATCTGCTGATAAATGGATAAATTAAATGTGGTGTATACATCCATTGGAATATTATTCTTCCATAAAAGGAAATGAAGTACTGATTCCTGCTACACCACTGATGAACCTTGAAAACATTATGCTTAGTGAAAAAAGAATGAAATGTAATTAGAAGTAGGGTTCCCCAGCTCACACACATGAGAATCTCTGAGCTAGATATACTCAAATAGCCACTAAAACATATTTAATAGATTCAAGATAATTAAATCTGGAGAATCAGTTAAAGAGTGGAAAGAGAAGAATTACTGCAGTCTTCCAAAGTAACCTTAAAATAAAGTGAGTTGTAGGATAATGTCACAAAGGTAGGAATGCTCCTCAGTGGTTGTCAATTAAAACTCCCTTGTGCCTTGTTGATCAACCATTTAAAAATATGCGTGGAGTCACTGTGTATCCTTTGGTAATTGGCTCATATCTTACATTTTGCTCTTCCTAGAACATGCCATTTTCAGACTCCATTATAGAAACATTGGGCACTGCTGCTAATGGATCCTCCTTTGACTTATGCTCATGGAAGAGCTCCAGGTGAACACATTTTACTGATGGCTCAGGATGAGCTATTATTAACCTTCAAATTTGTTGCTTCATTTTTGTTTCTTCCCTTGTTATCTTGTCCTTCCACTCCTCTTTTAATTTATTGTAAGGAGATAATTGAGAAAGGTACTTTTTTTCTCTTGTTTTGTTTTCTAAACCAAGAGACTACCTCAAAATAAATAGTAGATTATTGTAGAATTCATTGTTATTTAGGAGCTAGAATGTACTCAGTTGTTGAACTACAAAAAAAAATATGATTTTTATTTGTTTATGAGAATTATTTTATGGTCATTAGCCAAAAATCTAGGAGAGAGTCTTACTTGAAGCAAAACTCCGATTAGTTATTTCCATTCTAGCAGTCTACTGACATGGACGTTTCCAACACACGTAAGATACTGCACATACACGTGACATGCTGTTCTTTTTACTTCAAAACATATGAGAGATGTCCTTCTCACAATAATCCATCATTAGGTACTCCTAAATTTAGATTCTCTGTCTTGACATTTTGCCTATACCTGTGAGTGACTCTAGGGAGGACCAAAAGGATCTTTCCTTTCTCCTCTGGGTTGAGATCCTTGGAATTTCCCTTATTTCCTTCATTTCTCTGGAGCCTTATGGCCACCTTTTTAAGGCCCTACCTCTTAATACTGTTGCATGGCAATCAATGTGAGTTTTGAAGGGGACATTCAAACCATAGCTTTTTTCTGTGTTGTGAGGAAACTGCAAGACGTTGTTTGGGTCTTGGATGATTAGAAATGTGGAAATGATCTGTGGTAACAGTAACAGAAGCAAGAAAGGTCTGTTGACTATTTTCTTTTGTCTGTCTGTCTGTCTGTCTGTCTGTCCATCCATCCAATAAAGATAGGGTCTCACTCTGTTGCCCAGGCTGGGGAGCAGTGGTGCACTCATGGTTCACTGCAACCTTGCACTCCTGGACTCAAGCTATCTTCCTGCCTCAGCCTCCCAAGTACCTGGAACTACAGTTGCACCTCACCATGCTGGGCTAATTTTTTAATTTTGTGTAGAGATAGGGTCTTGTTACATTGCCCAGGCTGGTCTGTAACTCCTGGCCTCAAGTGATCCTCCCATCTCGGCCTCCCATAGCGCTGGAATTAAGGGCATGAGCCGTCACACCTGGCCGATTTTTTTTCTTCTTTTGTAGGAGAAACAGAATAGGTGGATTTCTGTCAGTGTTTCTGGGATGACAGGCAAACTCTTCACAGTTCTTTTCTTGAAGGTTGCAAACCTTTGTTTTTTGTTCCTCCCTTCATGTTTTTGACATCCAGGGAGCTCTCACCAGCAATTTGAAGGTGAGGATGGGATAAGTATCATCATAGCCGCTACTAGTCAGGAGAGACAGGAAAACGTAGAGTTCTAGTTCTTGCTGCTGGAACTGTATTAGAGAGGAGAGTATTTCTAGCTTCAGTTGGACCACTAAATGTGTTTTCCCCCCAAACGTTGCATACATGATCATTATATTTATATATATAGGACATAACCTATATATTGTTTCTCTTAAGCTTCACCTACATTTATAGTGAGGCTTTTTGTGTTTTGTCTTGAATAACCAGCTGCTTTATTTAGAGTTGATTCCATGGAAAATATTTTGTGTGTCAAACTCCATCACAATATCAGGGTTCAGTACTCCGTTTTAGACTTTTCCTGCACTACTGTGATCTGGATCCTTTTATTCAACCTGCGAATTCCTTGGAAACATAAAATGATACTAAGCACATTGTAGGATATATAGTTGAAAAAACTGTTCTTGGAGAAACAGACTGAAGTTTGAATAATGAACCTACTCTATGTGTGACCTTGAGCAAGACACTTCATGCCCCTTAATCCCCTGCCATGAGCCTCCATTTTTTCATCTCTATGGTAGATAATAATATTATAGGAATATTATTAGGATGAAGTGAGTATTTTTATGTAAAGGATTCAGCAAAGTGCCAGTTTCTTAGTAGATGTTTGGTAAATCAGAATCAGCCCCTTTCCCTTCTTTTCCTTTTTTTCTACATATCCAGGATAATAACTTGGCACCTGTCTTAACCTAAAGTATAACGCGAGAGCTACACAAGAATAAAATATAATTGAGCACAATATTGACAAGACGTTTACTTGTCTTATGATGAGAATAATGAATTTATTTCTATTTGGGAGATTATCTTTTATAAATAATACTGTAATCAATATACTTTTTCAGCCCTTTCTTGAAACATGGATTTCTCACTGAGCAAACTTTATGTAAAAACATAATTACTATTTGCTCCTAGTTGGTTTGTAGGTAGAATTCACTTGGTCTAAAAAGACATTCTTTCTCGTTTTTTGTTTGTGCATATGTTCATTCAACAAATATGTACTGTGTGCTTATTCCCCGGGAGAAACTATCTTAGGCACAAAGAATACAATTATGAACAAAATAGTATTGTTGTTATTAATAATAATGACACACTACCTAAGAGTTGAGTGCAATAGGTAATTCTTTCCTTGAAGGGGCTTGTTGCCTGGATTTTCTTCCTGTGTCCAGCAGCAGCTCACCCTTGGGTAATACAGTACCATCACTAATTCTGATTTACTTGACTTTGCTGTCATAGTAAATCATTTGAGGGCAAGGATAAGTATTTTACCTTTGTTTTCTTCTTGATATAGCAACAAACCCAAGGTCACATACTTGTAACAAGGTTACCTTTGTGACAAGTTTAGTGGTGGTGGTAGGAGCAGCAACAGCATTAAGCCATAATGATCGCATGTGCTTTAAGAATAAGCACTTACTAAGGAATGTAATCTAAAAGAACCCCTCTGGCAGGGTGACAGCTGTGAATTCAGGGAACTCTTGAACCATTCAGCTGGCTCTTAGAGCCAATTAAAGACCCCATTTATTGATGCAGTCAGGAGTTCCATATTTATTATACTGTATACTATTTCATAATCCTTAGAAAGTAGTTATGAAGCAAAATATTTGCTATAAAAGAATTCACCTTCACTGTGGTTCTTTTCTACGTGGAAAGGCCAATTTAAAAATCAGGACACATTAAAAATGTCAGATGGGGCATGCCACTTCCTATGGCTCAAAAAGTCATGATCATTTTATGCTATTTTCATTGGAGCACTTAGTACAAGATGGTTATAATTTCAACATCTATACATTTAATATTGATTATTTTTAATTGAAAAATAAAGAGTAGGGCTGGGTACTCCCTACTACTTTGGGAGGCCAAGGTGGGAGGATTGCTTGATTTAGGAGTTCAAGACCATCCTGGGCAACATATTGAGACCCTGTTTCTACAAAAAATAAAAGATGAACCAGGTATGGTGGTGTGCACCTCTAGTCTTAGCTGCTCAGGAGCTTGAGGTGGGAGGATCCCTTGAGCCTGGAAGGTTGAGGCTGCAGTGAGCTGTGATCACACCACTGCACTCCAGCCTAGGCAACAGAGCAAGACTGCATCTCTCTCTCTCTTTTTTTTTCTTTTCTTTTTGAGGCAGAGTCTCGCTCTGTCGGCCAGGTTGGAATGCAGTGGCATGATCTCGGCTCACTGCAACCTCTGCCTCCCGGGCTCAAGCAATTCTCCTGCCTCAGCCTCCCGAGTAGCTGGGATTACAGGCATGTACCAACAAGCCTGGCTAATTTTTGTATTTTTAGTACAGACAGGGTTTCACCATGTTGTTCAGGCTGGTCTTGAACTCCTGACCTCAGGTAATCTGCCCACCTCAGCCTCCCAAAGTGCTGGGATTACAGGTGTGAGCCACCGCGCCCAGCCTGACCTCATCTCTTATAAAAAAAAAAAGAGTAGGGGGAATGATGGCTAACACTATCTAATGTTTTTATAAATTAAAAAAAAGTAAAAATTAAGACTAGAGAAAGTTCTTTCTGTCCTGCTAAGTGTTCCCAGCAAATTTCTAAATCTTTCACTTACAGTAATATTTCCACAAAAATAAGGCAAGCATGTTTTACACATTTGTTGTAAAGTTGGTCTCATTAATGATATTGACTAGTATTGTGTTGCCTAAAGTAACAAGAACAACATTTTTTGAATTTGGACTTTCTTTCTCCCTAGTTTGTGAAATCAGTTAGATCGTTCTGTGTTTGGCAATTCTAATGGAAAAGGAGAAGAGCATACTAGGCACAGAACACTGTACTGAATGCCCTTATCTACGTTACTTCCCTTAAACATCACCACAAGTCTTTGAAAAAGTTTATTGCAATCCTTATTTTATAAATGGGAATGCTGACGCTCAGAGAATTTAAATAATTTTATCACACTTATGCTAATAATGAATAGTGGTCTGATGTTTGACACAAGATCATTTTGATTCTTCCCTCTGTTCCATAGTCATTTCAGTGAGAATCCTGTTTCTATTTCTTTCTGAGGCTTTGGTTTCTGTTTGTGTTTTATTAATATGACAATATTTATTACAAACCACATTAAACTCTAGTTGGGTAGAATCAAGGAATAAATAAATGTGGAATCTTATTACTTAAAAGTAAATGAATTCTAAAAGAAGGGACCAGCCTATGAACACTAAGATGTTGTCATTCCAGCAGTTATCAGGTGGCCTTGGTGCCTGTTGCCAGCTGCCTGGGACAGCGTGTCAAATCATCGTCCTTGTAATACTATTGTCAGTTTCCCTTGCATTCCAGCCATCCATCATCATTCGACATTTTCTCTGGTGCCTATCACCTGGCCTCTCACAGCTGCAATTAGACTATAAATATAATGAAGGGAAGGAGTGCTCTGACCTGTCCAGTGCTCTAACCAGGATTGAACAACATGTTCCTTAAGAAGGCTCCTGGCCAGCGACGGTGGCTCACAGCTGTAATCCCAGCACTTTGTGGGGCTGAGGCAGGTGGATCACTTGAGGTCAGGAGTTTGAGACTAGCCTGGCCAACGTGGTGAAACCCTGTCTCTACTAAAAATACAAAAATTAGCTAAGCATGTTGGTGCGTGCCTGTAATCCCAGCTACTCAGGAGGCTGAGACAGGAGAATCGCTTGAACCTGGGAGGCGGAGGTTGCAGTGAACTGAGATCTCACCAGTGTACACCAGCCTAGGGAACAGAGCAAGACTCCATCTCCAAAAAAAAAAGGTTCCTGACAGTAGGTCCCAGGTTATTTGATCATGAGAAGGCTCATGAGGAAAAGTGAGTTTTGTTTCTCACCCAGAATACTGAAATGCTGAAGTAGATTTCCGGGGGTCAGGACTCAGACCTTATGATTTTTGGCCGTGACCTTTACTTTTGTTTCTGACAGCTTGATTTTCAAGAATATTTTCATTGGGTTGGCTCTATTTATTGGTAATGTAGTAAGAAACATTTGACTTCTCATCTTCAAGAGGAAATCGTGACAAATGCAGTATAGATGGCACTTGGTAATGAAACTGGAAGAGTATATGAGGTTCCTGTAGGTGGAATTCTGTTTAGGTGTTGGGGTAGGGAGGAGAGTCTCTTTTTTCATATTTCTGCCCGAACTTTACTTTTTATTTAGCTTAACTGCACTATGTGAATCAGTAGTCATCCTTCTGTAGCTAGCAGGGGTTTAGAACTAATGAAAGTATTATTTAGTATCTAATCTCATACCCTGTCAATGTGCATATATTTTCACAGCCAAATCTTCCTCTCACTGACATTTCTAGTGACTCTGACGTTTTATTTTTGGTATTGTAGCTTATCTTTTGTTGTTTTTGTTCTCTGTAATATGGTCATCAACAAACGTTTATTAAGCACACCTACTCCCTATACAGCTTTGAGGATACAGGGAGATTTGCTTACCTGTATTAGTTTTTGACAGTTGCTTACATTGATTCGGGTTTTGACAGTTTACATTTATTAGGCTTTCACACATACTGTCTCATCTAATTGCTATAACATTTTAGCAAGTTAGGTCTTTTTTCCTTTCATTCAGCAAATGTATTCTTGTATAATCACTTTCCAGGAAGTTACATTCCTGGTGGGAAAAAGTGACATAAGGAAGAAAACACATAGTAACAGAAGTGACTTGTGTTAAGGTTCATAATGGGTTATTTTATACATAGTCACTGTTAATGAAATTGTGGACTTTGAGACAGGGGCATTTGACAGTTTGGGGATAGATGTGGGACCTAAAGAAATGGTACGAGGGGAGAGGGACCTCCAGATGGTAGCGCAGTGTGGCTGAGGCATAGAGGTGCGCATGCATAGAGCGCAACTATACATGAAGGTTTTCATTTGACTGGAGCCAGGTTAGTCAGGTCTGAATTTAATTAATGAGTACCTAATATCGTAGCACTTAAGAATATTTAGAAACCATTGGAAATCATCTAGTCTATCTCGTAAAGGTTATCAAAAGACATGTTCATATTGAGTCGATTATTACATTATTTTTATGTAGACTTATTTATCTGTTCCTGAAGTGTGGAATATATCCTAGTTTCTTCTATACACATCTCTTTCATGAATCAATTCTGACTAGATTTTATAATCTTAAAAGGAAATATGTTGTTAAAGAAGTTATATTTATTTATCATTTTTGTAACCGTACCATATGACCTTTCAAGGAGGATTTTATTAAAAGTGTAGTGTTTGTGTCAGTCTTCATGCTTTCCTTAACTCAGCAAAACTTAGCAGCACCTTCATATCTCTGATGCAAATATTGTACAAGATGGATTTTTTTTAAATGAGAAAAAACAGTCCATGATTTTTAATTAAGGGTTGAGTATGCCATTGTATTTTTTGTTATTCTTAAGAAAACGTATGCTCTGATTAGTTGGTAGAAACAACTGATCCAAATGTCTAGACTCTGATGCCTCTGGGAAGTCCTGATGATCCAGGGTATGGATTTCTGAAGCTTCACATGTTTTTATCAGTCGATTTCCAAGATGCCCAGAGACCATTAAGATAGATAATAAATCAAGGGAGATTTAGCTGTGTTTGGTAACATACAAAGAACTATACTCAGAAAGAAAATGTTTAATTTAGAAGAAGGAAACCAAATGTTGCGAGTGTAGATTGCTAGGGTTTTGAGGAAGCCCACTAAATAGTAGCCATCTTTCCTGCTGGGGTTTTGAAACTATTGAGAAATAATTAAGGTAGATAGTTAGTGAAATGTCACTTTTATATTGATTTATGCTAGATTGAAGGATATAACCCAGTTTGAGAATCAAACAAAGCTTGCTAACTGAACATCACAATTAAACAGATTTACTCACCCATTTAGAAAAGATGTTGGCCCACTTCAAGCCTTCTCTGACAAAGCGGGGCCTTTATAGCTAAACTTACACCAGACACCACTGAACTATCTTCAGGCATTCTAGTTTCTAAAGTGGAATATGGGAGTTGCTAAGCCATGCATGCCCAGCCTTTTCTTTTCAATTTTTATCAGTCAGGCGTTATATCACTTCCCCTGGAGTGGGTAAAAGGTGGAGAGAGGTCAGAGATTACATTAGTTGAACTTCATTATAGTGGCAAGAAACATAAGTGGGGGTAGAGTGTTTTTCCCAACATCCAAAGTGATACATCTTTTCACATTCTAAACTCTCTGAAATTAGGATGTATCTGAAATCAGTGGCTGCCTACTGGAAACCAGTCATGGTGAATTGTCACCCACACAGTGTGTGTGAGCTTGGGTTACTCCTTGCACCATGACCCTTCATTGTTTCCGTTAATGAAGCAATTAAGGACCATTTGAGGAAAGAGTATGAGTCCTGGTCGGAATAGGAAAGCCTTCTGTTTAAACCTTCTGATAGCATCAAGAAAGCATCAACTTTAAACTTTGCAGGATGGATATCAGCAGCGTGGAATAAAATATAGGATGCAGCATGGAGCACTGCTTTATGAAACACACGCTGTTGGTGACACTGGATGACAATGTTTAGAAAACAAGGACATTGAAAACTCTTTAGTCAGAGTGATTCGGAAGAGCTAGACTTCAAATATTATTTAGTGTTAAGAATACCTTAACAAACTTATTTTTCTTATATTTCCTTATTGAATGTGCCTGAGAGGTTTATGGTAACCATTTGTTTATGTAAAAAGCCAAAGGAGCTATTCAATAAGGAAAAGGAAACATTCCAAGAAAGCATTATATAGTTTAAATAGCAGGACTTTTTTTTTTCTTAGTGATACATAAAATAATAGTGTGTCTTATAATCATTGGGGTCTTAGATATGATAAAGTGTGATCAGTTAGGCTTATATGAATCTCTGCTCCAATCTTTACACATGCAGCAACTTTGAATGGCAGGCACTTCATCCTTTCTCTGAAAGCTTTATGTGCCATACTATCCAAGATGGACACTGGTCATTAGAGACCAAAATTTTCACCTTAACTGAATTGTAGCCTTGCACTGTTCCTTTAAATGTCGCATTTATTCTTACTGTGAGTCCATGTTCTTACTCAGAGTAAAAGTGCTGTTTTTTGTTTTGTTTTGTTTGTTTGTTTGTTTGTTTGTTTTGAGACGGAGTCTCGCTCTGTCACCCAGGCTTTAGTGCAGTGGCGCAATCTTGGTTCACTGCAGCCTGCACCTCCCAGGTTCAAGCAATTCTCCTGCCTCAACCTCCCAAGTAGCTGGGACTACAGGCACATGCGACCATGCCTGGCTAATTTTTTTTTTTTTTTAATAGAGATGGGGTTTCACCATATTGACCAGGCTGGTCTCGAACTGCTGGCCTCAAGTGATCCACCCTCCTCAGCCTCCCAAAGTGGTGGGACCACAGCTGTGAGCCACCGTGCCCGGCTAGAGTGAAAATTCTAATCTGTTGTTTATTCAAGTGAGGAAGACCAGATGAAGTCATTCAAAATAATTTCGTACATACCGAAGGTTACTGTTTGCAAAGATGGTCCTAATTATGACAGTATAGGACTCATCTAGATATGCTTGGTTTGTTTATTTATAAAAGTTTCAATGAGCTAAGTCTGTTTTTTTTCTTTCTTCTGAAAGGGGGTCCTGATGACAACTTAATTGAAGGTGGAGGAACAAAATTTGTCTGCAAACCTGGAGCCAGAAACATTACCGTCATATTCCACCCATTACTAAGGTAAGTCAAGTGCTATGATATACTTACTGAAGATCAATATTTTCATTATTTATGCTGGTCTACTGAATGCCAGTTGTTGAGTCAGCACTGAAACAAGTCATAAAAGAAATTTATTCCATTTTTAGGGCCTCACTATTAAAGTTAGTCAGTTTAGCAGATAATCTCAATCCCACTGAGTAGCTACTTATTTTCAGGAGTAAATACTTTTATTTGATTTTCTTTTTTTCACACTCGCTACCTCTGTCCCTCTCCTGCCCTCTTCCCTTCCCTCCCTCCCTCTCTCTGTTTTATCTATCTCAGGAGTTGGAAACTGCTTACTGGAGAAATCTACTCTGCACACGTATTTTTAAATACATTTTTATTGACACACAGACATGCTTATTTGTTTATGTATTGCCCATAGCTGCTTTTGTGCTACAAGTGCAGACTTTTAATTGCAACAGGACTCATATGGCCCACAAAGCCTGAAATACTTATTTTCTGGCCCTTTACAGGAAAAAATTGCAAACCCATAATCTGTCCCTCTCATTTACACCAATGTCTGAGATATCCTTTGAGAATTGGCAGGTCTCTGAAATATGATTTATAAAAAATGAAAGACATATACATCAAACATATGTTTTTATATATTGAATGATAACATGATATGACTAGAGTGAAATCTATTCTAATGCTCAGTTCATTGTGATAACATGATTATAGGAAAGTAAGAATCCATGGTGCCTCCATTAAAGAAAAAATATAAATCCTAAATACTTTTAAAAAGGTACTTTATGAGAGTGGAAAAAAGGGGCAATTGTTGAGTAGATAAAACGTTTCAGTTTATGATAAAAAAGTTCTAGAGATCTGTTACATAACCATGTGCGCATAGTTAACACTACTGTATGGTACATTTAAAAAAGGTTGATGGTAAATGTAATGTTATGTATTTTTTTACCACAATTTTTAAAATGCACCTTTTGGGATCCAGATATCTAATATATCAATTGTGTGTTTTCTCTGTAAAGAACCAGAGTATATATTTGTGGCATTTTCGCATAATAGAGCAGAAACTCCTGGATTTACTAAATGTTAGGTACTTCAGAATATCACCTTACCTTTCTCACATCACTTCTATAATATTTGAGGCATTTAGAATAACAGTTAAACAAATGCTGTTGAATTGACCAGATATAATATTATGTATATTTTCTCCAAGCATAAACAGTTTATTACTACAATTATCCTACCTTCTCATTAACCGAGACTTACTAAATTGATACCATTAGAACTAATTACATTCTAATCTCTTATATAGCTAACCAGTGTTCTAAATCGTAGTGGATTAGTTTCCTCAATTGATTTTAAATACAAAAACATAAATATGTAAATTAAATAACAAAAACTTGACTTTCACACAATAAAAAGTTTTTAAAGAAATTTTATTGCCTTTAAGAAGTCTGTTGTAGCAGAGATTTGTAGCAGGTAAATTCATTTAGGAACCATGGGATTAAGAAAATTAAGACTATTAAGAGGTTAAGAGAATTAAAACTATTTCTCTGTAGGTTTAGTTGATAAGTACTATATGTATATAATAAGTAAATTATAACATACAGAATTATAGATTAAATAACATTGATTATTTTTATTTGACTTTGGTAATTAGTTTAGTTTTCACTGTCTTCTTCAATTACAATTGATTTCTACTTAGGTAATGTTGCTAATTGTTAGAAATTGGAAAATACCTTAATCATGATAGGCATCTTCTAACCTAGATTTAATGCCATAATTTGCTGCTAAGTTGGAACTCTTGTGCTTACATTTATTCCCAAGTAGAAAAGAAACCCTTTAGAAACTATTAACCGTGTTGTCAGTAACCACTTTTCAAGAGATTTTTCCTCTAAGTTTTTTCTTTTTAAATGTGAAGTTAGAATGAAATATATATACACACACATATATGTAAATATATATGTTAGTACTTATTTTACACTTAATAAAATGCATTTTTTTGTAGAAGACTCTGGTGGAACTTAATGTATTACAGTTCTTGACAGCTACTTGTTAAGTCTTTATAAATGCTGCTTTGCTAGATAGTTGTTTCAAGGCTTGGTAATACTCCCAGTGGTTTTACTCACTTACTTGGTTTCTACCTTCATTCAGAATTTTAACTTACTAGTGATTAAAACCGGAAAAAGTTTGTTCCCTGATGTAGTTTATCATTCATTCTTTCTCTGTGTATCTCTTAATGGAAATCCCCAAAATATTATGTGGTCTGAAAGGTAAGTTCATTCTTTGATAAACGGATGACTATGATGGAGTTTAAATTAGCCCTTGGCCCAAATTGCAACCTTGTCAAAAACTCCTGATTGGCTTGTGGAACTTGAAATGACTAAGATCTTTTAGTGGATTTTTACTTTTTTTATTTGAGTTTTCACACTTCAGCATTTCCTGAGTGTTGGATTTATTATTTCTTCTAAAGTTCAGAAGTTTAGTTTTTGTAATGAAACGAACCAGTGTTCATTATCACGCTTGTGTATTTTATTAGTACTATTATAATTCAAAATTTTTCTTTTATATTCAACAAATATTTATTGAATACTTATGATGCATATTTTCCTATCTCCAAGTTAGATGTGGTCTCTTGTTCAGATGTAGTTACTCTTATTTTTATGAGACTATGTAAATAAAATTGTGTAGATATGTTTTCTATTCTTTAGAATGGTCATTGCTTTTATTCTATGCTAGTTTAAGTGAGTATGAGTTAGCATTCTGTTATTTGAAAGATAGTGTAGCCTAATGGGAGAGGCAGTGCAGAAGAATGAAAGCTGGAAAAATGTACAGGATTGCAAATTTCAAATGAAAAACATGACAAATAATCTTGGTTCAGGACTAGGCTCCTTCACTTTAGTTTTACTCAATGCTTGTTACTAGACTCTGATTATGCCATGTCCTGGGGAAAGAAAAAAATAAGACCATATCCTTACCTGCAAGCTCCTCTCTTGGTAGCTGCATGGGTTGCAAAAATGAAGAAGCCTGAAAACACCACATATTGGCGAGGACATGGATCAGTGGGATGTCCTATACCTTGTGGGAGGATATAAATTGGTTCAGCCTCTCTCAAAACTGGTTTGACATGATTGAGAAATCACATTTCCTGTTACTCAGCAGTTCCCTCTCCTAATGCTCTTGAATGTGTTTCTACTTGTTATCAACTGACTCATATTATTTTTCTGTCCCAATTTGCCAAACTCTTTTTCTAATTGATTACAATAATTATTCTATATTTATAACTTAGCTCATATTAAAAAATAAGTTTGGCTGGGCACGGTGGCTCACATCTGTAATCCCAACACCTTGGGAAGCCGAGGTGGGTGGATCACCTGAGGTCAGGAGTTTGAGACCAGCCTGGCCGACATGGTGAAACCCTGTCTCTACTAAAAATACAAAAATTAACCAGGCATGGTGGCATGTGCCTGTAATCCCAGCTATTTGGGAGGCTGAGGCAGGAGAATCACTTGAACCCGGAGGCGGAGGTTGCAGTGAGCTGAGATCGCGCCACTGCACTCAAGCCTGGGCAACAAGAGCGAAACTCCATCTCAAAAATAAAATAAGTTCTAGAGGAACTTATCACAAGTTGACTTTTATCAAAAGTCAGGACCTATTTAAACATTGTATCATTTTTTTTTCTTACGTGGTCTCTTGGCAAACTCAGATTTGTTTTCAGTGGAGGGAGAATCCCTTTCAAGTGCGTAGGTCCTTCACTTTCCTTTGCTACTTTTTCCCTATGTCTGGTGTCACTGGTACTCTGTCTTCCTGAAACTTTGCATGACTGTTCTATGCACTTCATTTATTAAAATCATTCAGTTCATAATTTTCATTCAGCTAGCAGTGCGTTCTTTGCAGCCTAGCGGGTTTCTATATTGACAATTCCAACCACCCTTCTAAGAATACCACAGAGCAGTTTCCCGTTATGCTGGTTTATATATTCTCAGCAGTCGTTTTTACTCTCCTTTCATAAAATTATTATACCGGGTCCTCAATTCTGGTAATCTTGCTAACTTATTTTTATACTGTTCTCATAGCTACTGCAGTTCCATCACTAGGAAATCTCACAGGATGTTAGCGTCAAATATACTGACTTCTAATTTGTTCATTCCCCATTAACTCCGCTTATCCCTTTACTTGTTTATTTAATGCTTTCCTTATTGTTTTTTCTTTACAGTCAGGCATGTCTCTTAGAGAGTAAATTTCTGGAAAGAAATGGGCTTTAGTATTATCTTCCTTGCTTTACTCTTAGCCTACCAAGACATTGTCTGTAATTAAACCTTTAATGAATGTTTTTAATGATAGTTTTTTTTTTGTTTGTTTTTGTTTTTTGTTTTTTAAATAGACGGAGTCTCACTCTGTCGCCCAGGCTGGAGTGCAATGGTGCAATCTCGGCTCACTGCAAACTCTGCCTCCTGGGTTTAAGCAATTCTCGTGCCTCAGCCTCCCAGATAGCTGGGGTTACAGGCATGCGCCACCATGCCCGGCTAATATGTTTTAGTAGAGACAGGGATTCGCCATGTTGGCCAGGCTGGTCTAGAACTCCTAACAGGTGATCCGCCCGCCTCGGCCTCCCAAAATGCTGAGATTACAGGTGTGAGCCACTATGCTCAGCCAATAATGGGTCATCTAATCAGTGTTTCTGCCTGTGGGTCTAAATGAACAAAACCGTATTAAAACAAAGGTTTCTAGCCATGCCCGGATAGATTCTGAAATACTTTCCCTAAAATACAGACTCTGAAAATGATATAACTGATGCCTTTTTTTCTTCCATTGACATGTTTCCTGTCTTTCAGCTCTCTCTAGAAGACTTTTAAGACGAATGAATTCATTCTTATAAATGGAATTTATGTTATGGGCCTTGATTTTGGGGAACAGAAGGAAGATATGTTAATGTTGGAATTTGAGTGACATTATTTCTCTTCTTTTGTGTAGTTCTGACATGGATTTAGGTTTCTTTCCAAAAATAATTATTTTTGAATAATTACATCATGGTAGTTATTAACCATGATCTGCATATAAAGGAACCTTTGGCAATGAAGTACATTTTATTGCAGTATCAACCACAATTTAAATCAGAGTGACACTTTTTGTTACAATTAATATATAATGTAGTCTTTTCAGGAAATTTGAAAGTACTTTGTAGCTGTTATTTGTGGGATTTGTGGGGAGAAGGAGTGAGAATTTATTTTTCTCTTTGTGTTTTCATTCATTTCTTATTCTTTATTCTCTCCAAGTCTAAAAACAGATAATTTATTGTGCCTTAGATTTGTTAGTACAGTTCTTTCATGTAGCAAACACAGGTGAGAACACAAGTTATTTCTTAGAAAATCTAAATGCTTGCACCTAACCAGAAGTATCATTCAGAAAATACTCTAATGCCTTTTTTTCTTCCTGGACCAATAAGGTATATTGGTAGGAGCATTGCTAAATTGAAACAAAGTCATGCCTTTGACAGGTGCACTTAGCACCTCATAACCACAGAGTCCCAGTTAAACAGGTGGAATTGTCAAAGAAGGATGGCAGCACTTAATGCAGCCCATCACTGCTTTAGAAACAGGGTTTAGCTAGGACATGACTCAGGAACAAGTACACCCTGGCCCAAGGAAACCTTCCGAGTCCTCACATGGCCTCTTCCCTGTGCACTGGGACAGAGCTCCCTGGAGTCCCTTCCTCTTACAAGAATATCAGCTCTATGGGATCAGGGCCCTGCCATTGTGACCTCATTTGACCTTAATTACCTCCTTTAGAGAATATATATTAAAATTCACTGTCAGAACAGACTATTAATTAAAGTGGTATTTAATCGTCCTTTTAGCATTGGAGCCCTATTTCAACTGGAAAGGAGTTTTGTGCATTGTATGAGAGAGAGAGAAACTAGACCACTAAAAGTGAAGTGTTGGGGCTGGGTAGAAATGAACACATTCTAAGTTTTGATGTCTGCCAAATCACTGTGAGCCTTTGTTTCCCTTATCTGTAAAGGAAGGAAAAACATTCATTAAGTGTTTGATGACAGTGTCTTGGTAGGTAAAGAGTAAAGCAAGCAAGATAATACTATACCTCATTTCTTTCAGAAATTTACTCTTTAAGAGACAACGCTTAACCAGAAAGAGAAAACAGCAAGGAAAAGCATTAAATAAATGAGTTGGTTGGTTTGGATGTTGCTTTCTACCTGTTAAGTTTTGTGATTCTGTGACTGGGCAGTGCTTTTATAATATTTAGGGAATCTGAAGGCCTGGCATTTTGAAATTTAAAAGTTTATGCAAAAAGTGAGTTTTATAGTATGTTGGAGAATTGCTGCTTATTTGCTTCAACTGGCTTTTAAAAGGCATTTGGCTCTTTAGGGTAATGAACACTTGGCATGCATGAAGTAATATGTTTCTTACAGGAGAACCAAAGAACAGTTGTTTGCAGTCTTGTAGTGACATGGCAGAGGCAGGAGGCTGGGGACATGGGGATGATGATGCCATTCAAATTGCAAAGTGTTACTGATGCTGGTTCTGTTGAACACTGCTGGAATATTGAATATCTGGGCTATGAGCATTTTTCACTAGTAATTATTCACACCTCATTAAGATCAGACATCAGTTAATGTCTTTCTAGGTAGAGCAAAAAGTGAAATATTTATTGGTCAGTGAGTAAAGTCCTGGCATCTAGGTCAGTTAAGAAGATGAACCTCTCTTGGCAACTTGGGCTTTTGGTGATAGACAGTATGGTTGGCTGTGTAACATTCTTAAGACTAGTAACAGTCAGAACAAGTAGTTGTAGTCATATCATCTAATGTATAGAGAATAATTTCTAAAAATTACTCTTAGATGTATATGTTACATGTAGAAATCGCCATATTGCAGCAGTACAGGGTACTGTTTCATGGCCTGTTTGTGAAATAGCTTTGAAATGCCTATGATTAAGAGATGCTTAAAGTTAGGAGGACAGGAAGTAACTAAATCCAAACCTGGAGGAGTGAAAGGCTCCAAAGGTGATTATGCTATTAACTAGTAATTTCTGTTTCCAAAAGTGACATTTCAAAGTAAAAGACAATTGTGATTAACATTTTTATTTTATACTTTTTGTTTTAATAATTATAGTACTTATAATATCACATATTGCCAATATTTCCAGATCAAAGGCATATATAATTTGCTGTTATAATTAAGCACATTTTCCCTAATATTTTTATCTTTGAAAAATGCAGTGACATTGTTCTACCCATGTCAGTTTGATGTGTACATTGATACTTATTTAGCAGAATATTATTCTCAGTGTTCACAGGTATGTGATATTTTTATACAGATGCATGTTTGTTCTTAATGAGCTAAAGCCTATGTAGACATTTTGAAAGATGTTAGTGATTAGACAGCCTAGCAAATAATGTTGTAGATCACATATTATTCATGCATGGGAGGAAATATAGACACCTTGTTGCATTTTTATGAAACACAGCCATTTTTCCCCCTATGCTCAGAATTATGAAAAAATATTGCTAGTTTTCAGTCTGCCTGACCTGTAAGGTCTGTGAAGTGCTGAGTGGTTGGTATACATAGATTTCAAACCCTGTATTTGAGTAACTTCTTTTGAATTAATATTATAAATGTTAAATGCTATAAACCTTCAAACCACCTAACTTTTGGAGATTAAAAAATTTCATTCTAAACTTTTTTTACTTTTATATTTTCAAAATGTATGACATATGGCTAAACACCGATTGCAACTAACTGGGCGGTTTTATACTACTGAATAAAATGGAGAGCCAGTCAAGATATCAACCCATGTATCTATGCACATTTCAGCAGTTTCTAAAGAGGTGAGGCATCCCAATCTAGTTAGCACAAAAGAATAGGCGGTTTCTCATGAGAAACAGTAGGGAAAACGGGAAATGTTAGTGAAAAACAGAGGAGAAACAGAAGATTTTTTATCTATTTACATATATAAAGAGATCACTTTATATAGAAATCACTTAAAGAGATAGTTATTTTGTTATTTGTTGCTTCATAAGTATGGATTATAACTAGTTGGTTGTATGTTTAGAGAGATTCTACTCTACACAATGAGAATTTTCAAATGAATAAGGCAGCAGAAATAGGAAAGCTTTTCTTGGGAGATAATATTTTTCATGGAAATGCTTAACCAGAAGTTGAAGTTATGATGCAGTTAACTGGTTGTTGAATTTCCAGGTCTACATTCTTTAAATCTCTGATTGTAAGCCTTCCTAATATACTGTGCAGCTTCAGAGCTCGGGGTAGATATGTTTCTTCCAATCTTGCTCATTTGAGTTACTTTTTTATACTTCAGCTTAATGCTGATGATTATCATTGGCAGAGTCAAGGAGTATAGTTGACTTCTGTGTCGCTTCAGCATTGACTTTCTTCTTTGGAACACAAAGAGACTCATGGAGGGGTTGTTAGACGAATGCCACCCCTCCCTACCATATAGTTGCTTCTGTCCTCTTTCTTTTTTTCTTCTCTGCTTTTGTTTTTGTATTTTTCTTTTTCCTTTTCATGTCCAGTAACTGGTACGTACGAGTATAACTTAACTCTTCCAGTGACTGTTAAAGGAAAAAGAAAACTAGCTTTCTTCTGTTGTAAAAGCTAATGTGGGACCAACGCTGTATTTCCAAATAAACCTAAAATCAGCATGACTTTGCTGCTGTGATTTTGACCTAGATTTAAGCTGATATTTTAGATGCAGGTTTTCGTCTCTTTATCAATTATTTTTTTTTATTATCGATTAACCTTATTAGCAGCTTATATATAAAAGACAGTAGAAAAGACTATTCAGAACAAAATGCTTGCATAATTTGTATGCTGCTTTTTATGTATTCTGAACATGTGTTCGTCTTTTGGACTGCAGTACCCAAAATGTGCTTATTCAGCATTTGACGAAATATGTTTATGTCCAGCCACAGGGCCATTTACATCTGATTTTGAAATCTGAATTGATAATGTAATTTGGTGTTAAAAATAACATAGGCATACCTAGGGGGAAAATACAGTCTCTCCCTTTAATAACGTATATTCCTTTGAGTGTTGGCTATGCATTGTTTCCTTGTATGATTTGGAAAATTATTTTATCATTCCCCTTGCTCCTCAGAAAACAGAAAGACACACACACCCCCTCTTTCCGATTTGTTCTGTTTCTGTTTTGCATTCTTTGTTACTGGGTCTGCTATATAATACCAAAGACTCTTCTTTGGTCATAAGTGTCATTTGAACATTTGATCATTAATATTGCCTACTGTGTTTTTAAAAAATGTGTCATACTGCCTGTGAAGTATTTTTCATTTCATGGTCATGAAATCTTTTTTATTTTCCTTTTGTAGTTAAACAAAAATAGGCCCCAAAATAAGCAATGCTATTTTCTCAGGACTTTATTATTTATTAACCGAGAAAGGAAACTTCTTTGATTCAGCAAGATAAGTGAGAAGAGCCAGCTAGAAAGGAGAAGAAGGTGGAAGCATCATAAAGGAAGTTTTAGTTTTTAATTACCTTAATTTCATTTTTTGGTAAGAGTAGTGGTTATGAACCTGGGAAGTGCTGGGTCTGACTTTCTTGTTGCACTTGAAATAATTGCTGGAATGTTTGATGTTTTTATGTTGTTTTTATTAGTTGTGAAAGAATAGTAATTTTGACAATTGCTATTTTTAAACTCGATGAGCATTCTTCAAAGTCCATTTCTGTAAAATACCACATTGTAAATACATGAGAAAGTATTCAATAATGTCAAGAAGAAAAAAAAACTAACACTAACAAGTTTCTAGGGTATCACTCTTTAGTGAAGGAATATGGAAGTATGTTACTTAATTGGACTCTGTAAATTCAGAATCTCTAAATTTTAAAAATCTTTTAAAATTTTTATTGAGCTATACATACATACATTCAAATGTATAAATCTGTACACATATTTTTAAATATTTGTATATTTATATGAATTTTTACATGTGTATACATAAGTGTAACCATGACCCAAATCAAGATATTAGACATCGACATAGATCATTTTCAGTACCCTAGAAGACTTGCTTATATTGACAGTCAATCCCTTTCCCTGAGAGATAACCATTATTGTGAATTCTATCCCTACAGATAGATTGGTTTTGCCTATGGTTTAACTTCATATAAATGGAATCATATAGTATGTCCTCTTTGGTGCCTGACATTTGTGTGACATGATGTCTATGTTGGTCATCCATAGACTAACAATGATTTCTTTATGTTAGTCATTGTGTCAGTATACTACTGAAATGAGCAATTATAAAATATAATATTTAATCATTAATTTGGAATAAAAGAACTTTCAGAATCCTGTGATCCTAAAAACTGTTCACAATTTAAACTTCTTCTAAACAGCTTTCCAAGAAATCTTTTGATTTCTTATCTTGTGGGGCCAAGGAGGTTCTCAGGGCAGTAAGAGATCTTGCGGTGGAGCAGTGTCCAGCAGAGCAGTGAGCCAGCATAGCTGGAAGCCACATTCTCTTCATGATGAATGTAGACTGTTTCCTACAGCTTTGGTAGTAAAAGCTAGCGGAGCAAAAATTAGTTGACATGTTTCCTAGACTTTGGGTTTTCTGATCAGTCAGTGAAAAGATAATTGGCAATTAACATGAGTTGCTACTTTTATTAAAGAAAAGGGATTTTTCTTAGAATTAAGATCCATCCTTTTTAAGGAAAGATAATTGGCAACTTAAAATCGACATTCTCTCTCTCTCTCTTTTTTTTTTTAAGAGAGAGGATCTTGCTGTGTTGCCCAGGCTGGAGTGCAGTGGCTGTTCAGAGGTGCAGTAATAGCACACTGCAGAATGCCTGGGCTCAAGCGATCCTCCCACCTTAGCCTCCATACCTGGCGTAAGTCAATGTTCTTAAGCCAACATTAATATGTAGGCTAGTTTTTGGAGACAGTAAATTCAGTCAAGGAGGGAGGAGAGAAGCTTGACATGAGGGATTAGCCAAGAACCAGATGCAGAATTATCACAGGAAGCCATGAGCAGGTATGGACCCAATTGAGAGACCCTAACATAGTTGTAGTGAGTTGGGAATTTACTTTTATTGATTGTAAATCACATCCTTCTGGTCCCTAACAGGCAGTCACTAAAAATGTTTTGAGTAAATGAGCAAATGAATTGAAGGTAAAAGTGATGGGGGCAGTTTTAAATGTATAAGGCAAATTGGATGGATATTGAATATTCTTTCAGTATGTCTACAGTACCTTTCATTGTAATTCTTGAATATTAAAAGATACTTTTTAAATCTCTACACTGTCCTGAGCACACATATATATATAGATACACACACATACATATACGTACATACAAACACACACACTCATTGCCTTCACTTTAGCTAGTTGATTATTAGAATATATTCTGTACAGTCACATTTGTTCCAGCCACTTTGTTTTTGAAGTTTTAGTACATCTGCAGCCTCTCCTGGTGGCTGCCAGTATCGCTGTCACCTGCAATGCTTTGCCAACCACCTGAAGCTCTCTTACTCTGTCCAGTGTGCTGAAGGTGCTGGCATCCATCAATATCTTTTTTGCATATTCTATTTAGTTTTGCTTTTTGCATCTGTGAAAAATAGTAGAACATCTTCTCAATGTAAGAGTGGAAATAAGAATAGTAAAGAAAATTGTACAAAAATAGGCCACTAAATTCATTCTTTAGCATGAAATTAGAAATGCTGAACAGGTTCGATAGAGGTGCATCAATGCTCAGAAATGCATCTAAGTGAATCTACAGCTCTTTCTTACTTTGAAGCTTTTAAGAAAATTGATACGAGGATTTCACTGAAGATTAAAAAGAAACCAACATCCTTCTCTGAACGTTGGAGGTCTGTCTGCTTTATAAGCCTCAACTCATTATATTTTCTTTTTTACATGTTTTTGATTGACATGTTGATTTTAAAAATGCAACTTCAACATTCAGTGGGAGTTGACAGTATTTAAACTGAATTTTGGGGCAAAATTCTTCAATATAGTCATATTTTTCTGTTATTTTTAATTCATTCTTTTTTTTCCAGCAAATACTCGCTGAGTGCTTACTATATACCAGACACTGTCCTTGGCTTTGTGGAAGCTGTGTTCCTAATGAGGGTATTGTGGTAATTTGAGAATAAGAGAAAATCTATGATAAAGGAGTCCCTCATTCCACTAATGCTAAATTTCTTCCAGTTTCCTTTTTTACACGTAGAAGATTATCTGTTGTAGAGGCACAGCTCTTTTCATGCCATTTCTTTTTCAGAGGCAGTTTCACCTCTGATCTTCATCCTATTTCCCTCCATCCCCTTTGGGATCCAGATCAAAAAATCTTGAAGTTCTACTTAGAAGATCCTTGTCCCTCTTACCCCACACGTCTAGTGTTGCTAGTTTCTACCAGTCCTGCTTTATAAATATGTCTCAAATTTATCCATTCCCTGCTTTTGATACTTGTTGCCATTGCTTTAGTCGCTCAGTTTCCTAACTGGTTTCTGCTACTCCAAACCTAAACTTCTTTAATCCATCTTCTACACTACTTCCGGAGTGATCATGTCACTCCCCTCCTTCTTTGTGATTTCTTATCCTCAGCCCTTGAAGTGGAATTCCTTGTTGTAGAATAGAAGGCCTGACTTTCTGACTTTATGCACACTGATCTCAGGCCCCCTTGTACACTTCAAAGCCACGAATCCTTCCTTTTTCCAGGTCTGTCATGCTATTTTCAAAATTTTTTTCTTTCTACCAAAAATGCATCTACCAACACTGACCTTTGACCTCCTTCATTATCTGAAAGACATTTTATCCTTCAAGAATCAGCGCATGTATCCCCTTTTCTTCCAACTTTTTCCTGTGCCTGCTCTTACTCACCCTTACATAATGTAAGTGGATTGCTGTCTGCTTTTAAAAAATTATTGTGATTTTGCCATATTTTTATTATAGCACCTGGCACATTGTCTGGAGATGACTCAAAAGAGAACACAGGTGTTATTTGATGTATTAGTCAGGGTTCTCTAGAACCTCACACAATCACAAGGTCCCACAATAGGCTGAGGGACCCACAATAGCCTGCAGGCTGGGGAGCAAGAAGAGCCAGTCCAAGTTCCAAAACTGAAGAGCTTAGAGTCCAACGTTTGAGGGCAGGAAGTATCTAGCATGGGAGAAGATGTAGGCTGGAAGGCTAGGTCAGTCTCTCTTTTCACATTTTTCTGCCTGCTTTATTCTAGCCGCACTAGCAGCTGATTAGAATGTGCCCACCCAAATTAAGGGTGGGTCTGCCTTTCCCAGCCCACTGACTCAAATGTTAATCTTTGGTAACACCCTCACAGACACACGCACAATCCGTACTTTGTATCTTTCAATCCAGTCAAGTTGACACTCAGTATTAACCATCCCAAGTCCACCCCTTGTCAACTTGAACCCATACACATCTCCTGAGATCATACATAATCTTAAAATAAAGACAATAATAAGGTCAAAATTACGCCTAACATAATACAACTATCCTTTGTACAACCAGAAACACACCAATCCTCAGCCCAAATGCTGCTACATAAAGTTAACAATACTTAAATGCTGATATGAAGTCAATAAATCTTATGTCACATGATGAAGGAAAAAGGAAATAAAATGAAGAAACTTTCTTAATGCAAGTGTATACATACACAAACATGTTTTTAACAAAAGAAGGAGGAAATACTCATGATAATTACAGTCCTCATTTCTGTAACTGGTCACGTGGTCATGGCTGGTATTGATGACTACTTCCTCTACTGATCATTTTCCTTTCCCCAATGTACAGTTACCGTGGTAAAAGGCCAGAGGTCTCCTTGGGGAAGGATGGGAGAAAGATTCACTGCATAAATTGTCAGTAATGCGGTAGGCTTCTTCCTCAAGGGGACCCGGCCTCCCGTTCATTCAAGGAGTTCTGGGTCTGTAAACTGGCTCAAGTCTGAAAATTGATTGAGGGGCTTTGATTCTCTGTTTTTATAATTCAAATTAGTCTTTTGTCCATTTGACCTAGAAGTTTTCTGCTTATATAAATTAAGTAGGTATGCAGTAGGCTTCCTATCAATTTCACTTTTAGGAATGCTGTGATTAATTAGCCAATGCCAGAGCTCTACAGAAGTCAGACTATTCTGATTGCTGCTCTGCCCTTGCTGTCCATTACGGTAGCTATGCCTACTTTGCGTTTGATGGTTGAGTGCCATCACTTGACCCCTGCCATCTTGGGATGCAGTTATTCCCATTGTATTTAAATTTTGTAGTTGAATGACTGTGGTTCCCATGGTTAGATCTGTTATAACTTTATTACTATGATTATGATGTTTACTTGAATATGTAAAGTATATAATAGCATTAATAGCTAACATTTAAGTACAGTTTGCAAAATATGTGAAAATACATTGTCTTTTTTGGTCCTCATACCAACCCTAAGAAATAGTTTGAAGGAGTCATATTATTTCTGTTTTATAGTTGAGGCTTGGACAGTTTCTTGTTTAAAGTGACATGGTATTAGAGACAAAACTTAAAACCCGTGAATCTGATTCTAAATCTTGTGTTTTCTGCACTTTGTTGGATCTGGTGCCTGGGCATGAAGAGAGCCATTCCCAGGTACTCCATGGGATGTACCACAAGGTGATTCAGGGATTCAGGCCACCTCCATTTGGTGGCCCCCCTCACGCCTAGGCCCTCAGAATCTTTTCATTTAGTAAGTGCATGAGAAAGATGGGATTGTAGAACTCTCTTTTAAGCATCATTTCCTTCATTTTTCTGTATTCTTCCTGTGGTGCAAACTATTTAAAGTTTTGTGAGCCACAGTGCTCAGCCATAGCTGTATCCCCTTTGCATCTTTGTATGTGTTTTCTTTCTCTCTACTCGATGCCCTTTTCCTCCTCCTTCACCTGGTGAATTTCTGCTCATCCCTCAGCAACATCTTTTCTGGGGAGCCTTCTGCCACCTTTTTTTTTTTTTTTTTTTCTTTGAGATGGAATCTTGCTCTGTTGCCCAGGCTGGAGTGCAGTGGCATGATCTCGGCTCACTGCAACCTCCGCCTCCCGGGTTCAAGTGATTCTCCTGCCTCAGCCTCCCAAGTAGCTGGGACTACAGGCGTGTGCCACCATGCCTGGCTAATTTTTTGTATTTTTAGTAGAGTTGGGGTTTTCACTGTGTTAGCCAGGATGGTCTCTATCTCCTGACCTCGTGATCAACCTGCCTCGACCTCCCAGAGTGCTAGGATTACAGGCATGAGCCACCACACCTGGCCCTCTATCACCTCTCTTATTCCTCCTCTTCTCTCAGTGGTCCCTTTCCTTTTCCTCTGTGCCCTTGTGGGACCTAGCAGGTTATTTCCTGAGTATTTGTTCTCCCTCATAAAGAAGATGCTAGGGACCATTTTTTGATTGGCTTTGCATAACTAGAACTTGAATGATTTTTAGCACACACTAGATTCTCAGTAAATATTTGGTGATTTTTATTTGGTAATGTGATTTTTTTATGGAAATTAAGGTCATATAGTTCTCTGTCAGAACCAGGATATCAAGAACAGGGTTGTTAGGAATTCACACAGTTCATCGTTCAGGTTTTGTGCTCCTGTGTACCTTTGGACCATTGCCCCCTAAAATAGATTTTCATCCAATGTTTCTTCTTGGAGTTGCTTTTGATATCCAAATAGACAAATTACAAATATGCACTTCCAAATGTATTTTGTGGTAAAGTTATGTAAAGAGGACTAGTTTTTATTTAGGTAATTGTAAAGATGAGGCTGAAGCAGATAAAGAAGGTCTTTTGTTTTGCAATCTTTATTGCTTTATGTTAGCTGGCAGGCTGCCTGTGTTTGATTAAAAATGATAGTCTGTAAACTCCTTAAGTTAGACCATTAATTTCCCATGACAGCACACGAAGCTTCTCCTCTCCTCCTCTCCCCAAACAGCATACATATCAGAGGAGCCTCCTATGTGAGACATTTGTTTAACGTTGCCTGTCAGAAAAGGTGCTACAACAAGTCAGTCAGGTTTGGAGTTTGCAAACATACTTCCACCTTACTGAACATCACAAAGGCTGTCAAAAATTTCATGTCCTTATATTTTTTCTTCTTTCCAGAAGAAAAACCATTACAGATGTAAATGTTAGAGAAATTTTGTCATACACTTTGGAGCTTCTCCAAGAAGTATTTTTCATAGCTTGGAAAAGAGGAAGGAGGCCTCTGCTGACACATTTGCAATCTTTCCAGTAGTTTGTGTGAACTTTATAGTTTACTACCCTACAAGAGGCTAGATATTTTTTCTTCTAAATACTACTTATATCTCATTTTCTTTTTTTTTCTTGCTTTCTCTGAAAATGAAAGTGTAAGCTTTTTCAAATGGCCTTGATATTTCTAAAATTTCTGTTTATTTTTCCTTTTACTTTCTTCTCAGTCTTCTAGATGCTTTCCACCAAACCCACTTCTGGGAATTATCCACATGTGTACTTACTTGGGAGTTTGATGAAATATATGTATGTGTGGTATGCATATTTCTGATATTATTTTATTTGATGGATGTTGAATAACTACTAAGAGAGAAACCAGTTGCTCTTCAAAATATAATTAGCAACACCAGGCCTGGAGAAGTTTACATTTGGTTGTGACAAAGTTAGTAGTATGCCCTCTGCAAAGAAGAGAAGGGGAAGATGGATGCATTTCTAATGCAATCAGGAAACCCCTCTATAATTTAAATATATTAGCATATCCTAAGAAACCCAGGTATTTGAATGTTCCTAAGACAGCTCGAAGCCTTTCCTAAACAAGCATGATTAAATTACTTGGAGCACATTGAAACAGCACACATGGCCCTTAATGGATCAGCATTATCAATATGCATTTTCACGGCCAACTCCAGGAAAGCCATCACTAAAGCCATAAGGAGTCAAATTACCGATGCAGTCCTAATGATTTTGCTTGCATTGCTCACATCCAGTTTGCCACTAAATGTTTGACGGCACGCAAACACTGAATTTCGCAAACATTAGTGTCATTTCCTACTTGTCCCTAGAAATAGTAATGAGCATACATCTTGAATCCTCTTATTTTGGATCATATACAAGAAAGTAAAAGTTTTCAAATATTCTGAAGTCTGGGCATGTTAGGATAATATGACATGGAACTAATTATGTAAGGGTACATTCTGGGTCATTTGAAATTTGCGTATGTATTGCAAAGGTCACAATCAACTCAAATAAATAATAATAAGAGCTAAAATGATTGAGCCCTAGTGATGAGCTCAGCTATGTTATCAACACTTTGCATGTAGTATCTAATTTAGTATTCCTAGCAACTCTGTGTGGTAGGAAATAGTATCACCCCCGTTTTATAGCTAAGGAACCTGAGGCATGGAGAGATGAAGTAGCTTGACAAAGACCAGGCTATTGTAAATGGGTGGCTAGGATCAAACCTAGACAGAAGGACCCTAGAGCCCCAACTCTTACCTCCAACTCTATGCCTCAGGTGTGTGCCTCCATTTAAAACCCTTACCAGAGGAGGCTCAAAGGCTCGAGGACTCTTCCATAGTGGCTCTCATTAGGCTGTTTGACTCTGATAATCCAGTCAAACAGTTTATCTACAGTCAAACAGAGAGTAGATAATCCACTCTGATAATCCACAGTCAAACAGATAATCCAGTTTGACTCTGGATTATCAAACAGCCTAATTAGAGCCATCATGGAAGATTTCTGGTTCATAAACAGTTCTCCTGTTAGGTTAAAATACGTGATTTTTCTGTTAAAAAAATCAGCCCTGCATTCCAGATAGTTCCCAGGCCAGGTCAAGATGAGCTCCTCAGAACACTTTGTTATGTTGGTCCAGCCCAGTCACTATGCCCTTCTATTAGTTTTGCTTCTAAAAGATAAGAATCTAGAAATAGTTGGGCCAATTTAGAAGAAAACATTATGTATTTAATGGGCTAATATAGGTCTAATTACTCGCATAACTTAAGGACTTTTATTAAATACATTTACCCAAGGTAAATTTTCAAGCCCATTTAAAATATAATTTAATTTATTTAAAAGAAAATTGATCTGCACAGATTAGGGTTGCCTCTATTGCCAAAGAGGAGCACTTAAATATTTTTAGAAGTGAACATTGTGATTCCCCTGTTAGCATAGGTCTTGGTCTGAAGTGAAAAGAAAACTTTTAGCAACCTCACATGCTGCCTACAGGACTGTCTCCTTTATAAACATTCTCTGTTGGCACTGTCTTCTGGAGAGCATACACTTCCCTACATTTCGTGGCATTACATTATTTCTCAAATGACTTCTGCCTTTGTAGAATCATCATCTTTTTTCCATGAGATATGTGCAATATAATATTGTTCTCAAATATTTTAGTCTTCATGACACTATTGTGAATTGGCTTTAAACACATATATCCCCCAATGTACGATATATTCCTTAGTCCTTATTTTATAGTAGGATGATATAGTGCGTGCCATAAAAGGGGAGGAAGACAATTCTGACTTAAAAGACTGTTTGTTAGTGCCGCCTTTGAACCTTAGTCTTACATGAGGAGGAGTAGATACATTTATATATTTATTTGGAAAAGGTCGAATAAAGGATTTGCAATTTGATTCAGAAACGTCATTAATTTTTAAAATTTATTTACTTGCTTATCCTTTTCTGAAAAGACTGTGAAACAGTTGCCTGAATATTTCGTTTGAGGGGCAGTTAAAAACAGAAGTTGTGGAAAAACAATGTCGGCAACAATTTATGAAAGGAAAGCATTGGACATATTTAATTTTTCTTACCCATTTCTCTTGAAATACCTGTGCTTTCCCATTTAGTGCCTTTAATATCACAAAGAGAGATGAAAGGGATTAATTTTGTCGATGGTGGATTGCACTGAAGCTTGAGTAGACTTTTTTGGTAGTTTTACAAGCCTCAGTATACCACTCATACAGGGAAAAGTCACCTTGGCTTTTAAATTTAGTTGAGCATTTTCTTGAGCTATTATTTTAAAATAATAGTGCCCCCTCCTCTTTTAAAAATTACTGGCATTGCAAACCCTTTTTTATAATTTCTTCCCAATGTTTGCAAAATCCCCCTTAGGATACTTATGGTTCTATGGAATTCCTCTTCTCCAGATATTGACAGAATCATTAAACATGCCTGAAGCTTCATTATTACTTTTCCAGCACCACTTTCTTTGCTCTTTATCATTGCATTTAGTTATGTTTCATCTAGTTTTCAATACACATGATAGGGTTCATAGCCCAGCCAAATGGAATGAATTTGATAGCTAAGCATTTCACAGGCTGGCTCTGTAACATATTCTGCCAGACCCTACTGTGTGTGAAGCATTACTACTTTTTCTTTTTTTTTTTTTTTTTTAACCAGTAAAGATTATTTATAACTTTGATTTCTTTCATGCTCATTTGTGTTCCTGAAGAAGGGATGGAATGGTGTACCCCATCAGAGTGTTTCTCTTGGCTTTCCTGTATGTAAACCTCACTAATACTTTCAGTCACCACCTTCTGTGTCATTCCTTTTAAGCAAAAGGAGAAGAAGTGGAATTGGGTTCAAGGCCATGCTTTGCTTTTCACAAGAGAGTGCTCTCAGAAGCGCTGGTGTAGTTCCAACACCTTATTTCTACTGCTGCCTGATAGTGGCTTGAAGTGGTTATTTAGAGGGAGAGGGTGGCTTGGTAGGAATGTACTTCATTCAGTATTTTTGTTGATGCTGTCATTGGAATGAACCTCAGTGAATGATTTTAAGAGCATAGTTCTTAGAAGTTATGATGATAAATGACTGAATGAGAACCTATTTAATATTATGTCACTACTTTGGGGAAAAATAATTTTAGCTGAGTATTTCAGGAGTAAGAGAAAGTTTATATTCCTAAGATTTAGTTATTTTCTAGGTTTTTATCCTTTTATAAATATACAAAACTACTCAAAACAGACTTGGTTAATACTCTGAACCAGCTTGGAATACATTCTTTTGTTTGATCATTTTTCCTCTATTTTTCAGTTTGGTAATTTAATTTTACGGTCATATGTATGTACCCTGGTCTGGAGAGTTCTCTCACATGGCATGATTAGCAATTGTGTGTGAAATGATTATGTGGCAACATTACTAGTGAATTACAGCTAGTCTAAATACTTTGTGTTTTCACTTGAGAACATTGGCTCTGGAATGTATATCTGGCACCGAGAAGGAAAAAGGAAAAAAGGCTTGACGATAAAATGCAGCCAGAGTGTAAATTGTGAAATGGAGCTCTAGGCTCAATTGATCCTCCACTGCTAGCAACTTGAGATTGTGCATTTCCTTTCTAGAATGAAAATTATGCCCTTTTAAGAATACTTAGTCAATTTTTAATCTTCAAATTGGTGGGTTTTTTTAAATAAAAAAAGCCAGAAGTTTACATGGTGTGTGTTTATGTCTGTATATTATTATACAAAGGATCTAAATTATAAGCCCTAATTCATGCCACTTCAAACTAATGGAGTAGCTGTTTCAAGGTCCCTAACTATAGTAGTTACTCCTTGGAATGAGGAAGTGAATCTTATATTAAGACTTTACACTAATAATCCTGGCCGACTTCGTATTGAAGCCCAAATCTGGAGGAGTGGTCTCATCATAAGATGTAATCAGCAACCTACCCTGCTGGATATTCACTGTTTGGATACTAACTGTACAATAACTGCAATGGAAGAAATACAAAGCAGAAGTAAAGCCAGGAGACATATTCCTATTTTCTAGGTTATTTATCCCATAATAGAGAGAAGCTGTTCATTTAGGATTATAAATAAAGCTTTCTTAGTACATACTGAGATTGGTCAGTTTTTTTTTTTTTTTTTTTTTTTTTGGAATGGGCATTTATTGTGTGTCCTCAAAGAAAGAAAGCAGGAGGGAGTTTCCTTGGTGATTTAATTATTATGATTGTGCAAGTTTCTTTGAATATGTTCAAAGTACTCCCCATATGAGAAGGAAGAAAAGTCATACACCACATATCCCCCAGTTTCTGTCGAAATAAGACCTCAGTGTTCTGTAATAAAACGTCCCTTTCTACTCACTCCCAGCATTTGATGTAAATGATTGACAGCATGTGTAGCGCCTTCTGTTCTTTAGGGTCTAGGTCAAGGAAGACATCATAGCTAAGAAAATAAAAACTCAGAACTGAAGCAGGAACTTTTCATTCAAACTTGAATAAATCTAAAGGAAAAGGATGTTATATCTTCAAAAAATTAAAAACCAAAACAAAATAAGAAAAAAAACACAACACCTATAGTATCCTTAGCACTACAGATTCTGTATTTGTTTTGAATTGAACATTTTCTGAAAAACATCATGATTCATTAGTATGAAAAATTATCACATTATCATAAGAAAAGGATTGTTGACTATAATGGAAATAGGCTTTGGATCACTTATGATACGGATAAGTGCTTAGCCTCATAGCATTAAACCAGGATTCCAAGATACAGATTGCTTGTTTATTGCATAGGAAGATTTAAAAAATTACTTTGAGGACTTTTATCTGATATTAGAGTTGCCCAGAAGGACCACACCTTGTAACTCAAACTGTATTTTTTAAATATATTTTTTGAGATGGAGTCTTGCTCTGTCGCCCAAGCTAGAGTGCAGTGGCATGATCTCGACTCACTGCAACCTCTGCCTCCCAGGTTCAAGGGATTCTCACGCCTCAGCCTCCCAAATAACTGGGATTACAGGCATGCACGACCACACCTGGCTAATTTTTGTATTTTTAGTAGAGATGGGGTTTTACCATGTTGGCCAGGCTGGTCTTGCTGACCTCAGGTGATCTGCCTGCCTCAGCCTCCCAAAGTGCTGGGATTACAGGTGTGAGCCACCACGCCCTGCCGTAACTCAAACTCTAGAAGGCAGGTGCGACTTGATAGATTGATTTTCATTATTGGCTTAGAAATAAACGGGAAACCTGGTTGATTTTCTTTTCCAAGTAATTCGGCTGTGATGTCGATGGTTTATAACTGCCTTTCTCCCCGTGACACTGACAGTAAATATTTTCCATGTAGATGAAAACCTACCAGTGTAAGTATTAATACTTATAATAGAAGAATGCACATTTAAAAAGATTTACATGTGAAAAAATATGAATTGTTATTACTTTCACATGCAGCCTAGACATATAGTATCTTTGAATGAATGTAAGTGGGAGTTGGAGGAGAGATTTTAATTTGAAAGTGAAATACTGGTAAAATACAGTTTGTTGTTGTTATTGTTCTTAAAGAAATATAAGCTATTTAATTGTCTTTAGCATAATGTAGAGATTATAGTGCTTTATTTACTAAACACAGCAATATTTTTTTTTTTAAAAAAAACAACCAAACCTCAGTTCCATAAAAGCCACTTAGCAGAGGGAAGGAGTAAAGAGTGGAGTTTCCCCCTTGCCCAGTGGCAAAGGGAAGCCATATAAAGAAGAAAGACAAAGACAGACCAGGGTACAAAGAGGAGTAGTGGGGAAGGGGCAAGAGGGAGTCCTGGTTCAAGAAGGAGACTTAGAGAAAAATGGAGATTGCAGGGTGGCTGGGAAGAGAGAAGCAGCCACAGGTCAAAGGCCTTAGGTGGCCCCCTTGGCCTTTCCGCCTCCGAGCAAGCAGCTGTTTTTGCTGTTTTAATGAATTTCAACTGTTTCTACATTCCAAACTCTCATCATCATCATCAGTTTTACTTACAAATAGAGAAATGAAAATAGCTTTAATGCTTTTGTGGCAATATCCTAAAAGTTTACAGACCACGTGCTATATTAAAGTAGACCCCTTTTGGACTTAAAATATCAGCCTGCTTTTTCTTGTTTGAAAGAGTAAAAATCTTTAGGACATAGGAATTGTAGGAATTTAAAACTATCAGTGACCTATTTTGGCAATGCTTACAATTTTTTAAATTAGGTTAACTCCTAGGCAGAGAACAACATTGGTAAATAGTAACTGAGATTGGGGCCTTGAAGAATTTTGAAACCTGAGGTTATATGTTTGCATCTGTAATAGAACAGTTGTATGTAATGTTTTTCTACATATTACATGGTGGGCCTGGGGGTGTCTTCAGAGAGGAAGAAGATCATTATTAATATTAATATGTTATATTAGTAAGTAGATGCTATATTTTCAGATTCTCTATTACTTTGAATTGGTTTGTAATCCAAAACCATAACTTAGCTTTCACTGGCTTTTTCGCCCTAAAGACCAATTGCCATGATAAAATGCTCTCAACATATCTACCTATAACAGTTGAGAATACTCACTGTACTAAGATGCCCCTTTACTTGTAAAACTGTGTATCAAGAGTAATTTGTTAAAGTGTACAGGACCTCTCTTTACTATTTTTGCACTATTTTGTGTTTGCACACAAATGCAGCAGTACATTTATCTCTCAGAAATTTCAATTCTCTCTGGCAGGTTGATAGGGTAAATACCCTCTCTAATCTTTTTTTCTCTGGGTCTTCAGCTCTGCAAATATCCCCTCATTCCTTGTAAACTGTCCAAAGCTCAGCAAATACCTTTCCCTATATAGCTGAGTATTCTTTCCCATGTTGCTCCATTTTCCTCCCTTTTGACAGATAAGAAAAGGTAAGCCTGACTTTATGAACCTTTTTCTGAGTTGTCACTCTCTAAACAACTTTCCTATTTCTGAACTGCCCAGCAGAATTTGGAGTGAGCAAATTAGAGATATTGAGAATGGTGTACTCTCTGTCCACAGCTACCTTTTATGAGTACGAGAACAGGAAAAGGGCAAGAGAGTGCCCAGGGCAGCAGAGAATTCAGGGCTAGAGAAATTCTGTTTCTGTTGGCCAAGGTGAATAGGACACAAGAAAGTCTAACTACAATTAAGAAACCTAGTCGGGAAAGGTAGGGATAGTCATGGAAGAAGTGAGTTTCCTCTAGAAATTTTTCCCCCTTTGGGACTCATAAAATAGGGTTTCTAATAGATGGAGTTTTGCCTGAATAAGAAATCGAGCAGTGCACTGGGTGGTCTCTGTCATTACAGCACCGGTTCTATGCATGTGTGAATAAGGGCTTATCCAAATCAATCCTGCATGAAAGAATATACCTTAGTAGGAATTTAAAGGAGGACCTTAAATTCATTAGTATTCCGAGAACTGTGAGTGAAACTGTTTAGCCCTGAAAGCAGCAATACAGCTGAGGTTCAGGTTTTAGAGTCAAACTAATCTAAGTTCCATTCTTGTTTTAGTCACTGAACTTCCCTAAGCCTCAGTTCCTTCATCTGTAAAATGGGAATGATATTATTAAGTTTTATGGGATTATTAGGAGAAGATGAGCCGTTATACCTAAATTAATTAGAATTGTACTTGAAACACAAGTGTTGTTAAATGATATTGGTACAGGTGGTGGTTGTAGAAACCGAAAAATGGATGGTTAAATGGATTAACACTTTTAGAGGATCTGAGGGGCCTTAGCATTTGGGAGTGTTGGTTATGGATAGAGCAAACTGAAGGGTATGGTTGTATTATCTGCTCCTTCCCTCTTATCTCAGTACTGGGCGCAGCAGTTCTCTTTCTTTCTTTTCCCTATTGCTCAGGCGTCATTCATAATAAAATATAGTCACACATCACTTAACCATGGGGATGTGTTCTGAGAAATGCGCCATTAGGTGATTTCATCATTATGCAAACACTAGATGTTATAACCTACTACACGCCTAGGCTGTATGGTATAGCCCATTGCTCCTAGGCTACAAACCTCAACAGCAGGTTACTGTTCTGAACATTATAGGCAGTTGCAACACAATGGTAAGTACTTGTGTGTTTAAACATCTAAATATAGAAAAGGCAGAGCAAAAATACCATACAAAATGTAAAAAATAATGCAGCTGTATAGGTCCTTTACCCTATGAATGTTGCTTGCAGGACTAAAGTTGCTCTGGGTGAGTCAGTGAGTGGTACGTGAATGTGAAGGTCTAGGATATTACTGAACAGTATTGTAACTTTGTAAACACTGTACACTTGAGTTACACTAAATTTATTTAAAAATATTTTTCTTTCTTCAATAATACATTAACCTTAGCTTACTGTAATTTTTTCAACTTTATTTAAAATAAACTTTATTTTAAAAATTTTGTTTATAGTTGACATATTGTACACATTGGGGTACAGTGTGATGTTTCAATACATGTATATATTTTATAATGATTAAATTAGGGTAGTTAGCATATCTATCACCCCAAACCTTTGTCATTTCTATGTGGTGGTTACTGTTGTCTTTTCTAAGCTATATTGAAATATACCATACACTGTTATTAGCTATAGTTGCCCTGCTGTATAATAGAACACCTGAACATATTCCTCTTAACTTTCTGATTCTTTCATAATGACATTTAGCTTAAAACACAAACACATTGTACGGTGGTACAAAAATATTTTCTTTTTTATATCCTTATAGATGTTTTTCTGTTTTGGAAATTTTTTATTTTTTTACTTTTTAAAATTTTTGTTAAAAACTAAGATACAAACCCACACATTAGCGTAGGCTTACACAGGGTCAGTGTCATCAATATCACTATCTTCCACCTCCACATCTTGTCCCACCAGAAGGTCTTCAGGGGCAGTAACACACATGGAGCTGCCATCTCCTAGGATAACAATACTTTCTTCTGGAATACCTGTTGAAGGACCTGCCTGAGGCAGCTTTACTGTTAACTTTTTTGTTTATTTTAATAAGGAGGAATACACTCTCAAATAATGATAAAAGCCGAGTATGGTAAATACGTAAACCAGTGACATTGTTGTTTGTTATTCGTATCTGGTATTATCAACTTTACATAATTGTATATACTGTACTTCTGTAAGACTGGCAGTACAGTAGGTTTGTTGACAGCAGCATCAGCACAATACATGAGTAATGCATTGTGCTGTGACCTTAGCATGGCTATGATATCACTAGGAGATAGGAGTTTCTCAGTTCCATTGGAATCGTATTGGACCACCATGGTATATATAAGCAATCCATCCTTGACCGAAACGTCATCCTGTGGTGCGTGACTGTAATAGGATATATTGCCTCACCACAGTATTTGTAGTATAGAAGGACTTGGAGAAAGATCACTTACACTTAAATTATTAAGGTTTAAATTTGAAGCTTTAGTGGCAAAGATATCAGTTGGCAAGGGGGAATTCATAAAACACATAGAATATACTGCTTTCTTTTCAGCCTGTGAAAATAAATTAATGAGTTTGAATATTGGAAGAAATAGAAAATGAATTTGATCTTATAAAGCATCCACAGTATGTATGTATGTATGTATATCTGTGTGTGTGTGTATATATATAACTGGAACAGTGAGAATCACTATTTTTGAATTCTGAAAATATTAAGAAGGTAATAACCCCCTCAAATACAGAAAAAGCGCTAGTAAAATGGTGAGTGATCCTATTAAGGTAATAATGCAAATGAGACAACAGCCAACTACTAATGAAATGACCCATCACAGACACATATGTGTTAAATTAATTGTGAAGACTTCAGTGAATCCTTACAGAACAAAAACACAAGTGCCTACCTATTTTAAATTGTTTCCATCTTAAGCAGAAAATATTTCCAGAAATAGTAGAATTGCAGTTATTTGTACTAAATGAATCAGGTCTGACTTACTACGTATGATTTGTGCCAGTACACTAACATAAATTTGAATGTTGTGAAATGATATAGTATAGCTTTGTAGTGATTTGTGTGAAGTTGTATATACTTGTCTGAACTTTACTTTTGATGGTTTAGGAATTAAGTTATGATTTTGGGACTTGAAATGAGAGTAATTCAGAAGAGCATTTCAAATAACAAATGGCACTTAGGGGAACAAAAGCTCATTTATCTAATTTAACATATGCTGTGAAGATGTGGAGACAGCCAAGGAGAATATCAGAAGTGGCACATATTATCTCTTGTCTTTTTGTTCTTAGTCTGGAAAGGTAAAATGGCATTTCCTCTAGGAATTGAGGCATGACTAAGAAAAACAAGTTTTGCTAAATGCATGGTGACAGTTGCTGGTCCCTTCGGGTTTCATATTAAATTAATGATGTGAATGAAGTTCAGCAAATGAGAAGCATGGACATCAGTTTCTTTCCATTCCTAGTTAATATTCAACCCAGGAAGGGATGGTCATTCACAGCTACTATTAAGAAAGCTTTAGAGTTTTGTTACTGAGCATAGAGAAATAAAATTTTAAATATCAAAATTTTACTTCCGAGCATTTTTTTTAGCATGGATGTTAAACACCATCAACAGTTCTGTATTAGTTCTATCCCAACTCCCTTGATAGATACAATTAAATTTTACTGATGTTGGTATTTTACTAAAGAGGGTCATTATACTTTTAGTATAAACTGTAATTCTAAGCAGAAATGATCTTCAGTTTCCCAAGGACAGCATTTTGTAAGTGGTGTGCGTGCTTTTTGAGTTTCTTCTCATCTAACCAGAGTTGTACTGTTATGTTAGAAATCAGTGTGGATCCTACCTTGGTTGAGTTTGGGCTCAGCATTGGGAGATAATTGAGTTGGTTACGAAGGCTGTGTGGAGAAACTTGGAACTGGGAGATACAGGTTCTCTGTGCATCTTGTAATGGTATGCATGGTTTTTGCTCTTTGACACTTTATACTCAACGCTTGAAATAAATCTTATAGAATTGGCTCTGCCATGAACCTACTGTGGGTCCTTGGACTTTGTCAAGGCTTAGTTTGCTTGCTTATTTGTTCATTGGTTTATTCATTGATTCATTCAGCAATCAATTACTGAACACCCATTGTGTGGTTGGCTCTGTACTAGCCAATAGGAATAAAATAGACATGAGTCATTCCAACCCTCATGGTGCTCACAGGTTAGTGCGGGATATAGGCAATCTTACAGAAAGCAGTTAGGTACCAAAAGGATGGGAGAGTATAGTAGAGTAATCTAACTCTACCTTTAGGGCAGGGAAATCCTCCTAAAATAGGAGATGTCTAAACTGAGACCCTAGAGGATGACTAATATTCAGTTAGGGATATGGAGAAGACCTTTTCTGTCAGAAAGTACAGCATGTGCCAAGGCGGTAAGAAAAGAGAGAGAGCGAGAGAGATCCCAATACATCCGTGAGGACTGTTTGAGTCTAAGATCTACCAGATTATGCCAGTATGAACTTGTTTCTCCATTAGCTCTTGCACTTTCTCACCTATGGTTTGAAAATGCAACCAGGTGATTATAGGCCACACGACCCTTCTGCCAGTATGTTTTAGGGCCTTTAAGGATCCCAGCAGGTTAAAATCTACTTATCTACTTACATCTGCCCTGTGCCCAAATAAGGAGGTCCACATCTGTTACTGTGTCTGTCCCTGCCGAATATCCTCTGTATGGCCAGGCTGCTATGGGGCTCATGTTGCCCATGCCCCAAAAGTACATGATTGCACCTAGCCTGTGGGCTGCTGTCTCTTCACAGCCTGTGCTAACTGAAATCATGAGATTGGCTATGTCTTTGGGGTAACGCTGCAGTTTACAGTCACCTCTTCTACAGATTTATTATGATAGTGAAGTAAGTTGTAAGCACAACGGAAAATTCCGACAGGAAAGGATGTGTGGGGTGGATGTGTGATCAACTGAAGAGGTTTCCTAGGAAGGTAGAAATCAAATGAGATCTTGAGTAAAGGTAACAGAAAGGAATACTGTTGCAATAAGGAGTAAAGATGTGGTGTTTAATAATCCTGTTTAATCTCAATGCATAGTTTATGGAGAGACTAGTGTACCTGGAACAGTGGCTGCATGTTGATATTGTTGCAAATGATATTGCATAGGAAAGAAATGATCTTTTGGTTTAGTTTCAGGTAAAACAAAAACAAAAGAAGTAACCTTAGCCAATCATTGATTTGGTGAAGACTTCAGAGAAGCTTTTTTTTTTTTTTTTTTTTTTTTTTTTTGTGGTTCATATAAATGGGAAAAGGGGCTGGTTTCTCCAAGACAGAAGTAGCTGTGGTATCTCCTCTCAGGTAAAATGCCCTCAAAGCATTAGTCATTGACCATCCATAGGTAATAGAGACATAGACTGTGATGTGAGGGCAGTTTAGTTCCATGATTTCTTGGCTGTATGATATAGGGTTGGTTGTTTAATCTATCTTCATCTTTCTAATGTGGATAGTAGTAGTGGCAGCACCACCAGCAGCTATTTCATAGAGTTGCTGAAGATTATTTAAGTATCCGATAAGTGGTAACTATGGTGACAGTTGTCTGCCTGTGTTTGCTAATGATGAACGTATTCATTCCCTCACTCATTGATTCACTGAGCAAATATATACTAAGGATGCTCTAAGGGCCTTGTCCCATGCCTGCGTTCTGGGGAAAAATTACTGGTTTTATATTGTTATTTGCATTTCTTCCCTTTTTTTGGCAAAAGCAAATGTTTTCTTATTTTGGTTTCATTTATACTTTTGCAGTGTTTGTCAAAGTGTGTTCTAAAAACTGCCTGCATCAAAATCAGCAGGGGTTCTTATTGTAAGTGTGGATTCCTGGTCCTTACGTTGGACCTACTGAATCAGAACCTCTGGGAAGGGCATGGAGAATCAGCATTTTGAGCAGGCTCTTAGGTGATTTCTATACATATTGAAGTTTACAACCTGTTAGGGTCACATTGTCTCCCCGATTTCCCATTTGGTGCTACACTAAGGAAAGGCTAACAGTCACTTTCCTCTTCTTTCCATTACATACACAGATTTTCTACAACTGTGAATCCTGACAAACCCTCTTTGCTTTACTTTGGGTGGAGAAACTGAGCAATTTGCTTCTTAAGCAGGCTTCATTTACGTGGATAATTCCCAGAGATCAGTAAGATATGACTGAACTCACTTCCTTTCTAGTTAAGTCTTCTCTTACTAGCATCCATTTCTCTGAAACCAGAAGCAGAGGCTGACACCATCAGCCACCAACCTGCAGTGTCATGGAGTTACCAATACCCTTTCCCTTTCCCCATCCTGGGGTTTGTTATTGCCCTGGAGCAGTACATTTAGAATTCACAACCTGAATATTAATAACAAGCTAAAAACGGACTAGAACTTCTATGTGTTTTCATTAATTTTTTTTTTTTTGCAGCCTTGAATTGATTGCTTCCCTTTCCCCAAGCATACCTTCTGAGACTGATTTAGTGTGGCTTGATCAATAGACTGCAGAATGATTAATTTGTTTCCACTCATTTCTTTACTGAGTATTTTCCAAGCAAAGGTGAGTTAGGAAACCGTGAACTAGAGTAAGGGGAATTGTTGAGGCATAAATAGCTGTCTGCTTGTGTTTGCTGCAGGAGTTTTAAAACAGAATAAGCAGGAGAAAAGAATGGTGGCGAAGGTGCCTACCCCTCTAAGGTATTACTTCGGCCACATTGTGTGGAAGACTTCTTGATAACAGGAGTATAGCACAACGTGTCTTGTTTTTGTTTTGGGCTGATCTCTATAAGCCATGGAAAAGAATTTATTCCATACTGAATTGTCTTAGTGGAACTCTGCAAAGTTTAAAAGCATCCAGTCAGAAGAATATTAAACCTTTGAGTGAAATTTACAGCTTTCCTTATCTTTTTAAAAAAATTATTCTTCACTTTTTTGCCTCCTATTACTTGTTAGGGAGACCCAATGGTAGTTTTATTCCTTGGGGATACATAGTAAATACTTCATTAAAGTTGAGTACAGAATTTGATGAAAAGTGTGGATGTGTGGGATGTACTGCCGCCTTCAGAAGTCCACACACTGCCTGGAGGGAGAGAACTGCTGTTTATTCACTGATTAAGCACTTGCTGTGTACCAACTACTTTTCATGTCTTATCTTAATTCTCATAACAGTCATTTGATATTTTAAAAAACCCCAGAAATCTGAGAAAGAGATAAAGTGGTTTGCTCAAGGTTATAGAACAGACTACCATGTGTTGTATTTCAGATTTTAATTCATGTTTGTCTGATTTTAAGTTTTGTTCGCTTGCCAGGGTACCCCACAAAAATGCCAGGCAGGGCATTTTCATGATGCACTTGAGATACCTGAAATGACAGGGTAGCATCACACCTGAGAGGGGTAAAGGATGGGAACCTACCTTCCATGGCCGCTGCTTGGCAGTCTCTTGCTGCATGCTAGCAGAGCCACTGTATATGTGCCGAGGCTCTGAGAATTAACTGCTTAAAGAACTGCCTTCTGGAGGGAGAAGAGCACAAGATCACAATTAACCATATACACATCTTACTGTGCGAGGTCATTGAGCAATACAGGAGGGATTTTATACATTTTAGCAACTATCTTCAAAACCTGAGCTATAGTTGTATTCTGCCCCCTTCCTCTGGGCAAAAGTGTAAAAGTTTGCTGCTACAAAGAATACAGAAAACTCAGAAAGAAATGCTAACATACACATTTAGCTGGCCCTATGGATATATCATATTAACTGCTTATCGTTAGGGGCTGTATATTTGTAAAATAAAAGAATTTTGGGAGTTCCATCTCTCGGCTTTGGAGCCCCCCTCCTTTTGTCTCTGTATGGAGGAGCTTCGTCCTTCTGCCTTTTTCTTTACCTGTTAAATTCTCCACTCCTTAAAACTAAAAAAAAAAAAAAAACAAAAAAAAAAAAAACAAGAATTTTGATCACAGTCAGACTCTGTATTTTAAAATACATTGTAACTAGTGAGCTGGGTGTCCAGCAGGAGTTTGATATGGCACCATGCTTTATAGGACTATATTGGTAGTCCTGTAAAGCATATATAGTCCTATAAAGTATGGTATCACATCAAACTCCTTAGTACTTAGAGAGTAGTAAGAAATTAAACGTGAAATTAAGAAAGGCTGGAGCTAGGAATTTGTATTTGGGAGCCATAATAATAGCCAGCATTTTTAATATGCTTAATATGTGCCAATCTCTGTGTTGAGCCTTTTATGTGGATGAGCTCATTAAATCTTCACAAAAACTCCACGAAGGTAGTATTAAAACCCACATTTTACAGATGAGGAGGCTGGCGCAGAAAAGGTTTTTGTAATTTTTCTCGGTTCACACAACTGCAATTGTTAGGGCGAGATTCAAAGGCAAACATTTGTGATGTTTAAATCTGAACTTTTCATTCCTGTGGTAGTCTGCATAGAGGTGATTTTGGAACCTTAAATATAGTTGAAAACAGGGCTCCATTTAATCTTAGAACATACCCGTATTAAGGGTGAGAGAAGTGTTGAGGTAGCACATGATGAGATAGCAAAGGACACAGAAAGAAAGCCAGTTTCGGGAAACCATGCAAGGGTATTATTTAGAGAAGAAGAGAGTTATTAAAAACTACAAAGAACTCAAGGAGAATGGGAGGGAAATTATCAGATATAGAGATTATGTGTCTTTAGGGACTTTGACAAGAACAGTTTTGAGTAGAGCATTTAGTCATATCTCAATATGCCATTCATTTTGAAGCTTTGGATTAGTTTATTCCATGATTATCCTCACCTATCACGTATGGCTAGTTTAAGAGCGTTATTTAATCTAGAGTAACAGTTCTGAATGTTTTTTAACAACAACAACAACAACAAAATAGCGCATGTGACACTTCCTTTACTTCTTTGTCCCATTCCTCCTCTTTTCTAAAATAAACAAATATGTGTATAAAACAAGAAAAAAAAAGTGTGGGATAGTATCTGCTTTACTGAGAACAGCAGAAGTAGCTATTTTTCTCTATTTTGCCTAGGAAGTATTTTGCTAAGAAGCAGTAGATAGAAGATGGCAGTAGGTAACGGTAAATGTGTTAGTGGACTCTCTTGAAAGTGGAATTTCCTATACTTTTTACTAAGGTACTCAAAACATCTCACAGACCTGCTTCGTTTTTATAAGTATGTATTGTGCAAGTGATATGGCTGTTAATTTTCTTTGTTTTCCCTTTTGCAGTGGAGAAAGTGAAACAGAAAGGAGTGGTGTGGGACAAATGCAACCCCCAGTTTTCCTTTTCTGTGCAGTGTCTCCTAGTCTGCATTTTTCCTGCTGATCAGAACAAAGTGTCACCACCATTGTGACCAGCTATTCTGACTTGTTGCTAAATCCATCTATAGTATTTGATGTGGCTCACTGGTATATCCTCTTTGAAAGACTCCCTTCACTTAGCTGCCAGGATACGCGCTCTTCTAATTTTTCTCCTGCCTCATTGTCTCCTCCCAACTCTGTCCCCTCCATCTCCCTGACCTCTTACTAGCCTGTAGTACCCAGGGGTTAGTCATTGGCCACCTTTTCTTCTTTCATGTACACTCACTTCCCTGGTAATCTGATCCATTCCTAAGGCTTTTAATACCGTCTCAAGCTGATCACTTCCAAATTTATATCTCCAGCCTGGACCACTTCACTGAACCCCAGCCTTAAATGCCTTTTGCTTAACATGTCCACTTCCTTGTTATATTGGAACCTCAAATTTAAAATATCCAAAACTGAGATACCAATATTCCACACTCTATGTTCAACACCTTCTTTCCCTTAGTCTTTGCATTTCAATTTGTGGGATGCCATCCTTCCAGTTGCCCAGACCAGAATCCCAGGAGTATCCCTTTTCTCACACACCTTAGAAGCAACCCATCAGCATGTCCTGTTGGCTTTTCAGAAAATATCCAGAATCTAACCATTGCTCACCACCTTCATAACTACTGCCCTGGTCTAAGCTGTCAACATCTCTTGCCTGGATTAGGCTTCCTAATGGTCTTATACTTTATCTCTTGCTCCTCTCCCTTTTAACCATAATGATGCTTTTAAAATGTAAGTCACATTACAAGAACATTTTGGCACAGAACTTTTTAACAGCAATTCATGCAGAGTAAAAGCCAGAATTATTTTCAGTGTTTTACAGGGCCCTAAATAATCTGCCCCTACTGGTTGATGCTGAATGCATTTTCTACAATCTTCTCTGTGGATCACACCCCTCCAGCCACACTGGCCTCTCAGCTATTCCTTGAACCTTAAACATTTGCACTACTTTTCTTCCACCAAACGTCCAAGAAACTTGCTCCCTTAATACCTTTACGGCTTTTCTCAAACGTTACCTTCCTAGTGAAGCCTACCTAGGCCATCCTGTTGAAAACTGTGATATCTTCTTCCAGCATGCCCTACTTTTTAATTTTTTTCTGTTGCCCTTATTACCATGCACATATTTTATCTGTTATCTGGAAATAGAATATAAGTTCCAAATGGGCAGGGATTTTTGTCTGTTTTGTTCACTGTAGTTTTCGTACCACTTAGAATGGTTCCTGACATACAGTAGGCCCTCAATTAATGTTTGTTGAATGAATGAATGAAGTTTCAGAGCCTAAAATAGAGTGGTTGAGTCAGGGTATGTCAGTGTATGTTGGTCTGCGAGTACGATTTTTCTACTGATCTCCAAACTACAGTCTCAAGACAACAGTTTTCCACCTCTGAACAGAGGTGCCTCTGAATACCCAGATCTTTATGTCTGTGAACAAGCACTGCCTATTAGAGCCAAACAAGAGAAACACATATTACCATCTCCAATTCTTTAGAATCCTTTTGGCCCAGAATGACTTCAAAATGCTAACCCATAAAGGCAAACAAATCCAGAGACCTTTGTAGTTTCCCTTAGCCTCTGCTGCATTAGCTGAAGATAAATCTATGCAGAATTCACTTAAGGGAACAGACAACTACATTAAGCTGTGTAATGATGAACATTAATGGCCTGTGACAAAATGGGTCTCTGTAGGCTGAGCAACCATGCAAGGTGGGGATTTTTCCCTGTTTTTGGTAAGGTAATGAAGAAGGAAAAAAAAAGTCTCATCCAAAGATGCAAAGAAACAATCTGCTGGCCCAGGTCATTTTCATGGTATCTTTTTGTTTCTCCTTTCTTTGTTTTGTAAGTACATGCATTTTGGCTGAAAAAGATACAGGCACCATTTTACAGTGGTGGGGGAATCTCTACTTTGTTAAAGAAAAATGCAATGCTCTTTATTTCCAACCTGGTATAGTTCATTCATTCCTTTTCCTGTGGTATTCACATGTCTTGCAAATTGTTATGTTGAATTTTTTAGTTCCTTGTTATTTTTACTTGTAGACACTTACACCATGGTCACAGGAATCTATACTGATTTCTTCCACTTTCCATGCATTTGTTTCCATTATTAATTTAAGTGAGAAGCATGTGTGTCATTCCCCTTCCCATTTGACTTTTACATGGTTAACTGGTGATCTCAAGTTGATCAGTTAACTTTTCCTATTGTGCATGATTGTTGTGGGGATCAAATGTGTACAAATACGCTTCATAAATTGCTGTAAACATTTAAGTTAATGGTGCTTATGTGGATATTAGACCAGTTGATTTGTAGACTTGAATCATTCTAAGACTTCTGAAAGTAATCCTTCTGGCAAATTCTATAAATTAAGGTAATTGGGATATATATACATATATACATAAAATTTGGGGTTTCTACAAGTTGACCATGAACTATTGAATGATCTGAAGTGGCCTAGGATTTTTTTATAATCTATTCAGAATGTCACTGTGACACACATACTATATTTTCAGTATTTGCTTCTCAGATATTCAGAACACTTTTTACCCTACAGCAGAATTATTTGACAACACATTTCCTTCCTGCCCTCTGAATCTCCCTGGATGATCTACAAAAATATAGCATCTCCATTTGTGACAATATAAAACCCTGGTATGACTCTTTTCTATAAATTCAGTTTTATTGCCTTCTTCCAAAGTAATTTCTGTTAATCCAGCCAGAACCTTCATTTTTGTTTTGTCATTTTCAAGCTAGATTCTGAAGTAACAGAACTGACTACAATTTTAGCCTAAGAACAAAAGAGTTTCAAGGCCTATTTCAAGACCCTGGTTTTGCTACCTCATCTACTAAATTTATACATTCTAGGAATCCATTTACTTTTTAAAACATTTCTTTTCTTATTTTCAGTACCAATTTGTTTCCTTCAGCTTTCCCACATGCATGACTTTTATAGCATGGCATAAAGTAGAGTGCTCTGCCATATTGATTTAATGGTATGTTTCAATAAATTTCCCCTGTTACAGTTCTTGCTCCATACCAGGCATCCAAGAGGGAAATAGACGGATGTGCTGGTTAACTAATTTTAAAAGCGAAAAAATTCCATTTTCTCCATCCTTTAATGTCATAGCTGTCCTGCCAATGACCTGATACTGAGATATATTAGGTTCCTCTGACATATGTTACAGGAAGTAGTGACCTGACCTTTTAAAAATTTTATTAACATTTATAAATTTGTTTTAGTGTATTATGTTGGAAGCAGTGATTTTTCTCCAGAATGGATTGGGGTGACTGGTGTACAGATTGATAGCCATGTCATATATTAAGGTGGTGGACATTTTGTAGAGTCCACCATCTCTATACTCACAATATATTGTAGAGTATAGAGATGCTGTCTTTTTTTCCCCTCCCTCTTCTCTCCTGCCTTTAAGGGTTATGCTAATGGGGATGGAAACATTCAAAATCTTACTTTAATGCAGTTTATAAGCAACTAGAACCATTACTGTCAGCTTTTTGGTAGCTGGTTGGCTTTGACTATTGCTTGATAAAACATTGAGACATGGACATTCATCCATTTATTCACTCAACCTTTGCTCAGTGCTTAATGTATTCCAGACACTATGCCAGTCACTAGGCATGTAAGAGTGATTGCCACAATACCTGCTTCCAAGTAATTTATAGACTGATGGATTAGGACCCAGTAGTATACAATCAAGATCCTAATCAAAGATTTTTTCCTTCTTCAACTCTGTTCAAAGCCCAGATAAGTATCATCTCTCTGTCTCTTTTTTTAAATTTTTGTTTATTTAGAGGGTGCAAGTACAGATTCTTACATGCATATATTGCATAGTGGTGAAGTCTGGACTTTTCCAGATGGGTGTCTTCTTTTTCCCTCCTTTCCCTGTTTCTCTTTCCTTTTCTTCCATTCTCTCTTAGCACTTCCTAGGAAATAATTTATATATATATTTTGTAGGCACAAATACTTGTCATACATTAAGGGAAATCTTTATTGATGTAAAGCATTGGAACTTAGCTATATCCAGTTTTATTGCCTTAGCAATTCTCTTCTTTCCTCCATACCCTAAGTAATCGAGGAGAGTGTGGCTTTAGACAAAGGACACCTCTCCTGTGACAGAAAACACAGGAGCCAGGAGAGTTGGCATGCTGGCTTTCTAACCTGCTTGCTGCAAGAGCAGTTGTGAGCAATGATGATGACTGACACTCACATCCATCATTTGCCTTCTTCCAAATGCTTCTGAAACTGAAATGAAGCTTCCCAACACCTCAGTGAGTATAGATGGCTGTTTTATTTTATAGTAAGTATTTGTTTATTTTCTAGACAGGGAAATTGAGGGACTGAGAATGTAAGTGGATAGATAAATAAGTTATGGACACTGCTGGGAAGCATTAGCTAATGTTTATTGAGCCCGTGTGGAGTGTAATACTTTCCTAAGCCCTGTGCAGTGTATTTTGTTTCTAGTTTTCCACTTTGTACTTGAGGGAAGTATTCCATGGATCTTCTTGTTTTGAATTTACTCTTTTGTCTTCATAGAAGGTTATTGTTTTGTTGTTGCACATTTCACAATTACATTTGCATTTTCTTCAAACATTTTGTTTTTTATCTTTGCTATGCAAGACTTAATAACAGGAATTTTCGCTGTATTTCCAGGCTCACTCACTCAGTTTTGGAACTTTAAATTGTTCCAACAGTCACTCAGTTGTTGGAACTCCAACAACTAGTGCATTTGGTAAGAACTCTTACATAAATAGCCTTTACAATCAAATAGACAAAAAATAGACTGTGCAACCAAAAACTTTTTGCTGTTTTCCCACAAAATTATCTGAATTTGTTTGACTTGAGATTTTTCTTTGTAATTTTCTCATCTGCTGCCTATCCTAAGATTTAGGATGTTTTTACCTTAATAGCCATATCATGTTTTAGGCCTTAGTGGGCCTCTCTCCTTCATGCTCTACAGACAAATATAAAGTGACTCAGTGTTAAAATCTGATACACTACAGAAGCACTGTATGGTTTATATTCGGAATGGTTTTTTATGTCAAAGGAAGTGCAATGAATATAGGCAAGGAATTAAAGCCATTAAATGTATGAATGGAAAATAATTTTATAGAAGGTCTTATTTTTCTCATAAATGTGTTCCAGAAATGTAAGTCCAATAAAAATGTATACATACAGAATATTCAGTGGTCATCTTTCGGTCGTGTTCACAGTCATTTGCCTAATCGCCTGTTTTCTGAAGCTTTTCTATAAGCAGGGCACCCCATTATAATGGTAACAATATAGTTTTTTTCTTGTAAATAGATTATAGTTCATACATCTGATTCACTTGTTAGTCAATTGTTTGGAATTCAGAATGCATTTTCTCATAGACATCATCTTATATTATCTTGATTGGTGCAACCCTTTGCAACACAGGTTTATCCATAATGTATTTCTAGTATCATACTGTGGCTTTCTGAAATTTAACTGAAGTGTTAAGCATGTGTCCTGGGAATGGATTTAGAGTTTGACTTGAGATTCTAGGAGCACATTTCTTCCTACTGAATGCTGTTTGTGGGATCAGAAGCTCATGTGATGTTAGGACATGGTCAACAGAGGGGATGTTAAAGCTTATTTAGTCCACCTTCCTTTGTTTTGAGAATGAGAACATCACCTCCAACATTCCCGAGTTATGGTTCCAAGGACCTGGGCCAGAGGTGCCTTTCTGGAGAGAGCCAGGTGGTGAGGGGCAGCCTCCAGGGGTCACTGGTATAAGAGGCAGGATGTGGCCTGGGTCAGATGACAGCTTTGGGGTGAGGCATGGGAAGGGGAGGAGGTGATGGGGGTCTGAGGATAGGAGTGAATATGTGGGTCCCTTTTGTTATGCACAATAGAATTGTTCTCCCAATTTTTTTTTTTTTTTTTTGCCTGTCACTTCATACTCTATTCTATTTACTTCCCTTTCTAGTTAGTAAGGCATGTTGGGTGAACTCCCCTTTTTTGGCAAAAAGGCATTTACCTTTCTCTTCCCCATTACCACTACCAGCACACCAATACAGATTTTCCCCCTCGCTCAGGGAGGCCATGACTGGAGGGAGGGGTAAGGAGCCAAATCGAGCTGTCTCTGGTGGATGCAGCCTTTACAGTGGTGAGAGGAGGAGCCGCGGGATGTAAGGAAAAGGAGCTCCTATGGCCTGGCTGGAGTGTGCAGTGGATGAGGCTGCCTCAATGCAGGGCGAGATCCACACATCACATGGTGGGGGAAGCCATTGCTGAGGTGGGGAGGGTAAACAATGCTAGCTTTTTGGCCAGGCCAGGGCACCTGTGTGGGTGTGGGGAGGACGGTTGAAGAGTGCTCAGTGCTTTTCTTTGGAATCAGAATTTCTGATTTAGTGACAAATCATGGAAAGTTTAGAATGGAAACTTTTTAATTTTAGAAACCAATTAAATAATATTCAAACACAGCAGTGAATAAAGAACTATGTTCGCTAAATGCCTGTGTTTAACATGTGAGAAGATATGTCCCTTGACCCTGAATCTTCTAAATATGTACAGTTTTAAAAGATAGAAATTTATAGTGAAATGCATTTGCGTATATTTGGGGTAAGAGATGGTGTTCAGAAAGAGAGGGAAGCTAGATGGGCTGAAACATGAAATAAATTCCTTCAGAGTCCCTTCCACTCATGTAAAGCTCCTTGAAGGGCGTCAGGAGACAACATTCCTGTTTCTGAGGAACACTTACAAGGACTCTAAGGAATGTTGTTTCCCTTATTATATTTTTATATCAAAACATTTTATTTCCACAGTTATTTTCTTTACCTAATCTGGCATTGTAGCTGTGATTTGGCGGGGGATGGGGTGTTAGGAAGTTCATTTTCTTTTCAAAATTGAAGTTTTTAATGAACTTGGTAGATTTCCTGAAGGTTAGTTCCTTCAACTTTTGGTATTACAAAGTCATGATTAGTTTTAATGGTGAACATTAAGATTGCAAATAACTGCTGTGGCGAGGGTGTTTCTTTGTGAATTTGAAGTGTCTCGTTTAAAGATTGGTGCCTACATTGCTAAGGTGCATACCACCCTCAGTAGCTATATTAACTTATCTCAGGTTGCAGAGTCTTTGGGGTTGTGCTTGGGTTAAAATTCTAGCCATGCAGCTTTGTGACAGGGAAAGTTCTTTAATCATTTGAACTTGTTTCCTCACTTGTACGATGGAGCAAATACCTAGCTCACCGTGTTGTTCAAGTGTCAACTCAAATGATATTATGTGAAAGATTCTGGCATTTCCTAGCTGCCTAGCCAGTGTATGGTTTGTTTCAATTTGATTCCATGTGTGACTGCATGCTCTTGGCCTATTGCTAACGAGCAGGCAGAGAAACAGCAGCAGTACAGTCTGGCTAGAGGGCGTCTGTTGAGCCTCCAAACATTGAAGGCTACTTTGCCTCTTTGTCAGGGGCATGAGCCTCCAGAAACTCTTTCCTAGATGCGCTAATTGTGTTTCTTCTTCCTCACTGTGTAACATGTTATACTGGGAATCTCTCCTGAATGTTTGTTTGTGTCTCTATCTCTATATTTTCTATGACAGTATTTGCCTGACTGAGGTAATCCCAACTGGAGGGCTGAGGTGACAGATTTGGAGAACATTCTTACAACATGCTGTTCAAGCATTTACCACCATGATGTAATAAGTGTTTGTATTTAACAGTATTTATTTAGTTCCTGTTATGTATCAAGTAATGAAAAAAACCTGCTTTCATGGAGTGGACATTCTAATGGGAGGGGCAGACAATAAGCAAATGTCAAATGCCTCAGGTGTGTTAAGTACTGTGAAGAAAAATAAAGCGGGCTAAGGAGGAGTCAGATAGGATGCTGCTTGCCATAGGGTGCTCAGGGTGCGTGGTCAAGCAAAGACTTGAATGAATTCAGGGAACAAACCATGAGATACCTGGGAGAGACGCATTCCTGGTAGAGGACAACAGCCCTGAGACCCGTATACCTGAAGACAAGTGAGCAAGGAAGGGAGTGTGTCGAAGATGACATCAGAGAGATGCCAGGGCAAGATTATGAAAGGTCATGTAGATGGTAATAAGGACTTTGAATTTTATCCACAGTGAGATGGGGAGCTATTGGAGAGTTTTGACTAGAGGGCTGTCATAATCTGCTTTCACCTTTTTAAAGGACAGATTTGGGCCAGGCACGGTGGCTCATGTCTGTAATCACAGCACTTTGAGAGGCCGAGGCAGGTGGATCACTTGAGGTCAGGAGTTCAAGACCAGCCTGGCCAACATGGCGAAACCCCATCTCTACTAAAAAATACAAAAATTAGCTGGGCGTGTGTTGGTGGGTGCCTGTAATCCCAGTTACTCAGGAGACTGAGGCAGGAGAATCACTTGAACGGGGGAGTCAGAGGTTGCAGTGAGCCAAGTTCACGCCACTGCACTCCAGCCTGGGCGATAGAGCAAGACTCCATCTTAAATAAATAAATAAGTAAATAAATAGGATGGATTTGGCTGCCGTATGAAGAATGTGCTGTAGGGGAGTAATAGTAGTGGCAGAGAGCAGAAAGCCATTGTAATAATTAATGGTAAGAGATGGTAACAGTGGAGGGGAGAAGTGGTCACATTCTGGATGAAGTGTGAAGATTTGCCAGTGGGTTTAATGTGCAGGTAAGAAAAAGAGGAGTCAAGCATATCGCAAAGGTTTTTCACTTAAGTAACAGCACAATGGAAATGTAATTTCAGAAGACCATAGGAAGACTACAGGAAGAAGCTAGCTGGAGAGTAAGATCGTGAGTTTGGTTTGGGACATGCTAAATTTGACATCTCTATTAGATAGTCAAGTGTATGTGTTGAGCAGCTAGTTGAAGTACATGACACTAAAATTCGTAAATGGGAATTAGACTAGCACTGTCCAAAAGAACTTTCTACCATGATGGAAATGTTTTATATCTTCACTGTTCAATATAATAGCCACTAGTCATGTGTGGATATTGAGCACTTAAAATGTACCTAGTACAGGCCAGGCGTGGTGGCTCACGCCTGTAATCCCAGCACTTTGGGAGGCCAAGACAGGCGGATCATGAGGTCAGGAGATTGAGACCATCCTGGCTAACATGGTGAAACCCCGTCTCTACTAAAAATACAAAAAATTAGCCGGGCGTGGTGGCGGGCACCTGTAGTCCCAGCTACTCGGGAGGCTGAGGCAGGAGAATGGCGTGAACCCGGGAGGTGAAGCTTGCAGTGAGCCGAGATCGCACCACTGCACTCCAGCCTGGGCGACAGAGTGAGACTCCGTTTAAAAAAAAAAAAAAAAAAAGTACCTAGAACAACTGAGATATGGATTGTTTATCTTATTTAATCTTAATTAACGTTTAAATAGTCATATGTGTGTAGTGGTTACTTATTGCTTGGCATGGAAGACTATGGATATAAACTTGAAAGCCATCAACATTCCAGTGTTTTGTAAGGTTGTGAGACTGGATAAGTCCACCTGGGGGAAGCACAGGTAATGAAGAAAAGACATCTGAGGACTGAGACCTCCAGTGTAGAGGTTAGGAAAATGGAAAGCTACCAGCAAAGGGTATTCCAAAAGCAACAGATGGTGAGGAAGGGGAAGACCAAAAGAAATCAGTTTCCAGGACACCAAGTGAAGAAAGTGTTTTAATGAGAATGATGAAATGTATAAATGCTGTTGATCTGTTCATCACCTTCATTATAGAGCAAGTCACGTAAGGATTTATCTCTTTGAAACCCAGTCTTATCCCAGGCCCTAGCAAATAGTTATTGCTTTATAATCACTTTTAAAATGAACAATGCTGAACAAATTAATGGGTTACTCGATTAGCCTTTAAAATTTTTTTTCAGGAAATATGCTCTCTTCTTTGAGGTCCAAGCACTGCCATCTTATAGCTGCTACCTGTTGGAAATCCCAGATTCTGTTAATGACTGACCTCTTACTCATCAGCCACCCACCATCACCCCTCCCCAGTTCTTCCAGGGCTTATTTTAGAGGAGCTGGATTGGAGATAGCCTCAGTATTTCTTATTTCAGCAGTTGAGGTTAAAGAGCCAAACATCTGCTTAGCTCTGGACTTTCTCTTTCTCCCTTACTTTGCTCTTCTTTGGTTCCTTAAAGGAGTACTTAAAGGGAGTTAGTTTCTAGATGGGGAAGCTAGCATCTGTATGTATACTTGGACTGTGGTAACTGGTAGGAAGTTATTGTGTATGGTTAAAAAGTAGATTTTACCCCAAATCTCTGGTAGCTAGATCTGATTATTTTTCCATTATTTTTCTCATCTTTTAATTCTTCTGGACTTCAAGTGTTGAGAGTTAACCTTGCATCTCCTGTCTTTCTCTTTTCCCCTTGAATGAAGTTCCATTCATTGTTCCGGTGTATGCCCTGATTCAGAGTCTTTCTTGGTCTCACCACACACACCCTTGCTTTGTCTTGAAGTACTCTAACATGTCTGCATTTGGAATTTCTCCTGCATGTCCCAACCTCTGGTTGTATTCTTTGCACCTGGCTCTGCCTTACCTTCCATTCTGTATTTGATATACTGTTTCCTGTGCTCTCTGAGCTATTACGTTAGCATAGAGGTAAATCTGAAAAACAAGAAGACAACACACATGCTTCTTTTCCTTGCCATTTTTAAGATGTTGATTATAGGTCTTGTGGGAATTCTGTTAAGTATGTTTTTCAATAATTACTATGGCATTCTGTTACTACTCATTTTTCTTGTTCCTTATATCTGTGTTGTACCAGCTCATAATACTAAACAAATATTGTAATTGACAAAGAACATGCATCCTCATTCCTATTGTTAAAGCCACTCACAGTCCTGTAGGAAGTGTTGGTACAGCACTGTATGAGGAAGAGCAGATGCTAGGGTTGTATGGTGCCCTATTCTTAAGACCTACTGTGACTTTCTATAGTGGAGTTCAAGGAAGGCAAGGAATTTGTGTCACTCTCAAACTCTCCAGATTTTAAACCTGCCAAGGAAAAAATGCAGAGCTGGAGCTTGCCTTGAATGATTAAAAGTCACATGAGGAATGGGGAAAGAAAATCCCAAAGGATTGATGGCTAGAAAGTAGTTTATAGTCAAAAGCTATACCAAAAGCAATTGCTCGAAACCCTAGAAACCACAAATGGAAATGAGAGTGGATTATATATAGTACAAAAGACAAATACACACACATTCCCCACCCAGTGGGCTTTACTATAAAACAAGCCAATTAAGACAAAATGCACAGTAATTAGGAACATCTTAGGTGGGGTCAGGGTTGCTGGATTTTTTTATACATTCATACACTTAATTTATTTTAAATTTTATCACGATAATTACATTGTTTTAAGGTTTGAATTTTTGCAATTCAGGTATATAAAAATGATAGATTACCAAATGAGTTTGGTGTGTTTAACCTCATGATTCACTTATATGCCAATAATGTGCCTTGCCTAGAATGTTTGCTTTCTAATGTTTCTGTGTTACTCCAGCTGCCTCCCTTTATTGCTGTCATATTACAATGAATGTTTTCTGCATATTTATGAAGAGCCTATTAGCAGCATAGACTTGATTTAAAGAACTTCTCCAGTTTATGAATACAGTTCATCTCTTGTGAATGAATTTAGCACTTTAATGCTATTTATTTACTCCACACCATAAAATGTACTATAATAAATAATAGGTCCCTTGGGCCTATGGTAAAACTCACTGATCATCCTCTCAGCAGGAAGATGAACACAACTTGAGTGGAGAAGTAACCATCAAAGTTCACCATGCTCACTGGGATGTCATTTATATACCTGAATCTAATAAAGACAGAATTACAGTGCTTAACATTGTGCTCACTACTAGCATCTGAATTCAGTGAGACTCAGGGAGGGAAAAGACTCAGTCACATTAGCAACATCTTAGAAGGTGATACAAAGTCTAAATTGGCAATTCAAATAAGAAAGTGTTCTTTAAAAGCATATAATGCTTAATTTCTTATGCTAAATACACAGTAAGTTAGTGTTTTCCATTTTCTTCACCCATGGAAAACCCTTAGTTTTGGAGGGTTGTGTTTTTGGTGGGGGATGGTAGGGGGCAGGGGATTGCTTCAAAATCTCTTCTCTGTCAATTCCATTTGGAGTTTTCAAGGCGACCCCAGCTGTCAGCTATCCATAAATGCAATATCTACAAGCCAGGACGTCTGTGTGGCATTTGGTCAGTAGGGCCATTCTGTTTTATGGTTGAAGTCCAGAAAGAGTCAATATATGAGTGTTCAAAACTCTTTCTAGATGAATGTATGCCTGATTATATTCTAAGATTATTTGGGTTATTTTTGTGTTATCTTTGTTTTTATTTGATATGATTTGCTTTTGTAGATATTTGTTCCTTTAAATAAATGGTCACAAATTTGAATGCTTAAAATTTGAAACCAGGCAGTGTATTATAGAAACAGTATAGGCCATAGTTCTGTATCAGGGAAGAGTTGACTTTATTCTGGAAGATTTTTAGGTCTGATTTACTAGTTGTCTACTTCTATGTGGACAAATCATTCTGCTTTGTAGATTATTTGATTTAGAGCAGACTACATATCTGATGGCTCTGCCAAGATGAATTAGCCCCTCACTACATCTCCAGATAACGGCGTAGGAGTGAGGAACTGTATACCGTATCCCTCTAAAGAGAGGCTTCAAAAAGCACAATCTTGATTTGGGTGGTTGGGAATTGTTCCTTTGTTGGACAGCTTTAATTATTAAATTGAGATGAAATATGCCAGCTTATGATTTTTAATACTAATTTATTCAACCTCAAAATTCCCAGTGCACCATTTGGTTCTCTTCTCAGGCAAATTGTTAGTTTCTGCCTTGTGTATTATTTATGCTTGTACTATGAATAAAGGATGTCTCATCTCTATGTGGCAATGTCGTCTGCTTCATGAGCTGACAGTTTTGAAGAGGAACATGAGACAGTCAGATCTGTTAGTGCAACTCAGTCAAGCAGGTGGTCGCAAAATTCGTGGCGTGAGAATTGCAGTCATTCATTCATTCATTCAAAAAATATTTATTGAGTGCCCGTTATGTACCAGGCACTGTTCTAGATACTAGATGGTACTCATCCTCTATATCTTCCTTGTACTCTATGAGAATAAGGTTGTTGTCTGATCGCCTTTTATCTTCTACTTCACCCGACAAAGTACATTACATTTAGAATGGGCGCAAAATTTTATTTTAAACAAGTAGCATACCAAGTATGCCTCTTTTGTTTTAGCTGCAACTGCTGGAATGGGACCGAGTATGCCTATTTTGAAGAGCAACATAGAGTAGTTCTAATCACTTTATGACACCCGTTAAATATTTCAATCACATTAGCCTCAAGTCTAGACTGAATAGCACCAGTTCTTCTTCTAAATAGTTTGGCTGCCCTTCTGTGAGTCTTTTCTAGTTGACTCTTGTCTCTTTTCATGTGTAGGAACCAGGACTGAAGACAGTAATTGTGAGAGGATCTAGCATGTACAAAGTGGAAGGGAGGGTGTTATGTTTCTGTGATTTATTACTTTCCCAAAAGATGTTTTATCAGCTACCACCCTATCCTTTTTTCCCCAAGGCATTCTTTTCTCTCTCTAATTAAGTAAATAAATTAATTAATAGGATATCTATGTGGTATCTAACTGTGTATACCCTTGAGCTATTTATTTTCCTATTTTTCTGGTCATTTTCATTAGTTAAAAGTCTGTTCTTAAGATCTCTTATTTACAGTAGGAGTTTCTTATGTATATTATAGAAAGCTATTCAAAAAGTTATATTCATTTAATCAAAAAATAAATTATTGGGGGGTATGTAGTAAACTCTGTGTGTGTGTGTGTGTGTGTGTGTGTGTATGTGTGTGTGTGTGTGTGTGTTGAGAACAAAGTGATGAATCACCAAGGCTTCAGAGTTCTTGCCTCCTTTATTCTGACAGTCATTCTTATTTATGCTGATAACATCTGTCTTATCCTTACAAGGTATTATTCTGTTTTATTAGAGCTCCCTGTTTCATATACATGAGAAAAAACTTAGTGGTTTAGTAATTCTTAGTGTCTCCCTTGTCTCTAATGTTTTGAGTTTTAGGAAAAAAGAACAGAAGATTCTTGTTAACATCTTTGTTACCGTTAAGATGTATTGTTGTTTCTAGGAACAAATGACAAATCCCATGTCTTTGTCATTCCATAAGCCTTCTACCAAATCCATGGGTCAAAGTGCCGTATGCAGGTGATTTACTGTGCTTGATTTGTTCCATGATTTCATCTTTAGACACTTCCATCTTTGTCAAGGCCATGCTAATCTCACCACAGAGAATGTATACTAGAATTTCTCAAATGTCAAATATATTGTGTACACTTAAAAAAAAGATTGTCATCTAAGTTTATCAATCATAAAAATAAAATTCCATAGTTTCAGTTTGCAATTACAAGCTTGTGTCTTAAAGTTTGTTTTGCTCCGATTTTTAATTTGGCTTTTTCTTTCTTTATACATTTCAGCTTCCTTCTTTCTCTAGGTTAATTTCGCAAATATTTCTTAAATGTTGGCTATGTGCAAAGAATTGTTTTAAGCACCTTAATAGCTACAAAGATAAGTAAGAGCTTATCTCTACTTTCTCCTACCCCAAGGCCACCCAAACCTGCTAATCAATCTTAAATCCTTCTCTTTCTGCTAAATATCATTAGAAGGCATCACTTTGAGGGCTTTTTTTGTATTAGTTGTAACTGAGGGATTTTTAAAATATTTTAATTGGTTATTATTGGTAGATATATTTGAGAGACCTTACATCACATAGTGAATTAGGATGTTTATTGAATGTCCTATAATGTGTTCAACAGTGTACTGTTGTTAAAAAGCATCATTATAATTGTACTCTAAAACTTGCAATTTTTAATGTCTTCATTGCCTCCTGCATTTGTTGAAATCAATAATAACCTTTTAAAAAGTATGAACTTTATGATATGTAAATTATATCGCAGTAAAGCTGCTATATAAAAAAGAATAACCTAAAGTATCTAAATTATATTATTGGGTGTTAAAACACAAATAGCCTTCTCTTGTTAGATTTAATCCCACATGTAACAAATTTGCTGGGCCATTTTGCAGCACCATAGATTGACTGCTTTATTCCACATACTACAGTTCTAAAACATGAGGAAATCTTAGTTAACTAATTGAAACACTCATTTGGATAAGAACTTGAGCATGGTTCAATAATTCTCAATTTCCCACTTTGCTTGTAAAACACAATGTAAGTATGGAATTACCCTCTTCACAGCTTATTGCACTATGTGTTCAGTCACAGAGAAATAATTTAAAGCAGTTCACTTCCAACTGTTTCCCTCATGCTGACCCCTTTCTTAAAGTAACGAATTTCTCAAGGTTATGTTTATTTTGAAATTATAAATTTAGTCACATACCTGGTTGGTTTCATTCTCCTTTTGTTGTTTTCCCCTTTGGAATTTCCACACTGTGTCACCAAGCAAGCTCTTGATTGCTCCCACCCTCTTTTTTTTTTTTTCTTCTTTGTTGAGACAGGTTCTTGCTGTGTTGCCCAGGCTGGAGTACAGTGGTATGAACACAACTCCCTGTATCCTCAACCTCCTGGGCTCAAGTGATCCTCCTGCCTCAGGCTCCCAGGTGGCTGGGACCACAGGCGCATGCCTCCACACCTGGGTAGTGTTTTTTGTTTTGTTTCTTTTTGTAGAGCTGGGGTCTTGCCATGTTGCCTAGGCTGGTCTCAAACTCCTGGGCTCAAGCATTCTCCCCGCCTTGACCTCCCAAAGTGCTGGAATTACAGGCATGAGCCACCACACCTGGCCAGCTTCCACTGTCTTTATGGCTCCTCGTCCTGCCTGGTTAATCTCATACTTCTTTCAATTAAATACTTTATTTTATTTTTTATTTTTGTGTTTATTCTTTATGCATTGAAACCGATGTCATAACTTCTGTTTTGTTAAAATCTTTAAGGCCCATCACATATTTATAATTTAGGTCCTTGCCTTGGTGTGTTTTCCTCAGTGCTCCCAACCATAGAAAAGCAGGACAAGTTTACAGTTGCTATTCATCTAAGTCTGATGCTTCTTTCCCATAAGTTGTTTTGGGAATTAAGCATCTTGCTGAAAGTGAATGTGCCATTTTGAAAATCTTAGCAAATTACATTTTCAGAATTTTATAGGGCCTTTTTTTCCCTTTCGCTACCTTTGTTCCAAATCATGCTTTTGAAACAATCTTTCTCCCAAAGCATTTCTATTAATAATACTTTTCAGTTCTCCCTCTTATAACTCATTGTGATAAATTACCTCCTCCCTCCATGATGTTAATGTTCTGGAGGCCTCTGAGAGTTCTCCTCATGGTGGAAGTCCACTACAGAGCTGCTGAGAGCAGAGCCTTTAGCCTGATGTTCCAGGAGCTCTTGCTACTGCCCCATCCATCCGTCCGTCCGTCCATCCATCCATCCATCCATCCATCCATCCATCCATCCATGAATGATTGCTGCTCTATCATGCCTCATAGCTGGCCCTGGGGAGTGGTTTTAGCTACACTTGAATTCCACCTTTTCCTCATAAAGTGGTATGGACATCATATTAACTATAACACTATTATAATCAGTTGACATTGCCAGTCATTATTTGAGACAGGTGTTTGTTCTTCTAGAATTTGCATTTTCTCACTGCAGAACACTGTAGAATGTTAAAGCTAAAAGATTGCTCATAAATGGCCATATGTGAGAACATGCAGTACATTAACTTGCTCATTTGTTTATGATTTAATTATGAGAGTAAGTGGAAAAGAAGGTTTAGAGTGGCTAACAAATGATACTGTCTCAATATTAAATAGTGGGGGCTTTGTTGTTGTTTTTATAAATTGGGTGAAAGTCCTTCATGCTTTTAATTTTTTTTATTTAAGTAATTTATATGTTTTCTCCCTTCCAAGGAATGAATTTTATTCTTCATCATAATCCCTGCAAATTAGAGGCTAAAAATCTTTGTTTTACATCTGGAGAACAAATGGATGTTCCTGCTTCATTCTCAGACAAGCAAGTGATTGATAGCTTTGATATCAGATTCTGAAATGAAATAAATTTTGTCTCAATTTGAGAGAAAATAGTGATAATACAGGTCCTTTCTGCCAACCAACTCAGGCATATGGGCCTTTTATTTTTTTGATCTTTTTTCATTCACTACAATTCTAAATTGAAAAATCTCACATTTTCTTCTAAAGTTGATTTAACAATATAGTTAACACTTAAAAATATCTAAAATAAAGAATATAACACATTCTACTGAAATAGGCAGCCAGCAGTTTATACATATTTGGTCTAATACATTCCTCACCTTACATAAATCTCCAGAAAAGCTATAGGAAGGAAACACATTCCCCTGACACGACAGGACGTAAAATGGATATAAACCAATTACTTTTTGCAGTTCCCAGAGTCTCAGGAATACTGACCCTTCTGACTTCATTTTCAAGCAAGAACTCTCCACCCCCATCTTGTAAGGAAAAATAATTGAGCTGAATTTCTAGCAAGAAGCGAATCAAGATTTTCAAAGAATAATTTCGCTAGGACCTATGGAGCAAATCACCTTTCAAACATGCCAAAGGTAGTTATTTGAATACATTTAAGCCCCTAATCACAGAAGTCTTTTGATGAACTTTTCCCACTTTAAATACATCAAACGAAGCAAAGAGAGTAGAGAAAGCCATTAGAAAATCATTATAATAAATACCAACATTGATCTACTTCTTCCCTCTCCTTTGGAACCTCCCCTTTCCTTGTTTTTAAACCTTTTAGTTGAGCTTTATATAGCAAAGTAATCAAACTCTCACAGGCCATTATAAAAGAAATTTAAATGATTTTTACGAAAACCATTTTCCTTGTTTAAGATTTCAGGGAACCTGGTCAGTACTGTGAGGGCTCAGTTTTTGGTTGTGACTTTCAAGTTGAACCTTTTTGATGGTAAATAGCCTCCTGCTTATGCCTGTGTGTTTTGACTTAAAAAAATCAATCTCTGAGAAAATGGGCTTCCATCTTCCTTTCAGCCCCGTCTCCTTTGATGATTGATGTTAATTCAGTAAGCTGCTGACCCAAGAAAAAAAGAATTGTTTGTGCTGTTGTTTTGAATAAATAAACTTACAAAGAATCAATGGCTGTAACTTAGAGAAATTAGGTAGTAGAGAGCATAAAGTCTCTGTCGTGTTTCTCATGTAAATAAAGCAAAGTAAAGGGCATTTCAGCACCAGATATCTTTTTGAATGATGAAAACTTGCTTCAAGGGCAATTTTTTTTTTAAATAAATGTTCTCTCTGTATCTATAGTGAGAAAGGTCTGTAGTTGTGACAAAAATAGGACACCTTCTACTTATTCACATAATAATTCGAATAAGTAGCGAAGCAAAGCAAATTCCTTAGTCACTGGGCCCAGCTTACATTCAATGTTGTTAGTATGTGGACTTCAGTCTTCCTACCATAGTTTAGAGAAAACTTTTTGAAGGACTTTGTAACACCATGATTCAATTACCTCCTCCTGGGTCCCCCCTACAACATGTGGGAATTCTGGGAGATACAATTCAAGTTCAGATTTGGGTGGGCACACAGCCAAACCATATCATGGAGCAAAATGATTAGCTTGCATATTGTATGAATTTGGCCTTTACTTCTCGGTGTTTCAGTTATCTCACTATGAGATAAGGAAGTGCCTCCTTCATCGGTTGTACGTTTTAGTTGTAAGGATTAAATAAATTAATACATATGAAATGCTTAAAACAGCACTAGATTTATAATATTCCATAATTGGTAGCCATTATTATTATTATTATTAGAGACAGTATCACACTCTGTAGCCCAGGATGGAGTGCAGTGGCATGATCATAGTTCACTGCAGCCTCAAACTCCCAGGGTCCATCAATCCTCCGGCCTTAGCCTCCCAAGCTGGGACCACAGGCACGTATAACCATGCCCAGCTATTTTTTCTTTTTTAAGAGATGGGATCTTGCCCTGTTGCCCAGGCTTGTCTCAAACTCTTGGACTCAACTGATCCAGGCACCTTGTCCTCCCAAAGTGCTGCGATTACAGGAGTAATCCACCATGCCCAGGCAGCTATTATCTTTATTACCTAAATAGATTTACTTGATTTTATGACTTTTATATTATCATTTACCAAAGTTGTAAATTTTTGTATTTTTAAAAAGTTTCCATTCTCAACCATTTTGGTATGAAATTCTTCACCCATAGTAATTTGAAAAGTATATGTTATGTGCTATTCTCGTGATAGTGAATAAGTCTCACGAGATCTGATGGGTTTATCAGGGGTTTCTGCTTTTGCTTCTTTCTCCCTTTTATCTTGCTGCCGCCATTATCACCTCCCACCATGATTCTGAGGCCTCCCCAGCCATGTGGAACTGCAAATCCAATTAAACCTCTTTTTGTTCCCAGTTTTGGGTATATCTTTATCAGCAGCATCAAAACAAACTAATACACCCCATGTCTGGAATTCTCATACCAGGTTTATACCATTAAGTTTGTTGGAGTAACACTCAGATAAGCGTGGATGGCATTGTGGAGGAAGGGCAAACCCTGAGCACTTTCTTAAGCCACCTTTCTCATGCACACATTATTATTCCCCTGCCTGCTAGTCATCTACCACATGTAAAGTAGTGGCAAACATCAGACGCTTTTACCACCACATAGAGTTTGAGGCTCTCAGTCAAAATGACTCAAATGCCGCACCTGCTCGGTCCCAGAGCACATTGTTATTTTCTCAAGTACCGATACGTGCTTTTGAAGGAAAGGAGGTAGTGCAGACATGGCAAAGGGATGTATGGATTTACCCTCTTGTGCTGAACACCATGAAATGCTTTTCTTTAAACAAGTTGGTTTTCTGATCTTACAGAGATGTTGTCATTCTGTGAAAGGGGGAAAACTGTGAAGGCTCATTTAAAAGTCCTCCCTTCTCACCTTGATTTTCTGAGCACTATGACTCTTTTGAATGTCATCTCTCCTCCTGGTCTTTTACCCCTCTCTTTCTTTGTGGGACCTGACTTCTCCTTCCCCTTGTGTTTATATTGCATAGCTCATTCTAGCTGACACATTTTGTTAGTGTTATCAGAGAGATTAGAAGGAGTAAAGTCACTGAGAGTGTTGTTTCTCCTTCTTCCAGGTCAACAGGCTTACTTTCAAAGATAGCACTCCTTGTTTGCTCTGCTTGGGCCATAATTGAGCAGTATCAAGTTTGCAGTTTATTCTACGTCTGACTTGTTAATTTAACTCACAGTGTACTGATTTTATATGCAGCGTTGGTTCATATCTTGGGGCTCAGAATCTAACATATATATTAAACTGTCAAGACACTGGCAGTAGGAGAATGAATGCTTCATAATTTGATCATCTGAGCCATTTTAACTAATATCTGTATCTTTTGAATCAAATGAAAATATACTGTGATAATTATTCTTTCACTGAATGTTAATTAAGTGTTGTTTTAAGGTTAGAATTATGAAAATAATTTCTAGTAAAGCCCCCGTTTAAAAGCTCTACCCCTAAAAATAAAACAAGAAAAGCAAGGAAAAAGAAAAAATTCCTACCCCACATAGCACATTGTCTCTTTTTTCCAATTTCGGGGCACTCATGTGAGATTGTAGGCATTCTTCAACCACGAAGCAACTTTACCAACTCTGTTAAAATTGCCACTTTTAACATGGGGAAAAACAAGATAATATTTATTAACATCAAAATATAACAAGCTGGTAAATATCTTTACTATAGATCTAAATGCACAAAATATAGGGCTGCAAAATAAAAGACCTAGAAAATATAATTTTTTCTTTTTTCAAAATTAAGCATAGCATATTGAGCAAATGATCACAAAGTACATCCAAGTTAGTTTATACATGTTTAGCAATCTGTCCTATATGATTTAGAAAGCTACGGGATCACATTTGCTGTTTTAAATATTTATTGTTCTGCCATAGCATACACTGCTTATCCAAATTATTTAGACACCTCTACTTTAACGAACTATAACTCGTAGATCCTACTTAGCATAGATATAAGGAACTTGAGTGAGAACTGGTCATATTGCTCAGAAAAGATGTCTCAGGATGTAGTATCATTCTTGCTTTACAAATCAAAGTGTTCATCCTTCATGATAAAAAGGTTATTTAAAATATCAGAATACTTTATTCTTTGAGTTGTGCAATGCGCTCATAACTTTGTAAAAGATTCAAAATTGATGGTTTAAATATTATGTGTAAACTTGATATGCTTCTAAAGACAATTATAGTACAAATTACCATATTTTGGATTGGTAATTTGAAAAATACTAAATTACTTTGACTTTTTAATAATTTGGTTTGATAAGGTAGAAGGCTTTTCCATGATATCTGATAGATTTGTGGGTTCTATGTCTAAGAAAATGCAAGAAAGAAAAAATGGTGAAGAAAATATGTTAGAAAGGACCCCATAAAAAGAAAATGAAAGGACTTTGATTCCTGGCAAGGTTGAGTGCTAAAATATGTGGTAAATTTCCAGTACAAAGGAGTTAGAAATGTTGGGTAAAATGCAATAAACTTCTTTTTAAAAAAGTATTGTTGACCTTCTTTAGAGAGTAAGCGGTCTCCTGGGCATGCAAATAAAGAGGAAACTAAAAACCAGAACAGTAAATGGACACTGATATTGCAGCTGCCTTGGGGCATTTGTCAGCCTCAGGAACCTAGAGGTCCAAGTTTTAACAGCTGGATCACTACTGAAGACAGGGCCTTGGGCCTGTACAAGAGGGGATGGAGAATTGAAACCTCCTTTTTATAAAGCATGTAATTTTTGAAGGGTTACCTCGTCAATTAAAGGGTAGAATAGAAAAAAATCCAATCAGCAAAGGGAGATGGCAAGGAAATTTGTCTTGGCAAAAGCAAGCAGTTCTTCTCTTGAGGAATTTGCCTTCAATTTAGGCCTTTGTTCTTCCCATGGATAAAGTCTTCTAAAACATGAGTTCACAACCCCCAATCATAGAAATATACAGGGAATATGTAACCATAAGCTGGAGTCAGCAGAAACAATAAGCAGTTGGTATGGTCAGGCTTTGCGTCCCCACCCAAATCTCATTTTGAATTGTAATCTCCATAATCCCCACGTGTTAAGGGAGAGACCAGGTGGAGGTCATTTAATCATGGAGTGGTTTCCCCCACTCTGTTCTTGTGATAGTGAGTTCTCATGAGATCTGATGGTTTTCTAAAGGGCTCTTCCCCCTTTGCTCGGCACTTATCCTTCCTGATGCCTTGTGAAGAAGGTGCCTTGCTTCCCCGTCACCTTCTGCCATGATTGTAAGTTTCCTGAGACCTCCCCAGCCATGTTGAACTGTGAATCAATTAAACCTCTTTCCTTTATAAATTACCCAATCTTGGGCAGTTTTTTATAGTAGTATGAAAATGGACTAATACAGCAGTTCAGTTAGTTCCCAATAACTTTAGAAATGAGATTTCTGATTACAGAATATCAAATGTCTATGTTTTAAACATTTAAGAAATAGAAATTGAATAAAAACATAGTAAAAGTAGTAAAAGATTAAGATGCTGCCAGAGAAGACTAGGCCGACTTGAGAAAGAACAAGTATACCTCTAAAAATGAAAATGTTAAATATTTAAAAATTTCTATAAATTTAAGGTGTACAAGTGCATTTTTGTTGCATAGACATATTGCGTAGTGGTGCAGTCTGGTCTTTTAGTATAGTGATCACCCAAATAATGTACATCATACCTATTAATTTCTCATCCCTCACCTGCCTCTCACCTTTCCAAGTCTCCAGTTTCTATTATTGCTCACTCCATGTCCATGCGTACACACTATTTAGCTTCCACTTGTAAGTGAAAACATGAGTATTTGGCTTTCTTGTTTCATTTAAGATAACCGCCTCTAATTCTATCTATGTTGCTGCAATAGACATGATTTTATTCTTTTTCGTGGATTAATGGGTTATCATGAGATTGGGACTGGTGGCTGTGTAACCAGAGGAAGAGAGACCTGAGCTAGTACAGTCAGCCCCCTGCCCATGTGATGCTCAGCACCACCTCATGACTCTGCAGAAAGTCCTCACCAGATGTAGCCCCTTGACCTTGGACTTTCCAGCCTTCATAACTGTAAGAATAAATTTATTTTCTTTGTAAATTACCCAGTTTTAGGTATTATAAGCAACAGAAAATGGATCGAAACATATTTTGAGTTCAGAATTTCTGTATTGGCATTTCCTTCCTCTCATTGCCTCTTAGCATTTTTTTCCCACACCATAGGACTCTACTGTTAATGAAAACCCGATAGTCCTATAGACAGTTGTTTTTGGATAAACACAGCAATTGATGCTTCTGGCCCTAAAGTTTGAAACTTAACATTTGTTTTGTCTGACGTCCTTCCTCAGGAATGGACTTTCAGGCCTCCCAAAAAAGTATCTAAGAATCAAAAAGTAGGCTAAGGACATGGACAGTTCTCAAAAGAACATATACAAATTGCCAATAAACATATGAAAAAATGCTCAACATCACTAATGATCAGGGAAATGCAAATCAAAACCACAATGCGATACCACCTTACATCTGCAAGAATGGCCATAATAGAAAAATAATAGATGTGGGTGTGGATGTGGTGAAAAGGGAACTTTTACACTGCTGGTGGGAATGTAAACTAGTACAACCACCATGGAAAACAGTGTAGAGATTCCTTAAAGAACTAAAAGTAGAAGTACCTTTTGATCCAGCAATCCCACTACTGGGTATCTGCCCAGAGGAAAAAAAGTCATTATACGAAAAAGATACTTGCACATGCATGTTTGTAGCAGCACAATTCGCAATTGCAAAAATACAGAAACCAGCCCAAATGCCTATCAATCAATGAGGGGATAAAGAATTTTGTGTGTGTGTGTGTGTGTGTGTGTGTGTGTGTGTGTGTGTGTGTCTGTGTGTGTGTGTGATGGAATACTACTCAGCCATAAAAAGGAACGAATTAATGGCATTTGCAGCAACCTTCATGAAACTTGAGACTATTATTGTAAGTGAAGTAACTCAGGAATGGAAAACCAAACATTGTGTGAAGTTCTTACTCAAAAATGGGAGCTAAGCTATGAGGATGCAGAGGCATAAGAATGATACAGTGGACTTTAGGCACTCGGGAAAGGGTGGGAGGGGAGTGAGGGTTAAAAGACTACAAATTGGGTTTAGTGTATACTACTCAGGTGATGGGTGCACCAAAATCTCCCAAATCACCATCAGAGAACTTACTCATGTAACCAAATACCACCTGTTCCCTAAAAACCTATGGAAATAACAAATTAAAATATTATATTTAAAATTAAAGAAAAAAAAACTGAAACTCACCAGATCACTAAATCCAGACAATAAGATGCTGGACCCCTCATTCACCATAATTGCTTCCTTGCCCATCCCTAGTTCCCGTTTTCTTTACAGATTCTTTCATTTCTTCGCTGCTATATAAACCCTTAGTTTTGGTCAGTCAGGGAGATTGATTTGAGACTGAGTTCCTGCCTCTTTGGCTGTAGCACCTGACTGAAGCCTTCTTCCTTTGCAGTAATCACCATCTCAGTGACTGGCTTTCTGCACAGTGAGCAGCAGGACCTAGACTGAACTTCTGGTGTTTCTGTAACATTAATACAAGTGCTAATTTTTCTCCTAACTAGTTATATTCTTCAATCTGTCCTTAAAAAATAATTCAAACAATTGGTCATTATTTTAGCTTAACTAGCTTTTAAATCAGTTACCATGAAATGTGACTTGGAAAAAAAAACCCGTTAGATAAAGATATTTATTTAACATAAATATTTTCATTGCATCTTAAAATACTAGTGTATAACTCTAACAAACTGTGTGTATACAGGCATGTGTGAAATTTACTTTTTTTAGGATTAGAGAACATCTATATTTGCCTTCAAGCTCCCTTAAAATAGTTTAGGGAACCATTTAGCATCACTTTCCATGCCATTGAACTCAGAGTTAAAATCGTGATTGAGATACTTATAATGCAAATAGAAATGTCCCGAGGTCATTGTGTAATTTTATAGGGGTCTTCACCAAAGCAAGGAAGAAGGCAGTAAGTTTTATAGCGTGATAGGTGGCCTTTATGTGAAGTGGGTTGAAATGTTGCTCTCTGTGTAGGCACACAGTGCATGGAATAGGCATTTCATTATGTTCATATCTACCTGTATTTTTCCTTTGATCAATGCATATGTTTGATTAAACAGAATGAAAATCTACAAAAGTGAAAATACGTATTGAAAAAAGTAATAGCGGTAAAGCAGTATCTTGCAGCTTTTTACTTTGAGTCCCAGTGGATTAGCGATTTTACTTTACTCTAGAAATGACAGTATAGTGATGATTATTTTTCTTTTGGGACTGATAAGAAAAGAAATGGTGCCCAATTATATTAGTCATTAGTATTCTTTGTTATAAGTATTATGGGAAGCTTGTGGAGCTAGAAGAACGTGGCCTGAATATATTTTTAAACAAGTAAATTATCTTTCAGTATTGGCAAAAAATGTAGTTTGTCTGCCTTAGAAAAATAAAACGTTCATACATAATTTAGCTTGTCTGTCATTTTAAACAATTCAGAAGGCATAGCCCTGTCGTCTAGGCCTATTTTTTTTTTGTCAAGAGATGCTTCATTGGTTCCTGTGTGAAAGTGTTGACATTTATATTACACTCTGAATACTTAAGAAACCAGAGGATTCCAGTTCTTTTGGAATTAACCAATGGTATCTCATCTACTAGTCAGGCATTCACAACATTGTGTGCACATGCTGAATTTGTGCTAATGGCTTCTTGCCATAGGTACATTTTGTGAATGTGACTATTTATATAGCTTCTTTCATATATGGCCCAGTCCTCATTCCCTTGTAGCCACCCTCCTTCCCCAAATGTGTTGCTTTATGTTGAATAGTTTGGAAAAGAAACACAATCTGGAAACTATGCTGTGGTCTCTTAGGTAGAATAACCAACACACCCAGCAATTTCTCAGTGAATGGCTGTCATAGTAGAGGTGATTATTCATGATCATGATGAAATACTTTCCCTGACCAATTTAAGCTTCCTCCTTTAGTGTTTTCATAGTTCCTCTTACATCTGTTTACTCTAACACATATAAAATACAGAAAGCTGAGCAGTCTCATGGCCTAATTGAACAAACCAGCCCAACAGTGAGGGCTATGAAGGAATTGTTAAAGAAAAAAAAATCAGTTAATTCATGATACCTGTTAAAGATAGAATTTATTCAAGGGGGGCTACTACAATGGGGTTTTGTAGTGGGGTAGAAAGATCAGTTTCAACTGCGAATATGTCAAGGAGAAGTAGAGATTTATAGCCAAGGATATGGATGTGGCTCACCGTATGGAAAATTACTAAGAAGAAACATCAAGGGTAACAGTGTTCTGGCTAAACCAACTTGATAGGATTATTGCTGAAGGCAGGCCAAGGTGGTAAAACACGGAAGGCAGGGATTAAAGAATTTGACTAGATATCAAAGGTAGTCAGATATCAAGGGTGGGGAGGAGGAATTTGATCAGATATTCAGGGTGAGGGACTTTTCCTCAACTAACCCAGTAGGATTGTTGCTAAAACTGGACTGAAGGAGCCAAGGACAGAACCCAAGGTCAGGGACCTTCTCAGAAAGAGGGCTCAGAGGAGCCAGACTCAGGTTTGGTCAGGGGAAAGAATTGTCAGAAGACAAAATTACAACAAATTTAGCTTAAAGATCTTAATTGACCTTTATTTGCAATTTTAGAATCAAGCAATGCCTCATTCCATAAAGTAGAATGAGTGTTTTGATGAGCTGAGCAGATGAGGTTGGCTTTACAGACTAAAAATGGCTGTGGAAAACAAAAACAGACTGCAAAAATTGGATTGGTCATTTCAAAGCTCTTTTTTTAATGAAAGTTAAAGCACAGGGAACTTCTTTATCATGCCAGCTAAAACTGGCCTGTTTGGAGATTTGGCTATCATCTCTCTCCTGGTTCCCCAGAAGGTCAGATAAATAACTTGCTTTCAGCTTGGTGGCTTGGTACTTCAGCATGAGTTATTCCATTTTGGTTTGGTCTCTTGGGTGTAGTGCGGGAGCTCAGTCCAAACCAATAGCCTCCTGTAAATTTTATTTAACAGTCTTTGTCAGAATAAAGATATTTACTTTTAATTTTCTTGAAGAGGAGAAAGTCACTTTTTAAGATTCACTTCACAGCAAAACTTTGTAAAAGCCCTCGTGAGATACCTCCTCCTCAGCGCAAAGTTTGCAGTCATGGCAGCAGCTAAAAATGTGCCTACAGGCCGCATGCCACCATGCCATCTCCCTGTTACCATTACCTTCTTCTTTCTCTCCTTCCTGCTGATGCAGCAGTGCCTCCTTGGATACAGGATCATTCCTGCTCTAGGCTTTTTCCTGAGAGGGGCAGCTCTCCTGGGATTCTGGCGAATCAAATGCTTCATCTCAACAGATTTGTTTATATTCGCCCCTTTTCCATGTGGTGGGAGGAAAAACTTTTTCACTACTTTCTTTAATTCAATGCTTGGGGACTGCTGAATTAGAATAACAGAAGACAGATTAACAGGATAAAAGTTACACAGTTTTTATTAATATTTACATACATGGGAGTTCACAGAAGAGAAAATCAAAAAAGTAGTCTCAGGGTCTTGTATCATTCAAACATAGGACAGGGCGGATTGGGCTTCAAGGGGTCATAAATTGTGGGGAAGTGACTAGGAATATGGGGGAAACTAATGGAAGATAGGATTATTTTAGTAAGGGTTGCTAATTCAGTCTCATCCAGGTGCCGACTCCTCATCTTGTGATAACTTGTGATAAGAGTTGCTCTCCTTTCTGTGGTCCGGAAGTACGGAGCACCCTCACAAGGGAAATTTCTGCCCTGCTTTTAAGCAGATAAGGGAGGGCAGAGAACTCTTCTGCATCTGTTCATTCTCACTTGCCTTCAGCTCAAAATAATCCTTGTGTTTGAGCAGCATATTTTAGGGTAGTATATCCTCATCTCCTTCATCCACAAAAGATTTAAGGTGGTTTTTACAGATGCAATTAAGTAAGCTAAACTTAATGATATATGAGAAATATGAAACTAATGAAATGATGGCTCAAAAAGTCAGAAGCAGCCATTGATGTTAGTGGTTGGAGATGGACTGTGAATATGTCTTGAGCTTTCCAGCAGTCAGCACAGAGATGCACATAGATATACCTCATTTGATTCCTTGGGTCTATCATATAAAATAAACCATTTGCTCAGAAGAATTATCTGTTCCTGGGAATGGGATAGCTTCTAGAGATTCTCTTGAAGATAATACTTTGTAATGTAATGCGTATATTTTTAACAATGAAGTAAATGCAGTACAACAGAGTAAATAAAATATTAATAATACATATTTACTGAGTATATTCTGTATGCCAGAAACACATTAGGTATGCTGGATATGTAATAGTGAACCAGACAGACATGACCTGTGTCTTCAAGGAGCTTATAAATATAATGGGGAGAGACAGATAATAAACAAGAAGTAAGCGAGCAAAAATATCAGATACTTATGAAATCCAGTAAGTGGCAGGTAGGAAATCACCAGGGAGTAATACAATAAAGAATAAAATTAGGTGGCCACTTTGAGAAGGTTCAGCCAAAGTTGCTTCCTGGGGAGATGTATTCAAGTTGAGAATGAAAGGTTCTGAGGTGAGGAAGAGCTTAGCACATTTCAGAAATTGAAAAGCAGCCAGTGTGCTTAAAATAAGGCTATGCTTAAAATCACAGGAAGCCTTCACATGGAAAAGTTGCTACCCTTTGACCATCTCCACTGTGTACGTCATAATCTCATGGCTGATGTTTCAGTCTGCTGTTGGAGAGACCATCTCATCTCTGATGGGAGGAAAAATAATATAGAGGGAATAATGATAAGGCTGGGTCAAGAGTGTCTTTGGAAGACGTTCACTTCTCACCTATGCATAAATAGTGAGGCTATGGAGTATGTCTGTGGTAGTTTTAACCTGAAAAATTTATGAAGCAGTAGTAACAAAAAAACTACCTTAGCGCCAATAAACCTAAGTAGAAAAGACAATCAAGCCAAAAGTAATCCTCAAGAGAGTATTTCTAGAGTCCAGCTATGAGCAGTAGAATTTCCTGGCATACTCTCCAAATGTGATTGCAAAATATACACATTATTAGTTGTAAAAAAAAATAGTTTTTACTAAAGTCTTTTCTCTACCAATCTAGGAATTACTCATTGTGTGCTTTTCTTTTTACAGCATCGCAGGCTTTATTATTTGTGTCTCCCCTAACTGAGCTCAGATCAATGGTGTACAACTCTTTAACACCACCTCCTGCCCTGGGACACTCACAGGGTCTTTGGACCTTTTATGGGAAATCTCAGGAAATTATTGTTGTGTGAATGGGAAGATGGAACAAATCCCAGATACTTGTTAAACACTTCCATCTTATCCATATTTGAGTGATTCCACTTCCATAATCTCCCCTTCCAATGAATCAGAATCCCTCTGGATTGCCAGTTGTGAGAAAAGAAAATATTTTAAAAGTCAATAGAGTTCTTAGTCCTTTTCAAACTTAGTACTCAGTCTGTGTCCAGTAGCAATACGTATCAGTCTCTGTGTAAAAATCAGTGTATGTTCATGTACGTTTTTATTCGAGAGTTTTCCAACAGCACCTTAACCTTTCTCCTCCTCCTTAGAATTAGTATTTCTCAATAATATTGTCAATGAAGTAGAAATTAATTATTTGCCACATGTTCGGTACTGTGCTAAGCGCTTCACATGTTATTTTATTCCATTTGTACCTTGGTCCTATGAAGTATGTCCTGTTGTATCCTCCTCCTTGTTTTGGATAGGGAAACTGAGGTCCAGAGAATTTAAGTACCATGCCCCTTGTATTAGGGTTCTCTAGAGGGACAGAACTGATAGGATAGATGTATATATGAAGGGGAATTTAGTAAGAAGTACTGAGTCACACGATCATAAAGTGAAGTTCCACAATAAGCTGTCTGCAAGCTGAGGAGCAAGGAAGCCAGTCCGACTCCCAAAACCTCAAAAGTAGGGAAGCCAACAGTGCACCCTTCAGTCTGTGGCCAAAGGTCCGATAGCCCCTGGCAAACCACTGGTGTGAGTCCAAGAGTCCAAAAGCTGAAGAACTTGGAATCTGATGTTAGAGGGCAGGAAGCATCCAGCATGGGAGAGGGATGTAGGCCGGAAGACTCAGCAAGTCAAAATTCTTCCACCTTCCTCTGCCTGCTTTATTCTAGCCCTGCTGGCAGCTGATTAGATGGTGCCCACCCTGCTTGAGGGTGGGTCTGCCTCTCCCAGTTCACTGACTCAAATGTTAATCTCCTTTGGCGACACCTTCACAGACACACCCAGGAACAATACTTTGCATCCTTCAATCCAATCCGGTTGACACCCAATATTAACCCATCACACTCCTAATTACACAGTTAGAAAGTCGTGTAGCCACGATTCAAACAAACCCAGGCAATCTGATTCCAGGGCCCACTCTCTTGATAATCACATGGATTTAAATCAATAAAAAAAATATAAAATGCTGTCTATATTCTCGGCATGGGTGATAGAAAAATAGCCGTGTAGATAAACCTAGCCTCCGTAGTCCCTGGCAGAGAAAGGCTGTAAGGAAAGTGTCTTTTCTGTAAGAGGAAGGGGAAGCAGGATAGGAAGACACAACTAAGGTCTCAGATGAGGCTTCAGAAAAGAGATTATTTATGACATAAGCTTCAGTGGGTATGGCCAGGTTGTGTAGGGGTGTTCAAGGCTGAAGAGATAATGCTTACCAGGGAGTCTCACAGAGTAACCCCTGGATGAACATCTCTTAAGATTGTTAGAAATGCTGGCTGGGTGTGGTGGCTCATGCCTGTAATCCCAGCACTTTGGGAGGCCAAGGTGGGCGGATCATGAGGTCAAGAGATTGAGACCATCCTGGCCAACATGGTGAAACCCTGTCTCTACTACAAATACAAAAATTAGCTGGGCGTTGTGTGTGCCCGTAGTCCCAGCTACTTGGGAGGCTGAGGCAGGAGAATTGCTTGAACCCGGGAGGCAGAGATTACAGTGAGCCGAGATCACGCTGATGTACTCCAGCCTGGCAACAGAGTGAGATTCCTTCTCAAAAAAAAAAAAAAAAAAAAATTGTTATAAATGCTAAGTCTCAGACCTATGGAAGCAGAAACACTGAATGTTGGGCCCTGAAATCTGCATTTTTAAAGCCTTTACAGGTCATCCTTAGGTATGCTCAAACTTGAGAACCGCTATAAATGCTCAGAAGATGAGAGAATGTGACTTATTTCAAGAATTACAATATTATTTCCATTCCTCTCCCTTGCAACCTAAAAGAAACAGAGTTGTTTATCATACTGAAATTGTCTACCTTTGGTCTAACAGTATGTGTAAAGAAAAGCAATTGAAGATATATTCTCATTTCATTTATTTTTATTTTTTAAATTGTTACATAATGTGCATATTTTGGGCGTTCTTCTGAAATTTTGATACGTGCTTACAATGTGTAATGATCAAGTCAAGGTAATTGGGATATCTGTCACTGTAAACATTTTTCTTTATGTTGGGAACATTCAGATTCTTCTAGCTATTTTGAAATATGCAGTAAATTACTAACTGTAGTCACCCTATTGCACCATCATACTCTAGATCTTATTCCTTTTAACTGCATTTTTGTACCTATTAATCAACCTTTCATCATCTTCCCTTCCCACTACCTTTTCTTTGTGCAATGGCGCAATCTCAGCTCACCGCAACCTCTGCCTCCTGGGTTCAAGCGATTCTCCTGCCTCAGCCTCCCGAGTAGCTGGGATTACAGGCATGCACCACCATGCCCGGCTAATTTTGTATTTTTAGTAGAGATGGAGTTTCTCTATGTTGGTCAGGCTGGTCTGGAACTCCTGACCTCAGGTAATCGGCCCACCTCGGCCTCCCAAAGTGCTGGAGTTACAGGTGTGAGCCACTGCGCCCGGCCCCCACTACCCTTTCTAACTATGGTAATCAACAATCTACTCCCTATCTCCATGAGATTCATTTTTTTTTTTTTACCTTACCACATATGTGTGAGAACACACAACATGTCTTTCTGTGCCTGGGTTTTTTTATTTAACATAACGACTTGCAGTTCTATCTATGTTGTTGCAAATGACAGCTTCCCATTCTTTTTAATGGCTGAGTGATATTTCAATGTGTGCATGTATTGTAGTTTCTTTATCCATTTATCTGTTGACAGACTCTTAGGTTGATTCCATATCGTGGTTATTACGAATAGTGTTGCGATAAATATGAACATATAGGTATCTTTGATATATTGATTTTTTTTATTATATGTCTAGCATTTTTTTTAATAAGAAAGTAGACTTTGTGGATAGCAGGTTTCCACATTTCACTTTCACTTTTCACCTCTTTCTCAATAGTTGAATCCCTTCCCAACTAGCCTCTTACTCTTAAGAGACTTCATATTATTTAATAATGTTATAATTAACTAATGACATATTATTTAAGTATTGGGGTAAAACCAAACCATCATCACCTTAAATAAGTCTGTATTGATAATTGTTGCAGTGATATAGAGATAGCACCTTTTCTAGTCCATTATCATTGATGTTCATTGAGTTGTCTCAGCAATTTACAAATTTGAAATGGAATTCCAGAGGCATCTGAATTATGCTTATCCTAACAATTATGTTGTATGAATCAAATGCTATTACAGTAAAAGCCAAGGGGACCATCCAAATTCATTTGTTATACTGAAACACAACTGTATGTGGGGATTGCTTGAAATAATGTTTTATTATATGAAGATTAACATATAAATATGGTTCAAATGTTTTTCATGTTTTAGAGGTTATTTGTACTGCTTCTTAGGTCATTAAAAAATAAAACATTTTACTGATCAAGGGGCATTTAAAGCATGACAGTGTTAAAGTATGCCCCGGCTGGCAAAGCGGACTTCCTGTGGCTAACTGAGGTGCTCATTAAACAGATCAGGTGGCCGTGGCTGGGTGAGGGAGCAGTCATGTACTCTGTGTTTTGCAGAGATGCTGTTAAAGTGTCACAGGACCTCCCTTTCTACGATCATGCCAAACCAGTTTCTGTTGTCAATGCAGAGATAGGCTGTAGCTGGAAGTCCCCCAGCTGACCACCAACAGACCACCTGACACCAACCAACTGACCACTGAACCAGCCAATTAAGAAAGACTGGTGATTTAGGGCTTAAAGGTCATCCAGTCAATACTATTCCTCACTCCCCTGACTCTCCTCCTCTGTCCTACAGTTTTTGCCTTCATAATCTCTGACTCTTCAACCCATCCTCAGAGCCAGCACATTTTCAGTTTGCACTGTAGGTTTCTGGTCCCCAATCTGCATATTGCTTATAGAAAATATAGCTCCTCTTTTTTTTCCCCATGTACCTTATGGTCTTATATTAACAGTATTTTAAATGCAAAACAAACGTATGTTTCCACTCAAATTCTGGTCTCTTTTTCTGTATAATCTTTGTTGTTGTTGTTGTTGATATTGACAAGAGAATAACATAATTATTGATTTCTTATAGCTGCTTTAGAGCAGTGCATTAATCCCACTTTCCTCTTTACTATGTTTCTGTTGTTGCATTTACCACAATTTTATTTAATTTCTTTGTTTACACATCAGCCTCTCCCTTACTATGTCATGAGGGCAAAATGTCTTATTTGTCACTATATCTCTTGTCCCTGGAACATTATTAGTGTAGTTTTTCTTTCTGATGATTTTACAAATGGCTCAATTAGTCAATCATGTGCAATAATTCATTTAATAAACATTTTTTGAGCACAGACTTTGTGTTAGTACTGTTACCTGTTGTAGGAAATTTGTTCTAAGTCCTGGCTGCATCATGTTACTTAGGGAACTTTGAAAGAGGCTCTTTACTCCTACACTCCATCCCTGGTGATTCTCATACTATAGGGTAAGGCTTGGGACCTGGGAAGTGTTTGTTTGTTTGTTTGTTTTAAAAAAGCTCTCATAGTAATACTAGTGTTCTGTCATGCTTCAAGATAAAGAGATTGTCCTTTCACTAGACTGGATATATCATATTCTTCCTTTTCTTTGATTAATATCTTTGTCTCTGTTTTTTTAAATTTTTTGTTTCTATTCACAAGAAAAAAATAGAAATTGGGAGACTTGAGTAGCTTATTTTCAAGTTTAAGGAATGGGAAGGCACTTCAATATAGATTATCTTATTTCACTTAATAATTTTGTAAAGTAAATGTTATTATTTCCCTTTTTTCCATTGAGCATTGAAGGTTTTTAAAACTTACAGAAAGCCACAAAACGAGTTAATGTTAGAATATGGCTTGGAATCCAGAGGTGTGTAACTCCAGAGCTCATATTCTTTTCCCTTAATTAAAAGCAATGTTAAAGAAAAAAATTATTCTTGGCACTTGTTAAAGATGGTGAGGGAGGCTTTATTCAAGGGGCCTTGGCCATAGGTATGGGGACCACTGCGATGGGGCCTCGCAGTGTGGGAGAGAGATTGGGCTCTACCCTGATTCCAACAAGGACAAGTGGGGATTTATAACCAAAGAGCATGTGGTGCAGGATTGGGTGGAAAGTCCCTAAGTGGAAGCATCACCTGCAGGGGGTTTCTGGCTAACCCGACTTGATAGGACCACTGTTGAAGGCATGCCAGATGATAAGTTATCCACGGTGGTCAGATACCAAAGGTGGGTGATTTTCCCTAAACTGACTTAGGATTCTTGCTCTAATTGGATTCTACAAAAGCAGAGAGGGAAACCCAATGTCTGCTTACTCAGAAAGGACTCAGAGGAGGCTGGCTCAAGTTTAGGTCAATGAAGAGAGTCTATCACCAGCTCTGCTGTAAAACCAAAGTTAGCTGTTTTATAAATGTGTTGTACTGACTGCATATGTGTTCTGTTTTAAAAACAGAAGAAAATGAATGAGTTATTTCATTAAAAAATGTAAATAATTTATGAAAAAAAATTATGTTGATTTATGTGTGTGACCTTGGTTGTGTTGTGTTTTGTTTACCCCTGCTCTCTGTATCAGTGCCTTTCCGCGGCGGGGGTGGTGGTGGGGGAATCCTGGTCTATTGTTTTTTTAAAAAACATTGTGTATAGTTTAAGTAGTGCCTTCACTTCTGTGTTGAGACTGTTATTCTTAAAGAACATGCAGGCCAGTTGTGGTGACTCATGCCTATAATCCCAGCACTTTGGGAGGCTGAGGCAGGATGATCGCTTGAGCCCAGGAGTTGAAGACCAGCCTGTGTCTCTACAAAAGACACAAAAATTAGCTGGGTGTAGTGGCGCCCGCCTTTAGTCCCAGCTACTTGGGAGGCTGAGGTGGGAGATGCACCTGTGTGTATGAGGTTGAGGTTGCAGTGAGCCAAAATCACGCCACGGCACTCCAGCACAGACACCAGAGTGGTGTCAAAAAAAAAAAAAATATAGAAGATGCGATGCATATAGATATACAACTATTTTTTCACACTACAGACTAGACTATATAACTATTTCTTAAACTTACAAAAACAGCAACCTATATTCAGTGTGCACATTAACACACTCTGTGCCTTGTTTTTTTCTTATGGCAAGTATGTTGGCTATTGTTTTTCTGTCTTGGTGGCTTTGAGGCCATGTACTGTGATTTTGCATAGCATGTTAAGGTTTAGCAGTTGATGGTTAATTTATTTGTGTATGATGTGTGTCTGCAATATGGAAATTAAAAGCTGACTGTAACAATAAATTATGAAAATGAAAAAGTAGGCAATAAAATAGGCATGTGCTTTGCAAGTTCTATAGCATTATATTGTATTTCTTGTAAAACTGCACTACCTTGAGGTTGCTTTCTAGAAGTAATGTTATTGTTTAGTATCAGCATTCACTTTTTTTAGAATCACATTGATAGATATGATGTAAATATTTGCACAGGTGAAATTAAAATACACAGTAAAGAGGATAGTTCGAAATCTTAAGAGAGGGATATATTTAATTTAGAGTGTTTAAAATGCATGTTCTTACACTCTTCTCTCTGTTTGGAATTCTCTTTCCCTTTTTTGCTCCTGGAGCAAATTGGTTTGCAGCCCCTCAGGTCCATTCCTCAAAAGAGCCTTCTCCGCCTGACACTTTCCTAGACTGAGTCAGTGTTTTTTCCCCCAGTCTGTACCTGCAATGGTTTTTTTAAGTGTATGTCTTATCAACCTAAAATAAGCAACAGAAAGACCAACTCGCCAAAGAGTTTATTCAGGAATAGCAGGGGAGCAATCCAGAATATGCCTGCTATGATGGATCATAGGCGCTTCCAGAGAGGCAAGGGAAGGTAAGAGTCTGTAAAGGCAAAATGAGGGAGGTTACAGTAGTTGTTTAGCATCAGTTCGTTAGTGGAACAGGCAGTTGCTGGGCTGGTCTCCTTGTAGAACTAATCTGTATGTAGGGTTGCGGTGGCCTTTATGTAATGTTGTGGTTTTGGCAGTCTCTTATGATAATTCCTGTTGTCAAGCAAACATGCATGAGGGCCTGTCTTTCATCGCATCCTGGCTCCATTTTGTTGGGGTTTGAATAAGTGACTCTCTTTTGACATGGACAACTTTCACAGTCTTCTCAAGTACATGTGAGCTCCTTCATGTAAGGACCATCTGTGGGAGGTCCCATAGAGTCTGAAACATTGAACATTCACTAAATGTTTGATTTTGATTTAATGAATAAAATTTATTGTTTGCAATAGAAAATGTAACAGAACAACTAATTTCACATTATATAATTGTGACATATGTTATGATTCTTATTTTCAGAAAAACCGAGGTCTGAGGTAGCTAAATAGCTTTCTGAAGTCATACAGATTGTCCCTTAGATTTAGTCTGACATTATGTTCATGTGTTATTCAATCCTATATGCTTTTCAAAAAAACCTGCATTTGCCCAGCTACAATCCACATGACACTATTGCTTCCAAGAAATGTAACTGGAATCATGGCCAGTGGAGGGGAAATGGATTTTGGAAAAAACTATTAAGTAAAAGTTAATAGTATTTTTTACTTTTGACTCCAGGACTTTTCTCAACTATAATGTGCTAAAGTGCATAGTACCAAAGAGATTGATTTAACACGCAATATTTTACAGTTATATGTTAACAGAAGCCCTCTTCAAAATTACTTATTTTCTCTTGAGGGACTATTTTTTTTTAAGGATGTAATTTGGAGGAGCTACACTAATCTATTCTGTAAGATGTTGATTCAAGTTCTTTATATCAAAGTCATCTCAACTTTGTATGTTAACAAAAGAAATTGAAAATATATTGGTTGTGGGCTCTTTTCCTATATTCGACTCTGATATGCTCTATAAGTTTTGACAAATTCCAAAATTGCAGGAAATTGTTTCCATTTATTCATTAGCAAGGGGGCTATCTGAGGAGACACATGGTCAAATACTCAGCTTTTGGATTTGTGAATTTCAGCTTGTAGTCATTGTTTTGCTAAGAGGTCTTAGTTAAGATGTATATGTCAGATCATACTATAATAAATAATAGACAATCCAAATTCATTTACTTTACTGGATTTATGTTTTTATTAGCTGAAGGAGGTTGGCTTGGTAATTGTTTTTTATATGGAGACTTAAGTATCAAATATAGTCTAAGGAACATTACAGGGACCCCTCTCTGTGGCCATTATTTTTAGTTAGTAAAGGGGAAAAAGAGGCCTTCTCTGATAGTCAGTATTAACTTAGTTTAGTAGTGTCTGTTGTAAGATAATTTAACTTGATCAAATTCAAATATTAGGCTTAGAATGAGCTCAGGAGTTCAAGGTCAGCCAGAGTAACATAGCAAGACCCTGTCTGTATCAAGAAAAAAAAAATATAATGTATTCTTACCTGGTGTAATAAATAGAAAAGACCAGGTAAGCAGTATGAGAATAAAAATATAGATACGTATGTTAATGAAAATAAACATTACTTTGAACTTGCAAGTGGTATTCCACCAAAGTTAAAAACATCTATGAAGTCTTACTTTTCCAACTTGAATTTATCCATAGATAATTAAAAGTAAAATGTCCTAGACTTGAGAAATTTTTTATTATCCAAATAGCTCTTACATGCCCCCAAAAGATCTCCACAGAGTGCAAGAGACTTCATAATTCAGCATTAATCTGAATTGGAACTGAGTTGAAGCATAATATTGCCTTAAATATTTTAATGAAGGAGAATATTAACCTGATTAAACAAGATCAACAGGCTCAAAATGGAAACATTTGCCTGTTTAATCAACAGTGTTTTAGACACTGTTAAGGATTTTGCATACAGTGGGGCCTTGTTATGCTGGTTGTTGGTTAGAGTGATTCCCCCATTATCCATGGGAAAGACATTCCAGGGCCTCCAATGGATACCTGAATCCATAGATAGTGCCAAGCCCTATATACACTGTGTTTTTTCCTATATGTACATACCTATGATAAGATTTAATTTATAAATTAGGCACAGTCAGAGATTAACAACAATAACTAATAATAAAATGCAGGTTGAATATCCCTTATCTGAAATGCTTGGGACCAGAAATGTTTTGCATTTCTGATTTTTTTCAGATTTTGGAATATTTGCATGTATATAAAATGAGATATCTTAAGGTTGGACCCCAGTCTAAATACAAAATTCATTTATTTTCATATACACCATATACACATACCCTGAAGGTAACTTTGTATAATATTTGTGATAATTTTGCGCATATAACAAAGTTTGTGTGCATTAAAGCATCAGAAAACAAAGGTGTCACTATCTCAGCCACCCATGGGGACAATCTGTGGTTGTTTGGAATCACTGTCATTTTTCTTTTTCTTTTTCTTTTTCCTTTTCTTTCTTTCTTTCTTTTTTTTTTTTTTTTTTTTTGAGACAGTATCTCCCTCTGTCACCCAGGCTGGAGTACAGTGTGGTGATCTTGGCTCACTGCAGCCTCGACCTCCCACACTCAAGTGATCATCATTTCTGACTCTGAATGTATAAGCTACTGATTAGCAATCATTTTCTTACGCTTATTCACACATAAATACTTAATAGCAAAATATATAACATACCATTAAAATAGTGAAAAAATAATGTGTTCGGGGTATCTAAGCAGCACAGCAGCATCACCAGAACACCCGCATCAGCTGCTGAACCACAGCCAGCTTTGTCGCCACCAACGATGCTGGTTTGTTCATTCTCTTCTCTTCTCTTCCCTTCCCATCTTGACAAGGTCTCACGCTGTTGCCCAAGCTGCAGTGCAGTGATGTGATCACATTTCACTACAACCTTGAAATCATGGGCTCAAGCAATTCTCTCACCTCAGCCTCTTGAGAAGCCTGGATTGCAAGTGGGGCATCATGACTTCCAGCCAATTTTTTTTTTTGAATTGCTATGTTGCCGAGGCCAGTCTAAAACTCCTGGGTTCAGATGATCCTCCTGCCTTGGCCTCCCACCTCACTGGGATTACAGATGTGAGCCACTGCACCCAGCCTGTATTTTATTTATTTAGGTGAGAAGAAACATCAGAAGCAGTTGAGGGACCAAGAAGTGGATCACCTAGGGATGAGGAAGCATTGTGCTAGGTGGCTTTTAAAAATGCTTCCAGCAGAGTCATCCGTGGCTCCATAACAATTTTTGTCTTAGAAGTCTTTCTTTAATTTTATAAACTGCCATGTTCTGTTATGAATGTGCACTGCTCTAGTCCTTCAGTAAGCTCATCACATATTTGCACCATGTTGTCTGTAGATAGTAATTTTGCAGTGTTAACAATGCCATCTTTATCGTCACTATTATCACAATCACCTTGATTCAGAACCATTTTGGTTATTTTGCCATCAGTCAATGAATGAAATAACTGAAGCCTCATTATCAATGTTAAATTTCTTTAACATCCACTTCTTCCAGCATACTGATGAATTCTGAAGATACATCTTTTGCATATGTAAGGAGATCAGACTTTTTTTTCTCACTTGACATGTGAAATCCTTCAAAGTCAGCATTTTGTTCATCATTATCACTGAACATAGTCACAGGTTAGAAGCTGTGCCAGGCACGCACCACTGTGTCTTTAGTCACAGTGTTCTAGGTGTTGGCAACAGCATATGTAGCATTATTTATGCTAAACTCCTTTTGAATATCTTCCACAACCACACCAATGTTCATTGCTACGTTGCTGCTAGCATGTTGTTCAAGAATACATTTTTATATTCACTCTACATTGATGTAAGGATACCTTCGTCACATGGATGAATTAATAAATTCACATTTAGGGGGAGTATATGTGGCATGAACATGATTTTTGATGAGAATTTCTGCTGGAGGATGAGCAGAACAGTGGTCAAGGAATAATAAAGTTGTGCATTTGTCATCCCGGCCAGCTTCCTTTCAGTGAGCACAAGTCACTGGTACAAAATGTTTGTGAAACCGATCAGAAGAGATATCCCTGGTGATAAATGCCTTTTTGTTCATATAATAATAGACTAGTAAGAAAATCACTCCTTGAAAACTGTGAGATCATAGCCTTTTCCTATCATAACAAATTACGCTTATGCATGCCTACTGCATTAGAACATCCCAACACAGCTGTTCTGTCTTTGGCATCCTTAATTCCTGTAGGAGCTGTCTCATCAGCTGTGGCCAGTGTCGTTCTGGGACCATACACCAAAACAGTGATGTTTTAACAGCATTATAGACTTGTTCTGGCATCAGATTTCCATCAGCGATGACCTTGGCAAATTCATCAGTGAATTGCTCTGCTCCTTCATGGTCAGCAGATGCTTTCTCACTGTATAAATCTTTAAAACAAATTGAATTCCATGTTTAAGTTTCTATAAGTAGCCTGTTGAATATTTACAGTTCCCTTCAATTTTCAGTTCATCTTGATAGAGCTTTGCTTGTTTCATCATCAGCAATACCATTAAGAGGCATGTGTTCACTGTGACACTGATCAATCCACTCTTTCAACACCTAAGATTTTAAAAGGAATAAATTAATTTTTAAATAGTGACGAGAACTTGCCATGTTGCCCAGGCTGGTCTTGACCTCCTGCAATTAGGTGATCCTCCCGTCTTCTCCCAAAGTGCTGGAATTACAGGTGTGAGCCACCATGGCCATCCCTAAGATCTTTATTTTTAGCTTTATGCAGTGTTTTTGTATTTTTCGTTAACTTTGTTTATCACTTTCAGCATGGAACTTCAACAGTTTATCCTTGTTCTTCAGGTCATATATGGTGGTCATTGTAACACCGTAGTCTTCTGTGACATGTTCCATACTTACACTGCTATTCAGTTTCTCCAACAGCCTGACTTTCAGTGCTATAGAGAAACATAAATGCTTTCCCTTTTTCCTATCACTGTTATTCATAGCCTTCTTGACATTTTCAACAATATCTTTCACCACAGAGCAGAGAATAAGCACAAAAATACAGTGAGTAATGCACGTAGGTCTTAGCCCCATCCTGGGGAACCTGTCCTTGCTGCATCTGGCCTGTACATGTGGCATTGTATTACACTTTGTGAGTGTGCTTTTATGGGAGGGATCCGGGTGTGTGTGGAAAAGATACATTGCAGCTGAAGGGAAGAAAAAAATCTGTCCTGGGAGGGTAATTTGTTCCTTGGGAGTGCTGAATAAACTGTGTTGTACACCTGAAGTTGAACTGTGACTTGTCATGTGAGGTCATGTGTGGAATTTTCCACTTGTGGCATCAGGTGATGCTCAGAATGTTTCAGATTTTGGAGCATTTCAGATTTCAGACTTTTGGATTAGGGTTGCTCAACATGTTGAACAATTATAACAATATGCTGTTAATAATTTCACAGATTTGTTCTTACCTTAGATCTTAGTAACCTCAGCATATGATTTTATTTTCTTTCCGTAAGTTAAGAACTTTTACCTTTTCACTTAGCAGAAAAGCCGGGTAGATACTATACTTTTTAAAAATTAAGAGAGAGGCAGGCACGGTGGCTCATGCCTGTAGTCCAAGCACTTTGGGAGGCTGAGGCCAGTGGATCACTTGAGGTCAGGAGTTCTCAAGACCAGCCTGGCCAACATGGTGAAACTCCATCTCTTACTAAAAATACAAAAATTAGCCAGGTGTGGTGGTGTGTGCCTGTAATCCCAGCAATTCAGGAGTCTAAGGCAGGAGAATCACTTGAACCTGGGAGACAGAGGTTGCAGCGAGCTGAGATCATGCTGCTGCACTCCAGCCTCAGTGTCAGAGGAAGACTCCATCTCAAAAAATAAGAAGAAGAATAATTAAGAGAGATTATTTCTAAAATTATAAATGTACTGGAACTGCTAGTTAAATTCTGTCTGCTTCTAGTAGAAACTATAGTTACTAAACAAATAAAAATATAGTAGTTCCTCCTTATCCACAATTTTGCTATCTGTGACTTCAGTTACCCATAGTCAATTGTGGTCCAAAAATATTAAATATTAAGAAAGCATTTTATGGCTTATTTTTGGTATATCCAAATTGCCAGCATCACTACTTTTGGACTCTGGGGCCATTATTAAGTAAAATAAGGGTTACTTGAACAGAAGCACTGCAATACCCGTCTGAGAGTTGACTTCATAATCGAGATGGCTACGAAGTGACTAATGGACAGGTAGCGTAAAACGCACGGATACACTAGACAAAGGAATGATTCATATCCTGGATGAGACAGAGTGGGACAGCATGAGATGTCATCACACTACTCAGAATGGTGTGCAATTTAAAATGCATGAGTTGTTTATTTCTGAAATTTTTCGTTTTATATTTTTGGAACACAATTGACTGCAGATAACTGAAGCCACAGAAAGCAAAACTGTAGATAAGGAGGAATTACTGTATTTTAATTTGTTTATTAAACTTCGTTTCTACTAGAAGCAGACAGCATTTAACTAGCAGTTCCAGTGCAGTTATAACTTTAGAAATAATCTCTCTTAATTTTTAAAAAAAGTATAGTATCCACCTGCCTTTTCTGTCAGGTTGTGTATAAACTTCCCTCCCAGCGAGTTTGAATTAATGTCATTTTGATGACCACCATGTGTATGTGTAAGTGCAATTCTGTATCTGTGTGTGTGAAAAATTGTGTATGAATCCTTTTATTAGTTCCATTAGCCTCAATATAATTAAATTATTGTACTAAAAATATCCAGATAAGTAATTTCCAGCATACTACTATGATTTTACTTTATAAGAATTTACAAAATAGGCTTATCAATTACAAAAGGATACAGCAAAGGAGATGTGCACAAACATATTAGTATTTGTACTTATATTTACATTTATACACACATACATGGAAACTCACAAGTCATCATTAGACATGGCTTTTGGTTGACTAAGAGCCCTCTCTGATAGGAGAAATATAGTGCAAGCCACAAATGTAATTTTATTTCCAACAGAAATAATATGAGCCACATTTAAAAAGTGTAAAGAAATAGATGAAATACATTTTAATAATACATTTTATTGCACCCAGTACATCCAAAATACTATCTCTTCAATCTGTAATCAATATAAACATTTTTAACGAGATATTTTACATTCTTTTTTTCATATCAGGTCTTAGAAACCCAGTGTGTGTTTTATACTTAGAGCACACCTCCATTTGGACTAGCCACATTTGAAGTGCTTAATATCCCTGCATGGCTTATGAGTGGAGCAAGGGGAAAAGGTGGAGAGGGAAGAGTACCTGTCTCTCTTCTTCTTTGCTTAAGGGCACTAATCCCATCATGAGATCCCACCCTTATGACCCCATCTGAATCTAAGCACCTCCCAAAGGCCCCACATCCTAATACTGTCACACTGGGGATTAGGGCTTCAGCCTGTGAATTTGGGGAAACACAGACATTCAGACCATAGCATTTATAACCTCAAGCTTTCACTGTCTCTATCCCAGTAAACCAGAGCTCTTGTAAGACATGTGTGTGTACACATTAAGTGGCCTTTTTTTTTTTTGCCTGTTCTTCTTTAAGAAAACCAATATAAAATTGAAGCTAAGACACTAATTTAGGACATAATTAATTGTTGAGGTGCTTTGAAGGATCTGTATTGAAGCATTTACTGGTAAAAGTATAGAATTTAACATAGATCCATGATTAGCCAAGAAAATGACAGAAAATGTGGTGGTGCATGTCTATAATCCCAGCTACTCTGGAGGCTGAGGCACAAGATCACTGGAACCCAGGAGGTGGAGGTTGCAGTGAGCCGAGATCATGCCACTGCACTCCAGCCTGGGTGACAGAGTGAGGCTTTTTATTGACATATCAAAAGAAAATAAAAGATGATAGAAAAGCCATTGTTGGTTTTTTTTTTTCCCTCCACAAGAGTCTACTCAAAAAAGTCATTGTTAAAGAGAAACAAAGAAAAAGTTAAAAATGAAATACCAATTAATTAAGTTTTCTATTTTAGTGTAGATTTTAGGAATCTGCCCAATTTTTGCTCACCTCCCAGGTGCTTATTTCTGAACAATATTTGCCCTTTATTTTTTATTTATTTATTTATTTTTTTTGAGATGGAGCCTCACTCCATCGCCCAGGTTGGAGTGCAGTGATACAATCTCAGCTCACTGCAACTTCCACCTCCTGGGTTCAAGCAATTCTCTTGCCTCAGCCTCCTGAGTAGCTGGGACTACAGGCGCACGCCACCACGCCTGGCTAATTTTTGTATTTTTAGTAGAGACGGAGTTTTGCCATGTTGGGCAGGCTGGTCTTGAACTCCTGACCTCCCAAAATGCTGGGATTATGGGCATGAGTCACTGTGCCTGGCCTCATTTTTGTTTTTGATGGAATGGAATTCCTGGATTTTGAAATTCTGAAACTCTGGTTATCATGAGTGACAGTGAACAATTACTTAGATAATGGAATGATAAAAATACCAGAAATTTTTAAGGTGCTCTGTGGTTCATATTATTTATAATGTGCTTTTTTGAAATCTTCAAGATAGAATCTAATAAAAACTTTCAGACTCAGAAGTTGGAAGTAGGAGTACTGACTTCTTAGTATAAGGTGAAGCAGAAGTATATGACTCCTTGTTACAAGGAGAAAAAGACACAAAAAGGAAGAATATGTGGTCAATACAGAAAAATAGGAATTCTTCATACGTGACTTGATAAACTAAAATAAATGAAGAATTTGAGGCATTTATTATCATAATCTCTTGTTGAGTTTGTGATGCTGAGTTTGGGAAAGAACAAACATTTTAGTTGGCTAGATGGGGAACATTGATATGAAACAATTCAGTGGGTTACCTAGTCCTAATAAAAGAATTCCATTCCACAGCATGGAGAAAGAGAGATCAACATTAATTGACATTGAATGGATTGGAAGAAGACAATCAACACATTTATTCATTTATTTATTCAATAAATATTTATTGGACATTTATTATTTGCTGCAGAACAGACAAGATTCCCTGCCGTTGTAGAGGTTAAATTCTGATGAGAGAGAAGTGTCCATTTTGTTGTGAGCACTGTGATGGGTTCTTCCCGTTCATTCTCTCATTTAAGTCCTGCAGCAACTTATGGCATTATCATTATTTCCCATTTAAAGATGACCAAACTGAGTCTCAGTAAGTTGCTGAAGATTACACAGCTTGTAAGTAACTGGAAAGGTAATTGATGTATACTTATTAACAGATTCATCAAGTTACATGCATTAAATATGTACAGCATCTTGTTTGTCTGTCAGTCATATCCTAATAAAGTGGTTTCAAAAAACAAAAATCTCAGTTGGTCTGACCCCATGGATCCATAGCTCCACTACTGTACTGTCTCCTTCCATGGTCACACTTTTTATAGGAATCCCTTACCAAATGTCCACATTTAATAATTTTAGAACATGTGAGTTTGCTCATCATTCAGTTGCATTTTTTCAGAGCAGTTATTTTGGAGTATTAGGCTTGGTTATGTCTTCAAAGAAATGACATCTGATGTGGCTGTTCTGATCTGGTTGCACAAATGGCTACTTCTCGTCAGTAACAGCAGGAAGATTTGTAATGGGCACTGTGTTCAGAAAGGTTCTGATCAGCAGCTTCCTCTTTACTAGTGTAGTCTGTGTAATTGCAAAGGACAACAAGTTATCACTAGGCTGTGTCTGCCAAGGTGGACATTGATGGAGGTGCTGTAGAAACATATAGATTTTGTGGAGGAATAGGACGTAGGAGATGACATCAAGGAGGAAGAAAAGATAAAAAGGAAGCAAGACAGTTCCATGCACAGACCAGTCAGCTACAGTGAAGCATCCTGCAAACTGGCAAACTGATTATCAGCAGTGGCTGTCACCAGGCTCTGCCCCAGCAGGTGAGAGTTGCTACCTGCCAATTTGTTTAGACACCTTGTTTGTTATTAGATTAAGGTTTTGAATACATCTGATCCAAGAGAATGGGGCATAATCATATTTAATGTGGATTTGGCCAGACCTCAGACTACATAGCTGGAAGATTATGTCTATTCATTGCCTAAGTGAGTTTAGCATTGTTTTAAAACATTCTCTGATGGACTCATCACTATCATAATCTGTTTTCTTTTTTTTTTTTTTTTTTTTTCAAAGTGGTATGTGGTTTCAGTGTCGTCGTGAAGACTCTGTGGCTTTTTAGCCAAATCATCTTAATGCCAATCTCTTACTACTTGTGAAACCTTGGATAAATGACTTAATCTCTTGTCTCAGTTTCCTCCTCTATAAAATGGGGATAGCAATAGAACCTACTTGATAGCATTTTTGTGAGTAAAGCACTTTGAAGAGTGCTTGGCACATGGTAAATGCTGTAGGCATTAGCTAGACTGCTATTACTGTGATTATTGTTATTGCTGTAGTTATTATTACACATATGTTATTACACCAAACTTAAATTGGTCACCATTATCCTCTTAGCATCAAATGACAGATGAACAAGAGCATTTACTTTTAGATTCCTGGCACTTTGCCTATGAGTGTTGTCATTTTTATCAGCCATAAAATAACTTATGAGTTTAATAAAATATCGTATGCCATAGTAGCCAGGCATTTAGAGAATACTTGGGAGGAAGTGCAGCAGAAGCAGCAATGGTGATAGTCTGGGCTTCTATCACAGGGTGGGACAGACCTTGGAGATATGCTGTCTCCTCTGTACTTGATCTTTCATGTGCCATCCGGAGTCTTCCCTCTTGCTCAAAGGCCTGGGTCAGTGCATCCTTAGTGGCTCAGTTTGAATGGGGATTTCACTCAGTGATGAGATGATGTGGACACAGAAACTAGTTGTGATAAAAGTTGGTAGTTGCGGCCGGGCGCGGTGGCTCACGCCTGTAATCCCAACACTTTGGGAGGCCGAGGCGGGCGGATCACGAGGTCAGGAGATCGAGACCATCCTGGCTAAAACAGTGAAACCCCGTCTCTACTAAAAATACAAAAAATTAGCCGGGCGTAGTGGCGGGCGCCTGTAGTCCCAGCTACTTGGGAGGCTGAGGCAGGAGAATGGCGTGAACCCGGGAGGCGGAGCTTGCAGTGAGCCGAGATCCCGCCACTGCACTCCAGCCTGGGCGACAGAGTGAGACTCTGTCTCAGAAAAAAAAAAAAAAAAAGTTGGTAGTTGCAGATACAAAATGCTACTGCATGAGATCTGTCCAGTAGCCTCAACTATTTTTAATATGCAGTCAGAGAGACAGAAATGTATTTCAGGGCAGCTGCTACCAATTTCTTTTTTTTTGTTTTGTTTTGTTTTGACATGATACTTTTTGCCAGATACTGTTCTTTTCTATAGAGTAATCCTAAATCAGAAAACCATGTCATGATATCAGGCTTAATTTTAACAGCCAGAAAAAAAAAATCGCCACCAAGATATAAAACATTTTACAAAATGAATGAGGGAAGAGATTTTGAGCACAGTATTGGTAAAGTAGAGTTCAAGGGGTGAGAGATGTGATACACCACACCGTCCCCACGGAAAAACAGCAATACAAAATGAACTGTATCATTTTTTACTGACTTGTTCTGTTGGTGATTGAGGCATTTCAGTGCACAACCAGGAAAATAATAGGTTACTTTCACAATGGTAGAAGTTTAACAAATGCTCAATTATTCACCCTACATCATCGCTGTCATTGGTGAGAGTTTTACTGTATGATATTGATGCCTGGCTTCTTTCTTATTGCTGTATTCTTTTCAGATTCAATCTGTCTGCAATGGGCCACTAAACATTTCAATTTGCTACCTGTGGAGCTGGATTGCAATGCTCAGACTGAAATGAGAAAAATGGATTTAGTGAAACTCAAAATAGAGAGAGTTTCATGGATTTTTGTGGAAGGATGCACAAACTGAAACCCACTGATAAAAATACACACGATCACTTTTGAGTGTCTCATAAAAGTACATGGTATTAAGCAATTCATGGATGTTTTTAGGGAAAATAGACTCAGTGAGATGGAGACTGACAAGACTCCCAACACTTAGGGGAACTCAGACTCTGTCAATCTGGGGTGTAGTTGTGTATACTCAGTGCCATTATCATAGTCCTTGAATACAGTATTTGTAAAGCCGTACTTGTTTAGGTGCACTTAAGAGAGCTGAGCTAGCAAAGAACAGGATAAAGTCCAAATTATTTTCTGGCCAACCCTAGCATTTAGTTTTTTCCTAGCAGGAATCATTTAGGAGATTTCCTGGTTGGGAGAGAGGGTTCATTTCATATGGGTGCCTCTTATTATTGTCATTTCCTGACTGTTGCCCATAGTTCTTGACTGACTGTAGTACTCACTGTCTTACCATGCCTTCCTGTTTATTTATTTATTTATGCCCATTTTGGATTTATTTTTCTCTTTGACTATCAAGATGCTCTAAAAGTTTCCCCACATTGCCTAAATTTGAGCTCCATGAAATAAAGTGGATTTGACAAACATCAAGAACATTCAGAAGTACTTGATAGAAAATGCAAGTATTAAGAATTAGAGGCTTAAAAAAGACTGAAGTACCACAGTAAGGTGTTACTTCAAGCCCACTAGGATGGCTGTAACATAAGAATGCAAAATAACAAGTCTTGCCAGGACATTAAAAAATTGGAGCCCTCTGGCCGGACGCAGTGGCTCACGCCTGTAATCCCAGCACTCTGGGAGGCCGAGGTGGGCAAATCACCTGATGTTGGGAGTTCAAGAGTAGCCTGACCAACATGGAGAAACTCCATCTCTACTAAAAATACGAAATTAGCTGGGCATGGTGGTACATGCCTGTAATCCCAGCTACTCAGGAGGCTGAGGCAGGAGAATCACTTGAACCCAGGAGGCAGAGGTTGCGGTGAGCTGAGATTGCACCATTGCACTCCAGCCTGGGCAACAAGAATGAAACTCTGTCTCAAAAAAAAAAAAAAAAAAAAAAAAAAAAAAAAAATGGAGCGCTCCTACACTGCTGGTAGGAATACAAAAGGGTTCCACCATGATGCATGATGGCAGGTTTGGCCGTGCCTCAAAAAATTAAACATAGAATTAGCATATAATTTCACTATTCACTCCTAGATATATATACCAAAAATAAAAATTTAAAAAGGGACTCAAACAAGTACATATACACACACATTAATAAAGCTCTATTCACAATAGCTGAAAGATAGAAATAGCCCAAATAGCCGTCAGCAAATATATGGATAAACAAATTAATGGTATATCCATATAGTGGAGTATTATTCAGTGATAAAAAGGAATGAACTACCAATACATGCTACAACACGGATACACCTCCAAACCATTATACTAAGTGAAAAAGGCCAGGCCCCAAAGGCCATATATTATATGGTTCAATCTATATGAATATCCAGAATGGATAATTTTATAGAAACAGAATGCAGATTGATGGTTGCCAGGGGCTAGGGAAAGGGGACAATTGGGAGGAAGTGCTTACTGGATAAGGGCTCTTACTTTGGAGTGACGGAAATGTTTTGGAAATAGAGAGAGGTGGTGATAGCAAAATATTTATTGTACTAGGTGCCCCTGAACTGTTCATTTTAATATGGCTAATTTTGTATTATATGAAATTCACCTTAATAAGTTATTCCTGAGGAAAAAAAATAGCTAAGAATTCTTATCTGGGAAGACAAAGTAAAGGGTTAATAAAGACAAGTCCTCATATGCAGTAGGTTTTATAAGAATAACCAACTCATCTCCTCTTCTACAGAGTTGCCTAAGTAAGAAAAGATAATTTATAGTGGAAGGAATATGGACCATGTTCATTCCTACCAACTAGATTGTGACCTCCCTCAGAATGGGGATTATTCTTTGACTTACCAATTATTTTTTTTTCACAAAGTTACATAACAGTCATTAATTTCATCATTCTGAAATATTCATAAGAGCTTGCTGTGCTATAGGCATTATGTTAGTCTTGGGGATATAAATGTGAGTAAGATAGATATCATCTAGAATTAAGGTTCTGTTTGAATAGAAAGACCAAAAAATAAGTAAACAAACACAAGAAAGGTATTTGATATGGTTAGGCTTTGTGTCCCTACCCACATCTCCTCTTGGATTGTAATCCTCATAATCACCATGTGTCAAGGGAGAGACCAGGTGGAGGTAATTGAATCATGGGGGGTGGTTTCCCCTATGCTGTTCTCGTGATAGTGAATGAGTTCTCATGAGATCTGATGGTTTTATAAGGGGCTCTTTCCCCATCGCTTGGCACTTCTCCTTCTTGCCTCCTTGTGAAGAAGGTGCCTTGCTTCCCCTTCACCTTCTGCCGTGACTGTAAGTTTTCTGAGCCTCCCCCGCCCCAAACATGCTGAACTGTGAGCCAATTAAACCTCTTTCCTTTATAAATTACCCAATTTCAGGCAGTTCTTTATAGCAGTATGAAAATAGACTAGTACAGTATCATAGAACATAAGAGCTATAATGGAAACCAATAGGAAGCTGAGACATAGAAATATGGCGGGGAATTTGGTCTATACTGCTTGATAGGATACACAGAGCCTTGGATGTGGGCACAACCACTGTCAGGCCCACCCTCACACCAGCATCAGTACTAGGTAGAAGCTTTCTAGAGTTGGGAGAGAGTTTTTTCTGCAAAAAACTCTTTTGCAGTTTAAAGGGAAGATAACCTGAGGACAGGCTGACCATGGACTAGGCAAGAGCCAAGGGAGTGACAGACAGCTGGAGCCACAGTTCACCGTCCTGGAACCCTCCCCACCTTCTGACTAACTGTTGCATCCTCTTGCTGCTGAAAGCCTACTGACGGAGAGGTCACCTTGGATGTTTCTTCCATAGTCTGTATTGTATGTTCAGGAATTTTAGGAATCAATTGTGTTAGCAAGTCATCCCCATTTTACCAGAGTGAGAACAAAGCCTCTAGTGGTGTAGTGACTTGCCTAAGACTCAGCCAGGATTCAATTCCTGATCTTTAGAACTCAAATCTAGCTGTCTTTTCCATTCATATTATAATGATTGTCATAATATAATAAAAGTAACAATTGGCCCCCCATATTCCTGGGTTTTGCATCCAGTTCAACTGAGTATAAATCAAAACATCATTGCATCTGTATTGAGCATGTACAGACTTTTTTTGCACAACTGTTTACATAGTGTTTACATTGTATTAGGTATTGTAAGTAACCTAGCGATGATTTAAAGTATGTGGGAGGATGTGCGTAGGTTACATGCCAATACTACATCATTTTATATCAGGTACTTGAGCATCCATGGGCAGTGGGCTGGGTTGGTCCTGGAACCAGTCCCCATACAGATACCAGGAATGACTGCACTAGACTACAAAAGAGCAAACAGATTTGGACTTTAGCCTCTACTCTGCTACTGTGTGACCTTGAGAAAGACATCACATCTCTGGGCTTCGTTTTTCTCTGTGGTATGATGGGGTAGGTTATATCTGTTGATCTCCAGCTCTTCTTATGGTTCTAATACCTGATTCCATTAATATTTCTTCTTCTGTTTTTTCTTTACTCCTCAAAATCATCATGATCATCACAAAAGAGCAGCAGTTTTTTCCTGGGTTGTATAAATAAAGGAGGCTAGACAGCAGAGAATGGAAACTGTGGGCAGCCTTGTACTGGGTATTCCAGTATCTCTAATTCCAAACTAGTATATGTTTTTAAATAATTTCTTTTAGAGACAGGGTCTTGCTATGTTGCCCAGGCTGGCCTCAAACTCCTGGGCTAAAGTAGTTCCCCTGCTTTAGCCTCCTGAGTAGCTGGGACTACAGTTGTGCCCAAATCAGTTATTTTCCAGACTTCAGTGTTCTCATTATCCTTTCATTTCTTGTGGCTACCACTGAACACTTTAGCTAGAAAAGGTGAAACCTGACTGCAGACCACAAAAACGGATCCGGTCTCTTAGCTCCTTTCTCTGCCACCCTCAAAGTAGCCATTAAATCTTTCACATTTTCTAATGACTTTTTTTTTTTTTGGAAGGGGGAGAAATTGGGAATGCAAGCAATGGGAGAGATACAAGTTATAGTAATATAAAAAGTTATAGTAATTCAGTCATACAGTATAAAAACCCTTATATTTTGTGTGAATATAGGAAATTTTCTTTTCTTTTTTCTTTGAGGGCCTTATCTCTGCTCTTGTCTGCTGAATTCAAAGCTGACCACTTTCTACCTCTTCTGCATTTTGTGTGTTGTTTCAGCAGACATTGTTCGTTGTTTTCTTTTCACTGTTAGAGGCTTTCAGAGAGAGAAAGGAAGGGAAGAGAAGGGAGGATGCTAGGGTACCAGTGCCCTTTCACTCCTAAATTCTCATGAGTCTGTACTATAGACCCATGAGGCTGAGCAGTTTACTTCCCATGTTAACTCTAATTCTTAGTCTAGAAAGCATATTTTTTTCATTGGAATGTTACTGTCAAATTGCTATATTATTCCTGTTCAAATGGGGAGAACCATTTATAGGTGATGCAGAATCATTAAAGCAGTTAACTCTGCTGGAGAAGGTGGAAGGCACATGGTATCTCAATTGAGAAATTCTTTTCCTGCTTCTTTAAATTATTAAAGTCAAATACTTAAAGAGTACATGCTACAACACTACATTCAAAAAGGTTTATTCTAGCATGATACTTAAGTATTCTTTTTCTAGATGCATTTCATTCATTTAGGCATCCATTCATCAAATGTTTATTGAATACTTACAATGTGCAGGGCACTACAGAGTGCTGGGCATGTAGCAATGAAAAGTTGACATGGGACTCTGTCTTTAAGTGGCTTTCACTGTGTTGGAGAAAACAAATTGAAAAATGTAAGGGCTTGTTATAGAGCTGAAATACTTGTATATGGGAGCGAGTCTTGGGTGAATGCAACCTATGTATACAGATAAGGATTTAGAAAAATGTAAGAGCAAAAATACTGCTTTAGAAGGATCTGTAAGAGACATTCTGCCTATTCACAGAATAGTGTATACTTATTACATCTAATCTTGCCTGATAGACTTGAAAACATAAAATGGTTTTTAATATAGATTATGATATGGTCTCCTGTCATGACATATAGAAATGGAAATGCCCCCAAAAAAGAGCTTACTTCTAGAATATGTTTGTAATTATAGGATTTATTTGTTTTACACTACTTAGAAAATATTCTTTGGCCGGGCACTGTGGCTCATGCCTGTAATCCCAGCACTTTGGGAGGACAAGGCAGGCAGATCAAAAGGTCAGGAGATTGAGACCATCCTGGCCAATATGGTGAAACCTCGTCTTTACTAAAATACAAAAATTAGCAAGGTGTGGTGGTGCGCACCTGTATTCCAAGCTACTCGGGAGTCTGAGGCAGGGAAATCACTAGAACCTGGGAGGCAGAGATTGTGGTGAGCCCAGATCACACCCCTGCACTCCAGCCTGGCTACAGAGCAAGACTCCATCTTAACAAAAAGAAAAAAAATAAAATATTCTTTAAAAGTACATTTCTTCAATTGGCCATAATTCATACCAGTCCTGTGTTCTTTGAGCTCAACTATAAATTAAGAAGCAAGAAATTTAGTTTTTCTTTCATAGTTACATTTTTTAAAAAAATTGGTATCCCGAATAGATTCCAATAAAAAAAATTCCAAAGATGAACTGTAAAAACTTCTGAAAGGTTCACTATTTTTCTTATCCTTTAAGGTGGCTACTGCCAAAGAATAAAATCAGTGAAATTGCCTTTTGTGTGTAATTCAAGGTTAATAACTTGTGGGAGAACTTTCGATCATAAAGTGAGCTTTATAATTTTATCAATGATAGGAACAATCTTCTATTAGGTTAGTATTATTCATTTAATAGCTAAAGAGTTGGTGTATTTCTCATTCAGTTGTAAGTGTTTTCTCCCTTTTAATCTGATCCATTAGAGCACTACTAGAATGTAGCTGTTTTGGCTGTGCACATGCTTGCCGCCCCCCAACCCGTGAGGTCCTCCATGATGTGCTCTCCACACTACCCCATGGTTCTGCATAAATTTTTTGAATATATTGTTTATATATTCATCTTACTGCTAGATTGGGAGCTTCTTGTGCCAAGACAGTATCTTTGTGAATCCAGTGCCCAGCACGGTACTTGGTGTATTAGATGTGCATATGTAAATAATGAGTAGATGAAGTGTGGTCATGTGAAGGATAGAATATACTTACACACATACACACACAACAAGCAAATATACATTAAATGCCTATTTTTTACATGTTTATATCTGGGCCTGTTGAAGTTACTAAATATAAGGCTCTTGTCTTATCCTTGGGGAGCTTACAGTTTCATTGGAACCAAAATTAACATTTGTGAAAAAGTTGCCTTAACTAAAGATGGTGTATATCTCAAAGCCTTGCTTTATTCACAGGCTAAAGGATCACCTCTCTTATAAACAGAGGCTAAAGAACTCCTTTTAATAAGGAGAATCAGGGACTTCTTCACAGAGGGAATGGGACTTTAGCTCAGCCTTAAAAAAGTGAGTGAGACACATGACAAAAGGCACTGTCATATAGGTGGTGATGGTGGTTTCATTCACTAGATTCCATCTAAGTCTCCATTCATCATGCACCAGAGTTCAACACTGATTGCCCGCCTCACCCAGCGTGGGTTAAGGAATAGGTTTTACTGGTGAAAGGGAAAACTTACAAGGCTAAGTCAGCAAGAGAAAAGAGGGAGTACTAGGTATACTAGGTTTGGATTCTGCTGAACCTACTCTGTGGGTTTGAGTTTCCCTGGTATTCCGCCTTACCACAGGGCAAGAATGAGGAAGCATTCTTATTGGTGGGGAATACAGAGGCTACTTAGGACCAAGCAGTTCAATTTAGGGCCCCAGCTGCCTAGAGAAGTTGTCTGAGAATGTCAGCTGCTTTCCTAGTACTTAGATGCCTTTAGACTGATGTGAATTGGCAGTTTTCTCTTTTTAGAGAAGCCACCAGTGCTGAGGAGAACTGATTTGGGAGGAAAGTGTTCACCTACCCAAGCCAGCCCATTGTCCAGGCAACACTGGGTCAGCTCTGGGGTCACTATCAGATAATCCTGCTTCTTGCACTACCGAGGTTAAGAATTTGCACCCTAGAAGACTTCAATTCAAATCCCTGCTTCCCCACTCACTGGCTATGTAACCTGAGGCCCTTAATGTCTCTAGGCCTTAGTATTGTAAAATATGAAGTTGGGATAGTAATAGTTCATTTTTCCTGGGATTGTAGTGAGGATTAAATAAAATAGCCATGTAACACATGGTGAATGTTTAGTAAACATTAGCTGAAAAGGAAGGATCCTCTGAGAAAGCGAGTGGTGAGAACATTTTTATGGGCATAGCCATGCTCAGGGATAGTGGGTGGACCCACTTTCCCAGTCTTGTTAGGGAAAGGGCTCATTCTAGGGAGAATAGACTGGATTTGTGGAGGGCCCTTAATGTAAGACCAAAGAGTCCTCTTCCAGTCCATTTGGAGCCATTCGTGATTTTCACGTCGAACCATGTGAGATGGTTTGGCTGTGTCCCCACCCAAATCTCATCTTGAATTGTAACTCCCACAATTCCTATGTTTTGTGGGAGGGACCTAGTAGGAGGTAATTGAATCATGGGGGCAGGTCTTTCTCATGCTGTTCTCTCAGTAGTGAATAAGTGTCACAAGATCCAATGGTTTTAAAAAGAGCAGTTTCCCTGCACAAACTTTCTCTCTTTGCCTTCTGCCATCCACGTAAGATGTGACTTGCTCCTCCTTGCCTTCCACCATGGTTGTGAGACCTCCCCAGCCATGAGAAACTGTAAGTCCATTAAGCCTCTTTTGTAAATTGCCCAGTCTTGGTTATGTCTTTATTAGCAGCATGAAAACGAACTAATACACTATGACACATAGAAGAATTTTTAGGAAAAATAGTGTGGTGGTAGGCATTCCACATAGATTGGAAAGTAAACAAATTAAAAGCAGGAAGACCTTTTAGGCTAGAAGTAATTTATTTTCCAGGAAGCCATGGATTTGAGTTTTTTGAACTTCGACTTCCATCTAGTCTGCCATCAGCCTTCATTCCTTTCATTAAGCCCTTAGTTGCAGTGTGCCTCAGACCTTTGTCTGTCTGCTGCTCTTCATCATTGTGTGCATGGTTTGAGGCTTAGCATTGCAAAAAAGAGTTAAGAAGTAATCAAGATTATTTTAATAAGGCATAGTGACAAAAACAACATAAATGGCATTTCTCTGAAGTGAGTTTTGGTGATTTCTCATTAAATTGAATTGGCAGAAACTCAGAAACAATACTTTCTCATTTCAAGAAATAGTAATTGTTTTTAATGTAGCGAGCCAGAGTTCTATAAAAGATTGCAGTGTCTTGTTCAACATTCTGTTTTCTAACCCCGTCTAGCATAATGCTTGTAAGAAACTAACTTCTCAGGAAAGGATGGATGGATGGATGGATGGATGGATGAATTGAAGGTATGCAAAGGAGTTCAGATTCATTGGACCTTATCCCACTGATTGTGATTGATTATATATGATTGTCTAATATGTTCTCACCATCGCCACGTTTGGCTGTGGACCTCTTGGGGCAAGGTCTGTGTCTGTTTTTCTCACTGTATTACCAGTTCCTATCTCGTTAACTAGAATAGTCTTTCATTAAGTGGGTAAGTGAATCTACCCCTGAAATAATGCTAAGCGTGGGGTTCTGGGAGAGTATATCACCAATAAAGGATTATGTTCTGGCCTTGGGCCTTAAGCCACTCACTTAAGATCTCTGAGCCTTGATTTCCTTATCTGAAAAAATGTGTATAGTACCTATTTTGCCAATACATAATAGGTTAAAATATAATAATACCTTAGAGTAATACTAATTAAATCTGCTATATGTGCAAATAATCAAGAGACTTATTTAATGAATGTTGCGTATAAACCTTCATAATTATGAGATTGCAAGGCATAACCACCGGTAAGGAAATAACCTCTTTACCCAAGGAAACCATAATGCACAAAACAGTCGACCATAGGATCTTATTTTGGGGGTATTTTATTTTCTATTCATGTTAAAGCAAATAAAATAGTCCCTTTTGGAATATATCAAGTTATACAACTAGAAATTTCTGATAGTTTGGTGGATTTTGCATGCCTGCCTCAGTTGTTTTCTGTTAAAATACCAAAGAAAAATAAATTTCAAGAGAGTCAGGACAATATCTTGCTTAACTTGTTGATGATGCTTAACGGCAACCTGCTATTGTATTTAGCAAACAATAATATTTCCATGGTAGATAAAGAGAAGATAGACTATTTGGAGATGTAGAAAATGAATATTCCAGCAAGAGGATAGATAACTTCAAACTGACCTGACTGCTGTCCTAAGCATGCCACCACAAAAACAGCTAATAGTTATTTAGGACTTAAATTTATCTGATAATTTTGAGAACAAAATCTTTTGAGCTAGGTTATAATATAGGAGCCTTCGATTTTCCTACATTAAATGTGTAGCTTAGTGGTATTTGATGTTGAAATGGTAATTTTGCTCTATTCCTTTTGCTTCTGGTAGACTTGCTCTTGAATTTACTACCTGTATCCAATTAACGGAAAATAGAGAACTTGAAATTCAGAGAACTCATTCTTCCCATCAAAATATGTACTATACACTGGCCTTGGTTTTGGGTGAAGATGAGAAAATATGGAGCTTAATTTTCATTTTTTTCATTAAGATTATGAAAAAATCTGTGTTTTGCACATTTATCAGCAATGGCATTACCTTGCAATTTACTATTTCCCATACTCATAGGAACTTATTATAAAGAAAAATACCTCAAAACATTATCAGACATACCTTTTGAGTGTTACCTGTTTGAGATTCTTATAGTATCCTTAGGGAAAGAGCTACGAATCAAAACTGGTAATTGGAACCATTAATAAGATAGAGATTCTCATAATTTGAAACCAGGGTGGTGTGTCAGAAAAACGATACGTTTGGAAGTCAAGGAGTCTCATTCCTGTTCCTAATGTTGTCAGAGGCCAGATTTTATCACATTAGACATAGGCCAGTTTAAGATTTAGAAAAAGAAAAATCCAGATAAAATATGATGCTTGGTGTATGACACAGTAAGTTTTTGAATCTTTGTGGTCAACCAGAAGCACCAGTTCTTTTTCATGACTTCCTAATAAATCAGGCGTCTCTTTTCATGTAGTCATGGGTTAGGTTTACATGGTAAGAAGGAATTTGTTGGGAGACAATGCTCCATGGATCGCTTGTGTCCATGTGTCATGAACAGAGGCACAGTGACACCCTTTTGGTTGTGACCTGAAGGATGGTTGGTTAGTGAACAGCCTTGGAAGAAAGAGATAATGCCTCCCACTAAATGATGATATTCTGGCTACTATTTTTGTGGGGAGTAATAAAATATCCTTGTCCCTGACCCAGGAGTTTTTGTTTGTTTGTTTGTTTTTAATTTCTACCAGCATCTGTGAAATGATGGCAGGCTAACTTGTTAGCTTGCAAGTAGGGTAAAACCTGAGATTCTTCACAGTTTCTGGCAGAATTGAGTTTGAACATACTGAATTTAAAGTAAGGGACAGAGATGAAGTTATATACCTGATGCAATTTGCAGCTGCATATAAATTCTGGCACGCAAACAGGAGGTCAGAACTAAAGACATAAAAATGTGGCTTTATGATTTCTTGCTAAATAGGCTTTGCCCTGTATCCCATTTGGGACTTGGACGCCTGAAAACTGTTCTTTCATTGCAATGAAATGTTGGAAATCTATTGATAATGCACTTTGATTTTGAGAGTGTTAAGACATAAAACCAGAGAAAACTGGTATCTCTGGCCACACATACTCAGCTACTTTACCTGAGTTCATTACATTCTTGTTACCTTTGCATTTATCTAGAGTACAGTCTCTTTAAATGGAGAAAATAGTTAATGTCTTTCTCCTTTAGAAATCAAGATTCTACAGAATGAGAAATGCTAAGGAAGCAATATTTTTTTTTCCACAGGGAAAGGGAAACTGGCTATTGTTAAACCCTGCCTTTGGCAATTGCATGTCTCTATCAGTAGCCAATTTGGAAATATTGAAACCCTGTCTTTGGTGTAATACAACTGGTGTAGTAAGCAGAGGTGATAACTGTTACGTACTTCACCTTGAATTTTAGGCATTTTAAAGGTCATTGGGGAAGGGAAAATAATCCATTAATTTTTACTAGAGTGTTCATGTAAGTGTCTTCTGCTGTGAAAATCAATGTAAAATTTCACTGCCATTCAAAATGCAAAGTGGTGTATAATATCACTACTCCAAACTGCCCTAAATTGTTGCATTTTTAAACAAGCAGGTTTTGAGTTATGCCCTTACCTCGTAAATTCAGCTTCACAGATTGGATTATTGCCATGTGGATGTAGTAGCAGGAAAAATAAATTTGTGTCAGTCTGAATTCTACTTGTGCATTTATTAAACTACTCTTAACCTTTTCTTAGGTCAGTGATCATCATACAGATTTGCTTTTATATGCCTTAGAGAAAAATTCCTCTATGAGTATTATTTATGAGTTAAGTGTTACTTATCCATTTACATTAGTAATCTTAAATTATTTACCTGCTTTGGAATTCATATGTTACAAATTTGCCAGATGAAAGCTGCCAGATGAGTGAATATATTTGTGCTACATGTCTGTTGCTCATTAAAGTAGCTGGTTTGGGATTCACAGCAAAAATAAAAAGTGTTACAAGGGGTAGAAAAGAGGGGAGAAGAGGTCAGGCAGTTTATAGCAAAGTCTGCTGTGCTGCAGCTGGCACTAGCTGGCGCCTTTGGGCAGTTTCTGCTAAACCTTGAGCAATTGCTTTCACTCTTCCACCTCCCATGTTGTTTCATTCATTCAATCTTAGATGGAATTGGTTAGAGAGGAGAAATAGAACACTATTTAAAACAAGAGAAATGGTATATCCCCCTCTGGCAGAGAACACAGGTAAGACATTACCTCTTGTACTTGATGGGAGAACATCTTTTTTTTTCTTTCTTTCTTTTTTGTTTGTTTGTTTGGGACAAAGTCTCACTCTGTTGCCCAGGCTGGAGTGCAATGGCGTGATCTTGGCTCACTGCAACCTCTGCCTTCTGGGTTCAGCGATTCTTGTGCCTCAGCCTCCCAAGTAGCTGGGATTACAGGCATATGTCATCATGCTCAGCTAATTTTTTGTATTTTTAGTAGAAACGGGGTTTCACTATGTTGGTTGGGCTGTACTTAGACTCCTGGCCTCGGGTAAGGTACATGCCTCGGCCTCCCAAAGTGCTGGGACTACAGGCGTGAGTCACCATGCCCAACTTATTTATTTTTTTCTTTTTAATGAGACAGGGCCTCACTATGTTGCCTAGTCTGGTCTTGAACTCCTGGGCTCCAACAGTCCTCCCACCTGCCTCCTGAGTAGTTGAGATTATAGATGTGCCACCATGCCCAACTGAGAATATTATCTTGATCTACTAAATAAATAGATTTTATTTCCATAATGACTTATTTAGAATTAAAAGCGAAGCCCTGAGTTATATATATATTAAAAAAACTTACATGCATTTGCTAGTCAGGCCAGTTTAACTTATGTGAGAGCCAAAAATCTTACATAATTATTAACAGTTTAATGATGATAGATTATTGATTATAATTAAACCTAGGCTGTCAGACTAATCAATGGTAAGTTTAGTCTTAGGCCTTGAGTTGCTAGGTCAGATCTGGTTTTCCCAGGCTGATATTTCAAAAGTCTTACAGTCTTCTTTTGTTGAGAATCCTTCACTTTTCCAGTTACTCCAAAGGAGACCTCAGTCAGACCAAAGTTTGATGGAGGTCAAGTTAAAATTTAAACCATATCTGGAAGCAAGGTCAGTGCAGCAAAGGCACATTCTAAAGCATTACTTCATATACCTTAATTCTTCCGGAAACTCGTTTGCTGGGTGTTTTCATTCATAAGTTCATTTACTCAGCACTCATTCAACAAATATTTTTTATTTTTTTCAACAGATATTTATTGAGCATCTACTGTGTACATTATATTGTTCTAGGCTCTGGAGTTATATTAGTGACAAAACAGAAAAAAATTTTGTTCTTTTGGAACTTGCAGGGAAATACAGATATTAATAATATCATATCTATTATTTTATTAATGAATCATAAGATACAGATAATAGATCATTTGGTGACAAGCACCATGAAGGTAAAGTGGACTGAAGGGCTCATTAAGAAAGGGATCTCTGAAGGTGATATTTGAGCAGAGGCCAAAAGAAATATGGGAACGGTTCATGCAGTTATTTGGAGACAGATGTTCTAGCAAGAGGGAACAGCAAGTACAAAGTACCTGAAAGAAGCATGTGCTTGGCATTTGGAGGAACTGTGAGGGGACTGGTAGGATTAGAACACAATGAGTGAGAAGTGAAGGGAGATGAGGTCAGAGAAGTGGTGTGGAATTGGGGATGAAGGGTGATCACATCATAAGCCATAGCAAAGATGTTTACATTGAATTAAAAAGCTATTGGAAGGTTTAGCGAAGTACAGGAAAATGATGTGACTTTGGTTTTAAAGCGGTCCTGAACAATAGCACTTTCTGTGATGATGGAAGTAGTCTAAAATCTGCAGTGCCCTCTAACCCTTTGTGGTTATTGAACACTTGAAATGTTGCCAATGCACCTGAGGAACTGAATTTTTAAATTTAATAGAATTTTAATTTAAGCAGTAACATATGGCTAGCGTATTGGTCAGAAAAATTTTATACATTTTCACAGGTTGCTTTATGGAGAATAGTATGTGGAAGCAAAGAGGCAAAAGCAGGGAGAAGCCTTAGGAATGCAGATCAAGGCTTAGCAAAAATTTTTTTTCTTATAAAGGGCTAGCTAGTAACTATATTAGGGTTTACATTTCCTTTTTCTTGTTTGTTTGTTTTGAGATCGAGTTTCACTCTTATCACCCAGGCTGGAGTACAATGGCGCGATCTCAGCTCACTGAAACCTCCGCCTCCTGGGTTCAAGTGATTCTCCTGCCTCAGCCTCCCGAGTAGCTGGGACTACAAGCCCCCACCACCACATCCAGCTAATTTTTGTATTTTTAGTAGAGACAGAGTTTCATCATGTTGGCCAGACTGGTATCAAACTGCAGACCTCAGGTTATCCAGCCACCTCAGCCGTCCAAAGTGCTGGGATTACAGGCGTGAACCACTGTGTCTGGCCAGGGTTGACATTTCATAGGGACTCTATGACAACTACTGAAGTATACTATTGACAGTATGTAAATGAACTAGCATGGTTGTGTTTCAATGAAAGTTTATTCATTCATTGGTCAGATTTGGCCCATAGGTTGTTGTTTACCAACTCCTGGTGTGAATGAGAGGTGCGATGACCAGGCTTATTTCAAAGGTAGACTTGACAGGATTTATTGGTGGATTGCATGTGTGGTGTAAAAGACAGAGGAAATTCAAACAAATAACTTAAAGGTGTTTGGACTCCACATTTGACAAAAAGGAGTTGCTATTCACTGTGATGGGAAAGACTTGGATAGAAGCAGATTTGGGAGAAACTGTTAAATTTGGCTTGAAGTTTAAGATGTCTGTCAGTTATCCAAGGGAAGTTTGGAGGTGAGGACTGAGATCTGGACTGCAGCTATATACACTTGATAGTTATAAAAAATGGTATTAAAACCATGGGTAGGAATAAGATCTCCTAGAGAGAGAATTTGACAAAGAAGAGAAAAAGGTCTGAGGACTAATCCTTGGCATACTTCAGTATGTGGTAAAACACATACGGAAAACTGAGAAAAGAAGACTGCAGAAGGGTGAAAGAAACCAGAAAGTGATGTTTTAGCAGCCAAGTACAAGTGTGTCAAGTAAGACTTCATCAGTACTTATCAAATGCTGCCTGGTACGTAATAGGCACACGTATGTGTGCTGAGTCAATGAATAACTGGGTACGTGCTATTCTATACTGACTTCTGTTGAGTTCTAATGTACAACACCCCCTTACCCCATTCAGAGGCCTTTAATGGCTCCCCATTGCCAACTCCTTGACCAGGAATTTGTATTTTAATATATGACTGAGTTGAACTGCAACACCTCTTCATAGGCCTCCAATAGGCTCTGCAATTTTGCATTTCTTTATTTACTCATTCTATGCAAATTCCTTCATGTGTGAAATGCCATTCTGTCCTTCTTTGCCTCTTGAAATCTTATCCCTCTACTAGGAGCCCTTTCAAATGCCCTCTCCTAAATGAGTACTTCCCCTTCCCTCCACTTCTCTTCTAACCTGTCCTTAAACCCTTGTCATGGCTCTACTGACATGCATCCCACTTTCCATTTGGTTCCAGTTGTTCATTTTGTTTTGCACATGATATTCTAGGATCCCTGTGAGCAGGTGCATGACACCATAGTGGAATGATTGTGAACATGGAGAATGGTATAAACAGACCTGTTTTCAAATACTAGTTTTTTATTTACGAACCTGTGACTTTCCTAAGTAACCTAAACTCCTGAAGGCTCCATTTCTTCACTTGTAAATGAAGACAAATAAGGCGTCATGGAATTAGTTGAGATAGTTCCATTAAATTTATTCAAATATTGCACTTATTGCCTGTCAGATTCAAGCTAAATTTTTTCAATTTAAATAATTTATTTTTAATAGATTGTCAATCTGTTTTTGTTATTGATCTAAGCACTATACAGTGATTATATACTTTAAGTAAGTGAATGTCAAGCTAGTGTTAACAGATAGCTATTGCCAGCATAAGAATATTCCCTGCCTACCCAAAAATATCGGAAAGAAATAAGACCAGCCACTTATAAGAGAAGGTGCCAATGCAATGGCTAATCTTTATGAGAAAGAAGAAACTTTACAGCACATTTTGAGTAACTTAGTGCATGGGCTCAGTGGGCCACCTGCTGGGACACCACCTTCTAATGGATTCCACAATTAAGGCATTGCTGGGTCTTGCCTTTGCACAGCCAAAACCAGATGATGACGCTGTTGTCCTCTTCACAGACACAGCCCCCTATTTGCTTGTTGGTGATGGATAGGACCAAATTAGGCTCCTTCTTGGTTCCTGAGGCTGCCTTTGGGGTTAGTATGTTGTAGGGTCCAGTCCCTTCAGTGCAGCCATCATAACCTCCCTCTCCAACCCAGTCACCTGCTCACTATCACTAGGAGCACAACCTCCAGATGCCGTGGAGCGCACTGCGGTCGCCCACTGGGACTGCGGGCCTGCGTAGTCAATGCTGCAGCTCCGGAAAGTAACCTCGAAGTCGTCACACCCACAACAAGCAGCAGTACCTCCGGGTAAATAATTTAATAAACAAGTGTGTGCAAGGAAAAGTTATAACAAGATTACTCCCATTTTTATTCGTTTTTATATTTTTATAGTGTTTACCACTTTCCCTTGTGAACACATGCTTATTCTTAAATTATTTACATTGAAAGGATTAAGCATTAACTTTTATGTTTTAAGTTAATTACAGTTGAATTTCTTTCTTTTTTATTTTTCATTTTACACTCCTTGTTAAAATTCTTTTAAATCATTGCCGACTTGGCAGTTTATTGCCTTGATAACAGCAAATGAGTATCTGATTCTTCCTTTACCCCAAATTGCCACTTTTCTTGTTGATCAGCAGCATCACTGAGTGAAAACCAGCAACAGCCGAAGTCAATATTTATAACTTTATCATTAGACCTTAAAATCTTATGTTAGAAATTTATGGTAGTGCATCAGGTGGAGAGAGAAAGTTCCATGGGAAGCTAAACCTCTGCTTAAAGGCTTTGTGAAACTTGACTAGTAAGAAGCATAGTTGCTGTTTCATGAAAGTAACTATTTGCTAGGGAGCCATCTTGAAAGGATTATTTCTGTGACACTATGTACTGGGGAAATTTTTATTGAGACTTTGTATTGATGTTGTCACATAATGTTTACTGTAGACAGTTTTTTATTTCAGAACTGTAGATAACATTGAGAGTTATAGACTGTCTCAAGCTTTTCTGACCATATCGAATGAATCAAAGAGTGTCTTTCCTTGTTAGATTTAAGTTGGATTTTCTGTCCTTCCCTTGGAAAATGGTTGTATTTGCTGGTAATTTGTCTTCATATTTAGTGTAAACTTCCCTTACTTCATTGCCATCTAGCTATTTGTAATTTACAGTATGTGCCACTATAACATGATGTAAAATTCATCTATTCTGTAAACTTCTTTTGGGCTCTTACCCCATTTCATTATTAGTTGGCCAATAGCATTAACAAGAAGGACTTCTATGTACAAGTCATTATACTGAGACCTTGAAGGTTTTCTAGCCCAGACACTCCAACACATGATCTTTTCTCTAGCATCCCTTCATCTTGAATTTTGTCCACCCTAACATACTGTTAGTAATACAGAACTCTCCACCTTTTGAGGAAACCCATTCCATCTCTCAATGAAATTAGCTATTAGAAAGCCTTCCTTTAATGCAAAACGCAGTCTCCTCCCAGGAGGATTATTTCTGTGACAGTATATACTGGGGGAAATTTCCATTGCACTTCTAGCCTTTGGGTTTCTATGGAAATAGTCTAATCTCTCTTCCACAAAACAGTTCTTCAAATATTTGAATGACAGATCCATAGTTCTATTCTGTAGACTCTGTTGGTTCTCAGATAATGTTGGTTATTGATGAATTTTCTTCCATTATATTTCCTTAGAATTAGTTTCAAGAAGACCTAAAAAGAACAAATACAAAAATTTAGTTGCGAACTAAAAACTTGAGGCAAGTTGTGAGAAGAAATGTGGGAATGATTGACAGCTGGCTTGGTTACCTTCTATTGAGTAAATATATAATTATGCCATTTTTTAAAAATGTTATTTTTTTGAGAAGACAGTAATTGCACTAGTCTATTGTATAATTGTTAAAGCAATGCTATTTGCTTATTTGTCTTTAATCAATGGGTTTGGACTCACATTGACCTAATATACAAATCTTGCAAACTGCTTTTTGAGGGCACTGGGGAAGGGAGAAACACATAAAAGATACTGCCAGGTAAATATATATTTAACCAGAAAGAGTCAGCACTGTCAGCTCAGTTCACTGCATATTAGGGAGCAATGAAAAGGCCTCATTGTGCCTCCTGTGATTGAAATGATATTATCTGGCATGACTGGAAGGGAGTGCTTACTTACAGAATAACTTCTTTGGTCTTTTCAAAGATGGTAAGACTTCTCAAGCTTTCTTGTTATTTTATTTTTAGTTAGTTATAGATTTTTCTTTTAGAGTATTTTTCAAACTTCCTTATTTTGATGGTAACTTTTTAAAAAGTATTGAAATAGTCATAATCAGCTTTTATATTTCTCCTTTTCTAAATGCTTCCATGTATTCAAAAGATAGATTCTCTCCTCACTACAGAAGGCTAAGAAAACTTCCTTTTCTAGGTCTACAGTAGTCCAGTCTCTTGGTCAAAGGTATACGATACATTAAATCTTTATCTGGAAACCTCTCAGAGGAAGATAAAGTAATCGACCTTTAGAAATTAAATGTTATAGCATTCGGATAAATAATCATTGGCTATTGTTATTACTTTTCTTGGATTTAGGTGAAGGAAATAAAAGATGCAGGCTTTTGACCAAATTAGAGCATGGCTTTAATTTCCTGTTATTCCAGCATTGCTACTCTTTCTAATAACCACAAATCAAGGATGACAAACAAACAAAACCGCACACTAGATCCCAAAGGCAGCTAAAACAGCTTCTTAGTGACCTTCTTTCTGACCTACATTGTACAAATGAGATGATTGGAAACAGGATAATAATTGATTGCAACAATATGACAATCTTGTTAAATGGGCTTAAAATTACATTCTCTACCTGGACAGGGACCTTATAGGGGAGATCTTAGAGGTAACAGGATCCTCATGTATGGAGCGTTAGGATTAATTGTTTATGATGGCACTTTACTGAAATGTTCTAAATTTTCATTATTTCTTTCTAACAGATTAGTAAGATGGTATTAATGGTCCTGCCCTATCTGCTGAGCACAGTTCTTAAAAAAACAGCTTTCTGATATAACGAAAGTCAACTTGGTGAGCTACCAGCTGTTTTAGATTTGGCAGATTTCACATTCGCTTTGGGATGCCTGTTTGGATATGTTTATAAAGTCATTAATCTTCTGTCTCTCCTCTCTTCCTGCCTTCCTTCCTCTATTACTTGCTGAATTCTGGACATACAGCAAAGTGTAAGATGAATCTCTGTCCTCATGGAGCTTACAATCCAAAGCATATTGAAAGAAGAGTTCAAAAATACCAACATTGAATATCAAACTATTTGAAATTATGTGCTATATTGGTTTTATTTTTCAATTTTGTATGGATTAACTTGCAATAACAGATAAACACAAGTATGGTGCACTTTGGTAATTTTTTGGTGAATGCTGTGGAAGACAGGCCTTTAGTAAGGTTAAATATTCTACTTTCCTCTATTAGATCTCATTTGACTTCACAAGATTCACTTGATAATAGTTACAAAGTAAATCCAGTTCTTCAAATGGAAGATAGGATTTAGGTATTTTTTACTTTAGATTTTACTTAAAACTATAGATTACATTTAAATAAGCAGCATATTTCACAGAGATTTTCAAAAATATTAGATTTCACCCTAATTTATGTTTTGCACAATATTTCAATGAAAATTTGATGTGGTTGTTAATGTTTTATTCCTTTTGATCATTGCAATAAAATAATAAAATGTAACATCAGATTTACTGTTTTAACCATTTAAGTGTATGATTCAGTGACATTAAATACATTCACATTGTTAAACAACCATGAACACCATCTATCTCTAGGATCTCTTCATCTCCCCAAACTGAAATGCTACCCGTTAACCAATAACTTCTTATTTCCCTTTTATTGCTTGCTTTCTTTTATGTGAGACATGCATAAATGAATATCCCATATCTTTGGCTTTTTTTTAAGTAATAGGTACTAACTGAAGACTCTCCATTTGTTACTGGGATATGAAAAAAAAATAGTAACTTGTAGAACTACTAGACTTCTAGAACTACTACTGTGATCTTGCAAAACAGCAGAGAAAAAAATAAAGAGATAAATAAAATAGTAACATGTCTAGCCAAATAAAATACTCACTAATACAGTGGAGTAGCATGGAATTTGGCATGAGACCTCAGTTTGAATCCTGACTCTACCATTTAGCTTAAATGGTTGCTTCTAGGCAAGTTGCTAACCTCTCTTAGTTGCCTCAGCTATAGAATGGGTATAATAAAAGCTTGTTTTTTCAGCCTCATGTTCATGTTGTGAGGACCAGAAATTTAATTATATCAAAGTATTCTGAAAATTAGAACTCACATTTCAAAAAAAAATTTAAACAAATCAGACTATGGGAATATAAATTAGTTCAACCATTATGGAAGACAGTGTGACGACTCCTCAAAGACCTAGAACAAGAAATACCATTTGACCCAGCAATTCCATTATGAGTTATATACCCAAAGGAACGTAAATCATTCTGTTATAAAGATGCATGCATACGTATGTTCACTGAAGCACTATTCACAATAGCAAAGACATGGAATCAACCCTAATGCCCATCAGTGATAGACTGGACAAAGACAATGTGGTACATATACACCATGGAATACTGTGCAGTCATAAAAAGGAACAAGATCCTGTCCTTTGCAGGGACATGGATAGAGCTGGAAGCCATTATCCTCAGCAAACTAACACAGGAACAGAAAACCAAACACCACATTTTCACTTACAAGTGGGAGTTAATGAGAACACATGAACCCAGAGAAAGGAACAACACACACTGGGGCCTGTCAGGGGTATGGAGGGAGGGAGAGCATCAGGATAAATAGCTAAGCATGCGGGGCTTAATACCTAGGTGATGGGTTATAGGTGCAGCAAACTGATGGGTTGATAGGTGCAGCAAACCACCATGGCACACATTTACCTATGTAACCAACCTGCACATTCTCCACATGAATCCCAGAACTTAAAATTAAACAGCAACAGAAAAAAGGCTGAATTTTAAACAGATTCCTGAACTAGTGGTTCACACCCATCAGCTCATTCAACTTCAGCACCTGTCTTGTCTCTAGTAGCTTTTCCAGAACCACTACCTTCACCATGAAGCCCCATGCCCTTTCCCAATTCAAACTTGGGCTTAGCATTTTTACTTTTCTAACCAAGACATCATGGAAAGGATAAATAGATTAGCAAGCTGTTTTAATATATTTTGCAATGCTGTCCGAAGTCAATTTACTGGCCACTTCTTTCAAGTCATCTGTCTTGCAGTTTTTGGGTCATGGTTTTTATCATTATCTCCTGGATTTGGCAGACCTGTTGGTGCTGAGCATAAGAAGTCTTTTGTATCTGATTGTTGTACTTTTTAGTAAAACCAACACAGAACAGATGAAGCAAATAACCATCAGTAGTCTTGACATCAACATGAACTTCAGTAATGGTCTGCCATTTTTTTGACCATGGAACATATTTTGTCACTGGTAGGATCCATGCCATGAAAGTTAGGCAGTTTTTACCTTGTTCGTCTTCAGTAATCAGCCTGAATTTTCTAAATGCAACTTGACTGCAGATCAGCAAGGCTCACTTCAAACACGCAAACCCTTGAGGCCATCTGATGCAATTTTGGTTCCTTGAGTCCTGGTGACTAGTGTCTTTCCAATACTTCTTATATTGAATGTAGCTGCTTTCACATCACACTAGTCGGTCTTAGAAAATGTATCTACCGGCTGGGCATGGTGGCTTTTGTCTGTAATCCCAACACTTCGGGAAGCCGAGGCAGGCAGATCACAAGGTCAGGAGATCAAGACCATCCTGGCCAACATGGTGAAACCCCGTCTCTACTAAAAATACAAAATTAACTGGGCATGGTGGTGCATGCCTGTAATCCCAGCTACTCAGGAGGCTGAGGCAGGAGAATCGCTTGAACCCAGGAGGCAGAGGCTGCAGTGAGCCAGGATCACGCTGCTGTACTCCAGCCTGGGCGACAGAGAGAGACTCTGTCTCAAAGAAAGAAAAAAATAAAGATAAAAAAAGGAAAATGGATCAACAACTTTCTTGGCTTCCTTTTTGCCACTTTTTGTAAGGCACTTGTTCTTGGCAACTGCCGTGCTGCTACTGAAAGAGCCAAAAGGAAAGAAAGTGCCTCAAATGTTAATGTATATGGCATTTGGCATATACAGATATATGGCATAAATGTTTTCCTCTTATTGCCTTTCCTTGCCAATTCTTAACTACTAGTTTTGTCATTACACTTGACACGTCTAGGTGTCACTCTTTAATTTTCATTCTCCCTGAACTTTAATTTTTACAAGTCTATGGTAACTTTCTCTTCAGTGTTTGTAACTACCACATTTCTATAGAAATCTTAGGGTGATCTATTGAGATTCTTCACCCTTCATTTCTAATTCCTCATGATACTATGCAAGTGACAAAAAGGTGGCTTGTGACAGAGAAATATGATATTTAAATAAAATCCTTAGAATCAAAAAAGTGCCTAAGTTAACAACTTTTTAAAAGGGCTATTTTACCAACTCCATAATTGACATTCTGTCACTGCTCAGACTTTATTTCATTCCTGCTCAACTCAATATATGGATTTTTATACAAACCATTTACCAACCACTAGACAATAGCGCCTCTGGCAGATCAAATTTGTACAGGTAAGTTGTTTGTTATCCACAGGAGAGCTTCATTGTATCCTTGGGACAGCTTCCGTTAGCAGCCCAGAGTGAGAGTTGGTGACACTCAAAAACTCAAATTATTGATGAGAACATCCCAAGTACTAGGAAGAATTTAAAATTAAACCTTTTAAGCCTGTGCAGTCATTATCACATTAAGCAGGGAGATGGTGATGGGTCATAAATTGGTTTTCCATTTTACTTAAACAGGACCTGGCAGAATGTAAATGGAACCTTTGAAGTTCACTTATCTCATGATAATTCTTCACTTTTTTTTTTTTTCGAGATGGTTATGAGGTTGAAACTTTAGATCTCTAATTGTTTCTGTTAGATTCCATTTATTGGAAAAATTATATTTCGAGGATTTTTCCCCCGGTTTCTGTATGCCTTCCAGAAACCCAGGGACTTCTTGAAATTCTAGTTTTCCTGTACAGGTTGAATCTCCCTGATTTTGAATTAGAAAATTCAAAATCTGAAATGCTCCAAGTTTGACACTTTTTGAGCACTGACATGACATTCAAAGGAAATGCTCATTTGGAGTATTTTGGATCTTGGATTTCTGGATTAGATATGCTGAACTGGTAAGAATATGTGATACAAATATTTTAAAACCTGAAAAAAATCCAAAATCCAAAACACTTCTGATCCCAAGCGTTTTGGATAAGAGATACTCAACCTGTATCGGTTTCATGCAACTTTTTGAAATATTAGAGATTTAACAAGTCATGACTCACTTCATTGTCTGTATATCGTAAATGTTAAAGGCCAGGCACGGTGGCTCACGCCTGTAATCCCAGCACTTTGGGAGGCTGAGGCGGGTGGATCATAGGGTCAGGAGTTTGAGACAAGCCTGTCCAACATGGTGAAACCCCGTCTCTGCTAAAAAAAAAAAAAAAAAAAAAATACAAAAATTAGCCGGGCATGATGGTGTGTGCCTGTAATCCCAGCTACTCGGGAGGCTGAGGCAGGAGAATTGCTTGAACCTTGGAGGTGGAGGTTGCAGTGAGCCAAGCCACTGCACACCAGCCTGGGTGACAGAGGAAGACTCTGTCTCAAAAAAAAAAAAAAAAAAAAAAAAAAAAAAAAAGTTAAAGTACGGTTTGGTGTTTGTCTTTCTTTAGACTTAATGTACATGTTGAAACATCAGTTTAAGCAGTGCTTTTTCTTTTTTATAAAGCAGCTGGGATCTGACTTTTAATCTTAGCATATTGTTTATAAACCTCTACTAGATGACTTACAAGTTTATCTGAGTCATCTCCATGCACACCACTCATCTTCCTGATCTTTTCTTATAAGGAAATCTGATTAGTTGCATTAGAAGATTATGTACCTGCCTCAGTTAAATGGGATCTTAGATTCTCTATTTTTGGAGATATGATAGTCCTCCACTTTTTGCCATTTGAGACCCTCTGAAGAGTCTTCTTCTAGCATGACTCTATTCTACTCAAAAATCTCTTTTTATCTTTCTCTTCTCTTCTTTTTTCACTTTTTCTGAGGAACGAGTTGTCTTCTGCTATATCAAGCGAAGCTCCCCATTTGTGTTTTTGATTATAAATTCTCCAAATTTTCTAGAATCTTGCTCCATGATCCCCCACCTAACCCAATCCAGCCCTCTATTACCATAAGATACTTATTTACTTCCCCGGCATGGTGGATTATCCCTGTAATCTCAGCACCTTGGGAGGCCGAGGCAGGCAGATCACTTGAGGTTAGTTCGAAACCAGCCTGGGCAACAGGGCGAAATTCCATCTCTACAAATAATAATAATATAAAAATTAGCCTGGTGTGGTGGTGCATGCCTATAGTCTCAGCTACTTGAGAGGCTGAGGTGGAGGATTGCTGGAGCCAGGGTGGCGGAGATTGCAGTGAGCCTGCATCGCACGACTACACTCCAGCCTGGGTGACAGAGGGAGACCCTGTCTCAAAAAAAAAAAGATATTTATTTTCTCTATGTCCACTGATTTCTTTCTTTCTACTTACAAGCATGCTCATTCTCTCCTTATCCTAAAGAAACCTTCCCCTTACCTGAGATCCTCTCAAGATACTCTTCTACCCCAAGTTTATCCAAACAGTAGGCTGTGTTCCTTTTCTCTACTTTAACCACCCACTGACTCTACTCTTTCTCTTTTGAATATTTTTTGCCTCATCATTCTGTGTAGAACAGTGTTTTCAGCCCTGGTTGGAATATAATCATCTGGGTTGCTTTTAGAAACTTCTAATCCTTTGTTTCCATCCTGAAAAATTCTGATTTAATTGGTCAGTGATAAGTCTTCCCACTGATAACTTAAAAAATTACCCCAGAAGACTCTAATATGCTTTGGGTTGAGGACCATTGCTCTAACTCATCAGTATAATACCTCCTAAAGGTTACATCAACAGATTTCCTTCCCAATATTTACCCTTCTAGGTTTATTCTTTCAAAGTAGGAGAAAACATTCCCTATGCCCATAAATATTCACGGTTGAAATAGTGCACCATATTTATCCTCCCACCTTTCTGACTGCTCATTGTCTTTGTCCTCTTTTGACTGGTCTTCCCCTTTCCTGTTCCAAAAATACTACTTCTGCCCCAATTATTAACCTGGGTAGTTGTTCTAATCTATGTAGTCTAGAGTAATGATCTTATTTCCTTGCTTTTCCATTATGTTTGTGTAATATCACCCTACTCTTTCCCCAAACCCAGAATCCTCAAAACAAACTGCCTTCTGGACACCTTTTTACATATATCATTGGCATTCTTGTCCAAAGAAGAACCTATTGTCTTGCTGAAATTGTTTTTGTTTTTTCTTTCTAGCTCCTGTTTCTTCAGCCACCTATGCCATAAACATCATATTTAAATTTTATCTTTCTTTTTGTCACTAACAGTTATTATCTAAAACCTATAGATTCCGTCCTATACACTGCTTCTTAATTTGCTATTCTTTTAGTATTCCTCTAGTCATTAATCATATTCTGGCTGCACATGTACAATTATAATAACCTAGTAGCTGGTCTTTACTATGTACCACACACTGCTGTCATATTTTCAGGCACAGCCCCAATCTTTTCACTGTCTTTTAATGTGTTCTATGGCTCCTTATTGACTGTAATTGAATCCAAACAATTAGGATGAAATTCTAGGCACTTGGTAATAGTTCTCTGCCAGCATTTTCAATCCATCTCCATCACTCTTCTGCAGAGACTCTATGCTGCAGCTAAACTGGGCTGCTTGCTGTTCCCTAGCCTTTAAACTTTTTTTTTTTTGGACATTTCTTTTCTAGTATAAATGTTCTTTTTTCTTATGAAGCTTATTAATTTTTTTTCTGACCCCCTTAGGCAGGAAAATTTTTGCCTTGTTCTAGGCTATATAGATCTACCTCATGTTATTAGACTTCCAAATTCAGTATAGAACTGGTAGCTTACCGTTTCTAGTTGTTTGTATCTCATTTAACCAGGATGTGTTTGTACATTAGAAGATGGCTTGTGGCTGATTGTGATGTATGTGACATCCTGCGACCTTTGTGTAGCAGATTGTTTTTTCCTTCAAACTATACATGACACAGAAGAGGTTTTTCAGGTTTGTTTTGTTTTTTAATTACCATGTTTTTGTAGGCCAGAGGCTATCTTCACAGCCTCCATGATTTATGGAATATGCCATTCAGACTTTCAGTTAAATGACAAAATAAATTCCCTAGAAAGTTGGACCCATATACTTTTAGATTCTTTTAACTTTGCCCACTTTTTTGTGCCTCTTGATTTTTCTTTCTTTTTTTTTTTTTTTTTTTTGAGACGGGGTCTTGCTCTGTTGCTTAGGTTGGAGTGCAGTGGTGCAATCTCATTTCACTGCAGCCTCTGCCTCCTGGGTTCAAGCAATTCTGCTGCCTCAGCCTCCCGAGTAGCTGGGATTGTAGGTGCACCCCATCATGCCAGGCTAGTTTTTGTGTTTTTAGTAGAGACAGGATTTCACCACGTGGGTCAGACTGGTCTCGGACCCCTGACCTCAAGTGATCCTCCTGCTTCGGCCTCCCAAAGTGCTGGGATTACAGGCGTGAGCCACCAGTGCCGAGCCCTGCTTGATTATTAAATCCAAATTGTCCTCCTGCTATCTTAAAAGAAATGAAATTTCTCAGTAGTAGCAAACAATGTCAATCTATTTGAGACCATTAATGACTCATTTATAATGTCAACAGTCACATGAAGGCTAGAAAAATTAAATGTGTAGCCTCATTACCTTTGTGGTTAGCATTTCTTGGAAATAGCATGGTGCTTACTTAGTGCAACATTGTAAAAGACAAGAAGAATTCCTTTGGAGAAGAGCTTTATAGTTGAGAATGTGGATAATGGAATAACAAAATGATAACTTCTTACTCTTTGAGCTGCATTCTACGAGACATTCTTTGTGATTAGCTATCAGACTCTGCATGTATGAAGAAGCTCAGTTGTTCCAGTCATTGTGACCTGTTTTTCATAGATAATTTTGACATGTATTTTTGGAGTTTTGAAAACATCATTTTTAGGGAATATGATTTAAAATATTTTTAAAGTAGTAATTATTAGAAATTATCTAAACTATTAGCTTCTTCTAATTTGAAGATAATGTTACATCTCCAAGGATACTGCAGAAAGGAGCTTGGGTACCATGTGAACCAGCATGCCTGTAAGTTTCCTATCAACTCCAAGTTGTGTTGGTACTTCCGTTCTGTTCAAATGGTTATCAGCACCTGAAATGAATATGCTCTAGATTAGTCTTCCTTTTTATATATAGAATACACTTATAAAATAGATGGATTACTTTAACAGTTTGTAGCTGTGAAGAGAGCGAAACCAACCTGCACAATGGAGACTGAAACATAACTTGAGACCCAAAGTGTACTCTTAGCTATAAAATGTAATATAAATGTAAATTATTTGTTGTGGTTCAAGACCTTATACTCTTACTTCTGGTGCCTTTTATGAATTCCCACCATGGTATAGGACTATACTTTTTCTAATAGAACAACAAAAGACATTTTATGAAAGGATGGCATTGAAGTTTATCGTGACATCTACCTACCTTACAGAAGCACATGTAGAGGGGTTTGTGTGTGTGTGTGTGTGTGTGTGTGTGTGTGTGTGTGTGTATAAAAAGAGATTTGTTTCAGGAACTTGACCTCGTTTAATTGTGGGATCTGGCTAAACAGTCTCTGTAAGATTTTTGTCTTCTCAACTCATGCTGGAGCTTGAAGTTCACAAGGCAGGCCATCAGAAGACAGAGGGATCATAAAGTCAGGGAGAGCAGTGACAAGCTGGAACTGCTAGAATGGGCTGGAATTCATGTCAGTTCTCCCTGTCTCCAGTCCTAATGATGTGGATGTCCTGTAGGAGAAGCATCATGGAGCTAGAGAAACACTTGGCTTACACATCAGTGAAGCAGAAGGGGGATCCAGGAAAGTTGGAGCAGCTGCCTCATGAAAAGTTGCTAAGCAGCAACATTAAGGCTGCAGCTGCTGAGTGTCTAAAACAGACTGGCTACTGCTTTACTTCCACCCTTCACTGCTCTAGCAAAAATGTCTCTTTTAGCCCACCCTAGCCCTAAACACACAGGGAAGAGAATTCTGGGAAATGCAGTTCAGCCTGGCCAAGTTGCACATTAGAAAGCCACCAAAGCAAATAAGCCTTCTGCATAACTTCTCTAATATTTCAAAAGGGTAGTATTCTGCAACCAGGGCTTTTTCCAACCTTCTCATAATACCTGGATGATGAAATTTGAGGCATAACCAGTGTATTTCCTTGCATCATTATTGTTACTGTGGGGCTGAGAGTCCTATAGCATGGCTCATTGTTTTTAAGGGTAAAGGATTCTAATGTAGCAAAATTAAGAGTAAAGAAATGAAGATATTAGAGGAAATTTCTTTGAAAATTTCATCATCAATTTATGGCATCCAGTTTTGTAATATTTCATATTATAATGTAGTTTGATTCGATGAGTTAACTTTAGCAAGCAGAAAGATACTACAAGCATGATAATAGTAATACTTGCTACCCTCATAGAACTATATGAAATAAAATTCTACTGAGTGTAAAAAAATAATGTTAGAACTTGACAGGAAGACTTGATATGCATTAGCTTGTGCACTGGAAGCAACAAGTAAGCATATGACCCTTTGAAAACTGTAGGACCATAAAATTCCCAATTTTTCACACATTTTATATATGAGTCTGCATGAATGTTAGCATGTACATTAATACTAAGACCTGTCCCTTAAACTTCAGGTTCTTGATCTTTTATTACCTGCTGGGATGGCAGAATTGCTTCATAAATGTAGTCCATCTTCATTTACATAGTGACACTGCTCAGGAGAGTCTCTGTTAAAAAAATTATCTGGAAACACTCCAACACTGTTGGGCAGTTTCATAGTTTGCTGGTTGTCTTTCATTAGATGTAATCTAACCTTCTTTCCCACGATGACAATATAAAATGCTTCAGAAACACACATCTCAGCAAATTGCTTTTCCTCATGACAATTATTTGTCCTTCTAATTAACACTATTCAGAATGAGATATTTTCTGAGAAACAAAGTCCCCTTTCTCACTCCCCCTTATAATAATAATTGCATCTACTTGTATACAGAGAGTTTACATATGTCATTTAATGTGATCCTCTAGGAATGATGGCCCCATTAGATAGTAGGCATAGGTTCTCATGGGAATGATGACCCTGTTCGATGAGTAGGCAGATATTAACATCCTCACATTAGAATTCAGGAAAGGAAGACACTGAGATTTGGAGGTATAATAGCTAGAGTGGTTTCTGTCTGTTACAGTGAGACCCTATTTGCCACTTTTAGTCAGTTTCCTGTTACTTGCAGCTCAATTAACACTGGTGGAAACAGTCACATACAGGGTAAATACTGGAGCTAGAACTTAAATCCAGCCCATCTAACAATAAATTCAAAGCTCTTTCAATTATCGCATGTGTAGAAAGTTGGTAAGAACTAGAGTTCAGTTTCTGGAAGATGACTGTCTACTTTTTTATTTCATCTTTCTTTACTCTTCACTTTGTCTCCTAAAGTAGCTCCCCAGCAGGTATCTTCATCTCTCTTCCCGTTCTTGCCTCTAAACACAGGTCTGTTCTTATTCATACCAGCTTGTCTCTCCCCACCAGGCCTGAGCTGACCTGAGCATGCCAGGGCCTCTTTCTACCCACTGTTCCAGCCCTGCTGCTCTCCTGCTGATTATTTGAATTATGTTTCAAGATATAGCTTAAATGTAACCTAAAAAATATGAAACCTCCCATTTTCTTTCTTTAGTTAACATAACACCTCGCTCCTGTCATAATTATTGTTCCTATCACATGGTATCATAATTATTAGAGTGTTTCTCTCCACTAGGCAAAGACCTTTCTAGAGAGAAAGCCTAGGTCGTATCTGGCCCTGTATTCTACCATCTGGGACATAGTTGGCACTCAGAAAATGTTTCCTGAACTTCTGAAACATTGAGTGCTCTAATTGAACTATGTGCACAGTACGGTATTACTTTTCAGAATTAGGTCATTCAAAATCCTAAAGATATTTTTCAGCTTTCATTTCTGAGCCTTAAATTTAAGGTACCTGAACTAACATTTCACTAAGGCATGTTTGAAACCCATATTATGGATGAGTATCTATGACTTTATCTGATGCTTTTTATACTGTTGTATAGATTGTAGTATGACTTTGTTTCTCAGTACCTTCCAGTGATTTGTTTGCCATTTGCTGATCTGGATTGGTGATGTAGTTATTCCAGAGACTAGCTGATTACAGTGCCCTCAGGGACTGATAAAGTTATTTTAATAGAAATCCATTTGCCCTTTTATGAAATGAATGCCCCCAAAGTCTATAGAATTGTCACGTTGTAGTGAATGTGCTGTTGTTGTTATTATAATACACTTTGTAGGTACTAAACTACTTCTGCGGCTGCTTCTACTGCTCATCGCACCATCTGTGTTGAATACCAGTCATTAGCCCTCTTTTTCAGTCTGATGATTTTTTAAATTCATTTTTCCTTTGAATCCATTGGATTCCTTCTCCTGTCACTTTCCCCATGCTTCTTGGATTAGACAACACTAACACCATTTTTAGGGCTGTTGCTAGCTAGCCCTTGAGAAAGTCCCGTTTTTAGAGATTTCTGGTTACCTTTAGCATTGAGAACTGCTCCTGCTTCATTTATTTCTTCTTAGAGTTTTGCTTTAAAAGATACAGTAAAACAATGCAACATGATACCCTGGTTTACCAAGGTCTTCTTGGCTCCTAGAGAAAGGATTTGCGACAACTTTACTGAATTATGTTTGCTTAAAGTGAACTACACCTTGATAGCAATTTAAGATTCTCAACATGTAAGATGTTATTAGTATTCCATAAAACTTGGATTTATGAGAAACCAAAAAGTTTAAAGTATTTTAGAAGTATTTTTAAAGCTAGTTTCATATCCTGCAGCAAGAAAACCATAAATTTCTCTCTGACAAAGGAATCAGAATCTGTTAAAAGCATTTGTCAGTGATACATTAATATTCACGATAGCTCATGCAATATTGCTTAGTTTTTGGTTTGTTTTTCCCCCCAAGTTGAGACTTTGAATACAGCAGCATTTAAAAGGGAACACATGTAGCTCGAAAGGATGTCACCTTCATTCCTGGGTTGTGCATCCCCCTGGAGTTGTTGACCTGGAAGTTCTAATAGAATATGTGTTAAAAATACGGGAAACATATTATTTTAACATCAAAAGAGGAACAAAGAAAAAGATTGTTTTTGCTTTTCCCAACTGCCCTCTGGTGGCAAAGGCACAACAGACAGCAAAGACGTTTAACAAAGATTCTTGCTGTGTAGGTGCTGCTGGTGGTTCTTAAGAGGCTCTTAAACCAAAGTCTGTACTGTACATGTGTGCTTCTGAAAAAGAAGAACAGAATATTGGGTCTCATAATTATATTTTACTTCCCAGCGGCATCTGTTCTTATCATAGTAGCACCAGGCTCTACTAGCTCAGTCAATACTTGTATATTAACAAGAGACAATCGATAGAAAAATTAAAAGGAAAAGTCAAGGTAATTAGGCTAAAGCTGCTGCTTATGGGTTTTCAATAATTACTTTAGCTTCCTCTTGTTTTCCCATCTCCAGAAAAATAGGGCCTGATTGAAGGCCCTGATTGAAGGGCCTGGGTCGTGTTTGACTGAGGACATGTCAAAATTATACAAAGCCAAGCAGGAAATAAAATTAAGCTGTATTTGTTTTAGAGCAGTAAAAGGGGCTTTGCATGATGGCATGGGAAGAATAGATGTTGATTTAAATGTACCCCTTAGCAGCTGTGCCATTGTTGGTACCTGTTTCATGTCATCAGTTTCTGTACTACTGGCAGTAGCCCACTCAAAAGCACTATGACATGTCATGTATTAAATTAAAGCTCCAGAGGAAGATAGCGAATGGATTTCTCCCCAAAACATCAGGATATGTTTGGAAACTAGATGCCATCCTTTATGAAACCATGAAATTAGTCAAAACCCCCCCATGGTTGCCATTGTGGGCCATACTTGGGCCATTGTTCTTTATGGACATAATTGCTAGAGATCACTGTCCATTTAGTGAGGCTTAATCAACAAGCCACACACATTGTGTGAAGGAGTCTAATCTTTGGTTTTGAGCTACTTGGGTGTTTTCGTGCCCTGATGCTGTGAAATCTTCTAAATACATCAGAGCCACCCTGCTTCTCACTGCTGCTTAGTAGGTTGGTGTGTCTGCCTCCTAGGGGAAGGAGAAAACCAGAGGATTTCCTAGTTTTGGAGAGAGAACTCTGAGGAGGAAGGATAGGCTACTGAGAGAGAGATTTCATTTTTTATGTTCATTTACAGTCTTCATTTGCACTATTTCTGTCAGCTCAAAGTACTTTATAAACTTTACAACCAAATTATGTACCAACATCATTTCATTCATTGCTGATATATAGCTGTTAAACATCTGCCAGGTACACATTTCCTGGAGGCAAAAAAAAAAAATGTGGAAGAGAATTAGATCTTGTTAAATGTTCAGAGAAAATGTAGATATGGGGCATATTATATGAAGATATTTATTGAGCACCTATGTACAAGGCATTATAGAAGACATCTTAGGTACAGGAAATATAGCAAACTCTTAACTCTGCCCCTCATCACCGCTGCCCCCTTGAACCTCCCCTCCTTCCCTCCTAAGTTTGTTAATCAAAAGTGAGTAATAGAGCCAGGATTTGAATCCAGGAGAGTCTGATTTAAAAGCACAAACCTTTCATTACGATTTTTACTTGATGTTTAAAAGAAAGCCTCTCTAGGGGAAGAAGAAATGTACGAAGCTGGTATTAACTCAGTGAACCCAAAATCTAACTGATGATAGAGTTGTTGGTTTGGGAGAGTGAGATAGAAGAGTATTGAATTAAATGTACATGCCCAAAGGCATTGAAAAGTTAAGATGAGGAAGCACAGATAGTACTAGAGCTTTGATGAGAACTGTTGTTAATTATTTTTAATGCCACAAATGGCTTTATATTATTCCACCACTGGTTAAGCTTGCATGTGTGAATCCCTGCTGTCTGTAAAACCTCCAGCAAGTAAAACCTTTGCTGATTGGTGACTTGGCTCTGTCATTTTTATAAGACTGTACCGAGGCTCGCAGAAAATGCTTGATTCTATACACCCTTTAGCTAAGGCCAATGAATTGCACATGCAGCCAAACCTGGACAAAGCTGATCGCTACATTTTTGCTGCTTTTTGCTCATGATCCCAAGCGTATAGAAGGTTCTAGCTGATGATTTCATGGTGAAACTAGTACATAATAAGCATTTGTGTTTTTTACTTAAAAAAAAGTTATTCCAAATGCATAATCACTTCTGGATCAGCAATGTCTAGAAATTTGCCAAGGAGATAATTTTTGAAAGTTCACTTTTTCTCCCCTTTCTTGATCCTTTTTATTTAATCATTCCCAGGAAAGGTTCTTTCTACTGCTCTGCCTTTTTTCTTTTATTTTTGTTGCTTCCATTGTCACTCCATATTTTTTGTCTTTACCGTTTTGATTTTCACCCTATAGAAAGTTTGTGTGCCAAATACCAAATAAGAATGATGGGATATTATGCAAGCACTAAGGCAGTAGAGTGTAGTTATGTAATAAGAGCTTACACTCGAGTACAGCTGCCTGGTTTGAATCTCAACTGTTCTTTTAATTAATTATATAATCTTTAGTAAGTTCTTTAAACTTACTGTCTAATTTTATCTATAAAATGAGAATTATAGAAGTATCTATCTTCTAGCATTGTTATCAATATTAAATGACTAACATATAGGAAGTATTTTGTACACAGTGTTCTATAAATAAATGTTAACCTATTTAATAACAAAAACTTATTAAATTATGTCTGTAAGGTATGTGTAATGATACAGAAAATGTTCATGAGAGAACTTTAAGAAACAGGATATAAAGTGACGTGATCACAGCTATTAAAACAAGCATTTAAACATTTTTGAAAAGACTGGAATAAAATAGGACAAAATATTAATTATGGTTTATTTTAGAACTATTGCCTCCTGTTACTCTTTTTTTTTTTTTTTTTTTCCTGTTTGGGTTACTTATCACAATCCACAGTTATAGTATTGGTCTATTTAGTTGGTTTTGATGGTCTCTCCTTCTAGCATGTATGTTTTAAATGAGAAAGGACTCAAGTCAATCTTTTTCTACCATTATATATTGTGTCTAATGCCAAGTGTCTGGCACAAGACTTCTCTTCAATAAGTACGTGTTAAGTGAATATGTTTACCTCTTACTTTTCTGTGTTTTTCAGTCATATTAACAGAAAATCCCTGTTACAACATTTTTTAAAAAGGCTATTTTTAAAACATTAGCTCAGCTTTGTTAAAGGCTTAAAATAGGTAACCTTAAAAGTATTACCCTATAGTTCATGGTAAAGTATCAAAGAAGAAGAAAAAATTTCTCATATTACATGTTCACTTGTTTTGTTTTGTTTTTAGAAGTGGCCATTCCAACTCACAGCCTTTATTTATTTTAACTTTTTGATGTTTTTCTTGTTAGCTTTTAATCAGTCTGAGAAAATCCTAGGTATATTTAATTTTCCCCTATTCTGTTTTACACAAACTAAAGCTCTTCCTTTTTGATTAGGATAGTTAGTTTCAAGTGACATAAAGAACTTTCGTTACTTTGCTAGTTAAATGTTACCTTAAAGCCTTATTGTAGGTGAGGAAATATCCCTTTTTTTAATTCCAAAAATTGTAGCATGATTAATGAACTCACAGATTCCTTTAGTGGTTTACTCTGTGTTAATTATCCCAGTGCCAGAGTTTCTACCTAGTATGCTTTGACTCACTGGGCCACAGTGCATTTCTGCCTAAGGCTGGGTTACATGTAACTTACCTGCAGATATGCCAGTGAGAGGAATACGTGTTTCTTTGCCAGAGACTTTGCTTTCCAGTAAAACTTGGCCTTGGCATTCGTTGTTGAGGTTCATAAGGTTTTCTGTTAGCTCTGTAATTCAGTGCTCATTTTTAAAGATGAAACTTCAGTGAAATAGGATTGTAACGATACACACAGGTTCATACAGAGAAAATTCAAACAGAATGCAGAAACCTTCTCATCTGTTACTAAAAAATTTCAAAGCCAGAGATGCAGCCCATCTTTCTCGTGATTCCTCATTCAACTGCCAGACTGACAGCAGGAAATTCTACCATGATCCTTATGAGTCAGGGCAGCGTTTTCTCTTTTCTAAAGAGGGTCTCACTGAAGGACTTTAGAGAAAGCAAAAACAGGAGATGAGAGAAAGAGAGAAGGAAATAACTTGAGGAAAGTCAGAGGTTCAGACTGGTGTTTATTGACTGGGTAATACTAGTAGTACAACTACACCTGGGGAATGTTAGGAATTAGGTCCAGACAAAAGGTATGTTGTTTGAAGCAGCACTTAGAAAAACATCCACTTCTCTGAATCTTTGGTTGAAGTGACGTAATTAGATGTGCATAATGAATCTTCCAGTAGCATTTTGTTACTCTGAAGGTCTGAGACTTTTCTGAGCCCTTAACTCCAAGTTGGTAGTATCTTCAGTTTTCTGAAATACCATGCTATTATTGCTCTATATTAAGATCTGTTGTTTAATATAATATTGGAAAGTATTGCAGCGAACACACCTAAAAGTAATTACTATTGAAAGTAATGTAGTCCAGAATAAAGACAACTGTACGCTGAGTAGAAGGAATAAATGGTACAGGTTGAATTTTTCTTATGGCAGTGGTAGTACTGTTGGGGATGGTGGTCACTATCACTGTTATTTTATTTTTCTTACAGGGAATAAACTTGGCATGTTTAACTTGTGGTTAGAACGCCAAGAAGACTAATATTATAGTATATAGTAACATTTATTTAAAATCACACTAGAAATAGTCATAGAAATTGATATGCTGTATCAAATGAAATAATTTGTGAATTGATTTTGAAATGCGTGTACATTGAAGTGTATGTTGGTAAAATGATGATGGTGATGTACCTTTCTGACCTTGGTGTATTCATTTACCCTTGTCAAAAAATAAAGGTGATTTGAGCTGTTTTGCTCCTCAGAGGATCCAACTGACCATATAACCTGACTTCCTAGCCACTCTGTTGCTCCCCGCTCCTTCATCCCCACGCCAACATAACTGCTCCTATTCTGAGACAGTGTTTTAAATCTGTATTATTCAGCAAGAAAAACACAACAGTCAGGGAGAATATCAATTATTTTCTTGCCTATCCGTACCATCACATAATTGCAACATCTACATCCTGATCGAAGATTTGGTCTTTCAGATTCAGAATGTCTCATTAGCTTTTTGCTCCCTGTCTCATACTGAAAAAGGAGAATCTAAACAGTCACAAAGACTAGCAGACCAGTAGATTTTCTCTTCCCGGGGGCATATACCTAAATCTTTGTGCTAGACCAGCCCTATTTGCAGATCTAAGAGCTGCTGGTGTATTATGACCAGAGACACTGCAAAGCCTGTATTGCCCCCAGATTTTTGTTTTCACTGATCAATTATTGACCTGTCATCTTTCTACCTGGCCTAAGATTTCTACCATGATAGTTAATACTTTGGCTTAGACAATGAACCTGAGGATTTTTTTTCAAGAATGATACAGTTTTGAAGAAAGACCTTAGATCTTAGAACTCTACAGTGACCCTTCTTCACTAACACACTGTATCAGTAATCTAGGAGAGTATGAGCTAGGCAGGTTTCAACATGGGGAAAGTGAAGCCTATCAATCAATGAGCCCCAGGGATGAGAGGAACCACATGAAGGCCCAGATTGCCTAGGCATTGCAGAGTTGCACTGGGGTCCCCAAAATTACTCCCAGGTTTGGAGATTCACTAGAAGGACTTATGGAACCTTAGCATGTAATTTTATTTATGGCTATGATTTATTACAGTGAGGTAGTAAGGTTACTCAACTGGATAACAAGGGGAAAAAGCACAGGTGTTGAGGTCTAGAGAAATCCATGTACAGGCTTCCTGTGCTCTCTCCCTTCCCTGAGAGGGTCATATAGAGCACAGTCTTCCCCAACAGACAAAAATGCAGCATTTGCGAGAGATTCAGTGCCTAAGATAAGGGACTTGTCACCTGGTCACGTCAGCAACTCTCTCACTAGCATAAACCAAAATTTCAGACTTCCAGAAGGAAATCAGGTATTTGGCATAAACCATGTTATTTGCACAGTCTAGCATAGGAAACTACCCTTATCAGTCAGGGAAAGGTAAGCTCACTTCCAAAACCCTAGTTCCCAAATGCTACTCCAAGGCCAACCTTGCAGACAGGCCCTTCTTAAGATAGCAGCCTCAGACTGCACAAAGATAAGTACTTGGCTTCAAGGATTTCAGTGGATAGGCAACATGTAAAAATAGGCTCAGGAGCCTGGACAGTTGCTGCCTGTTTTCATACATGAGAGATAAATACTTTTGTGCTTGCATTCGTACATATAACTCACTATTAGTAATCTAAGGGAACTTCATTACTTGGAAATTAAATTCAGGAGATTTAGGTGCCCTGCTCTTTTGTTTGAGAATCACTGCCCTCTGTGATAGGCTTTTCACTGGAGCCTGAAGGGATGATGGAAAGGAGAGATATTCCCCCAGATGGCCTACTTTACAATTTTATCCATATCTCTGGGTCCTGATGGATGGTGGCCCATATTTAAAAGCTTTCCGCATAATCAGAATGAAGAACTCTAAAAATGTGACTTAATTGTTTTGAGTCTTTTTTTTTGAGCCAGAGTCTCACTCTGTCTCTCATTGTGGAGTGCAGCAGCATGATCTCGGCTCATTGCAACCTCTACCTCCCAGGTTCAAGTGATTCTCATATCTCAGCCTCCGGAGTAGCTGAGACTACAGGGGCGCACCACCACACTCAGATAATTTTTTGTATTTTTAATAGAGATGGGGTTTCGCCATGTTGGCCAGGCTGGTCTTCAACTCCTGACCTCAGGTGATCCACCCACTTTGGCCTCCTAAAGTGCTGGGATTACAGGCATGAGCCACCAGGCCTGGCCTGTTTTGAGCTTGTTCAATCTATGTCATAAGTAAACCTAATCTTGTTAAACTTCAAAGGAATAATATTGTGTCTAAAATTTCAATTCAAGCACTGAGCATGATATGAACTAGTATCTTAACATCAAACCAATGGTCAATTATTTTTCTAAGCTAAATTGCTTCTCCTTTTACAGTACCTTGAGGTTCAGTAGAAGACGAACCCTAACACTTGTTTAAGATATTCTGCTCTCCCTTATTGGGCTTCCTAAAGGTGGTTGGCAGTTTTTTTTTTTTTTTTTTTTTTTTTTTTTTAACCAGTGGATTTTGGTGCCATGAACTCTAAGCAGATAAGCCACTGAGACCAAAATGGGATTGCTTTAAATTTAGCAGAAGTGAAGGAATGGTACAAGGCCTAATGTGTTTTTCTTGGGTCATAAGCAGAGAAGGGAGGTTGTATATTAGAATTATCTGAGGACTCAGATTACATGGGCTTCTGTTTCTCCACTACATCCACTTCCCATTGTCTCCTTTCCCTGAAGACTCTGGATTCTGTGTGTCCTTAACAGTGAGCCATTGTCATGATCATGGATGGAAATGTGCTTGATATTTCAAGCATATTTAGATCTCGATGTGTTTAAGGATCATTGACCTGAAACACTTTTCAGGGTATCCATTGAACTCCATTTCCTTAATAGGTCTTACACTCTTTTGGTTTTATATGGTGTTCCCTAATCGGAGATTCAGAGCACCATTGGTAGCTCACTTTCTTCTGTAATGAATATATATGTAAAGCAGAATGCCTGTGGTGCTTCATGCTGTGAGGAATCCAGCTTTAAAACTATGGTGTAGGTAGTGTGCTGCTAGAGAACGTGAGTAACTGTTGTGTGAGGGGATTATGGACTTGTTTTTAACCTTTTTTTTTTTTGAAATAGGGCCTCATTCTGTCTCCCAGGCTGGAGCACAGTGGCACAGTCATGGCTCACTGCAACCCAAATCTCCTGGTTCAAGTGACCCTCCCACCTCAGCCTCCCAAGTAGCTGGGACCATAGGCTCACACCACCATGCCCAAATAATACAGTTTATTTTCTGTAGATAGGGGATCTCCCTATGTTGCCCAAGCTGGTCTCAAACTCTTGGGCTCAAGCTGTCTTCTTACCTTGTCCTCCCAAAGTGTTGGGGCTTACAGGTATGAGCCACTGTGCCCAGCCTTGAACTTTTTTGATGGGAAAACTTACAAAGACCCATTTTTGGAGAAGATAAAGTTTCCTGAAATACAAGAATCACACCACTTGGACAGACGTTGTTTGTATTTCACGCCCACACAAGTGTGTTAGTGTGGAGAAGGACCATTTTGGAAGAAAGTACTTTTTCCTCTGAACTGGTTTCCTGAATCCTTTTGAGTTTCATGTTTTATGGAAGACCATCAAAATATTTGGAAGGCCAGCTTATTTCATGGTCACAAAGGCAGCTTTAATTGCTTGCATAAAGTTGGAGCTTGTCTTTCTCCTTTTCCAACAAAGTGACATTTATTAGCAATTCTCTGGTAGTTATTTGTAATTGCACTAGTATTCACCATTCCCAAATGTTACAATTAAATCATTTGAGAGTCTAGTCACATTTCTAAGCAGATGTACCAAATTACAGCTCAAGACTTCTGCTTGAAATCTACAAATCCAATTAGTAAAATTTTGGGGCTGGGAAGGGTTAGCCAGGGAAAGACCTGAGAAAACACATAGCCCAAAATAGTTTGAAATTTCCTTGCTGCTTTGCCTCCACCCAAAGTTGATTTGTCAGCATGTAAGGGGGTGTTACATCTTTTCAGAAACTGCTTGGTTTTCTTTTCATTCAAGTTTAATTGGTTTTCATGGACTGAATTGAAGCAGGAAGGCATAAGTTAGGTAGATGATGTAAGTGAGCAAATCTCCATGTATAGCAGCATCTTGATTTGGGTGTTTGTTCTTTGTTGTTCTTTTATTTCTGTCAAAACCACAGCTTCATATATAGCTCTTTTTGTCACATGAGTTTTTACGTTGTCTTAAAACTGTGAAACAGTTACATCTAGTTTTCCTTTTTATCTTGATTCAAGAGCCCTTGAAACTATCCTTTTACATACTATTTTTTTTCACTTGGAACGGCTACTCTATTATATTCTCTGAATTTTCTAATTTATTTTCTTCAAGACCAGCATTAGCCAGGTGTTGTGACCCATACTTATAATTTCAGAACTTTGGGAGGCCAAGGTGGGAGAATCGCTAGAGGCCAGGAGTTTGAGACCAGCCTGCACAACATAGTGAGACTATCTCTCTACCAAATAAATAAATAAATAAATAAATAAATAAATTATCTGGGCACTGTGGTATGCCTATAGTCCTAGCTACTTGGGAGAAAAAGGCAGGAGGATCTCAGGAGCCCAGGAGTTTGCAGGTACAGTGAGCTATGATCGTGCCACTGCACTCCAGCCTGGACAACAGAGTGAGACCCTTTCTCTTAAACAAACAAACAAAAAGACCATTATCTAAAATTTCTTCCTCTAGTAAGTATTCCTTTTCTGGAGGACTCATTTATGTTTCTCAGCACTTAAGAATTTAATTTTACTTGTTTTAAAAGGCGGACTCTGTGATGAAGAGGAAAAAGCGAAAAAAGCATGGGTGCAGAGTCCTAAGTTTTTGGACTTGCAACTGCCTTTGCTGCTTTCTGTCTCTGTGAATTTGGTCAGATCAGTTAATTTCCCAGTCCACAATATTCTCATCATAAAATGGGACTAATGGTACCCACCTTTCTGGGATGATGTTTTCTCGTTTGCTTATTTGTTCTTTCATTGATTCAGGATATGCATTGAGCATTTACCCTGTGTGAAGCCCTGTGCCAACACCAGAATGTCAGGAAGGACATAGTCTATGCTCTCATAAAACCCACCATCTATTAGGGAAAATGAACATTAAAAAAGTGGTTATAAGTGTGATCACTGTTTAAAAACAAAAAACAAAAAAGAGTGAGTACAGGATGCCATGGGAGCATTAAACAGAAGCAGCAAGTAGAAACCATCAGTCTTTCTTTTTTGATGGGGTATGGAGAGAAGGCACAAGTAACTTGACTCAACGTGTAAATGTTAACTTAATGAATGTCTTCACGAAGGATGAGGAAAAATAGGCCTTGTTTTGCTGCCCTTAGCAAAGCTTGCAGGTGTTTCACCAGTCTCAGTTTCCCAGTTCTTCTCAACCTTTGACCGCTCCACTGGCTCTGTCAGACATCATCCCACACAGATGCCCACCTCTGATGCCATGTTTTGCTAATGCCATCCTGCTTAGGCAAAGCTGGTTCATTTGTCTTCCTTTCTCTGTTATTTGATCACTTCCACTTCTGCAACACCATTCTTTTTATCCTTATCCTGAGGAATATTCTTGATATTTTTCTTCGTCATATTGACCAACTCTTTTAAAGATCAAAGAACTCAATCTTTTAAAAATGTGCTTTATGTGTAAATTATGTTCTGTGCCTTTTCAGCTTAAATGTATAAATATAGAAAACTTGATCCATTAGGAATAGGAATGGGAAGAAGCTGAGGTAACTGTTCTTTCCAAAGACCAACTTTGTAGTCCTCATTGTAACTGTTTATTTTCTGAATCTGCTACCTTACTGTGGTCTCAGTGAGGCAGGATGAGAATTTATTCACCTTTGTGTTACTAGCATTGACATCCAAGGATGACAGACACTTGATAAAATGTTGTCTAAGTAAGGGACTATATTAACAAACATTTAGGGCTGAGCTTAGATGATATCTAAACAACAACCCAAAACTCTAGAAATCAGCTATGTAAATATCTAATAGGCACTGCAAGATATAATTACTACTACAGAGATATACTGAAGACATTAAATCGCCCTACCAGGGGAGGTGCAGAAGAGCTCGATGAATGTTATACTATTTATGTTAAAGGCTGACAAGAATTTCTCCAGGTGAACAAGGAAGGAAGCACATTCCTGCCTGAGGAGTCAACCTGCAGAAAGCATAGAATTGGAAAGAATCTCACATTTTTGCACAGCTACAAGTTTCTCACTGTACCTAGCATGCTGAGTGTATTTAGTGGCGTGAACTTGAGGCTGGAAGGGTGGGGCGAGGCTGGAGCCTAACGGCCTGTTTTACAGAGGACTCAGAACTTTAGACTTTATGGGTTGTGGAATGTTGAAGGAGTGTAAGTCAAAATGATTTGATCAGATTTGAACTTTTAGCAGGTGGAAAAAAGGGAAGAGAAGGTGATTATAATTCTTCTAATGTGCCAAAAATTCACATTCTTTATATATACTAACTCATTTAATCTTCACATCTTTGATGCCCACAATAATGTGTCAGTCACGTAGAGGATGTTTTGAATGGGGGCAAAACCAAAGGCAACGAAAGTAGTTTATTATAATACCCTGGTTGAGAAATGATGGGTCCTTGAAATCAGATTGTTTCAGTAAGGCTGAGATGAGGGGTTTTGTCACAAGAATTGACAGGTCTTAGCCTGTTGGAGGTAAAGGGGAGGGAGAAGGCCACGGTGATCCCCCAATTCTGCCCTGGGCAGCTGGCGATGGCAGTGCCTTTCTCTGAGCTAGAGACTGAGAGCAGAAGCAGCTTTCTGGAGAAAGATGTTAAGTTTAGGTTCGAATTTGTGGCATTTGAGGTCCCAAACAAAAACTGAGAAGGAATACGCTTGTTAGTTAGGAATGCCTCTCAAGAGCTCAAAGGGCTATCAGTAAAAGGTTTATGGAAGGGAGTTGTTGGTACTTGGGTGCTAGCTGGAACCATGTCAGTAGTGGAACTATGGAGGTTGTTAAATAAGAAGAGAACTGGGTGACACTTTAGGGAACATAACCATTTAAGGAATGGTCAGAGGATGGGGACTAAAGGGAAGATTCTACTACTATATACTGTTAACATTTTTACTGTGATAAAATCATTAGCCATCATAAATGTACAGTATTGATTGATTATATGAGATGCTCTGATGTACTATGAGCTATGCATATGTACTGTTTTAAAGTCCAACTTGATTTTACTTTAATGCTAACAAATAAGACAAACATCACATATTTAGTTAATAATAATTTTCTTTCTGTCTTAGAATTTAGAAGGGCTAAGAAGTATTACTTCTAAGATGTGGTCTAAAGCTCTTCAAAGGGACTAAATTGATGCTTTCTTTTTCTCTACATATTTGCCCTTGCTCTTTATGAGGAGGGATTGTTTGCATTTTCCCACAGATCTGTAAACATAGTTTTATAGTTGCTGGTCAGTGAATGCGTATTGATGATGTTCTTTTCCCTACTTAAAACAAAAATCTTGCCAGAAATGTTGACCCTACATTTTTTCCAACATACCTTTCTCTATCAACTTAGTCTATTTAAAATATAATGAAAAGCTGAGAAACAGGCTAAAGACCAACAGAAAATAAGTGCTAACAAATCCTTCATTTACCAGTTTTATTTCTGCAAGACTTACTTGAAGTTATATAAATTCTTCACACTATGAAACAGTTAGTAAACCATTTGTTTATATATGTGTGTGTGTGTATATATATATAATATATATAATATATATATTATATATATATTATATATATTATATATATTATATACATATTATATATATTATATATATATTATATATATATAATATATATATACACATCTCTTTTTTTTTTTTGGCGGGGGGACAGAGTCTCACCCTGTCACCAGGCTGGAGTGCAGTGGCGCCATCTCAGCCCACTGCAACCTCCGCCTCCTGGGTTCAAGCGATTCTCCTGCCTCAGCCTCCCAAGTAGTTGGGACTACAGGTGCACGCCAGCACGCTCAGTTAATTTTTGTATTTTTAGTACAGATGGGGTTTCACCATGTTGGCCAGGATGTTCTCGATATCCTGACCTCGTGATCCACCCGCCTCAGCATCCCAAAGTGCTGGGATTACAGGCATGAGCCACTTCGCCTGGCATCGTTTATAATTTTTAAAAGGTCTGTAGAATAATAACAGTAACACCTAATTCCATCTGCTGAATGCCTAGCACACTAGGTTCTGTGCGCATAGGTATAGTACATGTCTCCTCTCATCCACAGAACTATGTGCTCAACCACCCTGAGCCTCTTAAACCATTTCCAAGATATTCCTGTTTTTAATTTCTTCGTGTCTAGTGTCAAGGTGTAATCTTTGATCTAAATAGCTTGCTTTTCCTTCTCTCTGTTAACCTCTTCATCCTCCATGACTTAGCTTATATTACCAGAGTCTGCATGGTGGCTGTATTCTCAGTAAGATCATTGGGAAAATAGTCTGATACTAATGAAATATTTGAATGAAGAAAAAACATCATGTTCTATCCCAACATAACTTCTTTTAGTTCCATACCCTCCAGCTCTTTTCCTCATGCATGTGTATTCTTATAAAACCACTTGTACTATTTTGTATTCTGCTTTTCTCTTACACAGCATATTTTTTCATATTTCCATATAATTTTCATAATTATCATTTTCATCATAAAAGCAATGTTAACCCATTACAGAAAATAAATCAACCATAATTACTATCTTGATGACACTTAACTGCTTTTTTTCCCCTAAGTACTCATGTTACAATTTAAGGTAAAGGGTGGGGGTATTTAGCTGAGGAAGCCTAGACTGTCACTTTTAATTTTGATAATGTTACTTTTTCACAAGAGTTCCTTCAGATTCACTTACCCTCTCTGATCTTTCATTATCTCACCTGTAGAAAAGTGTTGAGCTTGATCATCTGTAAGATTATCTCAAAAGTCCTGTTAAGCTGTAACTAGTCTGTGACTCTATGATACTCTGAATGTTATAATCCTCTCTAATGTTGGTAATTCTTCACCTTTTTGTGTCATATACCCCACTGAGAATGCGGTGAAAGTTTTGAATCCTCCTCCATTTAAAATTGCCACTCTGCACAAACACATATAATGTTTCATGCAATACCATCTGGGGATCAAGAATCTTTTGCCCTAAGCACAGGAAAGAAAAATTTATGGAAATGACATAGAATTCAGAAAGTATTCCCCACCTAACAGGTGGGAGACTTTATGTGGCTTATTTTACTCTAATATTATGCAACCAAGAAAGTA